>NC_000013.11:100627979-101252979 GCF_000001405.40 Homo sapiens | reverse complement strand
TATGAATGTATTTGTATCCATTAGACTGTACATTTAACAAAATTTATCAGCACAGCACAGGAGATTAAAAGCTTTATCTTCTTTTATCTCAATTCTTCTTTTGAGAAACTCACAAACAGATGGGAGAGATACAACAAGGAAGGCAACGGACCTACAGAGAGGCCCAAAGTTAGCTCTGTGTCACCCCCTAGCATTATCCCCAGCTATGTTCTCTGATTTCCTCTAGACCTATCTGAATGGGGAGCTCAATCCTCTTCCACCTCCTGGTGTTAAGTATTAATGAGGACAGTCATGTTTTCCAATGAAGCCAGAGGGGAGAAAGAAGTCCTAGGACTCTGTGCTACATACCCCACAGTAAATTAACTAGAACTCCTCTTACCCTCAACTCTGTCTATCCCTCCTACCCAGCCTACTCCCATATCTCCCCAACTTGTCATCAGCCAGGCAGGCTCTTCCCCTGCTACTCATGCACAGCAATTCCACTCCACCCCCAGACTTGCATCTTCACTTGCTTTTTGTTCAGCAAAACAAAAAGCTCTGCTATTAAGAGGATCTAGATTCCTCAGAAAAGAAAGTATCATCTATTACTTAAGCCCTCTTAGTCCCCCACAGGAAATATTTATTTTAAATACATTCAGAGTTTCTCTGCAAAGATTTCACATGGATATAAAATTTTTCATCTCATTTCAATTATAAAGTCAGAGAACAGAGAGGAAGAAGGGCCTAGTATCCTTTCTTACATGGCAGTTGTGCTTGGTGATGGGGAATCAGAGGTAAATAAAGTAAATAAGATATGGCCATCGATGTGTGACTCTAAGGACCTCTTTCTACTCTTAGAAGCTATAGTTCTGTGAGATTATCTGGTGTAATCTTGAGTGAGGTGTATACCTAAAATTTGTGGCAATAACATGATTTATCAAAGAAATTTTAGTGACTCTACAAGAAGAAATTAAGAACAATTTCCAAGTCAGTGTTTGTCTCAACACATCATATCCATATGAGCAGTTTTAGTTATTAAATCCGTGTTTCCAATAGATCTAAAAATCATTCTCTATTGTGGTAGACTAAATATGTATTAAGTTGTCTTGTCGGAGGGAATGAGTCATAAACTGCCAAGGTGCTAGTTCGCTGAGAGAAGTTACAGCTTGAGAGAATGTTGTTTCTAAAACAGATTATTGATGAAGCAAAACGTGCTGAGACTAAATTAATTTTACACAAATAAGATTTGGGCAGGATTAGACTTATTTATGTCAGATACCTATGATGTCAGAAGCAACCATTAGCCTTTGTGTATTAATATGATTATTTTGCAGGATTCTTTTTCTATGGTTATTTTTCCTTCTTTTTGAAATTTCTATCCTTTGAAAATCTGTGACTTTCTTTTATTTCCTTCTTAATTAGAAAGTATTTCATAAATTCAACACATAGAGAAAATATTATAACCAATATTTGTGTGTCCGTCACCCAGATTTTTAAAAAATTAATAGTTTTTCATGTTTGGGTCAGGTTTTTCAATCAGAAATAAAACATCATTAGTAGAGTAGAAGATCCCTGTGTACCACTTCTTGATCTCCTCCTTCTCCCTAATCCACAGAGAACTATATTCATCATATCAATGCATGCTTTATAATAGTATGAAGTATTAAGGTGCCACTTTTTCAATCCTCATTATATTTGGGAAATTGATTCATGTCGATTGAAGCATGAATTTATTTGTTCTGCATGTAAGGGCAATGGGTATTTCAATTGCTTCCAACTTTTTGCTGTTGAAAACAATACTTCAGTAAACATTGTCATTAGAATTTCTGTGCCACATTTGGGAGAGCTCTTTCTAAATATATACCTAGACTTAAAATTGTGAATTTGTCAGATATGCTCACTTTCAACTTTGCTAAATATTGTTAAATTGAACTTCAAAGTGCTTGTGTCAATTTACATTCCTACCAGGATATATGAGCAGCTCTACTTCATACTACTTTTTTTTGTTCAGGATTTTTAAGTTTCTTACAATCTCATATAATCATTATAGTCTTAATATACATTTTCTTGGTTACCATAGAGATTTGACCTTTTTTTCGTATTCTGTCAGCCCTGAATTTCCTCTTCTATAATTTTGCCTGTTTAATCTGTACCCTAATTGATTTTTCAGTTATCTAGTAGTATGCAGTGCAGACATCTCCCAGCCTTCAGCTTGTCTTTTAACTTTTATTTGCTGTCTTTTCTTCAATAGAAGTTATTAATTTTAACACTGTAAGATATAGTCATCTTTAATTTTTGATTCAGTGCTTTTTGTGTCTTATCTATACCAGAGTCATTAAAGACATTCTCTTATAGTAAAGGCTAGAGTTTTCAAGTTGTGCTTTTTCAATTTTAGACTCCAATACATTTGGAATGAGATAAGGACTTGATTTTTTCCCCATATATAAACAATTGTCCTTCGAAGATTCATTGAAAATTCATTCTTTCCTCACTCCTGTAGTGCAATTTCTGTCATATATCAGGTTTACACATGTGCACAATTGTGTTTCTGGACACCTCAGTCTGTGTCTATACATCAAAGCTTTAGTTGATAACATGTTGTCATAAGTGCTATCCTTTATAATAAACCTTGAGATCTATTAGGGCAAGCTACTGATGTTGATATTCTTCTTCAGATTTGTTTTATCTGTTCTTGGTCTTGCTATTCTTGCTCTACATTATGAAAATTTAATTCATTTTAGTAATGAGATTTTAATTGATGTTAAGAACATCTCTATTCAGTTATTCTAACCTTCCTTAGTGTTTTCCAACAATGCTTTATAATTTTCTCCAAAGGTCTTCCACATTTTTTGTTACATTCATGCCTACATATCCTACAGTTTCTTTTGTGAATGAAATAATTTCAATTACATTTTTATTGATGTAGGAATAATATTAATTTTTTATATTGACCTAATTCATAGCCAGCAACTTTACTACAATTGGTTGTTTGTGATCATCCATAGACTTGATTGGAATTTCTATGTAGATAATTGTATCTTCTGAAATTAAGGTTTTGTCTTTCCACGTCTAATTATCATATCTCTGATTTTTTTCTTCTTTTATTATCCGGGTGTGGGTCTCTAATAAAATGTTGAATAGAGGCAGTGATAGTGGACATGCTGGGTGTTTTTCTATATTTTGATACGAATGCTTATGATTTCATCATTAATGTCATTTGTAGGTTTTTATAGATGCCTTTCATCATGTTAATAAAGCTCACTTCTATTTCTAGGTTGCCAAGAGCATTTCTCATTATGAGTTGAGTATTCAATCTTCTTCTACCTATACTGAGCTGACTACACAGACTTTCCTTTTTAATTTCTTAGTGCAGTATATTAGAATAATAGATATTTTGATACTGAAACTATTTTAGATTCCTGAAACACTTGATTTTATAGCATTACTTTTAATAAACAAATCCAATAAGCTGACATTATATTAGGAATTTTCAATCATAAGGATAGTAGTTCTGTGATTTTATTTTCTTTTACATTGCTAGTCTGATTTTGTTAGGGAAGTTACACTTCCTTTCACAAATGGAATAGACATATTTTTCTCTTTTTCTCTTCTGTGAAAGAATGAATAAAGTCCCTCTGGAACACCATCTAGGGCTATTGTTTGCAGTGGGATCCCTGGTGGAGAAAGGGAGAAGAGAGATCTTGATTAATGACTTATTTTATGGTTTGATTATTATGGTTTGTCAGTTTCATGGTTTATTGCTTGCTATTTATAGAGTCATTAATTTTAACTAATGTCTCACATTTCCACAGTTTTCTCTCAGGATTTTTATAATCTCTATTGAAACTGAATGTATAATCCTTTTTGCTGCCAATATTGTTTATTTATAACTTTCTTTTTTATAGAAGTAAATGACTTCTGATGCTAACTACCTGGATTTTAGACCAAACTTCACAGCACAGAGGCACAGTCCTCTACAAGATTACCCTTACTCGAGATACTAACTGTAAGCTCAGGGGGTTCCAGGGCCTCCCTGACATATGACATATCATATGGCTAATATGGTTGATATGACATATGACATATCATATGACATATCAACAGGCTAAAAACTCGGGGGTTTCCACTAGCCTTCTCAAGTTTGATAATTTGCTAGAATGACTCACAGAAATCAGGAAAGTGCTATACTTCTGATTACATTTTTATTAAAGCAAAAAGGTTGCAAATCAGAGCCAGCCAAAAGAAGAGATGCAGAGAGAAAGGTCTGGAGAGTCCTACATGTGAAACTTGCTGTTTCCTCTTTTCATGGAGTGAGGACATATCACCCTCTCAGCACATGGATGTGAAACAATATTCAGAGCGCTGAGAACCAGGGAAGCTCACCTGAGCTTTGTGCTGAGGCTTCTGATTGGGATTTCCTTAGGTAGGCATGATCGCTGGAATCACTGGCCATGCACACAAGGTTGGAGTTTCTGACATGGCCAGTGCTCATGAATGATCTCATTGCCATAAACTACCAGGGTCACCATAAATAACAAAGATACCTATCAATTGGCAAATTCCAAGGATGTAGAGGCTACTTCCCAGGAACTTGAGGCAAAAGCCAGTAAAATTCTTTATTTTTCATTCAAAGAACCAGCTTTTAGTTTGGTTGACACTAACAGTTTCTAATGTACCTGAAATTATTGGTTCGTTCCCAATATTTTGAACTATTAAGTCCCTTTATTTCTTTGTTTTTTAAATTTCTCCTCTCACCTTTATTATTTTCTCTTTTTCATTTATCTCTTTGGTCATCTTAAACTTCTTTGAAAATTCTTACTGGGGTTCTCTGGGTGGAATATAAATCATTCTATTATAAAGATACATGCATGCATATGTTCATCGCAGCACTGTTCACAATAGCAAAGACATGGAATCAACCCAAATGTCCATCAGGGATAGACTGGATAAAGAAAATGTGGTACGTATACACTATGGAATACTAGGCAGCGATAAAAAGGAACGAGATCACATCCTTTGCAGGGACATGGATAGATCGGGAAGCCATCATCCTCAGCAAACTAACACAGGAACAGAAAACCGAACACTGCATGTTCTCACTTATAAGTGGGAGCTGGATAATGAGAACACTGAATAGCTGAACATGGACACAGGGAGAACAACAACACACACTGGGGCCTATCAGGAGGTGGGGGGAGGGGTAGCATCAGGATAAATAGCTAATGCATGTGGGGCTTAATACCTAGGTCATGGGTTTATAGGTGCAGCAAACCGCCATGGCACACATTTACTTATGTAACAAACCTGCATATCCTGCACATATATCCTGGAACTTTAAATTTAATTGAATTTAATTTAAAAAAATAAAATAATGAAAACAACTAAATGATGGTGAAAAAAAAGTTTGACAAAATTAATTTTACTGAGAGTAAATTCATAGTTTGAATTTTAGAATTTTGTTTTCTTTCTCATTAGATTTATTTAAAATCTTTGCATGCTGCCTCATTTGGCTTGGGAGATTTTCTTATTTCTCTCTCCCTCCCTCTATGATCACTTCTACTTTCTTAGGGATATTGCAGTTGCCTTAACCTTGACCCTGGACCCTACCATCCAGAGCCAGGTTTTTAAGTGTCATTTGGAGAATGCTAGCCCCTTGATATGGGTGATATCACAGTTCTTGTCACTAGTCTATATTCCATAAAATATCTTGTTCTGATTTTTCAGATAAGCTGATAATTTCTCCTCCTGCCTCTGGAGGCCTGCAGCTGCCTATAAGGTCTTAGCCTTGGGTAGTTGGTCTCTGTCCTTTCCTTAGCAGAGAAACCCATTCTAGTCCCTGTCTTTTCACTATGAAGGTTCTCATCTTTACCTTATCTAAGGTGCCTTAGTCTCCTCACCCTATAGGAAGCAATTGAGTCCAACATTGCCTGATTCTTGACCTAGCATATGTTTCTGTTGCATTTCTGGTCAACAAAGAGGTTAACCTCGTTTAGAATTCCTTCCTGCCTCTTTGGTTTCCTGTTTTTTCCTTTGATCACAGTATGTTTGAAACAGAAGGGGTTTCATAAATCATGAACTCATTTTGCCGTCTTGCAGGGAGTCCTCTTTTCTAGAAAAGTGATTTCTGCATTCCTCTGAAGACATTTGGTTTTATGATATTTGTTAAAATGAAGAGTCATTTATTTTGGCCCCAACAAAATCTGACACCCACGTTTGAGTTCATTAATCATAAAAATTGGCCAAATGAAGAAAATAATCAATCTTGCCATAGCAGCAGTCTTTGACATTATTGTTGAGTTTAATTTCATTTTCTGGGAAACTTCAAGTAAATAGGTTTCTTCTGACAATTACTTTTTGTGTGTGTTTCTAAAAGATCTGGACATTATCTTGTTAGGTAAAAATATAATACAATAATGACAATCTGGACTTCTCAACCATCCATCTCAAAATTTGCTCTTTATAACATACTGATATACACTATAAGCTAAGAGTAGGTGATTTACAGACAGCTCCAGACTGATACAGGTAATCAGTAATCACTTTTTGTTGTTATTGAATCTGAATTTCATGTAAGAGAATGGGATTGCCTGAACTGATTTTCTTGTGAGCTTTGTCCTGTAATCTTCCTTTGTGATAAATATGCATTTTTTTCTCATGATATCCATCATGATTCTTTGAAATTAGAAAACAGAGACTGCAACACAAATATTAGATAACACATTTCAAATATCTTTCCACTCATGGGCAATGTCCATCTCTACCATTTTATCTCATAGGCCTGTGTTTACGAGATTAGTTAAACTCTGCTGTTGTTACTGGTAGAGGGTCTCGACTGCAAGTTGTCCAGGTTCTTGACGTTTTGAATAAAGAACTGGACAAAACGCACAGCAAAGCAAGGAAAGAAAGAAGCAAGGAAAGCAGAGATTTATTGAAAGTGAAAGTACACTTCACAGTGTGGGAGTGAGCCCAAGCAGCAGCTCAAGGGCCCCAGATACAGAATCTTCTCAGGTCCAAATACCCCCTAGAGGTTTCCCATTGGCCACCTACTTGGTGTTCACCCCATGTAAATGAAGTGGTTGCCCGCAATCAGAGGCTGAGGTGAAGTTACGAAGTTACATTCCTAGGCAAGTGTCTGGTTGGGAAAAGCAACCGATCAGAGGTACTTTCAATTATCCATCTGCCGCACAGAAAAGGTGGGGGTTTGCAAAGGGAGTAGCCCCTGGTCCTTTTGCTACTCAGGCATGGAAAGTTAGGGTTTTTCTTTCAATTTAGTTCTAAGAAGTCAGTGTGAAATGGACTTAGGTTCCCTGCCTCCAGACCCTATTCTCCTGCCTCATTATGGCGACATCAAACCAGGTATATCGGTTGAGCATGCATTCTCAACAGGGAGTAAAATCACCTCCAAAGGGGTGAAAATATGTTCTTAGTTGGGGGGTAGAAAATTCTCTCTTTTATAATGCAGATTGCCTTGTAGACCAAATAACCAAAGTAGAGTATGTAAAAAGATATATAATATGGTAGAGGTATCAAAACTCCATGAGGTGGTGATTAAGAACAAAATCTCTAAAAGACTTCTTAGAAGAGGTGATTTAAAAAAAGATTGGGAAACACTGCTTTGGGGTATTTGTAAGAAGAAATAAATATTTCTCTTCTTTTCTATGCATTGTTTCTAAGTTTTCTTAAAGTAATGCAAAAAAAAAGAAAAGTTTATTATACTCTTACAAATTTTGTCTTAACTCTTAAAAAGTTAAGTTTTAACTTGTAGGTACTCACAAAGGTGGAATGCACTGCAGAATATGAAACAGAAGAAGGGTCCCAATGAGCCCTTCTTGGTGCAGGGGCTGCAGACTGAGGAGGGCCAAAGCAGTGGAGGGCTGCCAGGCTAAGAGTGACAAATGGAAGCCACCGTTCCACTTTTCCACAGGCTGCCTGCTGAATGCCTGGGATTTGCAGAAAGCCTTGAGATTGGACACCTGCACAGGTGACTTTGGTGGGAGCCCTCCAGGCAACTAGGTTCTGCAGAGACCCCAGTTGCCTTCTCCCTTTTAGATGGCTCCCAGCATGCCCCTGGCAAATTCCACCCTGTCCAGCTACCATCAAGGTTGAGTTCACTGCAATAATCTGGAGCTGCACATTGAGAAGTGGTTACTAGAGCTTGCCTCCACTGCTTCTATTTTGGTTCTTCTGAACTATTATAGTCCTCTGAATTTAAGTCCTGTACCAAACCCCATAACCTACACTGAAATACTTAGTGATCATTTAAACTAATTTGATTTTCCTAATCACCTTCTTTAAATCCTGACACAGTTCTTCTCTATGGCAGGATAACCCATACCTTCAAGTTAAGTTAGGCATATTTTTATGTGCATTGATTTTCCATAAAATGTTATCACTTTGGCATGAATATTTCAGAGAGCTAGAGTGTTGGCTTGTAAAAGTTAACAAATTATGTTCAAAGCAAGCCATTTGATTCCAAGAGAATCTGGAATCAGGAATTCTAGGGGAAAATCAGTGAGACTATAGATATTTAAATATAATCACATAACAATTTGCTAAATCTTTTAGTGCCTTTTAGTGTCTTTCAAAAGAATATCATTTTCCCACAGAGAAAATTGTAATGCAAACAGATCCAGCTGCATATTTTACTATAAATTATGCTCATTTAAACAGTTCATTCCATCTGTCCTTTTGATAATATATGCAGTTAGTAAGGTGATTAATTGTATGTATACATAATTAGACAATCTATTGGAATATCTTTCAGGCATTCATTAGTAGTTTTCTTTTAAAAAAACACTTTAAAATGGATCACCACTCTTTTTTTTTGGAATGAAAATCTCAGTCTGAAAATACAGGTGAAGGGAGAGATGATGTAATGAATGCCTATTACTGCTTCCTCTGCTAATACAGCAACCAGGTCAGGCATGTGGATGGGACCTTCATGACACATCAATTTCAGTTTCTCCTGAGATTCCCTAGTATCCATAGGAGAGAAAACAGGTTCAAGTCTTCCCCATATCATTGCAAGGCCAGAACTAAGAAGCCTGTGCTAGAGAGGAAGTACCTGTCGCAGGACTTGCAGCAAAGTCTGAGTCCTCTGGTCCCCTGAGGCCACTGCTCAGGGCAGAGAGCCTTTCATTTCCCGCAGAGGAGCTGGACCTGCCTGTATGCTGCTTGTGGTCCAGGAGCAGTCCACAGAGTCCTGTGGGTCTCAGTGGGCCAGGAAGGGAAGCTCACTAGAGACTGAATTACTCCAGGTGGAGAAGGGGGTCAATAAATGACTCCACTCATTTCTGGGAAATCCTGTCACCAAAAAGCCTTCTTCAGATGTTCAGCAAAGGAGCTATGGCTTTTCAGGTCTTTCGCCTCCGTAAACTATGGTGCCCTCTACTACCCCTCATTTGCCACTGCTTAAGATAGCATAAAAGACAAACGACAATTACATCAAAAACATGTATCCATGGTGAAGGAAAGAAAAGTTAACTCACACACAAAGGGAGACTCAGAAACTGAGGATGAAACTCAGAGAATCAAGACAAATGTCTAGTCTAGAGATTTCCCAAGCAAGTAGAATTGATGGGCGAGAGAATCCGTTGTTGTTGTTGTTGTTGTTGTCTCAAGAAAAAGTAAGCAGGGCACAAAATACAATTTCTGTAACTTCAACTAAAAATGTCCAAAAAATGAGTTAAAAAAGGGCATAGTCCTTGAGAGCTAGTTTTTAATATGGGAGATGAAGCAGGAAAAAATAACTCAAAAAGTGGTAGAGATATAATAATAAGGGCAAAGTAAAATAGCCTATCCACACAGCTATGAATAATAGGAGTCCCTGAAGGAAAAAGCGAACAGATAGAAGAAAAGTTGTCATAAACAACGGAAGAAAGCTTACATAAATGAAAAAAAAAAAAAAACATAAATCTGCAAACTGAAAGAGCTCACTAAATTTTAGTGAGATTAAATGAAAATAGATGCTTACTCATGTCCTGGTGACCTTCCTAGGTTGCAAGCATAAAGAAGTAACCTTGTTCAGCCCCTAAACAGGCTGAACCTAAACCTGAAAAAGTAAAATAAATGTATTGTGCAATGGATGACTCATCTACAATACTGGAAAGTGGAAGGTAATGAATCAATATACATAGACTACTGAGAGAATAGAACTGCAACTACAGAATCTGAACACAGACAACATGTTCATCTGTCAGTGTTAAAAATGCATTTTATATACAAAAGGACTAAGAGAGCATAAAACCCTTTGTATTTATTTGAGAAAACTACTTTAAAGTGTGCTAATCACAAGATAAGTAAATTGCAATCTCAATGACTAGACAAAAGAAGAGAGAATTGATGGGCATTGGATCTCAATAGATAATAATAAATATGTCAAATAGGGATCTTTGAAAAAAGAGAAATGATAACATTAAAGAAACTAGTAATAAATTTGTAAATGATTTCAGCAAAACCAGGACTTAGGAAAGGGTGTGATATCAAAGGAGAGTGGGATGGTAGAAGTGTACTATGAAGTTTGCAGATGTGTGGGGTGGAGGGATGAGTGAGCCAGCAATTTAGTTGTGAAGCAATAAGAAAAAAGCATTGGTTTGATGTCTAACCATTGAGAATTAAGCCAGGAGATTAGAAAAACCAAGTCGAGCGTCCAAATTAATGAATAGGGAAAGAAATTAGCAAATAGTTGACCAAGTTAAAAAAAGACAAGATAAGGTTAAAAATGAAACAGCAATGACATAAAATACACAGGAAGCGTAAGACCAAGTATAACTTTGGCACATTTTGTTTGAGCAGGTTGAATTTTCTTATCAAAAACCCTAGAAAATCTGAGTATGTTTAAACACAAAATAAAAATTGTACACTGCTTATAGGAAGCACATACAAAGTGGCCCTGCAAGGTAACTAAAAATCATTTCTACCAAACACTTAAAATATTAAGACGTTTTAAATGTTCAGCAGAGTGTGCAAAAAATTAAGGAAAATTCTTGAGGCCAAAAATTAAATGTGACGTGAGTCCAGAATACCAGGTGGGCCCCAAGGCAGTGGCTGCCCTGAGGACATTTGCAAATCCTTGTGACCAGAACTTGCAGTTTTCAGGAGTGTGTCCAGGATGGAAGTGACTAGAGGCCTGTGCAAAGTGAAGAGGCAGAAGAGAGGCCCCACATAACATCAGGAAGGAAAAATCCCATCCCTCAGAGGGAAAGGATGGGATCATCATTCTGGACCTTGACCCCTGGCAGATCAAAAATGTTATCTCTGGCCGGGCATGGTGGCTCACGCCTGTAATCCCAGCACTTTGGGAGGCCGAGGTGGGTGGATCACTTGAGGTCAGGAGTTCGAGACCAACCTGGCCAACATGGTGAAACCCCATCTCTACTAAACATACAAAAATTAGCCAGGCATGGTGGCATGTGCCTGTAATTCCAGCTACTCGGGAGGCTGAGGCAGGAGAATCACTTGAACCTGGGAGGCAGAGGTCCCAGTGAGCTAAGACTGATCATGCCACTGCACTCCAGACTGGGTGACAGAGTAAGACTCTGTCTCAGAAAAAGAAAAAAAAAGGTTATCATGTTATCTGTACTGAATTGTGTAAGACAGCCTGCCCACTCGTGGGGTTGGAGCTCAAAATCCCATTACGTCCAGAATCTGAGAAACAGCAGCCAAAAGTTGATTTAAGGGGGACCCAAATTTCTAAGATGACCCAGGTTCCCTGGAAGAACCAATTCTTTCTGGAAAAATATGTACCCTAAATGCAGGTCTTGAAAATCTAGAGACAATCAATGATTTCCTGGCAAAATACAAACTGCCAAATTGATGGATGAGATAAGAAACCTGATCTGAACAGCACTGGACAGCTTTGCTCCACCATCACCAAAAGGCCTGTGCCCATGTGGGTTTCCTGGTGCTTTCTGTCTACTTTTAAAGGTGTGCTAATTCTTATTTTATTTCAGAAATTTTCATACAAAAGATAAAAACTGTACAGAATGAATGATAAAGCTAGCATAATCTTAGCCAAAACCTGATAATGATATACAAGTAAAACTATAGGCCAATTTCACATAAAACAGTAACTGTGAAAATTATAAATAAAATATATTACCCAATAAAATCCAACATGTTAGCATTATCATCTAGAGTTTTTTTCCAAAAATAAATAAATGGTTAACATCAGGAGCTTTTGTGTTATATTTCATTGCCTCAGTGAATTAAAGGTTAAATCCTTTGAAGGAGAATAGGAAGAAAAGGAAAGTCTTTAAACATGATAAAAATTAATCACCAAGACTCATTTCAACCACTATATATGAACGCTGAAGAAACTTTCATTGAAAACAAGGAGCAAGTTATGGATTCCTATTATTACCATTTTGTATTTAGCAACCATTATATAACTGTACCTTTATAACTAATGCATTCATATGATTAACTCCAAAATAAATCTTAAAAATGAAATAATCTTATTTTATTTCCTTATGAAATTGTGCACATTTCTATAAAAATCGTGAGACTTTATGAAAAATATTAGAATTAATAGAAGAATCTAGTAAAGTGGGTACAGAAGGTCAATATAGAGAAATCAATAGCTTTTCTTCCCACTGGAACTAACTGGGTAGAAATAGTAAAAAAGAAAAAATACATAGATAGATAGAGAGAGAGAGAGAGAAAGAAAGATAGGATATTTAGGATATTTATATGGAAAAAACTTATTAAAGAACGTAAAATACAGTTCAAATAAATAGGAAAAGAGTGCATTCCTGGATATGAAGACTAGTATTAATCTTCTTAAAGTTCTATTTTATATGTAAAAGGTAAAGAAAAAAATCATAAAGTTGTAGACATATGTGAACATGTAAATTTTATGTTTGTAGCACTAACAATATCAAAGTTAGAAACCAGACTGTTGGCTAGGGAAAAAATGTTTGCAGTATATATAGCAAAGATTATTGTCCTCAATACCAACAACTCCCAAAACGCATAAGGAACACAACATAACACCATATAATAGTGTCAAGGTTACGGACAGTAACATTTAATTACTTTAAAAAGAAATTAAAGTGATTAATAAACATATAAACAGATGAGCAACAATAAGTTTGATTACACTGATACTGGCATGGATTTGAGACAAGATAACTTTCCTGTATTGCTGAAGGGCAAATGATTTCTTATAATATTTTGAAAGTAATCACTTTAATATTTTCTAAATTTAAAACACACTAATCTGTCTTTGCCCCAGCAATACCAACTTTGGAAATCTATTTATAGATATGAAAGCCTCAATAAATACTGGTATTGAGGGAGGATGCTTAGTGCAGCCTTTTTATTGAAGTAGCAATGTGCTTAACCACCTTCCTGATGATTCCTGCAAATACCACCCATCAATGAATTAGTAGAGAAAATGTTGAGTTACATAAACATTGAACACTATGGGAAATTATGCAGCTGATAAATAAAACATAGGACCTATATCCCTTAATCTGGAGGGATATCCACGATTGTTAGTGACTCAGAAAACAAGTTGCAGAGTGATATATAATATTCCTGCATACCCAAATCTTTATCATTCACAGTTCACGTAACTTTAGGTAATACCAAGAATGCCTATTTGTCTTTAGAATTTTTTTTCTTTCCAGAGTAAATACCTGTCACATTATTTTTAACAACTTCATAGAACTGTATGTAATATTTATACATAATAAGTGTATAGAAAGTATGAACTTGACAGAGGACAATGACATCTTTAAAATTAGAAATAGTGCTTTCATAAATTGTAACAATTGTTTTTACATCTCATGTAAAAACATGTAATTGCAAGCCTGTTTCTGTGATTGCATATGTGTGGATGAAGAAGCAGATGATCAAGGAAAGAATATACATGACATTAACATGAAATACCTGAGAAACGTGGGCAAAGGAGTTCATCCACGTGTTTTGTGGACTTAAGATCATTTCAAATTTAAAATATATTACCTTGTTATGTTTTTTAAGGAGGGAAATGGCAATTAAAATTAAAAAGCAACTAGAATCTGCAGAAATGGTAGATTTGAGAAGTGATGCTAATTTCCTCTTCACATCTAAATTAACTATCTGCAGTGCCTTTAATGTTTCATTTCTTAAAACACTATTATTAAAACTGCATTTTCCCCACATGTTCCATATATGAGTGGAAGAAAATCCCTTCTGATACTCCACATTAGTCTAGAAGAAGAGAAGCAAGGTCTGCTATATTCCTATCTTCAATAAATCATGTAGTGTCTTCTCAGAGGGACATATTATGACTAATCCCAGTAGTCACCCTCATAGTCTTTAATTAGAAGTTAATCTTCTATTGCAAATTTTAATTCCAGCTGCAATCTCCTTTACAAAATGAAAATTCTTGTTCATAGGACATGTAAAGGAAATAACATGCTGTCTTTATGTGTGTGTTTTATAATATTGTTATTTGGAATAGTAAATTCATAGAATGCATGTGAGAGATTAAAAGATCAAATAAATGTGTTAATATACTAATATTGATCATTAATTTTATTAATATTAAAGTAACATATTGATTTATTTGCATAAGCACACATAGATCAATTGCTTGGTATGAAATCTCAATTTCTCTTTTGCCATGTGGCCTAAAGCATAAAGGAATAAATGATATTTTAACTTTTAAATTTTAGTTTAATTAGGTTAATAATATGTAAGTTGTTATTTTATAATATGCCATGTACATTAAATAAATTTTATCTTAAAAAATACAACATACAAAAAAATTCAGCCTTTTGTGTACATAGAAAGTCTTTAAATAATAATGGTTTTAAAATAATATCAAATATAGATAATAAAGAAATAATGCCACTCACAAACATTCAAAATCATAACATGTTTTTATAATTGTTTAAGATTGCTTTGGTCTACTGTGTTCTAGTTGGTATGTTTCAAATGCATTCTTAAAGTAAAATGTCATTCTTGACCTTATGGGGCACCTTAGTGTATATGATAGTGGCAAAAATTCATACACTGACAAATATGTGAAATAATTTAGAATAAATTATAGTTCTGAATTTCAATTTCAATGTTTCTTTGTTTCTCTAGGTGGCTTTTACAGTACTTTTTGATTTGGAAGCACTTCTGAAGATATGGTGTTTGGGATTTACTGGATATATTAGCTCATCTCTCCACAAATTCGAACTACTACTCGTAATTGGAACTACTCTTCATGTATACCCAGATCTTTATCATTCACAATTCACGTACTTTCAGGTAATAAAAATAATGCCTATTTGTCTTTAGAAATTTATTTATTTCCAGAGTAAATACCTGTCACATTATTTTAACAACCACATAGAATTATATATAATATTTATATATAATAACTATTATGGTAAATATGAACTTGAGAAAGGCACAATGACATCTTACAAATTAGAAAAGTGCATTCACAAATTGTAACAATCGCTTTTTAAAACTCCTGAAAATTCACAGAAACAATGTAGATGTTTTACTTACTTTTCCTAAATTAGCAGTATATAGATACACATATTTTTATATATGGATAACATATATCCATACATGCGTATCAAATTTTAAACTACATAAGATGTTGGCACAAACTTTAAAGACTAGGAAACATTAATTTAATCCCAAGTGTTTCTCTTCCTTGTCGATAAGGCTAAGTGTTTGCTCAACAACGGTTTATAATGAAAATATTAAAGGTTTATAAAACTTACCTTTACAGATTGTAATTACTCATACAGTATTATTTATAAATGCCTGTTACTTCATGATGGCACTTATAATTCTTATTTAACTTGTAATAATTGGATATCTTTTTTTAAATGTGATATATTGGATCACATTGCTTTCTAATTATGCAATAAACAGTAATTATTAGTTACATTCTTTGTTATTATTGAATATAGCAACACGCTCACTGTCCTGGTAAATACTTAGTCAAAATGATAAAATATGTCTACATGGTATTCTAGTCAAAAACACCTCAAATGTAGTCATTTTCCTGATTCAAACTTGGTCATTTATTTTTTATTTTATTTTATTTTATTTTATATTATTTTATTTTTTATTTTATTTTATTTTATTATTATTATACTTTAAGTTTTAGGGTACATGTGCACAATGTGCAGGTTAGTTACATATGTATACATGTGCCATGCTGGTGTGCTGCACCCACTAACTCGTCATCTAGCATTAGGTATATCTCCTAAAGCTATCCCTGCCCCCTCCCCCCACCCCACAACAGGCCCCAGAGTGTGATGTTCCCCTTCCTGTGTCCATGTGTTCTCATTGTTCAATTCCCACCTATGAGTGAGAATATGCGGTGTTTGGTTTTTTGTTCTTGCGATAGTTTACTGAGAATGATGATTTCCAATTTCATCCACGTCCCCTACAAAGGACATGAACTCATCATTTTTTATGGCTGCATAGTATTCCATGGTGTATATGCGCCACATTTTCTTAATCCAGTCTATCATTGTTGGACATTTGGGTTGGTTCCAAGTCTTTCCTATTGTGAAGAGTGCCGCAATAAACATACGTGTGCATGTGTCTTTATAGCAGCATGATTTATAGTCCTTTGGGTATATACCCAGTAATGGGATGGCTGGGTCAAATGGTATTTCTAGTTCTAGATCCCTGAGGAATCGCCACACTGACTTCCACAAGAGTTGAACTAGTTTACAGTCCCACCAACAGTGTAAAAGTGTTCCTATTTCTCCACATCCTCTCCAGCACCTGTTGTTTCCTGACTTTTTAATGATTGCCATTCTAACTGGTGTGAGATGGTATCTCATTGTGGTTTTCATTTGCGTTTCTCTGATGGCCAGTGATGGTGAGCATTTTTCCATGTGTTTTTTGGCTGCATAAATGTCTTCTTTTGAGAAGTGTCTGTTCATGTCCTTCGCATTTATATAATTTATCATGGAAACACTAGAATGTGCATTGATTGTTTTCTAAATAGATATTGTTAAATATTTGGGAAATAAAATGACAGTAGAATTTTAAAGAAGTAATTTTGAGAAACAGGACTCTAACCCCTTAGGAAAAAGAACATGCATTGCAACTTTATTGATTTTATTTATTAGTAATACCAAAATATTATTTTCAGAACAATATTCACTTTAACTGCCAGATCACAGGTAACTAGACACTTTTAGTACCTGGGGGAAAGGACATGCAAATATAATTCACAAAAAGTAAAAAGCAAAACCCCCTACAAACCCAGGCAAAAAGCTGAGCCCTTGTAATCACAGCTAAGCATATTGAAACCACAGAGGGTTTTCATAGTTCAAGCGCTCACTTCCCTCAGCATCCGTGGATGTAAATCTCTCCTCATTTGTTGAGTTATATCCTGAAGCTTAGCTATCATAAGTGACATGGCTGGGGCAAGAGATATACATGTTTAAAACTCTTGATACAAAATGTGCTTTCCAAACATTCCTGTGATTATAAGCTCTTGTGCACTGCTCTCTAGATTCACAAAGTTATCATGGCCATTGAGTACCTACCTTAGGGCATCATTGCACATAATTATAGAGAATATCCTTTATATCAAAACAACAGCATACCTTTTTTACAAAGCTATTAAAGTAGCCAAATTAAGAAAATTGGTGTTGCCTATTTCAGCAAAGGTACAGTATAAAATATATTCAGGGCCTTAAAATTGCTATAGTCTCTGACATGCCATTTTTCAGTAAAAAGTTAGAAAATAACATTTGTGTGCAAAATATTTATTATAGAATTAATGAGAGAAAAAAGAAAACTGTTTAAATGACAAACATTTGAGGAATAGCTTAATAAGTCATAACGCGAATTTAACCATAAAATTATAATTGTGATGAGTTTTTTATAACTTAGAAATATGACTGTTTTATTTAAACGATAAACAGCATAAATTATATTATATACATAACTACATATATGTATGTATATATTTATTATATACATATGTAAAATACCTATAAAATGGAAAAAAATGACTAGAAAGAAACCAATTTATTACAAATTATTAATCATCTCTAGTTTCCTACTCTTGTCATCATGTCTGATTTTCCTACTAGTCTGTTTTTTTACAAAATATCTAATATTAGCCTGCAAGGCTGTAACCATTTTATAGATAGACAGATGATAGATAGATAGATAGGTAGATGATAGATAGATAGATAGTAGATAGATAGATAGTAGATAGATAGTCAAATCACAGTGAAGTTTGCAATTTCAGTTTTGTCTTTGATTTTGGATTATTCTGTAATTGGTTCTGTTTAATTTATGTTAATGATTAGGTGATTTTCATTTGTATCTCTCTATACATGGCCATGCTTCTCTTTTTCTAATGTATTAATAATGAATAAAAATGATCTCAGTTAATTTGTGGCTAGAAAGTAAATCTCTTGAGAAACTTAGGTGTCACAAGGGTTTTTGCAAATTTGCATGTGGAGAATCCACTGTACCAGACAGAGCGGCTCTTTGTATAAAGGCCTACATTGGTCTTCCCTATTGGTCCTCACACTTCTCATTTCAATCAACCTTTCTTTACTGTGTTGGCAACAAGTCTTTCCTTAGACAATTTCATATTTCTCACATTTAAATGAAGTAATGTTTAGTGCAAAGTGGCTTCCTTTAAAATATTAGTTATCTGTTAGACTAACTACTGAAGTTATTCATGTATTTATTCAAGTGATATTTCTGAGCTTCTACTATGTGTCAGCCACTGTTCCAGATACTGAAGATGGAGCAGTGGACAAAGCAGAGAGGATTCCCATTTTATGAAGCTGAAATTCTAAAGGCAAACAGTTCACAAAGAAGTACACAAAGGAATGTGAAGTACAAGTACTGGAAATGTCTTAAGGAAGAAGTGTGCAGGGTAAAAAGCATAGAGATTGTGTAGTAGGGGCTATTTTAGATTAGTTGTTCATAGAAGCCCTCTCTGAAGAGGTGAGGTTTGAGCAGAGACTGAATGAAGTGAAGGAGCAAACTGTAAGGAGGTCTGAGGGGAAGCATTCCAGGTGGAGAGAATCACACTGAGCATGTCCTGAGGTGGGTGCATGATTGATGTGTTCAAGGAATAGCACAAAGGCCAGCGTGGCTGGGCTGCAACCAATGCAGGGCAGCATGGCCTGTGGGAAATCATCAGGTCTTGCAAAACGCTGTGGTTCTTACATATCGGTATCATCCTGATGATATTGACTGGTGCGTCTTGTGAATTTCCTGTGGGTCGGGCATCTTGCTGAGTGCATTGTCTCATTTGTTTCTCATAACAAGCCCTAAGATAAGGACTGTATGTGTAAATTGAGGTCTCAAGAAATCTGTTGACTTGCCCAAGACCGCATACCTAGCAGATGATGGAGCTAAATCTTCTTCCCGGCTGGGCGCAGTGGCTCACACCTGTAATCCCAGCACTTTGGGAGGCCGAGGCGGGTGGATCACGAGGTCAGGAGATCAAGACTATCCCGGCTAACATGGTGAAACCCCGTCTCTACTAAAAATACAAAAAATTAGCCAGGCGTGGTGGTGGGCGCCTGTAGTCCCAGCTACTTGGGAGGCTGAGGCAGGAGAATGGTGTGAACCCGGGAGGTGGAGCTTGCAGTGAGCTGAGATTGCGCCACTGCTCTCCAGCCTGGGCCACAGAGGGAGACTCCGTCTCACAAAAAAAAAAAAAAAAATTCTTCCCAAGAACATGAATTTCAGAGTTCATATTCTTAACTATGCAATTTCTACAGCATCTCACTACAAATCAACAGAGTGACCTTTAAGAGAAGGACTCAGAAATGTGACCAGGAAAATGTGTTTCAGAGACAAAATGTTCTGAAGTGCTTATCTTTGAGAGTATGGTTTACTTCATGTTGTATCTGTAGGAACACAAAATCAAAAATCTTTATAGGGTAGATAGAGTGAAAAACCTGCTGATCCCTGAATAAATGAAAAGGCACAATTAGACTCACTGACAGGGATTTTTCCTTTCTAGGAATGCAGGTTTAACCCTTTGAAAATGCTGATCAAATCACCAATGTGGAAGTGGTATTAAATAGTTCCATTTTTTTCAAGCTGTTTACAGTTAGGTACTGAATTATTTATGTCCGAAAATAGACAAATCTGATAAAAATGTGAAATCTTTCCAGATTATTATTCTGGAAATTAATACGAATGTTAATACTTTAATAGTTCTTATGATAAAGCTGTTTGCTTGTTCTTTGTAAAGATTATCTGAGAGTAATATGTCCTGATTTGGGAATGTATGTTAAGAATTACAGCAGGATGGCCGGGTGCAGTGGCTCACACCTGTAATCCCAGCACTTTGGGAGGCCGAGGCAGGCGGATCACGAGGTCAGGAGATCGAGACCATCCTGGCTAACATGGTGAAACCCCGTCTCTACTAAAATTACAAAAAAATTAGCTGGGTGTGGTGGTGGGCGCCTGTAGTCCCAGCTACTCGGGAGGCTGAGGCAGGAGAATGGTGTGAACCCGGGAGGTGGAGCTTGCAGTGAGCCGAGATCGCTCCACTACACTCCAGCCTGGGCGACAGAGTGAGACTCCGTCACAAAAAAAAAAAAAGAAAAGAAAAGAATTACAGCAGGAAAAATTGGTAGCTGCACCATGTGGTATGATGCTTAATTTGAACAACATAATTTCTTACATATGTTTAAAAATTGCAAATTAGCATGAAGGAAACATGCTTTAGTCATTTTTTTTCAATTGGTTTACTTACATGCTGTAAACCATATCATTTGCATTCTGCAGACAATAGGAATAAGACTGACCACTGATACTTCCTGTTAAATCAAAGTAAATGCAGTAAACGTGGTTTCAGGTATGGCAAAATTCAGAGGCCGATATGGTGTCAGGGGCTCAGTGTATGTCTTCACCTACCTTTCTTCTGTTGGTGTGTCGGTGTCATTCTTAAGCTGGTTTTCTCTATGTGAAGGCAAAGATGGCTCCCAGGAGCTCTGTAAGAGTTTGTGTGACTCTTACAGCAGTACCCGTTGGGGATTAAAAAAAAAAAAAAAAGAAATAGAACATTTCTTATTAAAGGCATCCAGCAAAAGCCCTGAGGATGACTCAGATGACTGTGAATACTCTGGCCAGATCTGGATCATGACGGGTGGGGAGTCCTTCTTGCACCTTTGTACTAAGGCTGGGGTAGGAATGATTTGCTAAAGGAAAACCAGGCAGAGTTGAAGAAGCCAGAGGCACTGGAAAGCCAAAAAGAAACAAATGTTATTTTAGACATGTAAAAATTAAAATCTAATTTTTAAAAATGAATTTTCTGTTTCTTACTGTGTTCTAAATACACTATTCATCTTTAACAGACAACTCAATCTCTTATTGACATCAAAAAATCTTGGATGATCATTGTATAAACTATATTTCATTTATGCCAAGAATGCAATTTTCCTATGTTAATATCTCTGAATTTGGGAGCTGTTATAATCAGTGGTGTGTTATACTTTAATTGGCAGCATTTTTTTATTTCTTAGAGCTACATACAAAATTGGTGACATCTTAGACTTAATGAAAAGTTGTATTTTTCACACTATATACTTCAGCTTTTAATTATGTACTAATTTATACATACTAATCATATAAATATGTCCTTAAAAGCTGTGTCTTTGTGTTATACTCGCTTTGTAATAGTAGCCATTGAATCCTATTTGTCCAACACAAAGTTTGGCACATAGTAATCAATAAAGGTTTGTTAAACAAATGAGTGAATAAATTTGTCAATTAATTACTTATTTTTTTTTGCAAATGTGAGTATGCAAAACATCTAAATATATCTGTATATATTTAGATGTGTGTGTGTGTGTGTATACACAGTCATGCATCATTTAACAGCAGAGATACATTTTGAGAAATGCATTGTTAGGCAATTTTGTTGTCGTGTGATCATAGAGTTTACTTACACAAACCTAGATGTATAGCCCACTATATACCTAGGCTATATGGTATGGCCTATTGCTCCTAGGCTACAAACCTGTACAGTGTATGACTACATTGAATACTGTAGGCAATTGTCACACAAAGGTAAGTATTTGTATATCTAAACATAGCTAAATATAGAAAAGGTAAGTCTTATAGGACCACCATCCTATACGTGGCCCATACTTGACTCAAAAGTTATGCGATGCATGACTAAAATATATGTAAATATATACACACACACATATACATGCGTGTATATATAGAGAGAGAATAGTTGAGTACATATAACAAAGATCCAAAAATACAAAACTTACATAAGACAGAAGTTTATTTCTCTGCAGCAGTTGGTAAGTATGCAGGGAAAGCAGGTGGCTGTGCCCCCCATGGTCACCCAGCCTGTCGGGTTGGACAGGACCTGTCGTATTCTATGCAAGCCTTCTATTTCTGGTCCAAAGGGGCTACACTATTTGTTTCCATTTCCAGGCAAGAGAAAGGTATTTTAAAAAGGATTCAGAGAAAGTTTAACTTAATGCACCAAAACTTGTACAAATCATTTCCTCTCACATTCCGTAGGTCTGAACCCAGTCCACTGGAGACAGCTAGCTGCAAGGGAGACTGGAATGTGTAGGCTATAGCCCCAGGCAACCACTTGCTAGGTTAGAATTCGGAAAGTTCTGTTTTTTAAAGGAGGAAAGAGAAAATGGATACTGGGCTGATAATCTCAATAAGAAGTAAAGATTCTTGGCAAAAGTTTGCTTCTCTTTCCATTTCCTTGTGATTTTCTAATAATACCTAGGAAAATATTTTATGAGACAGTGAATATAACTAATACAGGTTGAGTATCTGTATCCCAAATGCTTGGGAACAGAAGTGTTTTGGCTTTCGATGTTTGTCAGATTTTGGAATATTTGTATGTATGTGCATAATGAGATATCCTGGGAATGGGACCCAAGTCTAAACACAAAAATTGTTTATGTTTTATAAACACCTCAAATACATTCCCTGAAGGTAGTTGTATGCAATATTCTTAATAGTTTTTTTATGCATGAAACAAAGTGTGTATACATTGAACCATCATAAAGCAAAGGTGTCAGGTGTAGAATTTTTCACTTATGGCCTCATATCAGCACTCAAAAACTTTAAATTTTTGAGCATTTTATGTTTTAAATTAGGAATGTTCAACCTGTATTGAATTAAAGGTTTCCTTGCATATTTGAACGTTAGAAAAATATTAATTTTATTTCAACAATACGTACTAGTGAATATCATTTTGTATAATCATATAATATGTTAAAACACTTAGTTCATCCATTCATTTGGGATTTATTGAGCTAGACCAATGGTTATTCTATTGTTAATTTTAGTCACTAGATATTCAAATAGAGAGGTATGATTTTCATAAAGCACTATAAAATAATATTTTAGTATGAATATATTTAAGATTCAGTGTAAATAAATGATCATATGTGTAAATAAATGTTTCTCTCTCCCTTGATAGGTTCTCCGAGTAGTTCGGCTGATTAAGATTTCACCTGCATTAGAAGACTTTGTGTACAAGATATTTGGTCCTGGAAAAAAGCTTGGGAGTTTGGTTGTATTTACTGCCAGCCTCTTGATTGTTATGTCAGCAATTAGTTTGCAGATGTTCTGCTTTGTCGAAGAACTGGACAGATTTACTACGTTTCCGAGGGTAAGAGTTTTAAAAATGCAGTAAGTTAAATTCATTGTTCTTATTTTAGTAATAATGATTAACATCAAAGTAATTTCACTTTAGTCATTCAGAAGTATTATCCTATTTTTGATAACTTGGGATAATTAGATTTTAATATTTAAAATTGTCTCTTCTGCAGGGTGCAGGTGTTTGAGACCATTTTCAGCATTGTCAGATTATATATCAATTCTAAAATTCTGGAAATAATCTAATAGAGTTAGATGCTGAAACCTGAATGCTAGGGTTCTTAGCACCTATAAATTAAAATACAGCAGAATTTTAAAATAAAGCTTGCATTTTTGTGTTCAAGAGAGTTAACATATTTTTAATGTTTTATAATTTATATATTGTTATGTTAGTCAGAATCTAGAAGGAAGCTTTTGATTTTCAATAAAATAAAATTCATAGGCTCTTCAGATTTTAAATGTCTCTCAGCTTTCTCAGTAGAATTCACTTAAGCTAAAAAGGAAGTTAGAAATCAATGGATCCATAAACAAAAGTCATGTAAGAGGTACAGCTCTTAACCAGAAGGACCTTGAAATTTAACTCTATGTGGACTTAGAAACATAAAAAAATACAATGACCAGACAAATAATGTATATATTTTTACCCTAAGTTGAAATAGTAAGGCCTATTATATGGTGTATTAGTCCATTCTTACACTGATGATAAAGACATACTCGATGAAACTGGGTAATTTATAAAGAAAAAGAGGTTTAATGGACTCACAGTTCCACGTGGCTGGAGAGGCCTCACAGTCATGGTGGAAGGTGAAAGGCACATCTTACATGGTGGCAGGCAAGAGAGAATGAGAGCCAAGCTAAAGGGGGAAACCTCTTATAAAACCATCAGATCTCGTGAGACTTATTCACTACCACAAGAGCAGCAGGGGGGAAACCGCCCCCATGATTCAATTATCTCACACCTGGTCCCTTCCACAACACATGGGAATTATGGGAGCTACAATTCAAGATGACATTTGGGTGGGGACACAGCCAAACCATATCATATGGGAAGAATAATATTGGGGTAAAAACAACATATATTTTTAAAAGTTAAGCTTTGACAGCAAAAGGGTCTGTACTTCTAATGGATAGCTTAGCTTTATTTTAGGGATTTTTTTAAAAATCCTATGCTAAATTTATTATTTTAGCTACCAGTGTTGGAATTCATCCTTTTATAATGCAGATTCTTCATTCATGTGCCGCCAAGGATTTGTCGAGTGCCTTTAAAGCATCTGGTCATTTAGGTAATCATGGGGACATAAGTCCTCAAGAAATTCTCAGTTGAGGGGAGGAACCAGTAGGTAAGCACAGGGCACCACAGGCCTTGATGAAGGCAGACACCAGGTGCTCTGGGGACACAGAGGCAAGGCCGATTCCCAGGCATGGAAAAGTCCAGAAAGGCTTATGGGAACAGGTGACTCCAATGGCTGGATGTAGCCAAAGGAAGTGCAAGGGAACGGATTCCCATCACAGGAACAGCATGTACTAAATGTCTGAGGTGAGCAAATCCTTCTTCCAGAACTTAGCAAGAACCATCAATGGTAAGAGGAGGACAAAAGGCCAAGGAACTCTGAAGTCGGTTGAAAGTGTGATCGTATCTGTCATGCCAAACTCCTATCAACTCTAGTAGGGAAGGCACCAGGTTCAAGAGGCTGAAGAAGAGACCCAGAGCCAGCAGATGAGACATGGGGTTTCATTGAGGGCTTACATACAGGGGAGGGAGTCCAATGCTGGCTGGCTGGTCAGGAGAACAAGACCTGCTTGCAAAATGCATGCAATTTACATAGCATTTTTACTTAGCACACTCCCCCAGCAACCTCCACATGGAAATCTTAATTCACCCCAGACTTGGGGCCTCAATTCCCTGTGTATAGCCAGTGTTCCACGGGAGGAGATGGGGACTCAGATGTTCCTCATCAACAAGGAGTCAATCTCTGGGTTGGCCACTCCTAGATTC
Source organism: Homo sapiens (assembly GCF_000001405.40). Lineage (NCBI taxonomy): Eukaryota > Metazoa > Chordata > Mammalia > Primates > Hominidae > Homo > Homo sapiens. The sequence continues at coordinate 101,227,409 of NC_000013.11, read as the reverse complement.
CCTAGCTCAGAACACACATTCAGGTGTGTCTGGCAAGAAGGGTCATTCTCGGGGTATGCTTGAGTTATTGCTTTCAGGTGCACTTACATACGATGTTTAAGTGCTGATGAGAGAGGGCAAGTAGCTAGTGAGGTTGCAGATGGGTGAGATAAGGAGGATGATGGCAAAGGTTCCTGCAGAGGTGGGAGAAGGCAGTATCCACAGCAAGAGGACAAAGATTGGCCTTAGACAGGTGTTGAGCTGACAGGTGTCGAGGTGATCCTCAGGACAGCAAGCCAAGCTGAAAGTTACAATCAAGACTTTGTTCCCTCACTGCAACAGTACAGGCAGGAGGCAAAGGTAGGCACCGCTCTCCAGCTCTCCAGCGTCCGGAGGTGTTGGTTAAGGGTCAGGTGGATCAGCAGGCATGGGGGAGGGAGGGCTCTTTTCCTTGCTAAGCAGTCCTGAACAAAAGGTTCCAGCCATTCCTGCACCTAGGGAGGGGAAGCATAAGGAAGGAAGGGATAGGAGAAGAAAGGAACGGAGCCAGCATGGAGGAAAGTGCCTCATCTGGGCCCTGATCAGGAGGCCTCTGCACAGAGGCACCTGGTCTGGGACTGCAGCTATGGCCATGATCCCAGCTGGCCTGGCAGGGCAGAGCTGAGTCATAAATTGCAAGTCCCTCCAGAAATGGCAGTGCCCTGGTCATGCACCATGTCTAGGGTGGGGATGGCAGTGGTCCCCGGGAGGTCTCCCAGGCAAGGCCTTGCCATCAGATCACACATAGGATTTTGGCCAGGAGCAGGACTCCTGGAACGGAGGCTGGAGGGAGGCAAGCCAAAATGATAGCCACATCATTAGGCCCACCTTCTCTGGGTCTGCCCCTTCACTGGGTAAATAAAAAGATCAGCTGGCCATCTTTTCCATGGGAACATGGGGATGGTTATTGTAAGAGTTAAAGAGGTAAGAAACACAAAAAGCAGCTCAACAGTAAAAGACAGATTTATTTTGGAGAATAAACTTTAGAGGGGCTTCTGGCCAATTTTGCTCAGGAGCATTCTCTCTTACAGACTAAGGGTATTTAAGGGTGTAGGAAGTGGGGAGCTTATCGCAGGTTCGGAATGTTTCTATGTGAGGGAAAGTTTATTGTGGGGTTGGGATTGGGATGTCTGGTTGGAGGGGAGGCTGTCTCAGGGTTGGCGTGTTTCTGGTCAGAGGGGGTTTATCTTAGGGTTGGAATGTTTCTGGTGATGCTGACATTAGGCATTAGGCTGATGTTTGGGTGCTTGATTTGGGTGTTTTTTTAATCAAAGGGAACTTAAAATGGTGGTGTTTCTCCAAGACGACGATCTCCTGCTCTGTCAATCCAGTCCCTACAGTTATAGAAAGGAAGAGGGGTGGTATATTCTTTCTGGCTACTTCCTGCTGAGTGGAGGGTCAGAGGGTTCTTTGGTCTTGGGTTGATTGTGGGAGTAATGCCATCTGTAGATGTTTTTAGGTAATTGTGAGATGTCCATGATCCTGTCAGTTAAAAAATCTTTGAAAAAGGTGAATTAAGCCAGGTAAGCACATTAGTCCTAGGCATATTATTAGGAGAGGGCCCAAGAATGGGATGGTCCATGTTAGGATTTTGTTTCTAAACCAAGAATGTATTTGGTTGTTTTGGTATTCCTTTCACGTTTTAGCCCTTTCTTCAAGTTTTTCAGCAGCATCTCTTACTAGGCCTGATTGGTTGAGATAGAAGCAACATTCCTCACTCAGTGAGAGGCAGAGACCCCCTTTTTCAGCCATTGTAAGATCTAATCCCAGTCTATTTTGGAGGACTGCTCCAGGCAAGGAGTCTAATTGGTCTTCGACTCTTATAAGGCTTTGGGCTATATCTTTTAATAAATCCTGTAGTTCTGTTGAAAGAACTTTAAAGTATGTTAAGGAGTTGGCCAGTCTGCCTGCTCCCAATCCAAGCCCGGAGGTTATACATAAGGCAGCCATTAAAGGAATGACTTGGATGCTCCTCCTTTTTCTAACATACTGGATGAATGGAACAGGTGAAGATTGATTAGGAGGAACTAGTCCAACGGAGGGAGAAAGATAAACTAGGGTACAGGTTCTGGTCTAGTTGGTGGGGAGAAAAAGATATGTGTTGGTACCGCATAAAAAGAACAAGCCTTTGTCATAATGCAGGCGGAGATAGGGAAAGAAGATAAGCAAATTAAAGATGGGGTGTTTTTTCTTTCCTGCGGTTTTTTACTCCAGGTGGACAAGGAGGAGGCCAGGGAGACACCCACTATAGTAGAGATATAGGAAGAGTTATTTTTTACACATTTAATGCAATCGGATGTTGCACCATTGATATTGAGCCATGGAAAAAGTTGGGCACCAGGGGCAGCGCAAGTTAGGCAGGAGGCATTGGTTGACGGAGAGGCTGTAAACTAGCTGGTTGCAGAAATGCTCCATTTGTTTCAGGTGATACTTGGTAGTCAACGTGGCTACTTTGATGGTCAGAGGGGTGTTTAACAATGATAGTGTGATTGCATTGGTTAGATGTTAAGGACCCTACAGGGAAATTTCCCTCCGAGGCTGAAAAGCAAAGTGAGGCTTGTTGTAAAAGGGGGGTGTGTGTAGTTATGGGCCCTTCAATGGGAGGGTCTTGGTGCTTAAGGCATTGTAGAGAGTTGTAATAGGTTTGAAATATTTTGTTGGCCCGATTGGCCCTGGAAGTGAAATAATCTCTGAACAGGGTGTCGGCTCTCTCAAAAAAGGAAGCTCCTTTTGGGAGTTTATAAGTTAGGGTTATATTTCCTGTTCAAAGGTCATGAAGGGGTGTAGGAAGGGCTGTGTAAGCTGAGGAAGACAGCGATAAGCATATCCAGCACTCTGGAGCAAAGGAAGAGTTAGCTTTGCAGCAAGAGGGATTGTGTAAGGTTTATAGAGCATTCTAGTTTGAGAGCAGTGAGGAGTGGTTTTATTGGTGAGGTTGATATGATTAGGGAATTTATATTGAAAGAAACAATCAAAAAGAGAAAAAAGTTATTTGGGTAGTAGTAAAGTCCTGGAAAGTTCCTTGAAGCCATAGGTACCATAGAACAGTCAGAAACTGATTAGCATGTATAATGGGAGCTTTGTAAGGGTACCACTGAAGGTCTGTAGCAAGGTTGGTTAGGAAGCAGTGAAAGTTTGGGAGAGAAAGAGACATAAGCAGCTTATGTGGATTTCTCTTCCTTTTCCTCCAGGATTTAGGTGAGGCGAAGGGAAGTAGGTCCTGTGGAGACACAAGAGAAGGCTGAAGGGGTTTTAGATTTGGTTGTTTGTGTATGTGGTGAAGGGAAGTCTGTTTTCTTGAGAGAGGTATAATGAAACCAGTTGGGGAGTCCCTGGAGTTTTGCTGCCATGGGTGTAGTAAGGATGATCTGGTAAGGTCCTTTCCATTTAGGTGTAAGGAGGGAATTGGGGCTAGGACTGGGATCTTTTATCAGAACCCAGTCTCCTGGCTGTAGGAAGGGATTAGAGGAGTTGGTGACAAGTTGTGGCAGGTGTTTGTCAGCATATTCCCAAATGAAATGGCAGATGGTATGTACAAGAGGGGAAATGAGAGGGGTTGGCAGAGGTGGGGCTTGACCCTGAGGTGGACCAAAAGGGGCAAGTGGTCTCCCATATGTGAGTTCAAAGGGGCTGAGCATTAAAGGTTTATGTGAGAGCACCTGAATTTTTAGAAGGGCTAAAGGCAAAAGTGTAACCGAGTCTTTATGTGTCTGGAGTGAGTACCTGGTGAGGGTGTTTTTTAGAATGCCATTCATTTTTTCAACCTTTTCTGAAGATTGAGGTCGATAGGGGATGTGTAGCTTCCAGGTAATTTGTAGGGCTTGTGAAAGTGTTTGAGTAATCTGAGAAATGAATTCAGGGCCATTATCAGATTGAAAAGAAAGAGGCACCCCAAACCTGGGGATGATTTCTGTTATTAATTTGGAGGTGACATTAGAGGCTCGTTTGTTGGTTGTGGGAAAAGCCTCAAGCCATTCCAAAAAGGTATCAACCAGAACTAAAAGAAATCAAACCCTTTTTACTGGGGGTATATGGGTAAAATCAATTTGCCAATCCTGTCCTGGAAGGTGTCCCCTGGCTTGATGGATTGGGAAAGAAGAGTGTCTAGTGTTGGAATGGGGTGAAGCTTTCTGGCAAATAGAGCATTGATGGGAAATGGCTTTTAACTGTTCCTTTATATCTGGGGTTATGTGTTTATGGGAATTTAAGAAGTGTTGTAGAGGTGAATGGCTAGCATGGAAGAGGTTGTGAATGTCCCGTAAAAGAGTTGTTTTTTTCAGGGTCAGGTAGGACTAATTTGTTTTGTATGAATCAGTTTGGGGGGTTTGAATTGTGCCCCTGCCATGATTAGTTGTTGTGTTTGGTGTTCTGGATAAAAGAAGGGGATATGTTGTATGAAGGGAAATAAGTATTGGGGAATTGGGTGATTGGTTGAGACATGTTTTGCCCAGTAGTCAGCCTCATGGTTCCCTAAAGAAATGTGGCTTTTGTCTGATGTTCTTTGCCATGAATAACTGCAACCTTTTCTGGAAGTAGAAGTGCCTTTAATAGAGGATGAATGAGCTTTCCATTAATGATAGGGGTTCCTATAACTGTGAGATAGCCCCGCTCCCTCCAAATTTAGGCATTGGAATGGATGATGTTATAAGCATATTTAGAATTGGTGTATTATTAACTTGTGTGTTTTTTGGTAGGGTTAGTGCTCTTATTAGGGCAACTAATTCTGCTTGTTGGGCGGATGTGCCCAAAGGCAAGGGGGCAGCCTCTATCACTCTTCTAGATGGGAGAGAGTGGGTATCATAACGCTATCCCTCAATGATGGCATATCCTGCTTGGAGAGGAGGGTTTTTTGATGCACTGCCATCTATAAACCAGTCTGGGGCTCCCTTTATGTGAGTGGAAGTAAGATGGTGAAACATGGTAGGAGAACTTTCAATTAGATCAGAGCATGAGTATTGGTCAGGATCTAAAATCGGTATTGAGGGTAAAAGAGAGGCGGGATTAGGTGGGGAGCATCTATGAAGAGAGATAGCGGGTTGAAGGAGGGTTAAATGTAAGGCTTGCATATGAGAGGATGAGATGGGGGTGAGCGCCTATGGCTGACCATATCTTGTAGACTGTGAGAAGAAAATACCTGAAGGGGTTTGTAGAACATGAGTTTTTGTGTCTCAGAGATAATTAGAGAGGCTGTGGCCAAAATTTTTAAGAAAAGGGACCAGATTTTATAAATGGGGTCTAGTTGTTTTGAAAAATATGCCACTGTTGAGAAGGAGTCTCCCATAAGTTGGGCTAATAGTCCAAGGGCCTGATTATGAGAACTGTGTAAATATAGATGAAAAGGTCTTAGGAGGTTTGGAATGTCTAAAGCATGGGCCTGCAATAAGGCACGTTTTAGATGAGAAAAAGCATGATAAAGGTCTGGGGTGGGAGTGAGTGGTTGGTCAAGATTTCCTTTTGTGTGTTCATAAAGGGGTTTAGCAATAATGGCAAAATTTGCTACCCATAATCGGAAATATCCCACTAATCCAAGGAAGGAAAGTAAGTCCCTTTTCGTTTTAGGAAATGGGATTTGTTGAACACCTTGCTTTCATGCCAACAGCATTTCTCGGGTATTTGGAGTTATGATCAGTCCTAGGTATGAAACTTTCGGTGAGGTTAATTGGGCCTTCCTTTTGGACACCAGGTACCCACATTCAGCCAAAACATTTAAAATCTTGGTGGTGTGTTGAATACAATGGTCAAGAAAGGGGCTGCAAAGGAGTAAACTGTCCACATATTGCAGCAAAATCCTGGGTTGTAGAGGTAGTTGGGAGAGGTCTAATTGAAGTGACTGAAATAGTGATGGCTGTCTCTAAACCCCCAGGGGAGGACAGTCCAGATGAGTTGTTGGGAGTAGCCTGTGTCAGGGTTGGTCCAAGTGAAAGCATAAAGGTTTTGAGAGGAGGGATGTAGAGGGATAGTAAAAAAGGTGTCTTTGGCCAGGTGCAGGGCTCATGCCTGTAATCCCAGCACTTTGAGAGGCTGAGGTGGGCGGATCATGAGGTCAGGAGATGGAGACCATCCTGGCCAACATGGTGGAACCCTGTCTCTACTAAAAACACAAAAATTAGCTGGGTGTGGTGGCGTGTGCCTGTAATCCCAGCTACTCAGGAGGCTGAGGCAGGAGAATCATTTGAACCAGGGAGTCAGAGGTTGCAGTAGATTTTGCTACTAAATGTACTATAAGAAAAAAAAAAAATTCAAAAGGACCTTCAAGTATTTTCAGAAATTTTTAAATTTTGGAGTTGTGAATAAGGACTGTGGGCCTCTATTTTTAAAAAATGCATTTAAGAGTCTGTACTTCTGTCCCTACAAGTCCGATTGTGCATCAATGCCCCATTGCTTTTTAGCTATGTGATACTGGGCAAATCATTCTTTACATTTTTATTCTTCACAACCAAGATGTAAGCCGAAATGTGTTTTTTTTTCTTCTGCATTTTGTGTATTAAATAATATACAAAGATGACACAACTGGGCTTAGAAAGTATTTCTTAAAAGACTAGATTACAGCCTATGTAATATATTTGAAATTGATAATATTATCTGTATAAATGGCAAGGCTGCTTTTTAGATCCATTCCTGACTTAGCCCCTCTATACTTGCTCTATTTTCCAGCTATAATAGTAATCAAGTAGTATTACATTTTCAGATCTCCAATTACTCAATTGCACCATTTTGCCTGATTATTTTGACCATCATAATGAAAGCAGCTCGGCCTCTCCCAGGCCCCCTAATCAGTTATTCAGCAGCTGACAATGGTGACAGCCTGAACGTGTGAAGTGACTAGAAGGAGTATATTTTTCCTTTCACATAAATGTTACTAAAGGTGAAATCCATGAAGAGTAATAAAATTTTACAAGGAAATGTTAAAAAATATTACAATTACAAAAGGGGTCATTATCATCCCTAATCAAATAAAGCATCACCAATTGGTCTTACTTGCCAGATAGAAAATCATTCAGGAGAGATGATTAAAAACATATTTTACTCAAGGCTAGATTTGTCGTCAGACGCACATCCCTGGGTTTCTTTTCCCTCCCTTCTCTAGACATTATCCAGTGGTTGAGTGCTTAAGGTAGGTTGGTTAATTACAGTATTAGCCAAGGCACAGGACATGACCAGAACAAATTTTCTGCAAGAAAAATCACATGATGTATCGCAAAGTGAAATACAGACTTTAAAAATCAGCAATTGTCTATGTTATCTTGACTTGGGTCCAGGCCGTCTTGGAGGCTGCCTCCCAGCAATGTTTATAGGGCTGCAGAATGGTGTGGGAAAATAAAGTGTGGAAGCACATGGGAGGCTTGGGGAGGGCACTCACCCTGAATCTGCTTCAGCACTATTTACCAGGTGTGTAGTCTTAGGTGACACTTAATTTGTCTGAGCTTCATTCATTTTTAAAATGGTAATGATGTCTATCAAACAGGCATGATAACTAAGAGCCCTACTTACACATAGTAAGACTTTGAAGCTTGGAGAGCTTGCATAACCCACACAAAGTTACACAGCTGGACAGCTGGATTTGAAGTTGTCTACTGCTCCTACCAACTATTATCCATTAGGTCACTTCTAGCCAAGCAAACACACTAGAAAGTGTTCAGTTAGGAAATACTTATTGAGTGCCAAGAATATAAATATTTTGTCAATCTGTACCTGGAAGGAAAGGCCTCTGGAATAGTTCATCACAAACTTCCCAGAGGACTTCAGGAAATCAAGAAAGGTATAGAGGTATTAACATTTTGGGGCACAGCCTGTGAGTGTTAGGAATGATCATGTCAGGATCCCAAACCAGCACCTGATAGTCTCTGTGCCACAGCAGAAACAGCATTTGTCTAAGAAGATCCCACACATGAGACAGGTGAAAGGATGTTCCAAGTGACAGCTTGTGAAGAGGTGTTTGAATGGAGAATGAGCAACAATGCTGAACCAACACAAACATCTGTCATCCTTACATACTGGGTGAGGCTCAGCATGCCGGATTCCTTTTCCCAGTATTGTTCATTCCTCCAGGATCCTCATTACCCTCCATCATTCCCCTTACCCTATCCAATCAGAAGCGTCTGCATAATTCCGTTGCAAACACTTTGGCTGCAAGTAACAGAAAACTTGATTCCAGTTGACTTTAAGAATAAGGAAATTTATTCCATAAAATTCAAGAGATCAGGTAGCTTTCAGGAAGTCAGGACTGGATCTTTCACTGAAATTCTCTTAATTGTTGTTTGAATTGTCAGTGTTCCCCCAAAAATGTATGTTGATATCCCAACTCCCAGAACCTCAAAATATAACTTTATTTGAAATACAGGTAATCAAGTTAAAATGAAGTAATCAGGGTGGACCCTAATCCAGTATGCCTGATGCTTTTATGAAAAGGGAAAGAACAGACACAAATATGCATAAGAGGAAGATGATATAGACCCACAGTATATTAGCCTGCTCTCACATTGCTATAAAGAAATATCTGAGACTGGGTAATTACAAAGAAGAGAGGTTTAATTGCTCCCGGTTCTGCAGGTTGTATAGGAAGCATGGCAGCATCTGCTTGGCTCCTGGGGAAACCACAAGAAACTTACAATCACAGCAGAAGGCAAAGGGGAAGCAGGCAAGTCTTATATGGCTGGAGCAGGAGGAAAAGAAAGAGAGAGGAGGTGCTACACACTTTTAAGCAACCTGATTTCATGATGACTCACTCAGTGTCATGAGAACAGCACTGAGAAGATGGTGCTCAACCATTCCTGAGAAACCACCCCTATAATCTAATCACTCCCATCAGGCCCCACCTCCAATATTGGGGATTACAATTGAACATGAGATTTGGGTGGGGACACAGATCTAAACTGTATGACACGGGGATATGGCCATGGGACTGGAATGGCATCTACAAGCCAAGGAATGTCAAAGAATGCTGGCAAACACCAGAAGCCGTAAGATACAAGGGAAGATTTTTTTCCCTAGAGCTGTCAGAGCACAGCCCTGCTAACACCTTAATTTTAGACTTCTGGCCTCCATACCTGTGAGACAATACATTTCTGTTGTTTTAAGCCACCAGGTTTGTGGAGCTTTTTTACCACAGCCCTAGCAAACTCATACAGTGACCTTCTCCATGGGTTGTCTTCCTATGTTAGCAAAATGGATGTGACATTTCCAGGCTTCCTGATGACATCTAGAGGAATATGTGGGTCCTCTGTTCCCAGGCCTCCTCCTTAGGACCAGGAAACCTTTTCTATCATCCCTTTCCTTCCAGCAAACTTGCTGTCATCTCTCATTGGCAGGATTGAGTAACAGGGTCATTCCTAGAATTAAAATTACTGGCTTTGGTTAATCACATGGGAAGGAGTAGATGTTGTGAAGACAACTACTTGGGTCAGACCCAAAACCTGGACAAGATTTCTCTCAGCTCTGTCTCCAAAGCTGCTCCTATATTCCCCATGCAAACAAGGTTTGTAAATAGACGTGGTAGAAAGAAAGCTGGTGTTTAATTCCTTTCACCAGAAACATCTGGACCCCAGATCCTTCCCAAGATGCCCAAATAGGTAGGTACCTGCAAAGTAGCTAGCATAGGGCTGGACACAGAGTAGATCAGTTATGGATTCCTGCTCTCCCTGTTTTTATGGTACTGGTCAGTTTCTATCACATACCATTGACATTACACATGGGTCTTACTGCCTTTGCTAGTCTACAGGTACCTTGAGGTTGAGAGCATGTGCATTCCTTACACCTCCAAGAGCACTTAACACTGTGCAGTGGGATCTGTAAGCATCAGTAAGTAGAGTCAGAAAGGAAGACAGCTAGGACTCTATCAGTATATAAGCCCAAGAGATGGAGAAGGGATGCTCGAATTCTACTCGATGGAAAAACAAAGAATGCTATATTGATAGAATTTAATAAAACAACTTTGTCATCTCAAGCCAATAACTTTCTGTTCTAGTTTGGACCAAACAGCTACACTGCTAAATAGAAATAACAAGATGAAATCCTGATGTAAGGCAATATGCAACAGTTCCTGTTTTGTTGGGATGAATATATTGTATGAGTACAATTTAGATGAACTATTCATTCTGGAACAGCCTGTACAGGTCCTAAGACAGATTGCCATAAGCAAGAACAACCACAGTCTTTCTGTAACAAAAACAAATTGCATGTTTTTCCATAATTGCCTAACAAAAGCTCATAAGCAGCTTCAGTAAGATTTTACTCAGTTTTTCCTCCATTTATTATAGAAAGCAACTGCCTCTAAATTACTGAAATAAATGCAGTAAACATTCACTGTCCATCTTTAACCAGCTCTGTACCTTTATTCCTTCTGATTTCCCACTAAAATAATAAACAGACCTCATATGTTTAGCGGTTGTATAAATGGGGATAGTTTTTATTTCTAAGTAATATATTATCCTCTATAACACAAAGTACTTAAATTTTAGTATGATTTATTTGATATAGGTTTTCTTAATTTTCATTCTCTAAATGTTAATTACTTGCTCTATTGAGTTTTCACTTATAAAATATGTCCAAAACAGTTATTGCACGATAGAAGCAACAAATGCTATAAAACACATAATTAAAAATTAACTTTCCTTTCCTCTTGCCACCAAAATGACTAGTCGTGCAGTTAGTTGTATTAAAGGAATTACCAAAAAATTTGAAGAAACAATTTGCTCCTTAATTTTTTAAATTATTTGTCAGATGTAGTGAGAGTGTGTGACATTTTTAATAGATTCAAGGTTTATTTTAATATTTAAAACTATTAGTTCAATTAATATTGCTGAAATCTTTAATTTTTGTTCTGTCTTTCATGTATTTTTAATTTTATCATGAAATATTTGATGTGCAAAAAGATATGAATAATAATAAAACATACTCCTCTGTGGCCATACTTAACAAACACTAAATTGCAATAGACCTGAAGTCCCTGGGTGCCTCTTCCTGATCTCTGTCCTCTCACTCTCCCATGGAGAATCACTTTTCTGATTTTGATGTGTGTTTTGTTAATAAATTTCTTTATACTTTTAATGCATATATGGACATCAACTGAAAATCATATATCTTTTGTGTAATTTAAACTTGCCTTATATGGTCTCATTCTGTACTATTTCTCCTGCTAATTGCTTTTATTGCTCAATATTATGTTTATGAGAGTTACCTAAATGAGTACATGGAGCTGTATTTTATTTATTGTCATTACTGTATAAAAAGCAACTACATATTATATTGCATATATAATACATTCTTTATACAGACAGAACACAATTTATTTTTTCATTTTCCTGTGCAGTAGGCAGATTCTAAGCTGTCCCCCATGATATCTCCGCACGAGTGTCCATACCCTGCATCATCCCCTACCCTTCGATACTGGTAGGATTTGTGAATATGATGGGCTGTCATTCCTGTGAATAGGTTGCTAAGCATTTAATGTTGAGTCAGTCATAAATAGAGATTGTCATGTGTGGGCCTGTCCTAATCAGAGGTACTGGCCTTTTCTTAGATTTAAAGCAAGAAAGGGTCTTCTGTTGGCTTGCATTAGGAGATATACCTAATGTAAATGATGAGTTAACGGGTGCAGCACACCAACGTGGCACATGTATACATATGTAACAAACCTGCACGTTGTGCACATGTACCCTAGAACTTAAAGTATAATAAATTAATAAATAAATTAATAAATAGGAAAAAAAAAGTAAGCCTCCATGTTGTGAAGTGCTGTGTGGCCAAGACCCTGGGCAACAGCCATCAAGAAAGCAGGACTCTCAGTCCTGCAACCCTAAGGAACAACCCTCTGATAATAACCCAAATGAAGTTAGAAGAAGACCGCAAGCTCCAGATGAGACCAAAGCCCAGCCAGCATCTTGATTTCCACCTTTTGAGACTCTGAGCTGAGAGCACAGTTATATTACACCATGCCCACATTCTGACCTTCAAAAACTGTGAAGTAACAAATGAGTGTTAAGCTGCTTCGTTTGTGGTAATTTGTTACACATCAATAGAAAAGTAATGCATCCAGGTGTTGGATGTTTCTAAATATTGTAAATCCAAACAGTACTGCTCTGAACATTTTTGTACATTGATTTGTGCACATGTGAAATAATTCTTTTTAGGGTATGTATCTGGGAATAGAGTTGCTGGGTCTTAGAATAAACATATCCTCATTTCTCATTGGTATTGATAAACTTTCATTCCAAAGTAGTTTTACCAATTTATCCTAAGCTATCAGCAGTATATGAGAGTATTCTCTACTTTACCACTCAGGAACACTTGGTCTGGTCAGGCTTTATTTTGCTTGAAACACTTAGCTCTTCATTTAGCCTGAATTGATTTTTGTGGCTGCTGTGAGAGAGGGAACAATTTTATTTCCATTTGGATAAACAATTGCCACAGTACCATTTATTGACCAATCTATTCATGCCCCCTAGTTCTGCATCATATGCCAGCTGTGTCATAACGTGGTTCCATATGTGAGTGCCCAAGTCAAGAGGCACAGGCTCCCTTGTCATCCCCTTTTGCCATTGAATTTTTTTTACTGGATCTGGATCAACCTCCTCTCTGAGGTTTAAAACCAATAACTATATAGCTTTGCTCAAGTATCTCAGCAGTCTCCTCCTTTCAAAGGTTCATGACTTTGTACCTTATCTCTGACACAACATTAAAAACCAAAGTCTAGCAGAGATCGGAAATTCTCTAGAGAAACTGACTTTTCTTGATTCAAGCTACTTCTTAGCTTTTGGTCCCTGGAGTTTTTAATTATTTTCTTGGACTATTCACCTTTAAAAGGATGCTTTTTGCATTTTATCCAGAATTTCCTGGGGTTTTTGAATCATTTTTTTCCATACAGGATGAGAAACTGAGGTTCACTAATAAATTTTTGAGAAGAAGAAACAGTACTCCATGGACTCTCAGATGGATAGACTTTTTTAAAAATTATACTTTAAGTTCTAGGGTACATGTGCATAACGTGCAGGTTTGTTACATATGTATACATGTGCCATGTTGGTGTGCTGCACCCATTAACTCATCATTTACATTAGGTATATCTCCTAATGCTATCCCTCCCACCTCCCCCCACCCCATGACAGGCCCTGGAGTGTGATATTCCCCACCCTGTGTCCAAATGTTCTCATTGTTCAATTCCCACCTATCAGTGAGAACATGCAGTGTTTGGTTTTCTGTCCTTGCGATAGTTTGCTCAGAATGATGGTTTCCACCTTCATCCATGTCCCTACAAAGGACATGAACTCATCCATTTTTATGGCTGCATAGTATTCCATGGTGTATACATGTGCCACATTTTCTTAATCCAGTCTATCATTGTTGGACACTTGGGTTGGTTCCAAGTCTTTGCTATTGTGAATAGTGCCACAATAAACATACGTGTGCATGTGTCTTTATAGCAGCATGATTTATAATCCTTTGGGTATATACCCAGTAATGGGAGGGCTGGGTCAAATGGTATTTCTAGTTCTAGATCCTTGAGGAATCGCCACACTGTCTTCCACAATGATTGAACTAGTTTACAGTCCCACCAACAGTGTAAAAGTGTTCCTATTTCTCTATATGCCTCCAGCACCTGTTGTTTCCTGACTTTTTAATGATCGCCATTCTAACTGGTGTGAGATGGCATCTCATTGTGGTTTTGATTTGCATTTCTCTGATGGCCAGTGATGATGAGCATTTTTTCATGTGTCTTTTGGCTGCATAAATGTCTTCTTTTGAGAAGTGTCTGTTCATATCCTTCGCCCACTTTTTGAAGGAGTTGTTTGATTTTTTCTTGTAAATTTAAGTTCTTTGTAGATTCTGGATATTAGCCCTTTGTCAGATGGGTAGATTGTAAAAATTTTCTCTCATTCTGTAGGTTGCCTGTTCACTCTGATGGTAGTTTCTTTTGCTGTGCAGAGGCTCTTTAGCTTAATTAGATCCCATTTGTCTATTTTGGCTCCTGTTGCCATTGCGTTGGGTGTTTTACTCATGAAGTCCTTGCCCATGCCTATATCCTGAATGGTATTGCCTAGATTTTCTTCTAGGGTTTTTATGGTTTTAGGTCTAACATTTAAGTTTTTAATCCATCTTGAATTAATTTTTGTATAAGGTGTAAGGAAGGGATCCAGTTTCAGCTTTCTACATATGGCTAGCCAGTTTTCCCAGCACCATTTATTAAATAGGGAATCCTTTCCCCATTTCTTGTTTTTGTCAGGTTTGTCAAAGATCAGATGGTTGTAGATGTGTGGTATTATTTCTGAGGGCTCTGTTCTATTCCATTGGTCTATATCTCTGTTTTGGTACCAGTACCATGCTGTTTTGGTTACTGTAGCCTTATAGTATAGTTTGAAGTCAGGTAGCGTGATGCCTCCAGCTTTGTTCTTTTGGCTTAGGATTGTCTTGGCAATGCGGGCTCTTTTTTGGTTCCATATGAACTTTAAAGTAGTTTTTTCCAATTCTGTGAAGAAAGTCATTGGTAGCTTGATGGCGATGGCATTGAATCTATAAATTACCTTGGGCAGTATGGCCATTTTCATGGTATTGATCCTTCCTATCAGATGGATAAGACTTCAGATGGATAGACTTTTTAAAATGAGCATGATCTAGGGCAGGCCATCCCAGTGTTTGCCTTTACTGTCCGCAGCCTCACAGTCTTTTGCCTTTGTTTGCATTGAGGATATTGTGTCCTCTTTGAATGTCATAGCCTCAGCTTTACCCTCCCTCAGTCTGCCACACCACTGAAAATCATCTTTCACAAAATATCTGATATACCCATTTATGATGAAGATAAATAAATCATGTTCTTGGTTTTTCATTCATAATTCTATCAACATTCTTTATGCAACACAGCTAGGAAGCATACCGACATGAACAAATGTACTCACTGCCCTCTTTAACTATAGCATTGTCAAGAACCCAAGGAAGGACTGAAACAACTCATCCCATAGTAGAACACATAAGAAAGATCTCAAGTAAGCCAAAGGTGACATATGCTACAATAGATGTACTCAGTTCTAAAGTAATAGCAAAGACATTTGGGAGAGTATTTTAAAATTCTGGGAATTTACTGTGTGCCTAGCACTTCCAAATATCAGCTCATTTAATGAGAGAAAAATATTGCTTCCAGAGAAGGAGGTGTGCAGAGCTTTATAAAGATTTGTCTTTAGGGGTGAATATAATTTCAACAGGTAGAGATTTGGGTCATGGCATTAGATGAAGGCATTCCATATAAGAAAAACCAAATGAGTAAATTAGAGACATGGAGAATCACAGGCATGGAGGGACATATGACCAAAGGATGGCAGTAGCAATGGGAAACCAGACATGGAGGGTCTTCAGTGGTTGGAACTGTGACACAAGGGAGCTTTTGAAGATTTTTACTTTATTTTTTTTAATTTTTTTTTTCTTGGAGAATAGCAGAAGAGCTATTTTGAGGAAAGTTACACTGGAAGAAATGTTATTTCTATGAGGAGGTATTTTCATTGAACAAAATTCATTTTTATTGATGAAAGACAAGAATTTATGATCAGTTGATAAATTTCAGGCATCTTTGGAGATATTTTATATTTTTTTCTGTGAGGCTGTTACTGTGTCAAATCTTTCACAGTTTCATAAAATTGAGTCTCATCTGAAGCTTTAGGCCAGATTGTTATCCATGGTTGAGCATGACTCTGCAATAGAAACTAACAATTTGGCTTATTTTAAAGTGATACCATGAGATATATATATATATATATAGTTTATTGTCATTGTCTCCCCCCCCAAAAAAAACTGTAAAATTAATTTTCATTATTTCCTTTCTACTATAACATTAGGGTTTTTTTTTCCTTGCTCCTGTTGGAATTTATTTTTGTGGTGACTCATCTGTGGCATAATGATGAAATGATAAAATAATATCCTGTGTACTTCCTTTTAGAGGATGAATCACATAAAATTGGCCATCTTTTCCTGCTGTTGTATATTAATATCATTGGTCCACTGAACTGCAATGATCAGAATTATGACTTTCCTTGAATAAAGCATCCTGTTTCCTACCCCTAACCCTAGAAGAGTACTCTTTCAGGGAGAACCTATTTTTGCAGCTCATCTTATTTTGGTAGTTTTTCACCAATCATCTTATTTGCAATTTCCCAACTATTTAATTGCCATCTTACATTAATATTATTTTAATAATCAGACTGTTCCATTGTTCAAATTTTAAAAATAAATGAAAGTCATTAATGAAAAGTATTGTCTCATTCCATTATAATGAGCTTCCTCAAGTATGTTTTCAGTGATGAAAACATGACCGTGTTATTAAATATTTTGTGGATTCTTGCCTACAAAAAGAGGACAGTTCATACATTTGTGTCTGTATGCCTTTTAGCTCTACTGCATAAAGAATGTCGGTGGAATTTTGAACAACAAAACAGGCACATGATTTATGTAGTCTTGCCTACAAAAAATACAGTCTGTAGTGAGACTCTATTGTCAGTCTCTCATGGCTACCCACAATTTCCTATCAATAAAACAGGATAATAATACATAACTTAGAGGATTGGTAGGAAGATTAAAGGAAGTAACAGGTGCAAAGTAGTTAGCACTGCGCCTGCCATGTAAACAGGCACTTAACAAGTAGTAGCAGTTGTCCTTCTTAAATGCATGGAAAGCCCATGTCTTAGCATGGCATGCTGAATTCCTAGCAGCACTGAGGTAGCCCAGCATCCAAGGGTAAATGACTGGAGAATTAATGGAATGGTGGGCACTCAGTTTTCTGTGTTGTATAGAAAGTTTAAAACTTTAAAAATAGTCCCCAATTCCAGTTTAGGAGATTATTTTTAATCAGTCTTTTGCGACTTTCCAGACAAATGCAAAAGGTAAAAAAAAATCATATTACAGAAAAATAAGACAAACCGACAAGTTATTTCCAGACGCGGAAATAGCTTATCATTAACTATTACATATACGGAACTAAACAGAGACCATTCACCCAATGATATGTATATTCATTCTTTCTCTTGGGTATACCCTTCTTGGATGTAACACCCAGAGTCTTAGTGTGCCAGAAGACTAAAATGCCTACTTCTGCAGAGGACTGTCTCTAACATTTTTTCTAGGAATCAATGTTGAAATCTTAATTTCCAGGAAGCATGATGGGATAAAGCATAATGTGTGTACGTGTGTGAGCATGCATCTGGCTGAGCACATGTGCATGCAGATGGGGGTGGGGAAGGAGAGAGGGACCCCCTCTAAGCAAATGGAAGCTAATGGGCTGCATCCTATAATCTTAAATTGTGCAATACAAAAGGAAAAGCAGAGCAGGTGGGACCAGATGCAGAAAGAACCTTAGTAGCTAGTTTAGATGGAGGTCTGCAGTATTGCTGCTGTGGCTTTTGCTGTTGCTTCTTTGTGTTGTTATTTTAGTTTTCAGAATTCCGGAGAAAAAGGCAACAGGCAAAAGATAAAAATCCTGCCTCAATCCAACAGAAATGTACTTGCTAAATTCCTGTGAGAACTCTGCAAAGTTGGCAATAAAGAATGCATATTAATATGAACCACCAAAAAGTGAATTCTGTTAACATTCTAGACAAATGTCACATTTGCTGTCTCTTGGGATAAACCAAGTCATTTCAAGTTGAGTAAAATGAAGTAAAGCCAGTGGGATTATGCAAAGGTACAGCAAATGAAAGGAAAGGCAACACTCTCTTGAAGAGCGAGGGAGAACTTTCCTGTATTACTCACTAGACAAAGATTATTATCTTCATCTTATAGTTGCTGCCAATTCAACAATAAATAAAAAGAAATGTTTATTATATTTGGCCTTGTTCTAACAGAATATAATGTGTCCGGCAATAATTATATCCAGGTCAAATAAATTTAATCAAAATTTAAAGTAATTAAAAATAAAACAAATTAAGATGGAAACAAAAAATGGCACTCCAAAACCTAAAAGGCTCATCATGAGGACACTCATGTTTCCCAGAATCCCGGACCAAGCGTGACTAATTTTTCTAGCAAATATACACTTTGATAGACAAACATGTTTATACAAGTTCTACAGTGATTATGAGGTACCAACTAGTTCCTAGAGAAGCATAATTATTCCTGATCAAGTCCAGAAAGACATTTTTCTGGATGTTATTAATCTTAATGGTTACTATATGTGATTGCTTTTTATGTGTGAGAGTTTACAAGAGCCTTGAAGAAAAATGGAGAGATGGATGGGTATACACAGAGAGAGAGAGGTGCACACACACATAGATATCCACATATATCTAATATAATTCTCAAAACGACTTCATTAAGGAAAATTATGGACGTTATAAAAAAGAAGCAGTGAGGAACAGCACCAGAAATTGATGAGAACCAACAAGAAAACATATAAGGCTACAATAACTAGAAGTGTATGACTTAGGGTTCGCAGACAGATGAATGGGCAAACACGCATTGCTATAAAGAAATACCTGAGACTGAGCAATTTCTAAAGCAAAGAGGTTTAATTGGCTCACCATTCTGCAGGCTGTACAGGAAGTGTAGCACCAGCGTCTGCTCCTTGTGAGGCCTCAGCAAGCTTCCAGTCATGGCAGAAGGTGAAAGGGGAGCAAGCGGTTTCACATGGCGAGAACAGAAACAAAAGAGAGAGGAGGCGCCAACTCTTTCAAACAACCAGATCTCCTGTGAATTTAGAGCTTAGAGCGAGAGCTCACTCGTTATCATAGACAGCACCAAGCCATTTGTGAGACAGCTGCCCCGTGACCTAAACACCTCCCAGCAGGCCCCACCTCCAACACTGGGGATCACATTTCAACATGGGATTTGGAAAGGACACACATGCAAACCATATCACCATATATTCACTCAAACAACATGTAACAAAGTGTCACAATGAATGATTAAAAGACATATTAAACAAGTTAAGTTGGGAATACTAAAGCCCTCTCATACTGTGTCCGGAATTGTTGGGTTCTTGGTCTTGCTGACTTCAAGAATGAAGCCGCAGACCCTTGCGGTGAGTGTTACAGTTCTTAAAGATGGTGTGTCTAGAGTTTGTTCCTTCTGATATTTGGACGTGTCCGGAGTTTCTGCCTTCTGGTGGGTTCCTGGTCTCGCTGGCCTCAGGAGTGAAGCTGCAGACCTCTGTGATGAGTGTTACAGTTCATAAAGGTGGCACATCTGGAGTTGTTTGTTCCTCCCGTCGGGAGTTCTTTGTCCCTCCTGGTGGGTTCGTGGTCTTGCTGGCTTCAGGAGTGAAGCTGCAGACCTTCGTGGTGAGTGTTACAGTTCATAAAGGTGGCGCATCTGGAGTTGTTCGTTCCTCCTGTTGGGAGTTGTTTGTCCCTCCTGGTGGGTTCGTTGTCTTGCTGGCTTCAGGAGTGACGCTGCAGACCTTCGTGGTGAGTGTTACAGCTCATAAAGGCAGCGCCTCTGGAGTTGTTCATTCCTTCCGGTGGGTTCGTGGTCTCGCTGGCTTCAGGAGTGAAGCCGCAGACCTTTGCGGTGAGTGTTGCAGCTCATAAAGACAGTGCGGACCCAAAGAGTGAGCAGCAGCAAGATGTATTGCAAAGAGCAAAAGAACAAAGCTTCCACAGCACGGAAGGGGACCCAAGCAGGTTGCTGCTGCTGGCTTGGGTGGTCTGCTTTTATTCCCTTATCTGGCCCCACCCACATCCTGCTGATTGGTCCATTTTACAGAGCGCTGATTGGTCCATTTTACAGAGTGCTGATTGGTGTGTTTACAAATCTTTAGCTAGACACAGAGTGCTGATTGGTGCATTTACAATCCTTTGGCTAGACAGAAAAGTTCTCCAAGTCCCCACTCAACCCAGAAGCCCAGCCAGCTTCATGTCTCAATACTATGTATCAAAACATTTTCTTGATGAATTAGAGCAAGGATATTTAAAGAATGAAAAATGTAGAGAACAAAAAGAAAATAAAATCTTAATCTTGGATAGTCAAAGGCCACCTAAGCCTAACAGAATAAAATCAATTACAAAGAAGAATGAATTTGAATTTTTAAACAAGTCAAAAATAACCACCAAAAATATTTTCTAAACAAAATATGAAATACAACCTTAACTTACCATTTCAGTAAGAAAATGTCAAATGGACAAGATTTATTTGCTATATTTGGTTTTTGTTATCAACAATGCACACTGCTGGCAAGGAAGCACAGATACTGTGATATATTGCATGTGGCAGTGAAAATTTGTGTAACTTTTCTGAGAATTGGTTTTTTATTATATAAAATGACACTAAAAAGCATCTTATCCTTTGATCTTCTAATTGCATTTATAAAAATCTCTCCTAAGAAAGTAACCTGAGATGCATACAAAGATTGATCTTCAAAAAATGTTTTTTGTTGCATTATTTACTGTTTTGAAAATTTTGAAACAGTTTTTCTGTCCAACCATAGTAGAATGACTAAGTAAATTTTGAAATATAGTGGTTTATCATGCAATTATCAAAACTATATTTTTATAGACTAATTAGTGATGTAAGTCATGAGTGAGAGAAATGGTGATGATAAAATATTTTTAAAAATTTTACCAAACTATATTTGCAGCTGAATTCAATTTTGATTCAAGTACATTTGTATGCCTAGAAACAAACTGATAGAATGTTTAAATTACAAAACAAAATATATACATTTTTTGTTATATGTGTATATATATATATATATATTTAAAAAACCTGTTGTTTGAATTATTTTATGCTTCATATATTTTGGTATTTTGAGATTTTTTACTATGAAAATCTTCAAAAATGGAAACAGGTGGACTGATAAACAAATAGATATAAAACCTTACTTTATAGTTAAACATCAGTGAGAAAAAAACTATTTTTTAAATGGCAAGTACATGAACAGGTAAAGTTCTAAAAGAAAGAAAATACACACACACACGGACATGCTAGTTATATTTACAATAAAACTAATTTAGGTTTTTGACTTGTAAAATATTTTATTAAAGTAAAATAATTTCAATTAAGTGTTTATTCATAAACAGCTATCAAGTTTATTTTTAAGGTATTAAAGTACTAAATAAGCACTATTAGAAGTGTGGCTTTGAAATTTATATCTGCAAAAGACCACATCATTTTTGATAAAGCTCTTTATTTGTGAGCTTAGTGAAGAGAAATGAGAAATCAAAGTTGATTACACAGGTTACTTTTTCACATGATAAGAGAAAGATACAGGGAGGGAGGAAGGCAGGAATTGGGTGAGATTTTAGAAAATCTCAGATTTAAAACTTTTAAAAATTAAGTATTGGGCATGAGGAAATGAGCAGAGAAAATAGTAGTCATATTTCCACATTTGTAAAGAGAAGAACAATAGCCAGGCAAACTCCATGTCTGAAGTGTGGTTTATTTTAATATGCAAAACATAAGCATTTCTCTGACCAAAGCTGCTTTCTATTTAAAGCTAAATATAAAAATATTATTTTTGAGCATAGTATTGCGAGAACATAGTGAAATTTCCTATGTAGATTCTGTGCTGTTTTAGTTACGGAAATATTTTTAATTAATCCTCCATTTAACAATGGGGCATACATCTGTGTTTTTCGAAGCACTGTTTTGTATATATTAGTAATTATCATTGCACTGAAATGAAAATATCAATTTCATGTACAATTTTATAGCACATATTTGATTGACAATGAAATGCATTTAACTTATAAAAATGTAATATGGCTGACATTAGCAAAATCTCTTATTAAGAAATAGGTCATAAGTACTCCAAGAAACTTGACAGTCTGTTCTATGAAGAGCATTAATTCAAAAGTCCCCTATTTGCATAAATCTCCAGGTCTCATTTTCACAGCTGTTTGTTGTCAGCTAGACGGTTGCAGTTCAACATTATTTTAACATAATCGGTGGGAAGTATACCTTTCAACTAAAAATACCATGCTCTGCAAGAAAGATTGTCAGGGGTAAAATATAAGTTCATTCAGTTGATCTTGATATTTTTCCTTAAAATAAATATTTCTAATACAGGAACTTTAAGTCTCAAATTACTGAAATATTTTTATTATTAAAATATATTTTGTAATTTTATATTTTCATAAAAATAAAAAGGTTATGTGTTCATACATAAAAATGTTAATCAGTAGAGCTTATTTTAGCAAAGAGTAAAAAATACTGAGGATATCTATTTTTCATTAATCAGCCAAGCATTATATGGAGTGCAATATAGGTGTGCTGGAAAAAAGAGGATTAAAATTTTTAGATATTGCTGAGAATATGCATGTATGTTCTTTGTTTTATTAATTTTAATAATGGAAAGGGATCAGCAATTATTAGATCTTAAATGTCTTTTACCTGTAACACCCAAGAGCACAGAAGGAATCAAAGTCAAGAGATCTCAGCCTGGATACTGAGCAACACCATTTGCTACCTGTAAGCTGGAGTTCTTGATTTAAACCCTATGTACTTCAGCTCTCCATCTGCAGTAGGGGCCATTATATCTACAGTAATCACTTCACAGGGTCATTGCTAAGATTATATTAAATAATGGACAATTAACTACTGTGGGAATTGCAAAGCACCATACAAATGCTAGTCCTGGTTCAGTGCCTGTTCTCATATCATTTCATCTTAGCTGCAATGAAATCCTAGTACAAATTCATGACCTTGTCCAGCTGTCATTTATGGTATAATACATAAAAGTTAACCCAAGCATAGCCAAGGAAAGAGACAATTGGACATACCTACATATATTTTCATAACTAGCAAAAAGATTCGCTGGTTTTTGCCAATGTGCTTCTGTTACTTTTTTTTTCTTTTACTCTTGAAATTATATTTAAGTGTAGACTCCACTTAAAGTAATTTGCTGCTGGAATAGGCATAATGTTCTGATGTCTGCTTTGCTTCTAATTATGTTCAAGCTCATTTTGACATTTAAGGCCAATTACAAAAGTCTAGATTCAGAAGACTTTTCCTTAGTCATCTAAAATTTGAACAATAAACAGTTTTTTTCTCCTCTCTCTTTATTCATTTAAGTGGTATGCTTGGCAACAAGCATATTTTGGGAATTGTAAAAGCAAAATAAATAATGTGGGTTCATTTTGAAAAAAGAACTACTTGGTCTTTCTTGCCAACATAAAAGGCAGTCACAGAATTAACTGAAACCACCAGTTTCAACTTTATTTCCTCCTAAATCACAAGGAATAAGGAATTATTTTACAGATACAGTGATATTTTAAACGCCTAAGTTCTATTAACATAAAGGTAATTGACTTCAACAGATCTCTAATTCCAAAAGAGTTCATACATAGAGAGATATGTATAAAAATAGCTACAAAATCTTTATCATTTAAAAGTCACTCATAATTAAACTCCCCAGACTAGGACCCTACACCAAAATTCAGTTAGTGTTCCATTGCGTTTTAACATCCAGTCATGTGATGACTTACGACATAGAGCAAAGCACTTAATTTACCTGCCTCCTTATTTTCAGTCAATTTGCCAACTGCAATTTTTACTGTTGATTCAGTAGAAGACCCTGATGAGTTGACAGCACCAAAAGGCAATTCATAGCATCTATTAGTAAGAAGTCACTGTAGCTTCTTTGTTTAACTTTTATAGGTAAGATCTGGCTTGGAAAAATAGACTGGAAAGTATATTGTAAAAAAAACAAAATTTTCCAATTGACTGTCATTAACAGTTAATAGATTATAGAATAGTAGACCTTTATAGCTGGAAGATATGTATCGTGTACTTCAAAGATGAAAGGAAATAATGTCTTTGAAAACACTGTCAAATTTTCAAAATTATGTATCTAAAAGAAATTCCTTAAAAAATAGTTTATCCTTTATAATTTTTGAACTTTATAAAAATGGAATCACACCATATATGACCAAACATTTTAAGTCATAAAGAATACACAGGAATTCTGGGCCGGGCACAGTGGCTCACACCTGTAATCCCAGCACTTTGGGAAGCTGAGGTGGGTGGATCACCTGAGGTCAGGAGTTCAAGACCAGCCTGGCCAACATGGTGAAACCCCGTCTCTACTAAAAAATACAAAAGTCAGCCAGGTGTGGTGGTAGGCACCTGTAATCCCAGCTACTTAGGAGACTGAGGCAGGAGAATCGTTTGAACCTGGAAGGTGGAGGTTGCAGTGAGCCAAGATCGTGCCATTGCACTCCAGCCTGGGCGACAAGAGCGAAACTCTGTCTCAAAAAAAAGAAAACATAGGAATTCCGGAATTTAACCACTGTGATAGAAGTTGCTTTTCCTTGGGACAATATTTTTAAGGCAGATTTCAAAATTATTATTTCAACTATTCTTTATATAATGCTTTATTATTTTTAAAGTATTCACATATATGTTATTTTGATTTTCAAAACAATCTTCGAGTGACAATGGGATTGCATATTTGAGAAAGGCTGGTCTCAGGACGGCTGAATGTTTTTCCCAAAGCCGTTAAGTAAGTCGGTGACTTAGACTCAGACGCTGTGAAAGCAGAGGCTGAGTACTTGGTTCTTGACCTCACTGATCTGCTGGCTTACAGAGCATCCTGGTCTGCATACTCAGCGATTCAATCTCTATCTTAAACGCAGTCCCTCAGCCATTCCTTCTAGAAAGGTGATCTCTTTAGAGTGAGAGCAGTGATGGAGGTGGCTGAAGTTACACCAGGGGGAGCAGCTTTGAAAAGCTCCTGGCTGATAGGCATGTACTAATGGGAGCAGGAGCTTTGTTGGCAGTGTCGAAGTCCCTTTGGAGGCTGTGTGAGGAGGGAACCCATTTCCCTGGGATATAGCTCTCTCCACAGGGCAGCTGGATGGCTAGGGGCAGCCATGGAGTATCAGATTCACCTAGGAATCGATATTTTTCCTGAGGGTTTCACAAAAAAAGACAGAGAGATGGAATTTGAAGAACTGGGAAGAGTGTGATTGAATTGGAGGGATCTGAAATAAAGAAATAGCTATGGTCAATGGCTCTAACCAACAGTACTATATTTATACTCCAAATTCCAAATCCACACTATGTGTATTTAGGTACAATTTAGTTTAGCCATAGTAAGTTGTGGCTTCTGGAGCTTTTATTTACCATAGGATTTTAAATACATTTCATGTCATCTTCATTGGTTTTCCTTAACCCCTAATTCTCCACAAGATCTTCATCCCGTCAGTTATGACTTTGCCAACCAATATACTTTTTAGAAATGTAACCCCAACATTAGGTACGACCAGCATTTACTGTATATCAATATTATCCTAAATATTGCTGTAGCTTTGAATAGCTGAATTAAGTTTTAAATAAAAGCAAAGGAATTATAAAACAAAATATTAACGGATTATGAGGTCAGTGGGTTTTTCTGAAGATAAAACTATTCTACTAATTATTGCTGTTTGGGAAAAATCGAAACAAGGAGACTGAGTAAATGAATCATTAAGGCAATTAAAAACAGAAGAGAAGTCACTTTTGCACTCAGTGAATACCATCAAGGCAAGTCTTCTATTTTAGGGCTGTCTTATAGTAAGATATAACAGGGACTCTCTCAATAAAAAGGTTGAGCTACTATATAAATCATCAAGTAGATTTTATTTTGAAAGCAACTTTTTTTGTAGAGAAAGAGTTCTTGAAACCAGTTAAAGATTTAAAAAGTTGATACAAGTTATGTTGTAAAATCAAAGTTATATGTGGATGATACGAGTTGTATTCCCCACCACATTTTAACATTTTTAGTGTATATATTTTTAAATGAAAAAATGTACATTTTACACGTATTTTAGTACAAACAGTAAAAAAAAAGTCAGAAGTAATTTATCAAAACATATGTTTACACAAAAACTTGTATATAAATGTTCATAACAGCATTATTCATAATAGCCAAAAGGTGGAAACAACCCAAATATCAACTGATAAATAGGTAAAATGTGGTATATCCATTAATAAAATATTATTTGGCAACAAAAGGGAATGAAGTTCCGATGCATACTACAACATGGATGACCCCTGGCCACATATTGGGTGATTCCATTTATAGAAAATATCCAGAGTACAAAAAGCCATAGAGACAGAAAGTAGATGTCTTTGATTTCCAAAGGCTGAGGGAGGGAGGAATGGAGAATGACAGCTAACAAGTATGTAGCTTCTTTTGGGGATAAAGAGAATGTTCTTAAATTAGATAGTGGTAATGGCTGCACAACCATGTGAATAAACTAAAACCCACTTAATCGTACACTTTAAAAGGTGAACTTTATGGTATGCAAATTGTATCTCAAAAACCTATTTCTTTTAAAAGTCAAAAAAAATAGTATAGACCCCTTCCATAGTTCCTTAGTCCTTTCCATTCTAGTCCTTAGAGTTACAGGTTTATTGTATACACTTTCAAGCATTTATATGCACACAAAAGCATATCTATGTGCTTGGGATATAGCAAAGGGATGGTACTATATATTCTACTTACTCTACTTTGACCAAAACCCAAGATGTTTAACCATTCTACTTTTTCTTAATATTTGACTATGTTTGAACTTAAATTGATATCCACACATACTAAAATACCAAAATATGCATTGAGTCATCAAATTTCAAAGGTCATCCATGATATTTTTTAAGGGCTTAAAACTCCTTTGCATGATCTTTCAGCCTGTTTATTTCAGCATAGGAAAATACCCTTGCTTTGCCTTCACCTAACTCTAAGGAAGTCTATTAGAGATATTTAGGGTCAGAAATGGGTTCTTGGGGCTTGAGAGAGAAAAGGATCTTCTGCTATTGATGATCTGGCTCTGCCATGACCCTATGGCATGGGTCCTCAGTGGCCCTGTGGGAAGCCTAGTGTAGGCAACATGGCCTAGCCCACCTATGTTGATGTTTAAGGGGTGCTAGGAACAAAAGAGAAGCTGTGGAAACTTTTGCTTATCCCCCTTTCTTCCCTCTTTGGTGGTCTTATTTTTATCCGACGCTCTTAATCTCAACTTATAACCGGAAAATACAGCACCAAAGCGTGAGGGCATTTAGGGGAAAAATGTTATCTGTTTTGGAAGTAATATCAAGGAAGATCAGGGACAAATGCAGAACTGGAAGCAAGGACTAAGGTTGGATTTAGCAGGATTTCCTGAAAGATTGGATGTAGGATGTGAGGAAATGAGATGAACCAAAGATGTCTTCAGGGTCATTGGCCTGAATAACTTGAAGAATAGATTTGCCATTTTCTTGGCTGGGAAGGAGTGCAGAAAGAACAGGTTTGAAAGTGGGGCATGAGGAGTTTCATATGACACATCAAATACTTGAGATTCCTGTTATCTAACATCTGTCCAAGTAAAAATGTGGAGTTGATTCTGGAGGTGGGGCTGGAAATATAACTGTGGAAGTCATCAGAACATACAAGGGATGTGAAGGCATTACAATGGATGAGATCAAGCAGGTAGTGAGTATTGAGATATAAGAAAAGATCTGAGGTCAAGTACTGGAGCTCTGTAACATTTAGACATTAGGAAATTGAAGAGAAACCAGCAAAGGAGCATGCAAAGGGCTGGCATTGGATTTTGTGGCTCTGTAGTGCAGTGCTCTGGCTCTTTTGGTGACTGAAAGATGCTTGTTCACTGCTTTTCTCTGTGTTTTCACCCGGAGCATCCCTGTGACATTTCTATATATATATATTTATTTATACTCTAAGTTCTAGGGTACATGTGCACAACGTGCAGGTTTGTACATATGTATACATGTGCCATGTTAGTGTGCTGCACCCATTAACTCGTCATTTACATTAGCTATATCTCCTAATGCTATCCCTCCCCCCTCCCCCCACCCCACAACAGGCCCCAGTGTGTGATGTTCCCCTTCCTGTGTCCAAGTGTTCTCATTGTTCAATTCCCACCTATGAGTGAGAACATGCGGTGTTTGGTTTTTTGTCCTTGCGATAGTTTGCTGAGAATGATGGTTTCCAGCTTCATCCATGTCCCTACAAAGGACATGAACTCATCATTTTTTATGGCTGCATAGTATTCCATTGTGTATATGTGCCACATTTTCTTAATCCAGTCTATAATTGTTGGACATTTGGGTTGGTTCCAAGTCTTTGCTATTGTGAATAGTGCCACAGTAAACATATGTGTGCATGTGTCTTTATAGCAGCATGATTTATTTATTTATTTTTTCCAACTCTTTTTTTTATTATACTTTAAATTTTAGGGTACATGTGCACAATGTGCAGGTTTGTTACATATGTATATATATGCCATGTTGGTGTGCTGTACCCATTAACTTGTCATTTACATTAGCTATATCTCCTAATGCTATACCTCCCACCTCCCCCCACCCCACAACAGGCCCCAGTGTGTGATGTTCCCCTTCCTGTGTCCATGTGTTCTCATTATTCAGTTCCCACCTATGAGTGAGAAAGTGCAGTGTTTGACTTTTGTCCTTGTGATAGTTTGCTGAGAATGATAGTTTCCAGCTTCATCCATGTCCCTACAAGGGACATGAACTCATCAATTTTATGGCTGCATAGTATTCTATGGTGTATATGTGCCACATTTTCTTAATCCAGTCTATCATTGTTGGACATTTGGGTTGGTTCCAAGTCTTTGCTATTGTGAATAGTGCCACAATAAACATACATATGCATGTGTCTTTATAGCAGAATGATTTATAATCCTGTGAGTATATACCCAGTAATGGGATGGCTGGGTCAAATGGTAATTCTAGTTCTAGATCCCTGAGGAATTGCCACACTGACTTCCACAATGGTTGAACTAGTTTGCAGTCCCACCAACAGTGTAAAAGTGTTCGTATTTCTCCACATCCTCTCCAGCACCTGTTGTTTCCTGACTTTTTAATGATCGCCATTCTAACTGGTGTGAGATAGTATCTCATTATGGTTTTGATTTGCATTTCTCTGATGGCCAGTGATGATGAGCATTTTTTCATGTGTCTGTTGGCTGCATAAATGTCTTCTTTTGAAAAGTGTCTGTTCAAATCCTTTGCCCACTTTTTGATGGGGTTGTTTGTTTTCTTCTTATAATTTGTTTGAGTTCATTGTAGATTCTGGATATTAGCCCTTTGTCAGATGAGTAGATTGCAAAAATTTTCTCCCATTCTGTAAGTTGCCTGTTCACTCTGATGGTAGTTTCTTTTGCTGTGCAGAAGCTCTTTAGTTTAATTAGATCCCATTTGTCAATTTTGGGTTTTGTTGCCATTCCTTTTGGTGTTTTAGACATGAAGTCTTTGCCCATGCCTATGTCCTGAATGGTATTGCCTAGGTTTTCTTCTAGGGTTTTCATGGTTTTATGTCTGACATTTAAGTCTTTATTCCATCTTGAATTAATTTTTGCATAAGATTCCTCATACATTCCTGTTGTGCTTTCACCCTCTACTCTCTGGTTCTCACCCTGTTCTCATATATCCAAGGAAGATGATACACTCTAATTAGAAACAACAACTGAACTCAGCTCATTATTTTCAAAATCTTTCTTCTCCATTAGGTAAAAATCATTGCAGTCTGTTTATTCAATATGTTTTCTTTTCCACTTAAATTCTGTTCATGCAGAGACTGATTCCTGGGAACATCAATGTGCTGGCAACTTTGACTTTGTAATTTCCCTTTTGTTGTCCCACTCAACTGCATGGCTGATCTCCATTCATTTGTTCACTTCCAGAGCCTACTGTTGGCAATCTGATTTTTCTTCATAGTTTCCCATTAAAATTCACTAGAGATGCTTTTGATTTACTTATTTCTTCCCTGGCAGGGTAGAGTTGCTTGTTCCAGATCACCTCATAGCAAACTGGACCATTCTCAAGTAAACTGCTCATCCCTGGTGCAGTTATCAGCAGGGAGGCATCTGCAGCATTAACAGTGATTGACCCGTATAGTGATGTTTAATATGTGATAATGTTACTAGCAGCAAACAAAATAGCACTTGTAAACACAGTTGTTTACTCATACTTACATGTATAGGTTTGGACTTGAGGGGTAAAATAGCAAAATTACCCAACTCCCCTGCTAATAAAACCTAAGGAAATGAATAAAATGACCTGAGAAAATTATACCAGCATAACTACAGTAAGGAAGAGCTACAATTTCATGCCATTTTCTCCGAATAGCAGCTAGGAGGAAAGAAAAGAAGAGAAAGATGAAGGAGGAGGAAAAGGAAAGGGTCGCGGAGGAGGAGAAGAGAATGAGAGAGAACATGAATATTCTAGGCTCATCCCTTAAGACTGTCTTCTGGAAGAAGTTAAGAAGAAATAAACTTGGAAAAACAACGAAACCGTATACTCAAATTCCCCAATCTGTGAAGTCTGTGGCCAAAGGGCTATGCAGAGCCCTGGAAAGTGATAAGAACCACTCATGTATAGAAGCCACTTGTTCCAGAGGCAAAATAATCCACTAGATCTCACCATTTTTATTTTTTTCAGCTGAGGAGGCTTGAGAGTGAAGGCAAAATGTCATACCTTCTGAAAATGAATCATCTCCCATTCTGCTACAAAAATGTAGCATAATGAAAATATGAAGAGACAAAAACAGAAGCTTCAAGAGTACAGGAAGCTCAGGATAAAGAGGGGTGTCGAAAGCCCCAGGAGTTGTCCTATTCGCCCATACAGAGAACCAAAACCAACAGGAGGACATTGACTTCTCCCTCACCTGGAGTCAGTGGAGTGGGAATGATGGCTGGAGAGAGGCCAGTGAATTTGGGGAAGTGAACACTTAGGACTGATTAGTTCTGGCTGCAATAAAGATTTCCTGAACCTACCTGAATTGAAGAAATATCTGAAGCCTGATATTTCAAGCATAATTGCCCATACACAGCCTCAGCTAATACTTCTCTCCCTGTACCCCTCTCCTCATACTGAAACAGTAAAACACAGAGAAGAAAACCTCGTTGATAAATTGAAAAAGGATGCTAATGAGTGGGATGAGATATCTGGAATAATTCTCTGCCCCTGTATTAGAAAGAATGAAAGATCTAGATAATAATGTTAAAAGTGGAAATTTTGGCAACTGTGGAACCAGTCTAGAAAGAAATTAGTTCAAATTAAAACAGGTAGTGAGAGGACCCCAAGAATAATATCTATGAGAGTAAGAATCAAATGGTTTCTGGGCAATTGATGGTTTAAAGAAAGAACATCTGCAGGATAGTAAGAAGGGTTTATTCTAAATGATAAGTGTAATGTGTGAGAATCTGGAAGCTACTTGAGATAGAAGAAAGAAAGAATATATTTATTTTCCCAATGAGACATGTGAGAAATAGTCAGAAAATCTCAGCAAAAACAAAACCAAACCAAAGATTGTATTAAAAAAAAATGGCTCAAATAACGTGAGTTAAATTGGCCCAGATTCTGAGCAATTAATGGAAAGTAAGGAAGGTTCCATTTAACCTTGACCATTTACTGTCTAATAGAGTCTTGGAGGGGGAAGTATAATTTTAGAACATTACCTGGCCCAAGAGTGAGCAATGTTTTCATAGGAAACATTGACTATCAACATATTGATTATCAACCTGCTGAGAAGCACGGATGACCCAATTATGATAGAAAAACAAAATGTAAATATTGTCAAACTTGAGGATATAAATGTATACATGACACGAGATGGAAAATGAAAGCAGAGAGAAGAGGTGACCTGACAAGTGGCAATGGTAATACCTTCATCTCACACTGGAAGGGGTCAAGTCTTTCTAGTTTGATGGAAAAAGAAATCGAGATTTACATCCAAATTTGGGAGTGGTTAAGGGAAGTGGGGAGTGATGTTGTGCCTGAATGAAATCTTCACATATCATAGCAGAAGTCTATGTCTAAAGTGGATAAATCAAGAAATCCTAAATAGGGATAGGCATAACGCCATCAGAAGTGAAAACAAAAAATTCCTGTCTCATTACTTATACCAAAATAAATTTCAGATTTAAACTGATTTAAACAGCCAATTCAGGTTCAACATGTTTAAAATAATAAAGCAAGGAAAGTGTCAAACTACTGCATAAAACCATGGGTAAATTTATGTCTAATCATGCAGTGAGAGAAGTCTTTTTAAGCAAAATAAAAACACTTAAAAGGAATGACAAATTAGACCACACTGAAATTTAAAACTGATCTTTGCAAAAATATAAGAAATGTATAGGGGAAAATGCACTGAACATACATGGCAGATAAAAGATGGGTTTTCTTATTTGTAAAGAGTTGGTGGAAACCAATAAAGAAAATAAAATGGTCAACAGGGCAGAAAAATGGAATAACATGCGAATAGGTAGTTCAGAGAAACAACTTCCTCTCTGCCTTCTTTCCACTGAAACTCTACTCCTGTGCATTACTGAGGTCAGTTGCTTCATTTTCCCAAAACTGTTCTTGATTCACCCAAGAGGACTAAATTGGCTCTTCTCTGTTGCCCCTCAGTACTTTAACCATATTTTGCTTACACACCAAAGTTACTATTCTTCCCTTTCTTTTTATTTTCTTTTTTCTTTTGAGACAGGATCTCGCTCTGTTGTCCAGGCTGGAGTGCAGTGGCACAATCTCAGCTCACTGAAACCTCCGCCTCCCAGGTTCAAGCAATTCTTCTTCCTCAGCCTCCCGAGTAGCTGGGATTACAGGTGACCATCACCACAACTGGCTAATTTTTGTATTTTTAGTAGAGACGGGGTTTCACCATGTTGGCCAGGCTGGTCTGGAACTCCTGACCTCAAGTGATCTGCCCGCCTTGGCCTCCCAAAGTGCTGGGATTACAGGCGTGAGCCATCATGCCCAGCCAGTATTCTTCCTTTTTGAGAATTGATCCTGTTCATCTTTTTCTTCCCCTCTCAATTATACAATTCTTAAGGGAAGAAACTATGTCTTACTCCACTCAATCCCCAATGCATCAAACCTTTAGTAACCACTAATAATCCTTGTTTGAATAAATAAAGAGCACAGGCCCTACGGACAATGTAAGTCAGTAAGTGCACTTGAGTCACTATCTCAAGCACACTACCATTTGAATTTAAATTTCTGGATAAAAATCTCCACAAAACTGATAAGGCACCCTTCAAGCAAGACACAAGTTAATTTTCAGCCTCTAATAGAAGTATTTGTTGGCACTACCTTTCATTGGTTTATTCATTTCAGCAGCCATAAACACACAGATCCCATTGTCACAGAAAGCCTTGTTCGCAAATATAATTTAGTGCATCTCACAATATGAGCTTTCAGGTGGTTGAGCTGTGTGGAAATTCGATTTTTTTTTCTCCCGAGACTCTGAAATGAAAAGAGGATAACCCCAGTGCTCTTGCCCACATCGCTTATCTCACAACAACAGATTACAATCCCATAACTCCACGTTCCCAAGCAGCTACTGTGTTGATCAAATGTAATGCAACAGATGAGAAAACATCAGCTGGTTCATGCCCAAGACAGCTGAAAGGTGCACTTACATTTTTAGTCTCCAGATACCAAAATAAATCTGTTGGGCTTAATCATGAGTTGTCCTGCTACTTTTGGGGAAAGAAAGCCATGTCCAGTGAAATTTCTTTTATACTGGCAGGCATTTTGACTCTTCACCTATTGCTGTTGAATCTCCAGGATATGTACATGTTTTCACACCGATACCTTCATTGAAGAAAATACAGCAATCTGATATTTTTATGTGAATCATCTTTGGAATTCGTGTTCCTCACCTTTGGATACAATAAATATTCAAGAGAAAAAAAATACAGGAAAAAAATAATTGCCCTCAATGATGAGTTCTGAAATACTTATAAGGATAAGTGATGTGTTGAAAAATTCTCAAAAGCAATTTTAGAAGGAATAATTTTTGCAGAGAGTGGCTGTCTCTTGGGCACCATAACAAGAAAAATAGTATATTGCCCTTGGTGATGGTGCGGTCAAGTATCAATAACAACACGCTTCATATTTTCATGAACAAAACACTTCTTCATAAGGTAATGAGATTATAGAAAAATCAACTCAAGGTAAAAATAATTACTTTGCACATGGACAAAGGATAAGTGGAAGAACTTATCTTCTAGTTCGTGGTTCATTTAACAATTAATTGCTCCTTTTTCAAATAGGTCCACTGTGTTCTGGGCCTTGAACAGTGTACCTCTAAGAAAGTTTGTTATCCTTACTGAAGGAAATTACAGTTAGGTCGCTTCTCAGCCTTTTGGCTAAGATCAAGTGTGAAAATTATACTTAGATTACTATGTAATTAGGCCTGGTAGATCCTGGGTAGACTTCACTGAATGCAGGATGCAATATTTGGAAAAGTACTTACTTTGGAGTCCTAATGCCTGGGTGCTACTTCTATTAGTGCCAGAAATTAATAGTGTGACTTTGGGATAATCACTTAACATCTTTGAGCCTCATTTTCCTTATCTTCAAAAAAAAAAAAAAAAGAAGGAATCAGATGAAATCATCTTTACCAGATTAGGTCTATCTTTAGGTCCCCCAGTGTAACTGGGTTTCTGTCTTGGTCTCAGTCCATCCTTGCATTATCCTGGACTTTATTTATTGGAATCCCAATATCTGAGAATTCAATTTATGTCTTTATCGTACTGAAGTCTATAAAGATGTTTTTAAAGAGTCACTAGACTCCAGTGGGGCAACTTGCTCCAGATATCATCATAGTCTCATTAAAAAGTATTTATTGACTACTAATGTGTATAGGATACATGAGTTGGAGACTCACAGATACACATATATTTAATTAGAAAAATATGTAAGAATGAAACTAGCCAAAGATATTGGCAGAAAGTGTGTGAGATTTTTAGCTTGGCTGGCCTTTGTTGGAATGCTCTATTTTTTATTTCTTTTTTGTTTGTTTGTTTGTTTTTTTGGTCTTGGCTTCTTCCATGATCTTGACCCTGTGCCTTGAAACTTTTTTTAAATCATGAAAAATGTGTTTGTCTTCAAGCTGTCCAGTGTGGCAATATCACTTAGAAATATTTCTTTTTTAAAGAGTCCCATGTTTTTAATATGATAGCTAAAATAATATGATAGAAAGGTACCATAAAAATAAAATTATATGCCTTTATATGCCTTAGACAAGTGTAATTCACTATAAAAATAAGTTTCTCTTAGCAGCAGGAACAAAGAAAAAGTAATCTGTTGAAAATGTTAGATAGCTTGCTGAAAGGAAAAAAATTAACGGCAAAAACCAAAGATCTTGAATTTGTTTCTAATTTGCTCAACAGCATTTACTGCGAACAAAACTAATTTTAATTCAGGGTAATTATTTTCTTATTCCACATCAAATAGTTAAATATCACATTTTTAAGATCTTTATTCTTATATCTTTCCTATGTGTTGAATCAAGACTGTTCTTGCCCTGATCAGATAAAAATCAATAATATTGAGATCAAAGTCTTCAAACATCACATGCTAATTTGAAGTTGTATGCAAGCCTAAAGCTAGTGTGTAATACCTTTGTTCTTTTCCTCTTAGGCATTTATGTCCATGTTCCAGATCCTCACCCAGGAAGGATGGGTGGACGTAATGGACCAAACTCTAAATGCTGTGGGACATATGTGGGCACCCGTGGTTGCCATCTATTTCATTCTCTATCATCTTTTTGCCACTCTGGTGAGTTCAGCATTTTTTTTTCAATTATATCTTGGAATTTATAATGGGATGAACATCAACAGATATTTGGCCTATTGTCAATTTCAAAATGGGAGCCAAAGGACTAATGCAGACTAATCTGGTTGGATGAGATCCCTCCTTCCATTCTAAGTTTCTACACATCAAAGAACTGCTTGATTTGTTAAGTTAGATATTTTCTCCATCAGGTACCAGTGTTTGTAAGAGGGAAAACAAGACAGAACAAAATGAAAATCTCACATTTACATACCAATTTAAGTATCCCCAAGCATTCACACCTAGATGATCTCAGGATCAAACCGGAACTCCATTATTATTTTTTTTCTCATGTAGAGACACTGTCTTCAGTTTCACTGCATCCTCTTCACAGCTGTAATTAAACTGAAGACAGAAGCTATAGACCTCAGGGTGCAGTCAGTTAATTAGAAATCAGCACAGTGGTTTTGTGCTATGTGCGACTGGAAAAAAACACATGGAAAAAAATAAAACACATTGCTGCAAGTATTGTAAAAGCACAAGAAAACTGAATACCAAAGTCCAGTAAGAACCGACTTCTGTCACACAAGCAGATTTTTCTCTTCAATATACTTCCATTAAAAACAAAGAAAAAATGTTATGAAATGCAGCCTGTGACTTACTAAGGAATGTAATACCAAATGCTCATCTCTATGTAATAAATTTGTTCATATTTAAGAAGCAAACCTAAGTTCTAACATCACGTTAGAAGTTCCAAGTTGAGGACTCAAATGTTTCCCTTTATCAGGAATACAAGAAATAAATACAACTGCTACTATTGTTTTTGGCAATATGTCTTACAGTTACAAAATATCTTACAATATTATTGCTAATCTTTGGAACACCCGATTAGATAGTATTCCCAGTTAACAGATGATAAAACTGATACTCAGAAGAGTTTAGTAATTTATCTGATGTCACATGGAATGTAAATATGACCAGAGTGTTCCCAGGTCTGTCTGATCTAGATTTGGTCCTTAGTCTTGCAGCTAATTATTATTGCTTCCCTGGATAATGAAGTTTAAAGTTGTCTGAAAAAATGTCTTTGTCAAATCAAACTTCTGCCAAAGAATCACTCACATCAAACAAATTACATATAATCTCTAAGGTCAGTTTTAATTCTAAATATCTATGAATGAAATAAGTCCTTGATAAACTAGATATAACTTAGAAGTTGTGTTTGCTATAGACAGACAGAGGCTTTCAAAACTAAGACATGTCCACCAAAAAGTTAATGAGAATTCATTGTTACATGGTGTGAAGTCATGGGCTCAAACAGTAGAACTACATAGACATAGTTTTGGCCTTTTTATACATGGAGTTGACTTTTAAAAGTTACGCGAAAGATAGGAACATTGTGCAATAGGAATGGAAGCCTGGCTTGCAAAGCTGAATCTGGCTGTGCTGGTGTTTGCACAACACTTAGCCCTGGGGTCTTTGCATCTTCCCTTCCAGGACCTTTAAGCCTGTGCCATTTATTCATTCATCCATTCATTTACACATCATTTATGCGTTCAACTAAGTTTATTAAGCTACTTGTGTTTAAGTTACTCTAAAACTATGGAATTGCTCAGACTGTTGATTGTGGGTTAAATGCAGGATAGATTTCATTGAAATCATCTATGTCAGGGAATATCAATCTAATTATTTTATAGTAATCAACCTAATCGTTTTCCTAATAAAGCAACAAAATGGTTTACTTTCCTCACTGAAAATGTTTCACACTCAGATATATGTTTGATTCTTAAATCAGGGACACAAAAAATGAAAGCTGGAAGAAAAAACTAGCCTATTACATTATTTAGTAAAGTAATATTTTTTCAAGTGAAAATTCTACTGGGGTCACTAATATAATAAAATAAAATATTAAAACTGGTATATAGCCTTCTTGGGCAATCTAAATCTTCTTTATGGGCTAAAATATGGCATTGGTTATAGATCACTTAAAGTTCATCCAAGGACTCCTGGGGTTCACCTGAGGCTTTAGGAATCCACAGAGCACAAGATGAAAACCAATCTCTAATTCTACTCTTTCCACTTACTGATTTAAGTATCTACCCAAAACATCTGTTCTAACTTTTTTATTGCAATTTTCAAACAACAGTTATAAGTTAAAACTGAAAATTGAAATAACTTGTTCTTTTATTCACACTTTTTAAAAGTCTGTAAGGCAATTGAGAATTCAGAAGTCTACATGTTAACGAGAACAGTTTGGTAAATGTGGTGTCGTACAAGACTATGAAATTGGAAGGCAAAAATCCAGATTCAGGTTCTAGCTCTGCTGGTCACTCGATATCTGATTTCTGAAGACTCACATAACTTCCCTGATCTCTCTGTTGTTTGTATCGGAAAGTGAGGATAATAATTCACAATACACCCAGTTTCCAAGGTTGTCATGTATCTGCGAGTTAACCCTGTATTTCTGAGGATGTTTTAGAGCACCAGCACTGAGCCCCTTTAAATGTAGATAAGACGGTTTGTGCATTTAAAGCCATATATTAATAAATGTTAAATTTATATTATGTTCAGATATTTTTAATTTATGCAAGTATCATTTATTAGGGTATCATTTATGCCCCTTCCTGAATTAATTTCCATTCTTCTTCTTTCTCTCCTTCCCTATACCTCTTCTCCCAGGCAATGACTCTGATAATTTTAATATAAATTCATTTTCCAATTTTTAGAACATATTTCACTAAATTTAACATTCTGTCATTCAGTAGAAGACTCAGTTTGTGTAACACTAAAGAGAAAAACAATTAAACTATACACATAGAGGATAAGGGGCATCCCTACTTCAGAGTTTTTAAAAGGTGAAAGTAAATGTGCATCTTAAAATCAATGAAATGCAGAGGTTTCCCACACATATATGCATCCATTAAAAATATAGTATTTATGGCCAGCACGGTGGCTCACGCCTGTAATCCCAGCACTTTGGGAGGCTGAGGCAGGTGGATCACCTGAGGTCAGGAGTTAAAGATCAGCCTGGCCAACATGGTGAAACCCTATCTCTACTAAAAATACAAAATATTAGCCAGGCATGGTGGTGAGCACCTGTAAGCCCAGCTACTCAGGATACTGAGGCAGGGGAGAATCACTTGAATCTGGGAGGTGGGGGTTGCAGTGAGCCGAGATCATGCTGTTGTACCCCAGCCTGGGCAACAACAGTGAAACTCCATCTCAAAAAAATATATATATATATACACACACACAGACACACACACACACGTGTGTGTGTGTATATATGTGTATATATGTATATATGTGTGTATATATGTATATATATGTGTGTGTATATATGTATATATATGTGTGTGTATATATATGTATACATATAGTATTTTAAACTTAAGGTTACCATCTAAATACATTTTATGCCCAAAATTCTGAAGATTAATATTAAGTTTTCTTAGTTTGCAAAGCACTGCTCCAGTCAACTGATGGCCATCCCTAGGGGAGTGGTCTGGTAATACATACTTCTCTCCCTATAAGTCCATGCTGGGGCCAAGTTATACATGGTCATGTGTTTCCCTCCTTATCAATTATTTGTGGCAGCAATTTTTAGAACAAATGGTATCAAACTCAACATATATTCTGCAGTTAAATTTTTCACTGGCTATTTTTTTCTGAGATCTTTTTATCTTACTCCACATGAAGCTAATTTGGTCATTGTTATAGAGAGCCGTATGGTACTCCGCGGACTGTGAATATGCCATATTTGTTTATCAGTTCCCTTTCTGATGGCTATTTAGGCTGTTTTCCAAAGTTGTACTTTTATAATGCTGCAATACATTTATGTATCGTGCCCACTTATGTGAATTTCTCTAGGATATATGTCCAAAAGTAGAATGCTTAGATCTTAGGTACTGCCCAAATTGCTCTATACTAGGGACCTGCAAGCCCAGATACCAAATCCAGCCCACCACCTGTATTATACAACCTGTGAGCTAAAAATGGTTTCTATAATTTAGTGGTTATACAGGTACCCACAGAATATCCTCAGTATTGCCTCATGACCCTCAACGTCTAAAATGTTTACTGTCTGGACCTTTAAGAAAACACTGTGGACTCCTGCTCTATAGATAAATTGTGCTAATTTACCCTCCCAAGTGCAATAGTTGAGAATTCCTGTGTTCTTACACTCTCACTTAGACGTCACATTGTTTGACATGTGAGGTTTTGGCAATCTTATGAGTGAACACTGGTATCAATTGGGCTTGCATTTTTGCATTTCCATAATTATTAATAAGGGAGCACCTCTTACTATGTTTATTGACCATCTTTTTTGTGACTCAATTGTTTGCTTTACCTATTTTCCTAAAAACAAATTTGTCTTAACTCATTTATTGGATATTTGTTGGATATTAATCTCTTGACTATTACATGTGTTGCGAATATCCTCTCTTAGGCAGTATTTTGTCTTCCAGTTTGTCTGTGATGTCTTTTGACATTCTATATATTTTTATTTCATTTTTAGTTAACAAATAATAATTGTATATATAGTAGTCCTCCTTTGTCCCCAAGGGAAACTTTCCAAGATTCCCAGTAGATACCTGAAACCATGGATAGTACAGAACCCTATATATACTATGTGTTTTATTATACATACATAACTTTGATAAAGTTTAATTTGTAAATGAGGCATAGTAAGAAATCAACAACAATAATAACAAAATAGAACAGTTATGACAATATACTGTAATAAAAGTTATGTGAATACGCATTCTCTCTCTGTCTCCATCTCTCCTTTTCAAAATGTCTTAATATTTTCAGGCTGTGGCTGACCACAGGGAACTGAAACTACAGAAAGTGAGACAGTGGATAAGGGGGGGGCCTACTGTATTTATGGGGTACAACGTGATGTTTTGATACATGCATACATTGTGGAATGATCAAATTAGGTCAAAACTATCGGTTTTTCACTGATGGTCTGTATTTATTTTGACCTCATGCTTAAGGAATTCTTTCCCACCTGAGGTAATACAAATATTCTCCTATATCTTCTTCTAATTGTTTACAATTTTTGCTTTTCACCTTTAAGTCTTTAGCTCATCTCTACTTACTAGTTAGATATAGCATAAGCTAGATGAAATATACTGTTTAAATAAAACTCAAATCAATTTTTCTCAGATTTATATGAGAAACTGCAAGGTTTAGAATATTTATTTGATTTATCTGATTATGAAGTCTAACACAAAAAAGGTAAACTGTTCAAACTTTTAAATTTCTAAATTATTTTTTAAATGATATATAATTTAATAAAAGGAAACACTATATAACTAAATTAAAACAAAGATTATCACTTCTATACTACCCAAAAAAAGTCTAATACTGAAGTCACTTCCCCAGTTCACAAAAAATTTTGCTTAAAACATGGTCAGCAGTTGTTTCTCTTTTCCTTTGTACCCTTAGACTAACAGTTACTGTAATGGGCTTTATGAAGTGAGTTCAATTTGATTTGATACAGTTTTACTGAACCTCTACTACCACGTGCAGGTACTAACCTACGTCCTGGCCAAAGTGGGAAAGAGCTTAATTCATGTCCTCTTAGGGGCTACAAATAATTGGAAATTAGCAATAACGAACACAGACAGGCTAACCAACAAACAAATAAAACCAGTGGTTCCAAGGCCTAAAGATGCAAATGGTAAGAGAGGCATGTGTACATTGCTACTTGCTATGTGATCAATAAACATCTGCTTCCCAGTTGTTCCCAATCTGCCTTATGAGAAATATCAAAAGTAGTGGCAGTGAAACAGCTGGAGATAGTCTGTGGGCTAACATATAAACACATGCGTGAGGGTGACAGGTCTGTGTTACACACACATTGCATGCCCCTAAAAACTAAACTTCACAAGTTAAAATATTCCATAAGCCTGTCTTCAGAGCTGAACTTACCTTAAAATGAGCATTTTTGTTTAATTGTATGTTTCCTTTTACAAAATGCTACAACGCATTTTAACCCAAATGGGTGAGAAGGGAAAAAAAAAGTAGTCTGTGTAAACATACAAGCTCTGATGTGTCTTTTGTTCACACCGAACAGTGGTGCCATACAACTTGATGAGTTCCTGATTTAGTCTTCCCAGGGACAGGCATGTGCCAAGCAGCGAAAAATAAAATGTGTGGTTGCAGCTTGTTCTGGAATAAAGAACAGCAGGCTATTTCATCACCCCTGGGGGCACCAATTTTCAGCCCACAATGAAAATCAAGCTGAAGTATATAGCAAATGCATATTCATAACCTCCATGTATTGTCCCTTTCAAACATCTCTCTCTTCCGCCAGGTATGTATTCTGTATTTCTGTCCTGACTGATTGCAGTTTATTGAATGCTTGTTAAATTCATCTTTTTCCCCATCTTTGCCAATGATTTGGGGATAGGGACTATGGAAGACCTAACAAGTTGAAAGACTCCATTTTTCCTGCAATGTTTTTCTGTCTAT
Organism: Homo sapiens; assembly: GCF_000001405.40. Taxonomy (NCBI): domain Eukaryota; kingdom Metazoa; phylum Chordata; class Mammalia; order Primates; family Hominidae; genus Homo; species Homo sapiens. The sequence continues at coordinate 101,185,442 of NC_000013.11, read as the reverse complement.
TACTGTTTCAAAGGAAAGCCCTGTGATGTGAATACTGAAAAGAAAGAAAATGTAATTAAGCGTTCATTGTGGGTAGTCTTTTTGTTACCTTTGAAGTGCTGAAATTAACACAGCAATCTCTTGATTTTGCCTCGGTAGTGGCAGCTTGCTGAGAATAGTCATATTTTGCTGACACAAATGGGCATTCCAAAGTGTAAATTAAATAACTTGATTGTATAGAATTCATTTAAAAGTGCATCTGTGTTGAACGTATCCCATTTTACACTGCGCTGATTACATTTGACTTTTTGTTGACCCATATAAAAAGTGAAATTGTTTCATACCACAGGCGGCAAGACAGCTTAGGATAGGGTGATTATAAATGGTAAACAGGAAAAGAAAAACACAAGAGTGTGGGACATTGATTCCTGCTGTGTTTCTAGTGTATATTTCAAAATAATTTAAAGATAAGAAATTATTAATAAAGTTCACAGCAAAGAAGAAAATAAGATTAAAGGTGAAATTTCAGCTAAAGGGACATCTTTAAGCTATATAAAAGGAAAAAAATCATAAAATTAAACTTTATAAAAAGAAAGAAAACTGAAAAGGGAAAGCTATATAGGGTAAGGTCATGGCTATCTGCAGAGTCAGAGAGAATGTAAAATAGGATATGTTGCTGCAGGGAGAGAAATTTTCAACCAGAAAATCCATTGTGAATGACAAGGCTGCCCTCTTGCAAAAATAAATCATACTTTTCAGCTGTTTGAATCATGCTAATCCAAAAGTCTTATTCCGAGGGAATGAGAACTACATTATGTTGGACAAAATGATCTGCATCACAACAAAATTGGAAGAAATAATTATACTTGCAAATGCAACTATTTCAGTAATTTATTGAATTTGACTGAAATTTATTGTAGTTAAATAGAAAAAAAATAAATATATCTGTGGTCACATGTATAAAACTTAAACAGAGCAAATAACTACCACAGCATTAACTGAGGTGAATCTGGGCTGTTTCAGAGGAGAAAAAGGAAGAGGAGGTATTAGAGAAAGAGGAGCGTCATAAAGAATATTAGAGAAATCAAACGCCTGTGAGACCCTGGTCCAGGTACCAGTTTGAACCTGGAAAATTACGCTTTTGAAATCCACTAAGCTGAAAGGTCAAAATCCTATTATATCATTCATAAATATTCTGAGAGAGACTTCCCAGACTTCAGCAGGCCTGATAATGTGGCATTTTCCACACTGAATGCATTGTCAATGCTAAACATACCTTAGCAATGGGCATTATAATCTGAGGGAAATAAAGAATTAGATATCTGAAATACATTGTTATTCTCCACTTTTTCATTGACATCACTGATTCATAATGTATCAATATCGGTCATAAAATTAAAAAGTGGATACATACATCAGCTGTATATTACACAGTAGGACAAATGCTGTGTTGCATATTAATATGATCAAACGCTATAGACCTGTTAAAAGTGCCAAATAGTAAATGCATGAAAAAATAGATATTTGGCTTTCTTTTTTACAGCATTGTACAAACTAAACACCACTGTGTTGAAAGCATACATGTACTTAGCAGGGTTCAAGAGGAGATGAAAGGTGGTGTCATTAGCCTTTTTCCCCTGAAATTATATCATTAAAAAAAAATAGGGACATAGTATATCCTGCTGCAGTATAAATTGAAATATCGGGCCAGGCGTGGTGGCTCCCCCTATAATCCCAGCACTTTGGGAGGCCGAGGCGGGTGGATCACCTGAGGTCGGGAATTCCAGACCAGCCTGATCAACATGGTAAAACCCTGTGTCTACTAAACACACAAAAATTAGCCTGGTGTGGTGGCAGGCACCTAAAATCCCAGCTACTTCGGAGGCTGAAGCAGGAGAACCACTTGAACCCGGGAGGTAGAGGTTGCAGTGAGCTGAGATCGCACCACTGCACTCCAGCCTGGGGGACAGAGAGAGACTCTGCCTCAATCAATCAATCAATCACTCAATAGAAATATCACATAAATCTAAATATTAAGAAATAAATAATGCAAAGCAAATTAGTTGCATAATTTAGAACAGTCAAAACACAAAGGTAAAAGTGTTTTATACATATGATGACACTCCTGTGATTTAATGTGGCAAGTCCCTGTAAAATTCCTTTATTACATCAATACCGTTTTAATATGAACCTGTAAATCACATTTAGTGGCTATAGAAAAACCTTTTGGCACAGCAACATGTGGTAGTGTAGGTAAACATTAGCTGAAGGTAATATGCAGACATCGCTGTAATGGGTTCTGATTACTAATGAGCATTACCTCAGCTTTCTGTAAAAACAGAATAAATGAGAACACTCAGAGAACTGAAAAATGGTTCTTCCTTTCAGAATGAGGGCTTGTCACCCACTCCCATGACTTTCCATACCATGTGTTGGCAAGTGTCTGACACCCAGGTCGACCTGCTCTTTCAGTCCAAATCCACATTGCACTGGGTTTGTAGGAAAATACTGTATCATTGATAACATAAATTAAATATGATGGACACCAAGCTGCCATTCTTCCTTCACTTCTACCCTTTATCGCAGTGCTTATTGTCACCTTATTAGAGTCTGTGAGAAAAGAACCGCAAAGTCATTCTCACCTCCTGGCAATCAGCTACAGACTCACCCTGCACCTCCTGAATCTTCTGTTTCCATTGCAAAGACACAGCCAAAGCCTTGGGTCAGACTTCAGTCATCTCTCACCCGGAGTGCCAGTTGCCACCTTATCACAGTGCCCTACATGCCAGGGACAGTTTGATGAGGATCAATCTGAAAGTCCACATTCAAATAGGGCTTCAGCGGAAACCCAAGCCCCCTACCACACACATACATCTTGAACCAGTTTCTGTTTTGTAAGTTTGTGCTTTTGTCATGCCACTGTCAAATTAATTGAAAAATGATGCCTAAACAAAGATATTTGCTGAATAAAATTAGGTTTATGCTACTTTCAAGCAAACTTCAAACTTTATTATATTATTTTTAAATTTGTTGCCTCCCCAAGAGTTTGTTCTAATTCTTTAAGTTTGGGCCTTCCTGTTGTGAAGTCACGCAGCGTTTTCCCAGAGAAGCCAAAGCTCTTCCTTTAGGAGTCTTGCCTTCTCCTATCCACAGCAAATATCAAATGCATCTGCCTTGAGGAGTCAGTGCAGCTGGCATGCCGTGGCTCTCTCTGTCCTGCTCTGAGGGTGGCTTTTCTCTGTTTATCCCAAGGAAAAAGTATATACCAGTTTCTTGTTTAACCAATGTAAGAAAACATTACATATCTTTTTTTTTTTTTTTTTTTTTTTTGAGATGGAGTCTCGCTCTGTTGCCCAGGCTGGAGTGCAGTGGCACGATCTCGGCTCACTGCAAGCTCCGCCTCCCGGGTTCACGCCATTCTCCTGCCTCAGCCTCCGGAGTAACTGGGACTACAGGCACCCGCCACCACGCCCGGCTAATTTTTTTGTACTTTTAGTAGAAACGGGGTTTCACCATGTTAGCCAGGATGGTCTCGATCTCCTGACCTCGTGATCTGCCGGCCTTGGCCTCCCAAAGTGCTGGGATTACAGGCGTGAGCCACTGCACCCGGCTAGAAAACATTATATATCTAATAACATTTTGTCAAACTGCACTTAACCTTGTCTAGTTACTATTTCAGTGAGCCAGTTTATTTTTTTGTTTTGTTTGTTTTTAGTTTTTGGAGACAGGGACTTGCTCTGCCATCCAGGCCTAGAGTGCAGTGGCACATTCACAGCTCACTGCAGCCTCGACCTCCCAGGCTCAAGAAATCCTCCCACCTCAGCCTCCTCCCAAGTAGCTGGGGCCACAGGCATGCGCCACCATGCCTGACTAATTTTTGTTTTTTTTTTTTTTGAGAGACAGGGTTGCCCAGGCTGGTCTCAAATTCCTGGGGTCAAGCAATCCTGCCTCAGCTTCCCAAACTGCTAGGATTACACGCATGAGTCACCATGCCCAGCTGAGCCAGTTTAAACTTGCTGCATTACATGCATTAAAAACAAAAACACACACACAAAAAGCCCCAGAACTTTTAAAAGGAAAAATTTAGCAGAAAGAAACTGATGTCATCACTTTGTGATTATTCCAGCCTCCCTCTCTTATCCGTGACCTCTGTGGCACTCAAGACGCCTGTCCATCCTGCCTTCCTCTCCAGCCTCCAAACCCTCTGCCTGGAAGCCAGACTCTGGCCAGACTTACTCACCAGGCCCTCACCACACCACCTGGAATGCGTTCCTCACAGCTCTTTTCCAAAATCAGTCTTCTCCTTGGCATCTGCGTGGCTTGGGAGAGCATCCTTGGCTCTCTGTCATTGTCTCACAATCTTCGATAAGTAGTGTTCGGAAAGTGCCCCCCTGGCCCATGTGCCCAGATGGGCTCTCCAAGTCTAAATGCTTCAAAATGGTACAGAACTAAATGTGTGAATTTATGATGGGGCTTCATTTCTGGTCCTCCTTCTTCACACTTGCGTGGCCGCCCTTCCCATCCGCTCTCCAATTTTCTTTCACGTTTCTGCTTTCTGAGAAGAAATAAGACTGATTTCTGGGATGGAGCATGAGAGAGACAGATGCAGAGAGAGAGAGAGACAAAGCGTGTTTCCGTGGGAGATGCCCACACACCTCACTTGGGAGCATCGGCAGTGTTGGTACCCACACAGGTGTGTTTTGACATCCAAGACTTGACCCTAATTCTTCTTGGAACCTGATGGGGAGAGAACCTTGCTGGGGGCCCCACATGGGCCAGGGGCAGCCAGGGCAGAGTTGGGCAGCTGCCTGAGAGTTCTCGGTGGAGAGGCCCGGAATATCCCACAAGAACAAGTCTCCGTTAGTTCCAAGTGGAATGACAGCCCTTTCTGAGTTTCCCTGAGTTGAGAGCTAATACATGTGTTGTGGGAACAACAGCCCAAGCCAAAGGCCACGCGGAGGCCAGGCGTGGTGACTCACACCTGTAATCCTAGCACTTTGGGAGGCCAAGATCCACGGATCTCATGAGCTCAGGAGTTCAAGACCAGCCTGGTCAACCTTGTCTCTACAAAAAATAAAAAAAAAAAAAAAAGTAGCCAGGCATGGTGGTAGGTGCCTGTAGTCCCAGCTACTTGGGAGGCTGAGGTGGGAGGATCGCTTGAGCCCATGAGGTGGAGGCTGCATGAGTTGAGATCACACCACTGCACTCCAGCCTGGGTGACAATGTGAGGCCCTGTCTCAAAAAAAAAAAAAAAAAAAAGACCAGGTGGAGAGTATAGTGGATTAAATGGGCCCCTACAAAAGATAGGACCATGGCTTAACCCACAGAACCTATGAACACGACCTTATTGGAAAAAGAGTCTTTGCAGATGTAATTAAATTAAGGATCTTGTGATGAGATCATCCTGGATTATCTGGGTGGGCCCTAAGTCCAATGACAAGCGTCCTTGTAAGACACAAAAGAGCACAAGACACAGAGAGAAAGCCTTGTGACTGGTGTTAGATAAAGGCCAAGTGACTGGTGTTAACAAAGCCACAAGCCGAGGGACAGAGGAGGCCACCAGCAGCTGGAAGAGACAAGGGAGTATTCTCCCCCGTGGCCTTTGGAGAGAGTGTGGTCTTGCCGACAACTCAATTTTGGACTCTGGCCTCCAGAATTGTGATCAAATAAATGTCTGTTGTTTGAAGCTACCAACTCCGTGCACGGTGTTACAGTACTCTAGGAAGCGCATATGGAGGACATCACTGGGAATCAGAGCTCTTAGCTTTGGGAGCTGAGATGGTGGTCAAGTCAGCAGAAAGAAAGCCCCAAACCCCCTGTACAGCCTCATCAGTTCCCCTGATGGGGGATGGAGGACATATTACCCAGCTTGTAGTGGGTAACCTTGACCTTAAACTACCCTAAAAAGAAAAGGAGCATTTATTCAAATGTAACTGAGCTTGAAAGGACTGAATGGAACTGATGTAGCAAGATAATGTTTCCAGCCCCCAACAGAAATGGAGGGATTGTGCACCAAATTCAATTCATTTGTAGAAAAACCAAGAAATTTATTTTAGCTTTGCATAACTAATTTTATGTCTGTATATTTTCAGACATTGTATAGCTATACTACATGTCAGGGTTGCTCGGGGAGAATTAAATGAAAAAAAAGCTGCAATTTGTTGAGCTATTATTACATTTGTAATATTTTACAAACGAGAGCACCGAAACTCACTGTGGGCTGGCAGTTGCCACGTGGCTCATAGCTGGCACAGCCTGTTTGCTACCTGAGCTCTCTGACTCCAAGCACAGTGCTCTCTTCTATGTCTGCTTAATTCAGTGATAAACATCACTGCAGTGAGTGCAATATTGTATTTATGTATCAGACCAGGCAGTGCCTCACACATCCATGGAGTCCAGTCAACTGTTTGTCAAATTTAATAGAATAACATAGCCTTGCTGTCCTTAAGTAGCCTGCCCTCTGTCCAGTTTGGGGGATATAATTAAGAATAAAATCTCCTGCCAACCCACGAAACCTCTCCTTAAAGGTAGAGGAGAGAGAGCCCAGTTTTATTATTGAAAAAGCTCTAACGCAGGCTGCAATGCACATCACTGGCAATCTGCTAAAGAGATCACGGAGGCAGAAAATACCTCCCTCTTTTATATCACCGCTTTCCATACGTGTTCTCAAGATAGAAATAACTAGTCCTCAAGTAAGAAGGCTTGACAGCACCACTTGTTAAATATAGTTTATCCTAAATTCACCTGGTAAGTGGGGTGGCCATCTGTGGGAGCTGATTGCCTTTATCCAAAGGAAAATTAAAACTTCTCATATTTCCGTGACAAGTAGGTAGGTTTACAACTTGGAGCCAGATGTCTAAACTCCCACCCTCTACGGAGAAGGGGAGACGGAGGCTCTTGTCTTCCTTGATGTTTACATTACTTCAAGGAGACAGCCCTCAAGGAAAACATTCTTTTAGGTTGTAGAACTGGTGAGAAGCTTATTTGGCTCTTAAAAGTATTTATATACATCTCAAACAGAAAGGGAAAGAATTTACAATTCCAAGTCTTATAAAGGAAATGCTCTAAGAAAAGGGAGGCGAACAGGATCCCTTCCGACCCCCCTTTTTTTAGATTCATGTTTGTACTTTCACTAGAGAGAGAGGAAACATGATTAAATTAGGACACAGAACAATGCCTGCTCCAGTGCCCAGGTGTGAGAGAAGGGGTATAAGATATCCCCTCCTGCAGAAGGAAACCAGCAGGTGAACATCTCAGAATTCGGGGTGAGAAATCAAGACAGGGGAAGGTAGACTCTGCCTCTGATATTACTTTCTGTCGTCGAGGTATTGGGAAATGGGCTGAACATGGAGCAAACTTTAAAATGTCCAGTTTGGAATGATGTCTGGTTCAGAATAAGCCTGATGCCCAGTTACCAGTGGTGTACCAGTCATGGTGATGTTAATAAAAACCCTCTGGTCTAGATCATTCTGTATCTTCTTCAAGTTATGGTAAGACTCCAAAGGGCATGGCTGTTGAAAAGAAGGGTGCTGGCATTTGTCCCAAGCCAAGCATATCCCATCATAATTTAATCATGTTGATATACTCATTAAAATTGAAAAAGAGCTAGCCATTAACTTCTGCATAATAACTTCTCTAGCACTGGCTGAATTATCTCAACTTTCTGACCTTCATGCTTAACCACCTAATATTAACAAATGGGAATAATTCATTAAGAAGAAAACTGAAAAGAAAAATATGAGTTAGAAATGAAAAAGATGATCAAGTGAATATGGGACTTAAAAAAATTCAAAGTTGAAGAGGGACTACAGCGTAAAATATTTTTAAAAATTATGCTATTTTGTTTTATTTTATTTACCTGTTCTAAAAGAAGCATACATTTTTTAAAAACTGAGAAAATCATAACATTTTTTAAAAGAGGAAAAATTGTATTACTCCAATACACAAAAGCAAGTACCATTAATATTTCTAAAGTACCTCCTTCAAGCATTTTCTCTATTACTCCGTTATATGCATAGTTGAGCTTCTACCATATATATATATATATATATATACTCGTATTTACTGTTATAATGTGTTTTCAACACCATAAAAATTCACCAGTGTATTAGGTATCTGTTGCTGTGTAATAAATTACCCACACATTAGAAGCCTACCAGGAAATAGATGTTTATTATCTCAATTAGTTTCTCAAGGTTGGGAATCTGAGACAGGCTTAGCTGAGTGTTTCTAGTTCAAAGTGTCATGAGGTTGCAGTTGAGATGTTGTCTACAGCTGCAGTCACCTTGAAGTTTTACTAGGGCTGGAGTGCCTCTTTCCAAGATGGGTCACTCCAGTGGCTGTTGGCAGGAGGCCTCAGTTCCTCACCACATGGACCTCTCCAGAGGGCTGCTTGAGCATCCTCACAACATAGCACCTGCTTCCACAGAGCAGGTGATCTAGGAGAGACCAAGGGTAAAGACACAGTGTATTTTATTGCCTAGCCTCATAAGTCACACACAATTATTTCTGCAACCTGCTGATGACACAGGCCAGACATATTCAGTGTGGAAGGGAACTACACAAAGGCATGAACCAGGAGTCTAGAACAACGCTGGAGGCCATCTTGAAGAGTAGCTACCACATGGGAATTTGTAATGGCTGCATGTATCTTATCACATAAATCTCTATAACTGTATTGACTATTCATGCAAAGTTGGATGTTATTTCTAATATTTCCTTATTACAAACAACCCTCTAATAAGCACCTGTGTATATTAAGCTTTTCATCAATAGTTCAGATCACTTTTTTAGAATATTATCACACAAGTGGGATTGTTGAGTTCAAAAAAACCTTTTTCTTAATTTCCTTTTTAAGTAAGTTGGTTTCATAAAGCAAGTTAACATATTATTTCAATGAACGTATGCATTTTATTTCATGTATTTGTGATAAATACCTTGAAATGCCTATGCAATGATTCATCACTGCATGTTTATTTTGCATTTAATGAATTATATACTCAATATATTTTAGGTAGCTATATTATACATATAATATTTTGATACTTATGGCATGTGGGTTTTTTCATTGTTATTTCACCATTTTATAGATCCTCCTGAGTTTGTTTGTTGCTGTTATTTTGGACAACTTAGAACTTGATGAAGACCTAAAGAAGCTTAAACAAGTAAGTAGTGTGTGGGGGATTTTTTTTAAAAAGGACAAAAAACCAGGGGCAAACCATTTGCTTATAGGCAATATTAAAAATTTGAGCTTCAAAGTAAAAATAAAATGTAATAAGGCTATCGAAGGTGGTAAAATGGTGTTAAGTTTAACTTTTATCTAATATTAACAAGGGAAACTTTCTATTACTCTATAAATATCCTAGGAATAGTTTTATTATTTTTGAATAAAAGTAAAATGGGCAGAGTATAGTTAATTGGATTTGGAGACTGTTCTCCTTCTGCCATTAAATGAAGGTTGTTTGGAAATGAGATGCCTCAAGGCCAGATTTTGCATAATTATATGTAATAGTCTTTATCATCATCATAAAAATACTACAATCAACCTGCCTGGTCTCTAGACACTAAAGGACAATTTAGTCTGGGTGCCCATAGTGAGTATAAGAAACAGAATAAATGATCAAATGTGGACCCAGTTATGTATGAAAACAGACGGGATGTCATCATGGTGAAAGTTATACCCCAGAGAATGAAACTAGAAATAGGTGAATGCTGTGTTCTTAATGGCAGGAGGATTACAGCTATCGTCAATCATTCCTATAGCTTCTGTTGCATGGAGGATATTTGGCTTGAATATTTGGCTCTATCAAAGAGTACAGACCCTTTGAGAAGAAGAGCTCGCAAGAGAGTGGGACAATGGGTGGAACGTTCTTGTATCACCCTCCCCAAAACTGAGAGAATAGTTGAGATGTTAACTACCAAACTCTACCCAACTGTTAGAATGTTATAATGTTGACAGAACCACACCTGTTATAATGTTAACAGAACCATGGCTCTGAAACTTTCCATTTGGAATTATAAGCAGGCCCTCCATATTCAGAATTTCCCAAAGCTCTCTATTTTTAACAAAGCAAAAAGTATAACCTATTTAAATTTTTTAATTTTTTTTAATCTATCTCATGATCAGGTTAGGCATTTCATTTTATTACTCTTACCTTTAAAGCCTATGCTTTTAACAGAGGGTATCAACAAGGAAAAAAAAAAACAGAACAAACAAACAAAAAAAAATTGTTATGAAGATTCCTACTTGGAGCATACCAAGAAAGGTTTTGAGTTCTTTACCATCCTACAGCTACCCAGGCAAATGGGCATCTTCCCGGCTCTGCTAGAGATGATTTCTTCCCCGTCTTTTCACTCTGTGGCAGCAGTGATAGATTCTTCAAATGAGAGTTGGGACATTCCTTTATGCCATCAATGAAAATACTTTGTGTGGCTTCTAGTTGCAGAAAAAAATATCTAATAGGTGAATTCAAGATTGAAAGTGACCAGCCATATAATTAGACATGATCAATAAAAATCTGCTGCTGTAGAACCACTTTAGTCCATGCTTTACAAATCTGGTATTGAGCTGTCACTTTTCCTTCATGCCATGGTTATTATGCACAGATATGTACTATCCTCTGAGACAGTATGTTACAATGTGTATTCTATAGATAAAATTTAAAATATCCAATTTTTTTTAGCTAGTGCTACCGCCAGGTTCCATATGCTTTTAAATAACCATATAATTCCAGCCCTCATTTGTAAAATAATTTTTCTGCTGGAAAGCAACAAAATAAACTTGTATGTAGCAATTTTTTCAGGATTGTGAATTCAAACCTAAGGATACTTTGCAGTGTTCATTTTTTTCAACATTTTAACTTATTTATATATACACGTATATGCATAGCCTACTTAAATTTTTTGTCATCTTTATATCTAGTGGTCACAATAGGCATTTCATATCTGACCCAAAGTGAAGAAGCAACAATAAAAAGTCAGGACTTTAATTGGCATTGACATTCTTCCTGGGCTATAAAGTTTTAATAAACTATATGGCCCTTCACTTTGGGTAAATGTCATTATTTATAAAATGGCTTTTAATCACTTGCTAGATATTAGTGAAGCTTTGTGTTTCTGGAAATTCTGTATATCAGAACTGGTTATCCAATTGCACTAGCCTACAATTTGGACCATATACTCTGGGTATTTGGGCATTGAAAACTCCAATCATAACGCAGCAATTCCATTTTTGTTAGTACTTTTTACACTATTCTTTATTCATGGTTGGACTGAAACTATGTATCTATTAAATTCTTCTATTAATTTCATACTTGAAACTCGTTGAACCTGAAATTCATTATAGCAAATATTATTAAACTAAGTTAAAGTGTTCCTGGTTAACTTTCTCTCATTTTTGTATGATTATGTTTTGTTTTCAGTAGTTTTTAACAACGGTGTCATTTTTTATGCCCCTGATTTTTCTTATTTTCAGTGATCTTGGCCTTTAAGGTAGGGCTCATTTGCATATTTTTAAAAACACACACATTCTCATGCATTCACTTTCATATACACATGTGGTCATGTGGATACCTGAAACTTTAGACTGTCTTTTACAGATTCTTTTAAAAAACAATGAAATTGGTACCCTAAATATTTGTTTCAATTGTCCATGTACAAATCCAGTCCTTAAGATTTAAACTTATGTACTCTATTTTTACTACTCCCAGATAGAGAGTAGAGTGGAGGAAATGTTCAAAAAAAGTATTTGATTTTCTTAATGTTTCAAGTTTCAGAAAGCGCTATGCATTCCAAATTCCATCTTTGCTCCGTTCAAACTTTTTGCTTCTTTTACCACATCTGCTTGTATGTAGATTCTCATAGCTATGGTGACATTGGTTGAATTCTTGCTCAGTATCAAGTGTTTTATGTTTTCACTTATTTTTCAAAACGACCCATTCAATGCAGGTGTTATTATTATGTCCATCTTACAGATGAGGAAACTAAGACATAGAGAGGTTAAGTAACTTGCTCAAGGTTACACAGCCAACAAATGTCGGAGCTAGAATTTGAACCTAGGCAATTTGGACCGAAAGCCCACACTCTTAACCTCTAAACTGTATTGATTCAAACTAAAGCTATATAAAGGCCAAACATGAGTCATGCATACTGGGGAGGGCACTCATAGGACTATGAATTATTTGTTTATAAATAATGATGTTGTAGATAACAAAGGCATCCTCATATTCAAGTAACTGTTAGAATGAAGGACAGTTTCTGAGAATAGCGGTGAATGCAGCAACCCAATCGTTAAAACTATTCACATTAGTTCTTTGTTTCCTCTCAAAACTCAGAGGATCTAATCAGAGCCACTGGAGTTACAGTCTTGCTGCGCGATGGCAAACGCCACTCAAGGTGCCACTTTGCAATGATCTTCTTGGAGTGATGATCCTCCTCAGACGCCTACATAACAGGCTTGCAGCATAGCAGCATTTTAGTGACTTTAATGTCTTTTATTATCGATATGTTTTTAACTGTGTTAATATGTAAAAGTTGGTTCATAGATTTTTTTCAAGAGTAATAAAAACCAGGGCCTGTTCGCTCTAAAATGGGGGTGTTGGCCAGGCGCGGTGGCTCACACCTGTAATCCCAGCACTTGGGGAGGCTGAGGTGGGCGGATCACGAGGTCAGGAGATCGAGACCATCCTGGCTAACACGGTGAAATCCCGTCTCTACTAAAAATACGAAAAACAAAAAAATTAGCTGCGCGTGGTGGCGGGCACCTGTAGTCCCAGCTACTTGGGAGGCTGAGGCAGGAGAATGGCGTAAACCCGGGAGGCGGAGCTTGCAGTGAGCCAAGATGGCGCCACTGTACTCCAGCCTGGGTGACAGAGCGAGACTCCGTCTCAAATAATAATAACAATAAATGGGGGTGTTAACATGCAACACTCAGTAGGGCTCAACAGAGGAAGAGGAAGCAGCCCTCATACAGGGGAGAGGAGAGGCCGCCCTTAAGCTAAGGGTGTGAGATGGTGGTAGAAAGTGAAAAGGTACTAGTGAAGAAATTATAATGGAAAAGAAGGAAGAAGTGAAGTAGGAAAACACCAGATATGAAATAAAGAGTATGACTATAACTCAGGGATAAAGGTGCAGGAATGTGGCCAAATCCAGAGTTAGGAATGTGAGCAAGTCAGTGGCCAAAAGTCAAAGCCCACCAGGGCGTTCCCCTCAGAAGCTCCCTGAGGGCAGGCATGGGCTGCATGATGGATTGTCGGTGGGCCCGTGTTCTCCTGGAAGAGAAGCATGGCGCTGTATGTCTTTTCCCATTATTTTTCTATGCAACCTCCGTGTGCATCAGAGGTGGTTTCTAGCCAAGGACTGCTGAGCTCTAGGCGTCCTCATGAGAAGCTATGGTGTCATTTTTAATACTTCAGGAAGCTGGAAGAGAATTGTGCATTCACTTAATATAAGCCCGCACCTGCTAAATAAAATGTCAAGTTTAATACTTTTAGCTGGAAACCTGAAAATTCTAAGTGGCAGCACTGTTTCCTTAATACTATAGTTCTGAAGTGTTTTCATATATAGTTTCCTTTAAGCAAATTTGTTTAAAGCTACAATGAATTTCTTATTGCTTAATCGAGGCATTTTGGCAGGAAAGAAGTTTGGGTTTTAGAATCCAGAGGAGAAAGTAAAAGGACTTTTTGCACAGAAATTTTGAGAGGCTCTGGTGTGTTTATTCCCATCACCGCCTCTCCAAGACATCACCAGTGTGTGCCGTGATGGTCACCTCTATGGCTTTTCCTTTGTCACTTCCCACAATCATGTTCCAAAAACTCACCTCAATCATATAACCATATGAAATTCCTCTATTGCCTTCCCTGTGTGTTATATATATGACACAGCTGATTGCTAATAGCAATAGGGCAGCGTAATCTTTTCATAGCTGCCATCATTTACATGACCCCCATATTGAAGTACGTAGAAACCATATTTCTCTTTTCAGCATCCCCAAAAGCCAATACAGAGACCTCGGAAAAAAATATATATGTGTGTGTGTGTATATCTATTATTACATATATGTAATATATGTAACATATATGTATATGTCATACATTAAATACAAAAATATATTATAATTTTGTATTACATATATGTAATATCTATACGTATATGTATATATTAAATATAAAGATTATATTTATAAATATATGTAATACATGACATAAATTATACATAATGTGTGTAATATATGTAACAGTATATAAAAATTATATTTTTTATATTTAGTATTTATACACACATATATATAAAACATTGTTTCTGCATGACATTTAAAAATTGGCTAAAAATGAGATTGTGGTGAGCTGAGGAGATTCCTGATAAATCAGTTGGTATAGAGGCTACAACAAAACCCTTGACCTAAAACTTCTCTGAACGGAAGAGTTGATGACTGTGAAGCTCAAGTGATGCAGGAATGACACTGGGGAATGTACACAGAGTTTTGCAAGGTTTGAATATGAAGAGAATTCTTGCAGCTTTAATGATTTTTGCAAATTTGGTGAAAGACAGATATAAAGGGTTTTCTTTTAAGTGGTATAAAATTCATTAAGCTTTGAGGGAAGAAAAAACCCACAGAAAAGCCTGAGGGGAGGAATCATCGAAAAGGGAAGTATAGGTAGTCTGTTTAGATTAAATTCAGAGCTGTGAAATTGAAAACTGTTTACCCAGCCCTGTATCCAGTCTCACTTGAATCCTGGTTCCAATTTAATGATGTTTGGTCTTTGCTAGAGTCCACTGCATAGTGTTGGATAGATATTATATATTAAGAAGCTTTCCTTTCTTATTGACTGTGACTTTTTTAAACAAAAACCATAAATATCTTATATTCTCTTTTGTTAAAGTATGAGCTCTAGGTGAATGTTTTTCTTTAGCCTTAAGCTGCATGATAGTTGATTTTATGTGTCAACTTGACTGGGCTAAGGGATGCCCAGATAGCTGGTAAAACATTGTTTCTGGGTGCATCTGTCGGGTGGTTCTGGAAAGATTTGCATTTGAATTGGTAGCCTGAGTAAAGCAGACCTCCTTCCCCAATGTCGTTAAACCACTTCCAAAGCTTTGAGGTCCCAGATAGAACAAAAAGGTGGAGGAAAGCTGAATTTGCTGTCTGTCTCATTGCCTGCACCATGTAAACAACCTTCTCCTGCCCTGAGGAATCCTGGTTCTTAGGCCTTCAAAATGTTGCCCTGGCTTCCAAAGGTCTCCAGCTTGAAGAGAGCAGATAGTGGGACTTATCATCAGCCTCCATAATTACATGAGCCAATACCTTAAAATAAATACTGATGTATATTTTATTGGTCCTGTTTCTCTGGAGAATCTTGCCTAACACACCTGAAGCTCTCATTTGCATGTCCATTTTGTCGCCTATATTGAGTTCATTCCAGATTGAGGGCGGTAGCAAGGTGGCAGGGATACTGCTGGAAGATGCCATTCGGCTGAGCACTGGTTGCATCTCCTGATGTTAGTTGAATCTTCAATCTTCTCAGCATTTTGTCAGTCTCTCATGAATGAACTCAAACTAATGTAATTTTAAAAGACTGATATAACTGCTGCAGGAGCAAATGCTATCTATTGAGAACTACCTTGTGTAGGCTACTTTATATTAAATTATCACATTTAATCCTAAATATTAAAGACGTGGCAACTAACATTCAGGGGAGTGAATTTCTCACCCAAGTCCACACAATTCATATGTGCCTGGGTCAGAGCCACAAAGGCTGTCTGACCCTAAACCAATGTCCTTGCTGAAAAAGGCCATGCTGCCTGCAGAGAACCAGCTCCTTCATTTATAATGAAAAGCATATCTAGGTGTGGATTGGATGAGATGCTTATCCATTTTTTAGATCAGCATATTTTCTCCCTGTGGGTATTCAAAGAAGAAGCCAAATTATAATCAGACTATAGCTTAGTGAGCCAGGAATCAGGATGGAGAGGGAGGCGAGAAAGGTTGTGTGATTTAAATACATAGATGATGGTTTGATAGATGCAGCAAACCACCATGGCACATGTAAGCCTGTGTAACAAACCTGCACATTCTGCACATGTATCCCAGTATTTAAAGTAAAATCTAAAAATAAATAAAAATATTTTTAAAAATACATAATGGCATAGGCTAAGATAGGCTGAGATCAACTGAGTTATCTCTTTTACAGTTGAGATATTAGTGACCTAGAAACTAAATCTACTCATTCTGTGAAACTGGGGTCTGGACACTCATCTACTATGCTATAGATATTGTGTTGGGGCTAGGGACATGTGATGGTCAGGACACTGTTTCTACCCTCAAAAATAACTCCTGAGCCAGTGGGAGAAAAAGACAAGTAAACAGGCAGTTTGGGTTCAGTGGTGATGATTATAAGGATAATGTTTCGGAAGCACACAGAAAACATCTAAAGCAGACTGTGAAATCAGGGACGTTTTCTCACAAGCAGGTGCAGACTGAAATCTGGAGGTTGAGTAGTGCTAATCCAGGTGAAGAGGGTTGGAGGAAGATGGCATGAAGGAGGGTAGTGAAGACCAAGGGAACTGCAGAGTCTTTTTTAGGTGGGAAAAAAACAGAGTGGCTTTCTCGACACTAAGAGTTTGCTGTGGCTAATGTGTAGAGCAAGAGAGAAAATTGTTAACTGGAAAAATAAGGAGATACCAGCACAGGAAATGCTTGAGCAGCACTAAGCATTTTGATATTATTCTGATGGTATTGATGCCACAGGGTGTCATAATCATACCTACATTTTGGTGTCAGTGTGAAATGCACTGGAGGGCACCCAGACTGGAGATGGAAGAATCCGTTCTTGAGGCAAGTGGTGATGGCAGCCTGAACCAAAGGAAATAGGAATGAGAGAATATCGAAAGCGGTGGAGTACAGAGAAGAGGATTTAGTGACAAATTGGATGTAGGAAGTGAGAAAAACCAGGACACAGGGATGTCACCCAGATTTCTAGATTTCTTTAAGTGCGCTGATGCAGAAGAAATACAAGAGAAAGAAGAAATGAGAGTTTTGTTTATTTGGGTTTTTTTTCGGGGGAAGAAGTTTGGTCATATTTTCCCTGAGATGCCTGGGAAATATCTATGAGACAATGTCTATGGAGAGATACAAAGTTTAAAGCTTAGGTGGAATATCTAGGCTGAAATAGATACTGAAAAAGAGCAAAATCAACATGCAGATGGTAATTTAAGCCTTTAGAGAGCAGGAACTTACCAAGGGAAGGATGGTTCCCTAAGGGGTAATAAATAAATGGTATGAACCAGTGAGGAGGAGCCAAAATGTGTATGAGAAGTCACAGCACAAGAGGTAAGAGGAAAGCCTAGAATGTGTTTGTCACCAAGATCAAAAGGTGAAAGAGTTTCAAGAGAGATCCTTGTTCAACGATCTCAAAGACTTCAGAGAGGTCAAAAAAATAGTCACCATGGAAAGCAATCCCATTTACAGTAGCACCAAAAAGAATAAAATACTTGGAATAAACTTAGCCAAGGAGGCAAAGACACATACCCTGAAAACTATAAAATACTGAGGAAAGAACTTAAGCCACAAATAAAGATGAATTCTGACTTACGATGATTCGACTTAACAGTTTTTGTTTTTGTTTTTTTTTGACAGAGTCTCAACCTTTTCCTTAGGCTGGAGTGCAGTAGCATGATCTTTGGCTCACTGCAACCTCTGCCTCCCAGGTTCAAGTGATTCTCCTGCCTCAGTCTACCAAGTAGCTGGGATTACAGGCATGCACCACCAAATCCAACTAATTTTTGTATTTTCAGTAGAGACAGGGTTTCACCATGTTGGCCAGGGCTGGTCTCGAACTCCTGACCTCAAGTGACTCACCTGCCTCAGCCTCCCAAAGTGCTGGGATTACAGGCGTGAACCACCTAACCTGGCAACTTACAATTTTCTGATTTTATGATGGTGCAAAACAGATACACGCTCAGTATGCTCCTCAACTTATGATGGAATTATATCCAGAAACACTCATAGTAACTTGAAAATATCATAAGTTAAAAAATGCACTTTTACAGTATTTTCAACTTATAATGAATTTATAAACCCTATTGTAAGTTGAGGAACATCTGCAAGTGAAAAGACATTCTGTGTTGAAGAACTGGAAGGCTTAATATTGTTAAAATGTTCATACCATCCAAAGCAATCTACAGATTCAATGCAATCTTTCGTAAAATTCCAATGACGCTTTTTGCAGATATAGAAAAGAAATCTTAAAATTCATACGAAATCTTAAGGGATACCAAATAGCCAAAACAATTCTGAAAAAGAACAAACTTGAAGATGTCATACTTCCTGATTTCAAAACATATTACAAAGATAAAATAATCAAAACAGTGTGATACTGGCATAAAGGCACACATATAGACCAGTGGAACAGAATAGAGAGGCCACAAGTAAACCCTCACATATATAGTCACATGATCTTCAACAGTGGTGTCAAGACCACACTATGGGGAAAGGACAGTCTCTTCAACAAATGATGTTGAAAAATTGGATACCACACACAAAAGAATGAAGTTTGGCCCTTACCTTATATCATATATAAAAATTAGCTCAAAATGGATTAAGGACCTTAACAAAAGACCTAAAACCATAAAGCTCCTAGAAGAAAACAAGGCAAAAGCTTCATGACATTGGAATTGTCAATGATTTATTGGATATGGCACAGACAGCAAAAGCAAAAATAGGAGACTGCATTAAACTTAAAAACACTTGCACGTCAAAGGAAACAATCAATAGAGTGAAAAGCCAACCTATGGGATTGTAGAAAATATTTGCAAATCGTGTGTCTGATGAGGAGTTAATATTGAGAATATGAAAGAGCTCCTATAGTCAACAAGAAAAATACAAATAATCTGTTTTAAAAATAGGCAAAATACTTAAGCTGACATTTATCTAAAAAAGGTATACAAATGGCCAAGTAGATGAAAAGATGTTCAACATCACTAATCATTAGAGAAATGCAAATAGAAACCACAATGAGATACCACTTTATACCTATTAGAATGGCCACTATCAAAAAAAAAAACAGTTTGGCAAGAATGTGAAAAAATTGCAACATTTGTACTTTGTTGATGAGAATGTAAAATGGTGCTGCTGCTGCGGAAAACAGTATGGCAGTTCCTCAAAAAATTAAAAGTAGCATGATCATATGATAAAATATACTTCTGGATATGTATATCCAAAAGAAATGAAAATAGAATCTCAAAGACATATTTGCACACTCATGTTCATTGCAGTATTTTTCACAATAACAGAAGGTGGAAGCAACCCTAGTGTCCACCAGTGGATGAATAGATAAACAAAATGTGGTATCTACACGCAAGGAAATATCATTCAGCCTTAAACATGAATAAAACTCTGACACATGCTACACATGGATGAACCTTGAGGACATCATGCTAAGTGAAATAAGCCAGTCACAAAAAGACAAATTCTGTATGGTTTCTCTTATGTGAGTTTATCTAAAGTAGTCAAATTCAGAGAAACAGAAGACAGAATGAGAGTTGCCAGGGGCTAGGGAGGGGAGTAAACCCATTGTTGTTCAATGGGTACAGAGTTTCCACTTTGAAAGATGAAAAAGTTCTGGAGATCTGTTGTACAACAATGTGAGTATGTTTAACACTGCTGAACTGTACACTTAAAATGGTTAAGATGGGGCTAGGCGTGGTGGCTCACGCCTGTAATCCCAAAACTTTAGGAGGCCGAGGTAAGCACATTGTTTGAGCCCAGGAATTTGAGATCAGCCTGCGCAACGTGGCAACACCCTGTCTCTACTAAAAATACAAAAAATTAGCCTAGCCGGACATGGTGGCGCATGCCTGTAGTCACAGCTACGTAGGTGGCCAAGGTGAAAGGATTGCTTGAGCCCAAGAGATCAAGGCTTCAGTGAGCTGTGATCATGCCATTACATTTCGGCCTGGGCAAGAGTGAGACCCTGTCTCAAATAACAACAACAACGACAAAAATGATCAAGATGGCAAAATTTATGTTGTATGTTTTTTACCACAATTAATTTCTTTTATTTAAAACTGATCATATTAACAATAAGGAGGTGGTTAGTGAAGGCAATAAGAGCAAGCTCAGGGCCTTCGATGATACAGAGCTGGGTTGCAGAGGATAGGGAATCAATGACGGGTAAGGAAGTGAAGGTGGATCACCAACCTTTTCCTCAAACGCCTCATACTCTGTTTCCAGATAGACCACCTGGTTGCTGGCTGATTCTTAATTTTGTTAGATATGTTAACACCATTTGCTACAGTGCTACCCAACCTTTTGCCATTGTGGTATGCATAGAGAATGATATTTGTACAACACGCTGAAGTCAATAGGTAGGAAGCAAAAGCAGCTGGAAATATCAGATATCAAGGATTCCTGATGCTCCAGGGAACAGCTGCCCAGGAGCGAGAGGACCGTACCCTGAAGAACCTATAAATCATTAGTGGCTGAGAGTTGAAAAACTCTGCATTTCACTCAAATCTGTTGATGCTACCTAACTCCACTTGAAGCCATTCTTTCAATCTTTTGGTCAGAGATGACTCTTTTGAGGTCAGTTTATTATTGCCCATAACTTTCCATGATGTAAATCTCAAAAGATCAGCTTATAGAGCATTTGATCTGCTATTTCTGAAATAGCTACTTACTTTTATAATAAATTCTTACTTTTATAATAAATGTTAGACTTTTTATAATAAATTCTCTGTCACACTAAGACATAAACAGCAATAAAATTGGTTTGAAGAAATGAAATGGCTAAGACAGAACAGTTTAGATCAAGGTTTAAGCCAAGAAGTCACAACAGAGGCTCAGAATTTGGGAATATCAATTATCAACATAAAAACAACAGCCTAGGAATCTAGAAGTCATTCAAAAAGTAGAAATATGGGAGGCCAAGGTGGGAGGATCGCTTGAGCCCAGTAGTTGGAGACCAACCTGGGCAATATAGTGAGACCCTCATCTCTACAAAAAATAAAAATTATCGCAGTGTGGTGGTCCATACCTGTGGTCCCAGCTGCTTGTGAGGCTGAGGTAGGAGAATCACTTGAGCCTGGGAGGTCAAGGCTGCAGTGAGCTGTGATTGTGCCACTGCATTCTAGCCTGGGCAACAGAGAAAGACCCTGTCCCCCCAACCCCCCAAGAAAGATAAAGATAGAAACAGCCAACTGGATTTTTACAGTCAAATAAGTATAGGTGGGAGATTCAAAAAGTCAGTTCAAAACAGAAGTACCTGTTAGAATTGATGTTCTCCTGATATGAGTGGAATTCTGTCCCTCAAATAGGTACGTGGAAGCCCTACGCCTCAGTCCCTGTGAATGTAACTTGATTGGAAATAGGGTCTTTGTAGATGCAATCAGGTTAAGATGAGGTCATTAGGGTGGACTCAATATGACTGTTGTCCTCATAAAAAGAGAAGAGACACAGACACAGACACACAGAGAGAGCACTGTGTGATGATGAAGCCACAGACCAGAGTGATGTGGTCCACAAGGAACACCCAGGATTGCTGGCATCACAAGCAGCTGGAAAAGTCCCATGGAGTAGACCCCCCTCAGAACCTCCAGAAGGAGCTTGCCTTGCTGACATCTTGATCTCAGACTTCCAGCCCCCAGAAATATGAGACAATACATTTCTGTTTTCAGCCACCCAGTTTTTTGGAACTTTGTGGCAGCGGCCCTAGACAACTAACACACCTCCAGAGCCTTGTTCTCTGGACTCAAGAAGAAACGATCCCTTCTAAAGCTGGCAAGTAGCCTGGCTGAGAGCATGGGGCAGCAGGGAACAATGGACGTACCCTTGGAATCCTACGCCAGCCTGCGCCACCCTGGAGCAGCTTTCTCAGCAGTTGGAGTTATTTTCTTCTGCCTTTCTTTGATTATAGGAATCAAACCCCATCATAGTAAAATTTTATAGACTTGAGACTTTCTTAGAGGAAAGGTTTCTGTAAGCCCTTCCAAAATTTCATGTCATGTGTGATTAACTCAAACCAGAAGGACATTGTTTTAGAGACCTTTTCTTTGCCTCATCCATGGGTACTCGGGACTGTTTTGTTAGCATGATCTCTCTTACCATGGAACAAACATGAAACTACACACCTAAGATTGTCCACTCGAGTCTACAATGGTGGGTTGTCGGTTGTATCATTCTTTAATTGTGCTAATTCAGAATTATTTTCATTCTAGTTTCCACAGCACTCTGCAAGGTAACCCTTCAATTAAAATATATATATATATAGGCCAGGCATGGTGACTCACACCTGTAATCCCAGCACTTTGGGAAGCCGAGGCAGGTGGATCACCTGTGGTCAGGAGTTTGAGACTAGCCTGGCCAATATGGTGAAACCCTATCTCTACTAAAAATACAAAAAATTAGCCAGGCGTAGTGGCGGGCGCCTGTAGTCCTAGCTACTTGGGAGACTGAGACAGGAGAATCACTTGAACCCAGGAGGCAGAGGTTGCAGTGAGCTGAGATCGCGTCTGCGAATCTCCATCTCAACAAGAGTGAAACTCCATCTCAAAAAAATAAATAAAATAAAATATAGTGGGATTTGGAGGGAAGATGTGCCCAAACAGGAGAGAAGCTCACACTTCAACTCCAACTGAACACCACCCACTGCTTAACTGTAAGGATGCTATTTTATTTTGTTTCCTTTAATCAAGAGAACAAAATTGTTAAGAAGCATGAGCTTACTGCACTGTACCATTGAAAACAGCAAGGATGATAAGGAAGAGCAACCTCGCAGCACTTTTTCTTTCAGATCCTGTCACAGGCAGTGGGAAACTAGATTGCAATGGTTCTAAGAGAAAAGCATGACAGTTTTCAGTTTTATGCGGTGCCTGGCAGTTGTTGAATTACAAAAAGGCACTCTTATAGTTGTGTTAAGATTTGTTGTGAGGAGTTAGAATAGTGAGGTTTACCCTGTGTGGACCTACACATTAAATAGGAACATGCTGGAGCTGGAGTCATTGCCCTGATTCCTTTTGAACTCAACTTTCACACAGTCCGTTTGGATCTTTTTTCAAGTAATTCATGTACTTTTCCGTTCTTCTGGAAGCATCCTCACAATCTGCTTTATCATCCATTCTTCAAATATTTGAGTCCCTACCATGTGTACAACGCTAGGCCAGGTACAATAATAAGTAAGTTCTTTGCTCCCATGGAGCCTTCTGGTCTAATAGGGGAGTTGGATGTAAATCAAGTAATTAAAATAATTCCTAACTGTGTAAAGATTGAGATGAGCTTTCTTCAGAAAATAACATCATTTAAGGAGAGACACTCGTAGAAGACCCCGACACAAATGGTGGTCAGGGGTGAGGATGAAGAAAGTTACAGGAGAGCTAAGTTTTGCAAGATGAGCCTTGTGGACTTCACGGAGGTGTGGTGGGTCAGGGGAGGGGAGCACAACTCCAGGGAGAAGGGAAAGCCTCTGTGCACCCAGAATGCAGGAAGACCAGGGTGGAGTGGTATAGAGTAAGTGTGGAAAAGTCAGCAGGGCATGAACCATGCAGTGCCTTGAGAAACACGGTAAGGTCATTTACCATTTGTTTTTTGTTTGTTTGTTTGTTTTGAGACAGTCTCACTCTGTCACCCAGGCTGGAGTGCAGTGGTACAGTCTTGGCTCACTGCAACCTCTACCTCCAAGGTTCAAGCGATTCTCCTGCCTCAGCCTCCCGAGTAGCTGGGATTACAGGCGTGCGCCACCACTCCTGGCTAATTTTTATATTTTTAGAAGAGACGGGGTTTCACCATGTTGGCCAGGCTGGTCTTGAACTCCTGACCTCAGGTGATCCGCCTGCCTTGGCCTCCCAAAGTGCTGGGATTACAGGCATGAGCCACCATACCAGCCAGAACATTTACCTTTAATGTTTACCTTTAACCTGAGCCACTGAAAGCTTATAAGATGGGAGGCAGTGGTGAACCAGAGAGCTGTTTGGAAAATAAAATCAAGAGGGACTTGGTGATAGGTTGGATTTAAAGACATGAGTGAGAGAGTCTCAAAGATGATTCCTGGTTTCAGGTTTCTACAGTTGCATGAATGAAATGTCATTAACTGAGTTAAGAAACACTAGCATACAACCGTATTTGGGGGAAACGTTCATCAACTCAGCCTTGGGCATGTTGAGTTGGTGAATCTTTCAAGATGTCTGAACAGAGATGCCTAATAGTTGTGTATAGGTCTGGAGTTCAGGGGAGAAGGATGGCTGCCTAGAGATATAAATGTGGACATTCAATGTAATTCTCAATTATTTATTCAGGTGCTGTTCTAGACATGTGGCGTAGGTCAATGAACAGAACAGACAAAAATGACTGCCTCCTTTGAGCTTCAGTCCTAGTAAAGTTCTCCATGTTTTCATAATACTGGAAGGTGTAAATCTGGATGAGATTGTATAGGGTGGGAAGAAAAAATATGCTGGAGCCTTGAGGAAGAGCAACATTTAATAACTGCTGGTGTTTGCCTTTATGGTAACTCAACCTGTCTCTGTTTTCCTCCTTGTGTATTTTCACTTTCAGTTCCATTGCAAATAGTCAACATTTTCTGTATCTCAGGTTCAAAACTTGATCAATAAGAACAGATTTGGTCGATCCAGCTAATCAATATGATTCCTTTTAGGCAGGAATTTCATCTCTGATTGCCTCGCAATGCTGGCCAGTCTTATAGAAAGTCCCTGTCTTTGGCCCGGTTTCTGGCTCAACCAGCTTTGACAAGGGTGATGAGTTACTTTGTACCATAAGGCAATTTATAAGGAAGAAACACCTTCATAAAAAAAAACAAAAACAAAACAAAACAAAAAACAGAACAGGCAGACATTTGGAGAACTCACCTGCATATTACAGAGAGATTTAATATGTTTATCTATTGCATGCCACTGTAATTTAACAGTCTAGGCAAAGGTAACAGAAAAGAGGAGCTGAGATAATCCAGCTCCTCCCCAACCACTCATTCAGGAGGAAGCAGATGTGAGTGCCATTGTAGGGTCCTGAGGGAGTATTGGTTCCCATTTCCTAGCCTGCCCCTCCTCCCCACGCTTGGTCAGTTACACCTTCATATGGCTCCTGTTCTCACTTTACCTCTCTGCTTTATGATAAGCGCAGATAAAAGGCAAGAGACACAGACAAAGCGAAAAAGAAGGAAGAGGGAAGGAAATTTAGAAGGGACCTTGCAAACATTTTCCTTCCACTGAGTGGTCCACAGGAGGAAACAATGAAAACTTCTCTCTCCTTTGGGAGGCCAAGGCGGGCAGATCACAAGGTCAGGAGATCGAGACCATCCTGGCTAACATGGTGAAACCCTGTCTCTACTAAAAATACAAAAAATTAGTCAGGCATGGTGGTGTGTACCTGTAGTCCCAGCTACTCAGGAGGCTGAGGCAGTAGAATCGCTTGAACCCAGGAGGCAGAGGTTGCAGTGAGCCGAGATCGCACCGCTGCACTTCAGCCTGGGCGACAGAATGAGACTCCGTCTCAAAATAAAATAAAATAAAAATAACAAAAAATAACAAAAAACAAAAAAAACCTTCTCTCTCACTAACAAAGAGATGTGATTTTGGAGAAATGTCTTCCCTCTCTTTCAGTTTTACCAAATCTAACTTGGGTATCTTTAGATCCGGTGTGCCCTCTTTTCTTTGATGACACGAGTCCTAACTCCTATATATTGTCTTATATGATTGTTTTATGTCATCCAAGCTGGCACTTATATCATCTCCCTGGTCTCATAGGCATTTAAATCTGGGCCCCTGCACTAGACCCTGACAAGATCTCTTCTAGATCTAAAATTCTCATCCGGGAAAGAGTCGAGAGCTGTCATTACTGGGACACCTGTAGCTGTATACTTCATTATGACAGATCTGTTGTTTATGTCCAGTGTCTCTTCTGATTTTGGGGTGTTCATGCTGCATGGTTTTCTAATATACGTAGTTCTAATATGTTCTCTGTTCATTACTGCGAATTTCTGCTCCGACCCCTGGCCACCTACACAAACCGCAATCCCCAGCATAGGCAACATGTTAGTAACCACCCGGAGGGGGCGACTGCAAGCCATGATGAAGAGCTGGGTCTACCATGTACCTGACCTGTGCTGCAAGCTCTGGCACTAGAGCTGGGGTCACAGGGCCCTAGATAAGTAATCTCCTCTGAGAATAGTCAGATTTTGTCAATACATACAATTTTCTCTTAGCAGAAATCTTGGTTGTATTAATAAATGCTGTCATTGACAGCATTGCTTTGTATTTGTACATGGATCAAATGAAAGAATAAAAGTCAGGAAAGTGATGATATTCATTCCTTGCCATTTACTTAATATGCCATCAAACTTTCCCACTTTCCTATTATTTTTTCACTCTGGGAGTTTAGGAAAGGGAATTATATGACTACCTGGATTCTCATATGCCTTCAACATATTTTTAACTGGATCATTTCATCTTACTCTGGATTTGTGCCTAAAATCTCAGTGCTAAGTGCTCTATCTTCTAAATTGAGATTCCACCTTCCAAAGATGACTGGTGGTCCTCTTATTCCTGATTATCTTCCCAGCTCACACTCCCCCAGATGAAATAAGGAGAGTGCTGTGGGAGGAAAGTTGTGGTAGAATCATCAGTAGCAGTGTTTACGGAGAGAGATTATTCCTCCTTTGCCAAAGCGCAAGAGAGGACTTCCAGAGAATCACTTGTAGGAGTGAGGAGTACCAGTCAAACAGAAAGAGACTGGCTCTTCTATCTGGAAGCTTGGAAACCCGTAGCTCTACTCAGTTCAGCCACTAGATTACAGCAAGCTGAGTTGGTTGTGAAAGGAAGCTGGCATCTTCCTTCTGAAGAATGGTGCAGATGGGGGTAGAGTGAACCTGCCCTTGCGTGACATAGACAGTTCTGAAAGTCAGAGGCCAGCCAGAGTACAGCTAGCAGTAGCTTGTCAAGAAAGGACTGTCAAGAAGAATATTTTCTAAGATTAATGCTGGGCTGGGGGAACCCCACCCCTTTCTCCTTCTCTGCCACCTCAGACAGTGCAGAGGGGAGCTCAGCGGTGCCCATGACAGATGTTAGAGGAAGGTTGGGGAGGCAGAGGGCTGCACAGGCAGAGGCCAAGCCAAGACATGCTCATTCAGGAGAGGATTAAAGGAAGGACCTAAGGAAGACAAGATTCTCTTTCTCTTAGGACGTCTTTGGCTGCGGAAGACCAGAGTAAAACTCTCCTTATACAAAAAAGAAATCACACAAATTATATGTTAACCCTATCAACAAAGGACATAAGTGCTGAATGGGTGTAGATCCAAACCAAACTAGAAGGGAGGTCAGTGGTTTCCTAAGATAATACCTTCTGCTCCTAACTCTCCACTCTGACCCCAACTTTGGAGGAGCTACACCCAAAAGAAGAAGATGTGGAGCAATGAAAGAAAAGACAGTTGGTTGCTCACCCTGTAATCTCAGCACTTTGGGAGGCTGAGGTGGGTGGATCACAAGGTCAAGAGTTTGAGACCAGCCTGGCCAACGTGGTGAAACCCTGTCTCTACTAAAAATACAAAAATTAGCTGGGTGTGGTGGCGCCTGCCTATAATCCCAGCTACTCAGGAAGCTGAGGCAGGAGAATTGCTTGAACCCAGGAGGCAGAGGTCGTAGTGAGCTGAGATCACGCCATTGCACTCCAGCTCTGGGCAACAGAGCAAGACTCCATCTCAGGAAAAAAAAAAAAAAAAGACCATGTCCCCTCCCTAGCTCAAAACCATATGTCATACTGTCATGTAATGGGGTGAGGAAGAAGGGAGGTTTGAATCAGATATGAGACTAGACTGCACTGAAGTAAATTTTTAATAACCAAAGTTGACCAAAAAGTTAGGGAATTAACTAGGGATAACAACCAGTCTTTTATCCTCATTTATAATCCAACTTTCCTATAATTGAGGATGACTGATTTCACTGTTGGCCTTCCCTTACATTCCACTTGGAGCATTACTCAGTGAGAGGTAGGGCATCCCCAGGCACAGTGAGAGGTGAGACATTCCTGGCATTCTGTCACCGTGAAATTTCCAGTCCTCATCTTGTGTTTTCTGTAATTCAGCTCTAAAGCCAGCCATTTCTTCAAAGAGTGCTGATTTGTTTTATTGGAGAATGGTATTTAGGGACCAAAAACCTAGCACTAGGTTTCTCATTGTTTCCAGTATATCAGTGTTTCTAGGCTCTCTCAGCAAGAAGAGCAGGGAAATACATGTATGTGTACTAACTCAAGTACACACATACATGTATTTAGCTAGTTTTGTATATATTTACCTATCTATGCATGTGTCTTACATAACCATAGAACCATCTGCCTTGATAACTTGTACTCAGGTATTAACAATATACTAATTTTGTTAGATTGTTACTGGGACATGAGTGCAGTATATACATGTTATTTTCTTTAATGTTATCCCTATTTCCACTTGTTTTTAATAAAATATGTGGATTAATGTGAATTTTCATAGTGTATCTAATAAGCCCTTTTATCAACATAGGAGACATTTAAAAACTATTCATTTGACCACAGACATACACAAAAATGATAATTGGAAATGCATGATTGTGGCCAGAAAAGAAATTACTTAAGGGAATAGGACACTGCTGGGGTCCAAGACCCCAATGTTAAGACTGCATTCCAAAGTACGTATTTTCCATGCCTCTAATTTAAAGTGTCATATTTATTTGATAGTAAATACCATTACTGATACAACGTTACATGCACACTAAGTGCAACAAATAAGGGAATTTTCTATAGAAAATGAGAGCCAGAGTTCATACCATCAGAGAAAGAAGTTATAAATGAGCAGAGGGGAGATGCCACAGGAGAACCTGTGGGGCTAGATTAGGAGTATCAGTAAGAACTCAGCTTATTTTAAGAGAGAGGATAGGTAGGTAGTTACATGCATATATATATATATACCTGCATACATATGGTTGGAGGGTTATGTAAGATACATACGTAGGTAAATATATACAAAACTAGGTAAATGTGAGAGAGTGTGTGTACATGAGTTAGTATACATACATGTATTTCCCCGCTCTTTCTGCTGAGGGAGCCTAGAAGTAAGGATATACTAGAAACAATGAGAAACCTAGTGCTGGGATTTTGGTCCCTAAATAACATTCTCCAATAAAACAAGTCGGCACTCTGAAGAAATGGCTGGCTTTAGAGCTGAATTAAAGAGAACACAAGATGAGGATAGGACATTTTGTGGTGCCAGAAAATAAAGAAGAGCTAAAAAGGAAAAAACAAACAAGCAAACAAACAAACAAACAAAATAGATAGAAGTATGTCTGAAGACTAGAGAAGCCGACTGAAAGTGCCCCCAGTGGCCAAAGCAGGAAGACTTTGAGCAATGAAATGAATAAGGAAAGTACTGGGTTATAACCCAAAGAATACAATAAATAGTCACAAATACATATTTATACAGATACATGATTGAATAAATAAATAAAGGAGGAGGGACAACTGATTCTCTCAGAATAATTCCAAGTAAGAAATGTAGAGAAATAGAAATAATAGAATAATAAATGAAGTAAACAGAAAATTGCCATTAGGAAACTATTGTTGTAATTGCCACAGACAAGAGCTGATGAATACCAAAATTAGTATGTGAAACTTTAAGGAGAAATAAAACATTTGCATGGCCTCAAAGTGTCCTCTCCAAGTCTTTTTTTAATTATTGTAGCAGCTTTAACATCCACCCACAAATTCTTTGATACTCCTCCTTCCTAAGAGATAAAGCTTTAATTCTTCTAAGTGTCAGTTGGAGTCAGTGACTTGCTTCAAGCCAATGGAGTAGGAAAAGAGAAACACTGAATGTAACTTTATAATGCAGAAACCTGGCAGACATCACCTTACCCAAGTAAGGACAGTTAACCTCAATGTCATATACACACTGATATGACGAGAAGGGCGTATCATCTCCATGGTATTTGTCCCAAAAATGTATAAGCTCAGTCTAATCATGAGAAAAGATCAGACAACCCAAAATTGGGGGACACTCTGCAAATTACCTGACTGATACTCCTCGAAACCATCAAAGTCATTAACAACAAGAAGAATTAGAGGAATTGTCACAGCCAAGAGAAACTTCAGATGTGACAATGAAATGCAATGTGGTTTCCAGGATGAGCTCCTGGATCAGACGAAAGTCATTCGTGCAAAAACCTGGGAATTCCCAATAACTTCTTTAGTTAAAAGTATTTGACCAAGGTTAATTTTGTAGTTTTGATAAATGTTCTATGGTATATAACATGCTGGGTCAAGGTATACAGGAACTCTCTGTACTATCTTTGCAACTCTCATGTGAGTTTTAAATTACTTCAAAATAGTGTTTTTGTAAACAGGATGAGAATTTTCTATGGTAAGCTGTAATAATGCAACATAGAAATTAGCTCCTGTGTTGCCTTGTTCAAAGATATGTACATCTGTGTAGCTTTCTGCCATGAATACGTTGTATCAAGTTTATACTTTATTATTCTTTTTTGATCTTAAAAAGCTGGGAACACACACTTTATCAAGAGCCAAATGCTTTTTGTGATTTTGTTTCTAATAGAAAATCTGATGTAACTTGTCATTACTCCTCTTTCATCTTTGCCAGTAATATAACTCATCTGAAATCGGCAGACTTGCTTGTGCTGGATAATATAGATGATTCCATATTGTAAAGGCTCTAAGAAAACAATAATAGAATGAAGAGAAATATTACAAATGATCCTCTTCTGCCTGTTGATGGGACTCCGTTAGTGTTGCCTTCTTGTTCTCATCTCATCACCATTGGATTATCATTGTATTGTGTGCACAATTTGAGGCCACAGGGCCACAGAGAGTTGTGCCCTTAATTAAAAATGCATCATGCTAGTAGGGGAAAAGCACACGTAATTAGAAAGTTATAGTGCAAACCCCTGAGCAAGGTGCAACAGAGGGAGATGTGACTAAATGCAAGGTGCACAGAGGAAGATGTGCCTAATTTGGTTTAGAGGCAGGTCCTGGAAGATGTGTCTAAAAATGATGCATAAAATTTTCTTAGGAAAACGAGAGAAAATATCCCATATAAGAGGAATAACAGGCACAAGATTCACAAGTAAAAGTGTACCAATTGCTTGAAAGTGTTGTTTTGGTGTGGCAGTATACAACAGTTTTAGAAGCTCAAGCTCTGGAATCAGGAAAATTGTTGTCAAATTCCAGTTCTGCCACTTCTAGCTATGTGACTTCAGGCAGCTAATTGAAGCTCCATGGACCTGTTTCCTCATCGATGACATTGCATAATATGGAGCTAATTATGGTACCGACATCAGGGAGCTAATTTTTAGGGTTAAATAATATTAGCATAAAGTGTTCAGCATCATATCCAGCACGCGTGTTTACTGCTTCACCTACCAGTTGTTATTCTGAGAAATATTCCTGGAGAAGATGGTTTTGGAAGGATTTATAAGAGTTAAATAAGTGTATTGCAGGCATGGGGAGCAGTATCTTCATGTGACATCCCTGTGTGAGGGGGGCACAGACCTACAGGTTAGAGCATAGAGGGCAAAGCACTGGAAGACCCGCTTATGCCATGCTAAGAAGATTAGAATTTCTTCTGTACATAATTGATAGTCTTTGCATTACTTTAAGGACCAGAGGGACATAAAGGTATTTCTTTTCTAGATGTTCTAAAAGATTGGTTTAAAGGGAAAAAACTAAGACAGAAAGCCAGTTAGGAAGGTTTCAGGAGTCTCAACGAGATGAAATTTGGATGACCAATTGACCATTGGATTCAGCAAAATGGGAAATACGCTGACTTTGCCAAGAGCAGCCCCACTGAGGCAGGGGGGGACACCTGAGACAGGAGAGGCTGGAAGAGGGGTGGGAAGCGATATAATGGTGCTGTAAGCATCTCTTTGAAGAAGCAACCTTAAATAGCAAAGGAGGCATGATCAGGAGAAATGGTTTAACTGCCTATTTTCGTTTTCATTTTTACAACCAAGAGTCTTGAGAAAACAATCCAATCAACATAGCAAACGAGAAGAAATTGGGGAAAGAGGGAGAGGTTGAGTTGTCTCAGATTAGCCAGAGGGAAGGGACTCAAGCACACATATGTGTCACCCCATTCATATGGGTGAAGTCCTCCTCCTGTAGAGCAAGCAGTCACTGTGGCATGGTGATAGCTTTGGTTTGTATAGCACATTTCCCTTGAGTAATTCAAATTACAGGCATATTGCTATCTCACTTACACGTCTGGCATTTATATGAAAGACTAAAGATCCTCATTTTTTATTTGAGAACACTGAAATCCAAAGGGGTGAAGAGATTATAAAACTGAACAAAAGTTTAAATCCATGTCTTCTTACTTTGTTTTTTACTGTTTTTACTTATGCTATCTCTGATGTTTTATAAATTAAAAAAAAGAGAAAAATTACATGGGAGTGTATGTGCGTGTTTGTGTGTGTGTAAGTGTGTGTGTGTGTATCCTGAATTCCCTTTGGTGTGACATTTTTCCCTAGCACTTAACGAAGAATCATCTCACAATAAGAACCAAGTATCTAGTTGACATGAAACTCTAATATAATTTCCTCTGAAGTGGAGCAAAAAAGATATATACTTTTTTTTATCACACTGAGCATATTTCTATGACTCAGTAAATTCTCTGATGGAAACAACTGTGTCTCAGTGGAGTAACAAAGGACAGATATAATATAAAATAGAGATGTTTGGGACCTAGAAGAATAAACCTACAAAATCAATCTTTATTCATCACCACTGTCTCTAAGAAATTATTAATTACATTAATGGGATATTAAAGGACAATAATATGAGCAAAATGTGCTCATTCAACATAATTAGGTATTCTGGATTTGAATAGTTTTTTTTTTCTTTTACTAATTCATTAGAGTTGTTGGTTAGCTTAGCCTTGCTGCAAATATTATCTATGTTGTTGCACAAAGTAACCTTCTGAAGGACATTTAAAGCTTGTAAGATCTTAAGGGTTGTGATAACAGCATGAAAGTAAACATTTTATGCACACTTCAGGGATATCATAAGTGGCAGGAATGCAACAGTCTGTTATAAGTGCTCTGCTGAGCTCCCAAACCAACAAACACAAAACAGCCACTTAATTGCCCAGTGCATCCGCCCCTCCGAAAACAGAGCTTCTCTTCATACTTACTTAAGGGACATGCTGCTTGGACGAATGAGTAACCAGCCAGGATACAGCACATGCAGTTAATCAGCTAATGTTATGAACATTTTGGATGTCAGCTATCACATAAAAATGTAGCTTTTATGGCCCATAGGCTAACCAAGAAATGAGCCCTCCAATTTCTATCTGTGGCTTCAGTCGATGCGTCCAAATAATTGAAAACCCCACTTTGACCTTGGATATACTGGGTGTATTAAATATTTTTGTAAAACGGGGAAAAATTAGTGACTTAAACATGTTTTTTGATGAAACGTTTGAAAACTGTACAGTATCGCTGTCTTCTATGCACTAATTTGACTTGGTTGCCTTTTGTCCACAGCAGAAAAGACAGTGCCCACCCACCTGAAGAAATTCTGTATTGGATTTCACAGGCCAGTGAGGGATATTCTTTGTATTTGCATATTAAGGTTTTATAATTACACAGAGGTATTATTAAAAACCAACATGTGTGATCATTATTCCAGATGCCCCATCTGTTTTGACTGTGCGATTTGGGTTGTAAAATCACATATACAAATTAGCAAGAGAAACTCCCTTGAAAAATAATAGTTTACGCCTTAGCAAGACTCTATGTTCTGAATTGCTATGTCATATATATAGATACAGAAAAAATAGCTAAAGCCACTGTGTAAAGAAGCAAAGAGACTTCAGCCTTAATTTATTCACATAACAAAGAGGAGGGACTCCTTTCTTCTGATTGAAGATAATGTGGTTATTTTTCCTATATTGAACAACCAAAAAATATTCTACAGTTACATCAACTCACAAATCTATGCACAGTTTTCAAACTAACACGGACTAGATTTCAAAATGAGAATCTCCCAAGTCTGAATGTTTTTTAAATTGTTTTCTTTTGGGAAATCATACCAAAAAATTACAAAAATTTTTATTTAATGTAATTCTTCAATTCAGTTATTCCTCACAGCAATCAGAAAGGAACTGAAACTGAATAATGTTTGAATATTTTAACAGAAGAAAGCACAGGCTGAAATAGGGAAGATTTAAGCGATGAGGCAGAACACAGTATGTGTCGTGCAGAGCAATTACACCCGAAGTCTCTTGAGAAGTCAGGGAAAGCAGAGGATTTCAGCCGCCCGATGTGTAATGATATCTCAGCCAGGCAGATGCTGAGCCGTAGAATAGCACTGAGCTTAGACGACTTCTAGTTTTAAAGCTCAAGGTTTGAAGTTTGTTTCTTTGATTCTAATTTCATTCTTGCAAATGTGCTTTTCTTTACCATGTGAATGTGTGACAAAGCTATCATTTGATCTCTCGGTTGCAGCCAGACTTCATGCTCAGCTGAGGCCATTATAAACTTCCTTTGTACTGTTCTTTACATTAGATTTTTCAATATGAGAAATAAAATCCTAGGATTCTCTACACTGTGTTCTTTTCCTTCAAGAATCATGATCTTAAAAACACTTTTTAAATGGACATTTACAATTATAATTACTTTATGTTAAAAGATCTTCTTTTCTTGGTATAGTATAATGATCTTAAAAATTCATAACCACTTCTTATAATATATATTATTCATTCATTTGCATCAAAGTAAATTTAATCTTGCAAAATCTTTGCTTAAATGCAAAAAAGGGGAAAGAATTTGGATAAAAGGTAGAATACCATTTCATTACATTTTAAAGAAACTTAATAGTGGCTTCAAAATAACATGTAATACTTTGTGTATCATGGTCACCTCATCCCCCACCACCAACACACACCCTGTCTACTCCCATCTTACTCTTTCTTCCTTTTTCTGTGTCTGTAGCTTGGTCAAAATCATGGGTTGGGAAAGACGTCAAAGTTTTGGTGGCTGATAGTGCCGAAGTAAGAATGGAATAATTTTGCTTAACTGCATCATCTTCCCTTTTGAAAAACTTTTAACTGAACTCTAATATACATATAGAAAGAGGTATAGTATACATTTTTGTAAACTGAACACACCCAGCACCCTGCTCAGGAAATATTGACTGTGCCTTAGAAGCTCCTTTCCATACTCCCTCCCGCTCCCCGCCACCCCCACCCAGGACGACCACTCTGCAGACACCCGGCAGCACACGTCAGTGCCACCTGCTGGTTTAACTTCCTCCACGTGGAATGGAGTACATACAACAGTATGTACTCTGTTGTTGCGTCTGGCTCCCTTCACTCAATGTTATGTTGTGAAATCCACATTTCTTACACTGAGATGTAGTTCACTCATTCAAATATTTAAATAAACCCAAATGTATTTTCCCACTCAACTGCTAGTGGGCATTTGGACAGTTCACATTTTGGGACTTTTAACAACTGACACTGCTGTGGCCAAGGGAGGGCTTGTGCCTTGTGGGTGTGCACGCAGTTCTTGCAGGCACGCACCTAGGAGAGGATCCACAGGGCTGCTGGATTTACCTGTGCTCATTTTTAGTTGATGCTGCTTCTCTCTTAATAACAGCAAAGAGTGCATGGGAACTGCTGTCCAGAAGAACAAGTCCTTGCTTTTAGGAGGTTTGATTCAGTGCCTCAGCCATGAGATTCAAAATACTCACCCTTCAAGCAGCCGCTCATCCTTCTCTGTGTTAACTGGCCCTTAATGCACAACTGTAGGGCAATGATGCCAGGTTTGCACAATCGTGAAGAACCTTCTGAGTCTCCAAAAAGAGCTTCCCGTCTGTTCTTTGTAGTTTCACAGCGCAATGACCAAGTTGTGCTGAGTTCTAATTCATTTATTTACAAAGAGTTCTATTTCTACTCCCTAGAATGTACTATAGAAGTAAATTTAAAATGGTATCTTGTTCCTAAGGAGCGTACAAGCTTTGGGGAGTGTAAATATCTCTAATACCAATTAGAATGCGGGTGAAACCCATTTTTAAAATGTGTAAACAAGGTGACTGTTGGTATCCTACATATGTTAAACAATATATTCAAGGATATTCGATAAAATATAACTTGCCATTTCTCCAACATGTCCCTTTATAATTTTTTTTTTTTTTTTTTGAGACAGTCTCGCTGTGTCCCCCAGGCTGGAGTGCAGTGGCACAATCTTGGCTCACTGTAAGCTCCACCTCCCGGGTTCACGCCATTCTCCTGCCTCAGCCTCCCTAGTAGCTGGGACTACAGGCGCCTGCCACCACGCCCAGCTAATTTTTTGTATTTTTAGCAGAGACGGGGTTTCACCGTGTTAGCCAGGATGGTCTCGATCTCCTTACCTCGTGATCCGCCCACCTCGGCCTCCCAAAGTACTGGGATTACAGGCGTGAGCCACTGCGCCCAGCCTACAAAATTTTTATATCTGTACTTTGTCTAAACATTCATTAGTTTGTCAACGACAGACATCAGTTCAGGTTAAACGACACAGGAGTCTAATTTTATTCTCTTCTGTGAATCTAAGGACACGCATACTCCACACTAACAAATTTATTCAATCAATCAATAGATATTTTATGCTTATCTCTCTACCCTTCAGGATATATCTAAAATCTTTTCTTTTATTTCCCAGTTGTCTGCTGGAGAGTTTAGCTTAGAGTTGAGTTCCGCCACCTGATCAATACCATTATTCCTTCACTGAATATTTGCTCAGCTCACCTTGTGTCCAGTGCCATGCCAGCCACTGCCCGTGGAATAATGAGCAGAGCCCTGCATGGTTCCTGTCCTCACCAAGTTTACAGTCTCAGGGAAAAGAGAACTGTTGTGCAAGGGGTCACACAATATAGTGTCAAACGACAGTACGAGTAGGGGGTTTAAGGCATTCCCCCAAAATTTTTGTCCAGCTGGATCCTCAGAATGAGACCATCTTTGGAAATTGGGTCTTTGCAGAGGTAACCAGTTAAGTTAATTGTTCTGGATGGTCCAGTGTTTGGCATCTATAAGGAAAAGGAGAGGGGGATTCAGATTCAGAGACACAGAAACACGCAGGCCCAGAAGGCCATGTGGTGACAGAAGCAGGGATGGGGTGTTACAGCTACAAGCCAGGGAACTCCGAGCATGGCTGAGAATCATGAGAAACAAGAGAAAGGCAAGGAAGGACTCTCGCCTGGAGCCTTCAGAGAGAGCATGGCCCTGCTGGCGCCTTGGTTTTTGACTTCTAGCCTCCAGAATGCTGAGAGAGTAAATTTCTATTGTGTTAAGCTAATGATCTAGTGGTAATGTGTGACAGGAGTCCTAGGAAACTAATGTATTGTGGATTCAATTGACCCGTAAGAAATTGCAGATGTTCAACTGCTTTGAGCCACACAAACAGCAATATTATAGGATTCATCCTACCATGTTATGAGCTTGTAAGAGGAAAACTTTGTCAGAGAAAGCTTCTGTGAGGAATTTCTAGTGGAACTGAAATCTAGAAAACAAGTAGAATTTGATGGAGTTCAAGAGAAAAAGAGGAAGAAAGGGGAACCCAGCAGAGGGCCAGCAGAGGGCCGGCAGAGGTGGGGGAGGCACAGAGGTTCTGAGGCAGAGGGTGCAGATGTTTCCAAGCAACTGAAGGATGTGACTGGAACCCGGTGTGGGGATAGAGCTAGCTGAGGCTGGACAGGCAGGGAGGGGCCAAAAAAAGGCCTCTGAGCCTAGATTGAAGATTGAGATTTTGACCAGGCATGGCAGCTCGCACCTGTAGTCCCGGCTACTCAGGAGGCTGAGGCAAGAGGATCCCTTGAGCCCAGGAGTTTGAGGCCAGCCTGGGCAACATTGCAAGATCCCATATCTTTAAAAAAGAAAAGTTTATATTTTTGTTTTTGTTTGTTAAAACAAAAGTTTTTTTGTTTGTTTGTTAAAAGCAGTGGGTAGCCAGGTGTGGTGGTGCATGCTTATAATTCCAGCGACTCAGGAAACTGAGGCTTGAACCAGAAGGCAGAGGTTGCGGTGAGCCAAGATCGCACCACTGCACTCCAGCCTGGGAGACAGAGCAAGACTCCATCTCAAAAAAAAAAAAAAAAAAGAGAGAGAGAGGAAGAAAAAGGC
This sequence comes from Homo sapiens, assembly GCF_000001405.40. Taxonomy (NCBI): domain Eukaryota; kingdom Metazoa; phylum Chordata; class Mammalia; order Primates; family Hominidae; genus Homo; species Homo sapiens. The sequence goes on along the minus strand of NC_000013.11, from coordinate 101,147,331 downwards.
AGTGGAATGCCATTGAAAAGTTTTAAGACAGAGCGTGAGAAATGGCAATAACCGCAGAATGAAGAGCAGATTAGAAAGAGCTGAAGCAGATGGAGAAAGCACTGCAGGAAATGCAGGAACCCAGTGGTGCATTGGCCAGGGAGGCACTGGTGGGGATGCAGGCAGTGGGCAGGCCTAGAGGCTTTTAGGAAAGAACTCTGTGTTCTCATTTCAATGATATGTCCCAATTAATATACCATTTGCCCTTGTGTCTGTTTGAAGACATTGAATTCTCATAAAATATGCATACCAGTCCTGATACATCTAGAGCCCCCAAGTCAACTCTTCTGACCACGTGTGTCTATTCTGCTGCCCGTGAAGTCTCGTGGAGTAGAAGTAGTGCCTTCATTTTTTTTCTTATTTCTCTCTTTGCTCTATACCTTGTGTTTCCGAGCACTCTGTTCCTATATCTGCCAGAGTGGCCATTCTATTTTATTATCATTGTCTCTTTATAGAACTATCTACCCAGTTATACTGTGGGCTCCGTGAGGGCGAGTGCAGTGACTTATTTCTTTTTATATCCCCTGAGCTTAGCACAGAACCTGACCTGTAAGATTTGATTTATAAGTGACAGTATCAATGTATAAATAAATGAGTCAGCAAATGCATGAATTAACAATACTTTATTTCTGCTCTGTCTTATCACCTTTGGCCTGATATACCTGCCTTACACTCTGATCTGATCTAATAGATTAACTGCTTTTTCTACTTCTGCTCTATTTACCACTGACAAGTATTTTTCTACTAGTTGTATCAACTTTTAGAAAACAAGACTCTTCCTGGTAAATCTCTTTACTCGTGTGTGGAATCATTTTTCTAACTGTGTACCTCTCACAGAGATGCTACTACTTTTTGTTTTGTGTCTTTGGGAGCTAATTCCTTACCATTGTCATCATCATAACCATGGAACTGTTGAGAACGTGCCATTTTGCACACATTACTGCGTTGAGCACTCCAGTTAGGAAGGGAGGAAGGCAACGAACAGCAGTGACTCCTTCTCCAAATAAGATTACCATCTAAGACAGAAAAACCAAAGGCTACCCACAAAATCAAATCAGACTTACAAATGGCTAAGGTAAATGTTTATGTTACACAAAACAAAAACATAAGAGCGATTTCTGCAGCCTAATAAGAAAACCAGAAATCAGGATGTATAATCTCATCATGAGCTCACAACCAATAGGATAGTTGAGTCATCCATCATATTGAAATGGGAATGTTTCCCCAAAAAGAAGCCCTCCTGTTCTCCTTAGCCAATTTGTATTTCCACATATAGGAGGGATGCATTGCCATCTCTCTTCCTGTTTTAAAAGCTCTCTTGGCCTCTAATTCTTATCTTTCCATAATTCCTAAAACAAATTATAGAGTAAAACCATACCCAACAAGGAGGTAAATGAGTGGATGATTTTTGAAACCCACCCCCCAAATCCCTCCAAAAAGGCAGCCTGAATTACATGTACTCTTTGAAAGGCATCAGTGTTAAAAGATGCAGTTTGGGAAGCCGGGACAGAAGACAGGGCAGACGTGGGGAAGGGTGTTCCACTCTGCAGAAGGTCCTGGAGAAGGGGAGAGGTAAACAGAAGTAAAGAGGGACTCCAAGAGACGTCGGCACTGGGAGAGAAAAAGAGAGCATAGGAAAGTATAGCATGAATTCTGGAAGCCACAGTCCACCTTTGTAGTATCTTAGTTCAGCCTTGTTCCAGTTTATGATGTTAAACCTGAGCTTCCCTGAAACTCAATTTGTAGAAATATAAATATACACTCTTAAATAAATCCATTTGATTGTCATTCCTCACAAAGATATCATATGGCATTTAAGTTCGTCGTGTCCAAGCATGTTTGCAGCCAAATGGAAAACTCGCTGCATGGACCAAATGTGGTATTTGTGTTTTGAGCTTTTCTGTTTTAATCTGCTAGGCGACATAACCAATTTTCCTGCCATTGTCTCTCTTTACAAATGCTACTACTTAGTATGATTCTGTAGTTAATTTTTTTTAAATTTTTCATGGTTTTTAAAAATTTTTAATTCTAGCGTTAGGCATGTGTAAACAAATTTTATTGTTTAAATATGCAAGTAATAGTAAACCATTAAAAATGTCTGAGATGAAAAGAGACTTGTCTTTGGGAATAAAATGACATAAAGTTTTCCTTGAATTTTTTTCTGGTTTAGTTTTTTTGTTGTTAAGTTTTGTTTTTGTTTTTTCTGTTAACTCAAAAGTTTTAGCTCATAGAGCAATTTATGGCGGGCAAGAGAGGTATACTTGGTAGGCCTTTGCTGCCATCTACTGGCATTTCATGTAATTACTTATTGCTTCCATTCTAAAACTAATTTTGTGTAACGTATATAATAGTATTATAGGTTCCCCCTTTTTTTCTTCTTTCCAATTTTTCTTTAGTTAAAGCAAAGTGAAGCAAATGCGGACACCAAAGAAAAGCTCCCTTTACGCCTGCGAATCTTTGAAAAATTTCCAAACAGACCTCAAATGGTGAAAATCTCAAAGCTTCCTTCAGATTTTACAGTTCCTAAAATCAGGTACCAAAATACTTCTTTAATTGCATATTTCACATATATTGTAAAAGATTCATCATCTTAAATCTGATTTAACCCTTCTTTTAAGTATATGTGGGTTGGGTTTCTTTCTATTTTATTGTCATCTTTCTACTACCTCTACCTCTATTTAAAATAAATAAATAAATAAACAACTTTGACTCTTTTAAGCAATGTATTCACAGAAGAGTCACTTTATAACTGCAGTAGCCTAAGCAAGAAGGCTGCTTCCCATCGCTTCTCTCTGGGATGACTCCTCGGGAATGGGACATCCCAGGAAACTGGAGAAGCTGCTCAGTGTTGCAGGGATGGCAGGTAGACATCAATCTCAGACCCCAACCGTATGAGACTAAAATTGCCTCTGTGGCCCTTTTATTTTCAAGCAAACAGGGAAACCACAGCTGGCCCAGTTTGTGTACTACTACAGTGTTTATGGAGCCTACCATGTCAGGTTACCATATATAATTTGCCTTCCACTTTTTAAAAGAAGAACCGTGGCGTTTTTCCACTCATACTGATTTGATTTTCTACCACGTTTGCCCTCCAGTTAAGCAAATGCATAAAAGATGCTTTAAACACCTATTTTTAATAATAAAAGGAAATTCTTCTAGTTATAGCTCAAGAAATTACAAACAGAATTACAGTAATATGTTACTAGCTTTAAAAATAATTCTGTGGGGGGTTATAAAAGTATGAGACTATATATGGTGCCATAATATTTAAAATTCGGGTAGAAATATATTTGCATTTCTAATTTTAAAAAACAAAATTAATTGAATTTGGTAATTTGAAGAGACGTTACTTGAATTTTCGTTATGCTTTGAAGATCAGATGAACGCACTTGCTTTTGAGTCTTAAAATGTAAAATTCTCTCTTAGTCATTCTTATGATAAATGGACATTTAGAGAGAGCAACTAATTCTTCCAAGTCTTAGAGGGGGAAAAAAAGTGTTTTATTACCACAATAAGATTCAAAAAACTGGGCTGGGTGCGGTGGCTCACACCTGTAATCCCAGCACTTTGGGAGGCCGAACCGGGCAGATCACCTGAGGTCGGGAGTTCGAGACCAGCCTGACCAACATGGAGAAATCCCATCTCTAGTAAAAATACAAAATTAGCTGGGCGTGGTGGCGCATGCCTGTAATCCCAGCTACTCTGGAGGCTGAGGCAGGAGAATTGCTTAAACTCGGGAGGCGGAGGTTGTGGTGAGCTGAGATTGCACCATTGCACTCCAGCCTGGGCAACAAGAGTGAAACTCCGTCTCAAAAAAAAAAAAGATTCAAAAAACTACCATCGGTTACTGAGTAATATTGCTTGAAAGTTATTTCAAGGATATTGCTTTTTAAGCAGGAGTCACTGAGTTTCAGGAAGCTGTTGCTAATGAAATATTTTAGTCATGATCTAGTTTTCTATGATCTTTTATCACTGCTTTATCTTTGCTCAAGCAAACTCATCATTGCAAAATGCTGTCACTTGCTCCCTTCCACTAATAATGCCTGATGCACATATACTTCATTTGCAAAGGGAGAGTTTTATGAAGCAGTTTATTGACCGCCAGCAACAGGACACATGTTGCCTCCTGAGAAGCCTCCCGACCACCTCTTCCTCCTCCTGCGACCACTCCAAACGCTCAGCAATTGAGGACAACAAATACATCGACCAAAAAGTAAGATCTGCTGTTTCGAATAACCAGGCTTCTAAAAAGCATCTATGTTTGAGAAAAGAACCGCAGAGTTCTTTAGGGTCCTGGAATCCAATTTCTCAAGAGAATAATGAAAATAAAATGATTTCATTTGTAAAAGATATCATGAAACCTAACATTTTTTACTCTATGCATTGAAATTTTGCATTTGCCCGTGTAAGCTTTTGAGCTGCGCCACGTGGCAGCCATGCGACTTTGTAAACATCAAGAGCCTCCCAAATCTGCATTTTCTCAGGTGCGGAATAAAGGGCTGGGATCTCCAAGGCTCAGTCCAGGTGTAATGACCTGCCATCTCCTGCAAGTACAACTGCTTATGTCTACTTATTACATCAGAGAGGATACGAGAGCATGTTTCTCTAAAATCGGTCGAAAGAATTGCCATTTATTCAATGCTTAGTATGTGGCAGGAACTTAGGTGCAAGAGCTTATTCATGTTCTAGTTTACCTATTTCTTTATCATTTGAAAAGTAGAAGGGAAAATTTTTTTCAGATTCCACAGCAAAGTATCAGTAGGGAACCACATATAAATAAAGCAAATTTAGGTAATAATTTTAAAGAAATGTACTTTTTCATTTATTCACTTTTAAAAAAAATAATATAAGGGCTGTGTGCCATGGCTCACCCCTGTAATCCCAGCACTTTGGGAGGCCGAGGCGGGTGGATCACTTGAGGTCAGAAGTTCGAGACCAGCTTGGCCAACATGGTGTAACCCCATCTCTACTAAAAATACAAAAGTCAGCTGGGCGTGGTGGTGGATGCCTGTAATCCCAGCTACTCGGGAGGCTGAGGCAGGAGAATCACTCGAACCTAGGAGGCAGAGGTTGCAGTGAGCTGAGATTGTGCCACTGTACTCCAGCCTGGGCAACAGAGTGAGACTCCATCTCAAAAAAAAAAAAAAAAAAAAAGACATAGAATGTATTATCTAGGTATAATAAGTAAACATATTTATATATACACACATAGACATATAAATGTATATGTGTGTATATATGTATGCATAGTATCAAACTATATATATCAGCTTGGTCACATAATCAATGTCAGTTCAGTTAGAAAATGAAAGATTAATAATTGTCCTTTAATATTAAAGAGATTAAACAGTAGAGTTTGCAAAAACATCTAGTTCACTTGCAAGTATTCCACTTTGGCATTCCTAGAGTGTTTTTTATTCCTTTACATTGTTACTGCCCTTTTTCTTTTGCTTATAGTGAAATCCATATTTCTCTATGATCATGTGACAATAAAATGCCAACTGTTTCATCCTCCAGGATCTTCTTTCTCTCCGCTTTCTTTCCCTTCCCACAGGGATGAACCCTTTGGAATTCCCTCACCTTTCTCTTTATCTCGCCTCCCCTTTTTCTCCTCTTTCTTGCCTCCCCTTTTTCCTCCTTTTTCACCTCCCCCTTTTCTCCTCCTCTTTCTCACCTCCCCTCCCCTAATGTGATACTACTCCCGTTTACCTCTCCCCCAGCTCCCAGGTTCTCTGCTGTAGTTCAGTCATGTTGCTCTTGCTGAAAATGATGATGATTTTCTTTGCAGGATGTCTCTTCTTTTTCAAGGATTTCCATGTGTTGATTTTCCTTCAGCCATCTAGAGATGCTATTCTACTATCTTTGCAGAATCCAAGATTGTAAATGACAAGTCTGATGCCAATGTCATTTTTTTTTTAAGTAATTAGCCTTTTGGTTGGTAGACTTGGTTTGCTTGTTTCTTCAGGAAAACTTGTAAGATTTTCTGTGTATCCTTGGAGTTCAGAAGCTTTCTTAGAATATACCTTATATGTCTTTTTTCATCAGAACTGCTCCAACTAGAGTCTTTTCAGCTTGCCAACTAAGATATTTGCTCAGGGAAATTTCCATTTATTTTGCGTTCAATTGTTACTCTTCCATCTGCTTCTCTCTCCCCTGGGATTGCCATCTCTCTATTTTTGTTCTGTGCTTGGTCTTCCAGGACACTAATTAGATTTCAACTGAGGTCATCCTTTGCTTCTAAATTTCTCGTGAAAAATTATGATATGGACATATGACCCTTAACTATCCTTAAAGGCTTGCATATTACCCTTAGCTGTCCTTAGAGGCTTTACTTTTATCTTTTATTTTTATTTTTTTAGAGATGAGATCTTGCTGTGTTGCCCAGGCTGGGGTGCAGTGGCTATTCACAGGCACGGCCATAGTGCACTATAGCCTTGAACTCCTGAGCTCAAGTGATCCTCCTGCCTCAGCCTCCCGAGTAGCCGGGACTATAGGCATGGCCACCATGCCTGGCTTTTTTGATTTTTTTAAATTAAACTTATCACCTCTCTTCTTCACAGTTATAATCCACTCAACACTGTGCATGGGGCATGGAAGCAGAAGGTCATATGTCAGTGGATAAACAAGTGGGAAGATAGTGCCTTGGCTTCAGCCAGTCAGTCTGAAATTGCAGTTTGCGTGGACTAGAAAGCAGGTTGTTTTGTTTTGTTTTGTTTCCAAAGCAGATTGTAAGCCAGAAGTCTGGGCTGTCCTTGTGACCACTTATCTCCAGGAAGAGGATAGAGAGCTGATTTCCATTATGGCCAAAGTCACAAAACCATGACATGCTTTTAAAAATCACTGGTAACACTACCCCACTGGAAACACAAAATTGAAATATGAGTTTATTTTCTCTCTAAAAGGAAATGTGATTGTTTCTCACATTTCCTGAACACAGTATTTTGATTTGGTGAGGACAAAGATAAAAAGAGTCTTGAGAGGCATGTGCCGGGCTGAGGAGGAGTCTAAAGAGAATGTGGCCCGCCCCTCTGTGCGCCCGCCCGAAGCGAACCCTCCCCAGGTACAGTTGGAATAACACGTTTTATCCCATACAACATGTCTTATTGCTCCCACTTGGAAAGTGGAATGTCAAAAACATACTTTTTCTTCATCAGAGGACCCTATTATGGGAGTGGCAAGACAACTGCTCCTGTTACTATCCACGCTTTCTTAAAGCTTTGATTCGATCTAGGTTGTCAGAAAAGTAGACTTAATTCTTTTCAGGATCCACCATTTTCAGCAATAGTTCCCACCAGTTCTTGGTGTTCCTCATAAGACCTTAGGATTTGTCAACCTTGTTGAGTGCCCCTGGGCCAGGGAAATCTAAAGCAGAAAATCCCTCTTCAAAGGATTTCAGTGATAAGGATTTAATGGAAGCACAAATTGCGGAGACAGCATTCTGGCATTTGTATTATGAATACGGCAAGCCTTTTTCATTTTTATTAAGAAACCCGAAAGCCACTTAAAAACAAGAGCGCATAAACACAGAACAAAAATCCCCGTCACAGACCCTACCACCATTAGTTCCCCTTATAAAGTATTTTTCAGCGAGCACTTAGAAATTTCCATTAAAATCCCAATTGCCTTTGGAAATCCTAGTCACAGTAAAGTGACAGGCAGGGTTCTTCACTCTACGTGAAAAAAAAAAACCACCCAGCCCTCTGCAAATTGTGCAAATTGAGGCTGTGTTTCCTCAGTGACTGGTATGAAAGAAAAAGGACATTAGAGGCTGGTTTATCGGTGATTCTCATAACATGAACAAAGGAACAATAAAATAAAACTGTTCTCTTAATGGTTATCTTGTACCAGGAGAAACTTCTGACTTCACTATGCTAGAGGGAATCACCTTTCTCTTTCCAGGGAAAATAGTGAAGCCCCAGGTGCCTGAAGACTGCAAGTTCAGGGAGAAAAAAACAACAACTGACAGCAACCCCAGAAGGGGGCTGGGGTTTGATGAAGCATTGCAGAAAACACAAAAGCACATTAGGCAAGATTTTCTCCCAGTAATTACCCAAGCTTTGAACAGGGATGAGTAATTCCCATGGCAACCTCACTTTGCAGAAACCATGTTTTTAAAAATAGCCCTGGTGGATCACCTTTATTATACAGTTTAAAATACCTGTCCTTCTCCCAGAAAACAACCAGCAAACAAAAATCTTTAAAATCTTGGGGCTGACCCAGATCCTAAAAGGAAAAGACAGGAAAGAGTGTTTTCCTGCCTGTCGTTTGAGACTCCATAGAAACGACCTTCCCAAGTGGTCATTTCCCCATCCCTTTATCCTGCTACCTACCGTTCCTGTGAGCAATTGTGAGAGGTTCCTTTTCTTCCTGATTCAAGGATTTTGACAGGGGCTTTTCCAGTTTCCAAGCAGAAAGAAATCAAGCAACAATTTCTACTTGTATTTTTCCTCCATATTATTGAAATTAAACTCTAGTTTCCTTAAGCAGAGTGGTGATTAATAAAGTGAGATCTGAACTTGACTTTCCAGTAACCCTGTAATAAAAGCAGCCCGCTCTGTTCTCCGAAGTGAGACATCCAGTCAAGGTCAAGGTCTCACCTGTGGTTGAGTCTACAGCGTCTCACTGCCCTGTGGCCTGAGGATGGTTCTGTGCTGCTGTCTTGGCTGATGCACCATTTCTTATGTCAGAACCTGCAATAGCCTGGGAAGCATGAGTGAACCTCCTGGAGCCATGCTAGGATGAGGGCTGTCCCAGCACCTCCACCTCGTGCCCCTGTACTTCCCAGCATAGAATCAGAGCCCACATAATAATGAACAGTGAATATTTTCTCTGACAGTAGGGCAATATCTGCCCACCCTCTTGTCAGCCTCCTTTCTGCTGAAGCATATGATAGTTCTTTAATAAGCCTTCACAATGAACAGCTAACTTATGTACAGTAAAGAGGAAAATGATCATTGGAATGACTATGTTTTGTTTACCCATTTTATTTTATAACTCATTAACATTCATTCAGTCATTCAACAAGCACTTATAGAGCACCCGTTATTCATCTGCTATTCTCTGGGCTGTGGGAATTCAACAGTGAGCAAGATGCGAACTGTACCCTTTAGAAGCTCATAGTCCAATGGGAGGAAATGCACATACATGCATGAAAGTAAAAAGTATTACTGGAACCATGAGACAGAACCCCCTAAGTTCCCCTTACAGAAGAAGTGTGATTGATTGATAAAGGAAGAAAGCACCCCAGGCAGAGGGGGACATATATGCAAAGGTATGCAAAGCATCAGGTGCTCGATGTTTGAGAGAAATTGGGTAGAAGAGTGATTAAGTGGTGCAGGTTCCAACCCTCATCAGTAAAGTGGAGATAATTCTCATTTTCAAGGTTTGTTGTGAGAATCAAATAATGTAATAATGTTAAATACCTAGCATTGCACCTGGGCTAGCATATGTTCTGTGCCTCTCAAACCAGACAAGAAAGGTTACTGTTACTAAACTGTACCATGAAGTCAGACTCAGCAAACAGATTTCTATTCATCAGTTAGGACAAAAGACTTTTACATAAATTTAACCTTCAGATGTAACAGTCTAGTTGAGTGCAATATATTAATTACTGATCAATTTCCTTATGGTACCTAAGTCTGATTTTTTTAGAGTTTGATTTTTGTTGATATTTTAGTTGCTATCCCTATTGTCTACACGGTGTCTTCGAATCTGAAGAAGTAAATTAGGTCATTCTGGTAAGATTTACTCTTCCGTTTTTTTTATTGCCATACAGCATTTTATAATGTTCTATATGATTATAGAGTGCTTGATAATTTGTTCTTGTAACTCCTCACATAGCAAGTTACTCAGCCTGATCTATAATTTCCAGGATGAATGAATGTTTGTTCACCTTAAAAGAGAGAGAGAGAGAGAGAGAATGAACAAATGAACGAACGAACACAGCCTGTTTTCATTTTTAGGGCTTTTGGTCTTTTGAAAGAATTTTTTTTTTAAATAATGGCTTAGCTTCTCTGCAGTACCATTCAAGATGTATCTCCAGGAAAAGAGTGACAGATGACATGATGCTACCATGTAACCATGGGTTGTATCTCAAAGGGAAGAATTGGTGTTCCTCATGTCAAATATGAAAACTCTGTACACTTCTCTCTAGCTTAAAAATGCTTTAGTAGATAATGGATTCCCAATTTAGTCACAATAATGGAAAGAAATAAAAAGATGCGTAAGATTTCATCATCACTGGCCATCAGAGAAATGCAAATCAAAGCCACAATGAGATACCATCTCACACCAGTTAGAATGGCGATCATTAAAAAGTCAGGAAACAACAGGTGCTGGAGAGGATGTGGAGAAATAGGAACACTTTTACACTGTTGGTGGGACCGTAAACTAGTTCAACCATTGTGGAAGACAGCGTGCTATTCCTCAAGGATCTAGAACTAGAAATACATTTGACCCAGCCATCCCATTACTGGGTACATGCCCAAAGGATTATAAATCATGCTGCTATAAAGACACATGCACATGTATGTTTATTGCAGCACTGTTCACAATAGCAAAGACCTGGAACCAACCCAAATGTCCATCAATGATAGACTGGATTAAGAAAATGTGGCACATATACACCATGGAATACTATGCAGTCATAAAAAAGGATGAGTTCATGTCCTTTGTAGGGACGTGGATGAAGCTGGAAACCATCATTCTCAGCAAACTATCACAAGGACAAAAAACCAAATACTGCATGTTCTCACTCATAGGTGGGAACTGAACAATGAGAACACTTGGACACAGGAAGGGGAACATCACACACTGGGACCTGTCATGGGGCAGGGGGAGGGGGGAGGGATAGTATTAGGAGATATACCTAATGTAAATGATGAGTTAATGGGTGCAGCACACAAACATGGCACATGCATACCTATGTAACAAACCTGCACGTTGTGCACATGCACCCTAGAACCTAAAGTATAATATATAAATAAATAAATAAATAAATAAAACGATGCGTACTATAAAATCAAACCATTTTTTCTTCTTACTGGTCTTTGCAGTAAATTCTCAAGCTAAAACCAAATATCTGTGTGTGTGAGCACTCACCCTTTCATCCAACAATCATTTTTGAGGACCATTATATGCAAACAGTTTGCTGGGCCCTGAGTAAACAAACACATCTTTCTATATTCAACTAACATTAGAGTAGGAATTCCCTCTCAATGATTATTTTTGCAGAATATTTAATTGTGTAACCATTTTTAGGTTGGAACTATGTATCAGCTGTTTGTATTCCTTAGTAAATGCGCATTGAGAGTCAAAAGTAAATCAGTCTAGGATTAAGAATTTTTTATAGGTAATTTAAAAGATTTTTAATCGCATTTTCTGTATCATGCACAAAAGAGGTATCAAGGAGTTAAGGCCGCTGCTAAATCTATCTTGGAAATTTACATTTTGCTCTTCTTTTTAAACTTTTTCCTCTTCTGACTACAGTTTTACTTATAAATTGTCTCTTCTATCAAGTGTCATGCTAGTCTCAGTGTGTTGTATTTGTTGCTGATGATGGTGTTGAGTCCAAGTCCTGCTTCCTTGTGTTGCCACAGACCTTAAATTTCGAATTTCTACACCCATAATCCCAGCACTTTGGGAGGCCAAGGCTGGCGGATCACCTGAGCTCAGGAGTTCGAGACCATCCTGGGCAACATGGTGAAACCCCATCTCTACTAAAAAAAAGTAGCTGAGCATGGTGGCACACAACTATAGTCCCAGCTACTCGGGAGGCTGAGGCATGAGAATTGCTTGAGCCCAGGGGGCGGAGGTTGCAGTGAGCCAAGATCATGCCACTGCACTCCAGCTTGGGCGATACAGCGAGACTCCGTCTCAAAACAAAAAAAAATTTTGGAATTTCTAAATTCACAAACAGGTTAAAAGCATCTGACATTTACTCTAGAATCACAAGCCCACTCACCTTCTTTTGTCTCTGCAGATTTCCAATCTTTGCCTTCCTGTTTATATTAGATATAATCATAAAGTCATTTTGTATTTTACTTTTGTAATTAAAATCTATCTAGCGTATATTTATAGTTTTGTTTGTTTGTTTGTTTGAGACGGAGTCTCGCTCTGTCACCCAGCCTGGGGTGCAGCGGCACGATCTCGGCTCACTGCAAGCTCCGCCTCCCGGGTTCACGCCATTCTCCTGCCTCAGCCTCCTGAGTAGCTGGGACTACAGGCGCCCGCAACCACGCCCGGCTAATTTTTTTGTATTTTTAGTAGAGACAGGGTTTCACCGTGTTAGCCAGGATGGTCTCGATTTCCTGACCTCGTGATCCACCCGCCTCGGCCTCCCAAAGTGCTGGGACTACAGGCGTGAGTCTCCGCACCCGGGCATTTATAGTTTCTTATCATTAAGTACTGTATATTAAACCTATCTAAATTTGTTTCAGTACTCGAAGATATTGCTTTTCCCTCGATTTTTGCACAGTTTCATTATTTGATGTGTAAGATGTTGGAGATTTGACCAAGTGACCCCAGGCTACTGTGTTAGTGGCCGAAACATTGTCATAACATTCACGTGCAAAAAAAAATCAGATCCATTAAGTTTTAAATTGTTTAGTTTCTAATATTACAAGCTGTTCCTATATATCAAGTTAGTTGATTCATTTCAAAATAAGCAGTCCCTCTTTGTAATTTTTACGTCATTCATATTTCTTATTTTCAAGGACTAACTACATTAAAATATATAAGATAGAAAAAGTAATACTTTAATATTATGAAATTAATTCAATTTTCAAATATATTTCAAGCACCAACAATGCACAGTGCTAGACAATGAAAGAAAATGTAATAAACAAAGAATACATTATACATATCCTAAGGAGTTTACAATCTATTGGAATTTACAGAAAGATAAAAAGATGTTTCACACAGGGCAGGGATCAACTTGTGCTGGGTGCCTAGGAGTCCAAAGGAAGAGCGAAGATTTGGTGTATGCATGGCATGCACACACGTGCACATGCATGTTTATATGAATATTTTAACTCCTACACATAGTGTTTTTACAGGGTTCAGAACACATGATATTGAAATAAGTTACAATAGGAAATCTTTTTTTTTGTTTGTTTGTTTTTTTGAGACAGAGTCTCGCTCTGTGGCCCATGCTGGAGTGCAGTGGCGCGATCTCAGCTCACTGCAAGCTCTGCCTCCCAGGTTCACGCCATTCTCCTGCCTCAGCCTCCCGAGCAGCTGGGACTACAGGCGCCCGCCACCATGCCCGGCTTATTTTTTCTATTTTTTAGTAGAGACGGGGTTTCACCATGTTAGCCAGGATGGTCTCGATCTCCTGACCTCGTGATCCACCCACCTCGGCCTCCCAAAGTGCTGGGATTACAGGCGTGAGCCACCGCACCTGGCCTACAATAAGAAATCTTGACCCATCATCTAAAATTCTCTTCACAAAATTCACATTTTAAGATACTGTTCAAAGCTTCATAACATGATATTATAATGGTATTCACCTTTATATACATCCATAATCAACATTTTAATCTTGCTGATGCTCACATTAATCACCTTTTAAAATTTTTTTTCTAAGCATAATGTCAATTCCAGAGAAAGTTTATTTTATAGAAACATCTTGCCACACACATGATCTGTCGTATGCACTTTGGGATTAATTATGAATTCACGGGTGCATGAAAATTCAAATACAGTCAAATGAGATACCACCTTCGACCCATGCAATTTTAAGTAATTGCTTATTCCCAATTACTATATTTTATTTGGGAGACTTATTCAATAAAGTGGCTCGTTACAATAATTACACTACAACTTTCTAGCAGAAATGACATTCATCAAGCCATATTCATTGGACCGTGGTTTTGTGTCTTATGGTCATATGTTTTTATAACCACTTTCCCATTTATTATTAACCTGTTAATATTTGTAAAGTGAGAAAAGAAAAATGGAGCCACTCAAACTTTTTCCCAGTTAGAAACAGAAATGTATTGTTAACATTGTAAATCAAAAAAGCTATTGAATATTTATAATACTTGTGGTGTGCTTTGTCAAATAAATATTGATGGCTTCATTCTGAAGGTGGTTTCTAGGGTCAAGCTATGGTTCTTTAGGTCTAAGCATTGCCGCATCCTAAAGGAATCTATATTCAAGATAGGTCTGTGGTTACTTCTGGGTGATTGAATTAATCAAATTAATATTCTGATTGATTGAGAGTTTTGATGGATCCCAGATTTTAAGGAATCAGTAAGTGTAAAATATAAAAACTATGATCATACTAGCTTTAATGAGTTAGGAAATGTATTGATCTCTTTCAGTGCTTCAGAGTCATTATTCTGAAAATCAATTATGCATATGTAGAACAAACAAAAAGTTGGTTAGTTTCGATTTTGCATTAGGATGTGAGAATAGCAAGAGTTTATAATATGTGTAAACAAAATATTTCAAGTCAAGCAGATAATATTTTGTTATGATATAGTTTAGAAAATGCTTTTTTATACTAAGCCTAGTGACATTTTACATAGACATAATGCAGTGAAAAGATTTGAACACTGAAGCTGCATGATCCAGAGTTCTAGTAATAATTTTGCAATTTATTATCTGAGTGAACTTAGACAACTTAATTTTTATGAGCCTTAGATCTTTAATCTGGAAAAAAGAGATAATAATACCTTACCTACCTATGAGGATTAGTTTGAAGATTAAGTTTAAAATATGTATATATCACCTCAGCACAGATCAAGGAGCCAAGAAATACAGATGTAGAAGTTATAAAATGTACATTTTTAAATGTGCAATGGGCATCTATAAAATTCTTCATTCAATGACTAGAGAATAACATTCTAATTCAAGAACACATGTATGATTTTAAATGTAACCATTTACCACAGACTTCTAAATATATACACATCAGTGTCCTAGAAAAGATATTATTTGACCAAAATGTAACAAAATCAGAAACCTAATAAGAAGAAAATAACCACAAAAAAACCTACACATTCAGAAATTTAAAACTATTTTCAAATAAGCACAGAAGAAACACCAATGAAAATAAGAAAATATCTACAATTAAAAAATAATGAACAAAAGATGCATCAAACTTGTGGGAAGTAGCTAATGGCATTTTTAGAGGAAAAAATTTAGCCCTGAATGAATATCTAGTAAAGAAATAAAGGCTTAAATTAATCCTCCAAGCATTCATTTCAAGAATTTAGAAAAATTATCAACCAAGGAAACACTAAGATAGCAGAAAGAAAGAAATAATAAAGAGAAAAGCAGTTATTAATCAAATGGGGGGAAAGAGGTGATAAATAATATCAACATAATTGAAATTTTGTTCTTTGGAAGCAGTAATAAAATTGATAAATCTACTTTAAAATTCAACAAGAAAAAATTAAGGAGCCTTCTTCTATAAAGATGACAGAGGCATTGACATTGTTTTTTAACCTTGAATTCCCACATGAAAACAAAAAGAATACCAAGATATCAAAACCCCAAATCCATAGTTAATATTTACCATAAAACTCGGTAATCCACAAACCCTAAATAAAAGCAAGTGTTGACAAACAGCCACATGATTTGCATGATATTAGTGTCTGTGGGAGGAAACCAAGCTTAGTTACAGAGCGTCCAATGTTCATGGAATGGTAGAACATCTTCTTTGCTCCATTCTGAAATAAAAAGTCCAGGAGTGGAATCAAAATTGAACAGGCCAGGAACAAGAGTGATAAGGATAAAAGCAGATCCAGACAAAATTTGTGGGGGGAGGAGGATTGGGAAACAGAGCTTGGAAATTCCAGAAAGAAAGCTACCATATTTGATCGATATATTAAAACAACAGAAGAGGAAACTCTGAAGTTAGAAGAGAAATACTAAACTGTTTGGGAAAACTAATTTTGTATAAAAATGAGTAAGGAAAATTATCAAAGCCAAATTCCCTGCAAACGTTATTATAAGAAAAAAACAGCAGAATACTGTCTCTCACTGTAGACAAGGAAAGCAACCTACAAAAACGTGCTCTAACCAGCTCAAACTGTAGCATACTATTGAAAAATTAGTTAAAAGACATTAAAAATTACATAAGGATGAAATAGCAACATAAATAAAAGTTAGAAAAACTCAGAAATGAGGTGCCAGAACTGAGAAAAGTTATAAATTAAAGCAATGAAAACTAAACGAGAAGGAACATAAAGAGACCTCAGATGATTCAAAAGTGAGAAATAGAAAATGGAGAAGAGGGCATTTTTTAAAATCAAAGAGAAATGAAGAAAGAGATGAAAATGATTTGCAAGAAAAATGACAAATTGAAGAAAGTCAAAAATCCGACATCTGCATTATAGGTGTCCCTAAGGAAGAAAAACCACAGCAAGAGAATAAAACGTATACTAAACTTTTCTGAAACATAAAAAGATATGAAACTATATATTGACAGCACACACCTAAAAATATTGGAGTAAATGATTAAAAACAATACATACACCAGACAAATGACAGGTCTTTAAATTTTTTAAAAATATATTATCTAGCCCAAATAAGAACAAGTGATTTATAAAGGAAAGAACGTTAGATTATCATGAGATTTTTCAGCAGCAATGCTTTATGTCAGAAGAAAATAGAGTAACATATATAGGATGCCCAGGCAAAGAATATCTGAGCCAGATTTTTTTCCATCCTGAAAACTGACTTTCAACTTTCAAGGTCAGAGAAACTGCTTTCAAGATCTAAGAATATGAGTAATGTAAGATACAAGTAATCTTGTTTCAATGAACCTGTAATCTACTAAAAAACATGCCTCAGATAACCTAAATGAACTCCAAAAGGGACTCTTAAACCATTTGGCATAAAAATTCACATTCATATGTAACAACTAACTACATAAGGACAACATGAAGAGTGAAATATGTAATAATTATTTGTTCTAATATGGATAGAGTACAGATATACAAATGAGGAGGTGAACGGGAAGAAGATATGCAAACCCTTAAGATATTCAGTAGTTTTCTTGGTTGTGTATTTTCATTCTGAGACTATTGTCTATGAAATGTGAAATAAAACTGAGTCACTGTTGAGACAATCTAATTCTGGCATCCCTGGTGCTCTTGATAATCAAGAGTGCTCTTTGTGGAGAAAAAAGGAGATATAGATATCATATAGAAAAGCTTAGGTAAAAATAAAAATCCTAAAGAAAACGTGGCACGTATACACCATGGAATACTATGCAGCCATATAAAAGAATGAGCTCATGTCCTTTGCAGGGACACGGATGAAGCTGGAAACCATCATTCTCAGCAAACTAACACAGGAACAGAAAACCAAACACAGCATGTTCTCAGTCATAAGTAGGAATTGAACAATGAGAACATATGGGCACAGGGAGGGGAACATCACACACTGGGTGCTATCGGGGTGGGGGGCAAGGGGAGGGATAGCATTAGGAGAAATACCTAATGTAGATGACGGGTTGATGGGTGCAGCCAACCACTGTGGGACATGCATACCTACGTAACAAACCTGCACGTTCTGCTCATGTACCCCAGAACTTAAAGTATAACTAAAAAAAAAAAAAAAAAATCCTGGGTCATGAATTTAAATTGAAAACATCAGAATAAACCCAGGCAAAATATTTGAAACAGTGACCAACTCCATAGCAGTGAGCATCTATGGGCTCTAGATATGTTCTTGAAACACCATTTTTCCAATTTTCCAATAAGTAAACCAGGGCTTCTTGAAGAAAATGGTTGATTTTGAATAGGAAGTGTACAAGCTGACCTTGGAGCATCTTGTCATACTAGGAACAAGGAAGCTTTGTCAAAGACTACGAGGGTCATATAAAAAGAACCTACAGACTGACCAACTTGAAAAACTCCCAATGAGCACAGTAGAGATAATTTGACTAACAGTAAGAAATGGTAATTGACATGGACTGAAATCCATTAAACATTAAATAAGTTTAAATCTTGAGTTCATAATGACATTTTTTAAATAGTAATTGGTTACCTTGAGCGATGATAGAAAATCAACCATGTAAAATTAATAAGTAAAAGTCGATAATCAAGCATTTATCTTGGCTTTTCCATACCAGTTTTGCTACTGGGTAACCAAATAATACAGGAGGGAAAGCACCTCATTATAAAACTATCCCAACTAATAAATGAAAAAGAAATGACAGTTTTGCAAACGGAATGAAGTCAAGGGATCTAAGAAATGAACATCAAGACCCGTAACATCACAAAAAGAAACACACACACTCTGTTCCTTTCGATGGAAGAATCTGACACCACCTATGGCCTTGCCAAAGGGATGAAACCAGAGTCTGTATGATGAAACCTCTGGATCCAGCTGCCGATTTTCAGAAAATAGAAGACAGAAGAACGTGTTGAACTGTACCAAGAGTGTGCTTTCAGCAAAATCCAGACTCTCTCTTGGCTGGGTGCGGTGGCTTACTCCTACAATCCCAGCATATTGGGAGGCCACGGCAGGAGGATCACTTGAGCCCAGGCATTTCAAGACCAGCCTGTGCAACATGAAGAAACCCCATCTCTTAAAAAAAAAAAAATGTTACTTAGCTATATGTGATGGCACACGCCTGTAGTCCCAGCTACTCAGAAGGCTGAGACAGGAGGATCGATTCAGCCCAGGAGGTCAAGACTGCAGTGAGTCATGATAATTCCACTGCATGCACTCCAGCCTGGGTGACAGAACGAAACCCTGTCAAAAAAAGAAAAAAAAAAATCCAGACTCAAAAACTATAGGTCAAATGGCCCAGGTTTCTCTATTTTAAGGGGAAAAAAGGGTAACATGTAGATTAATTAGAAGACATCGCCAAAAAATCAGCAAGATTCATACATTGGAATGTCTTTCAGGTCCAAATTATTCAATCACAAATAACTCTATGGGAATTGAGTTGAAGCTTTTGAATTATGTGTTAAAGTATGTAATTCTGGAAACGTGTTTTAACTTAGAAGTTCAAGACTTAAAATATCTCTATATTGTTGATAATTTAAATTTAATTTACTTGTTTTGAGTTATTAATTCTGTCAAAGAATTGTTATCTGAGGCAGTTGGATGTTTTCAGTTTCCAAACAAAACCGAAGAAAATCTTCTTCAACGAATCTTTGACTTTTTTCAAAGTAAACTCCTTGTAATTCCATCATTCATCCCCTTCCTTTTTATTCCCACATCTCTGATATGTTTACATCCAGAATGAGCAATTACTGGCTCCTTTCATAGCTGTAATTTACAATTTCAGATCTGAAATTACTCATCATGAAATGGATCTCTGTATTCTTTGTTTTGCTAATTATTTCAGGTGATTGTCAGTATCTTCTAGAGCCAGAAGAGGGCACTGCAGAGCAGTGTAGCTCTGAGCTCTTTATGTTTAGCACAGTCTAGGAATGCCCTTTGCCAAAAAAAATTCGCAAAGCTTTACTATAGAAGTAAGAAAAAAGAAGGGAATAACTAGATAATCACTATAGGCCTTCTTTATTTAGTAGAAAAAAGAAAGTATATAACGATCTAAATACATATCTAGGACATCAAATGTAATATCATATATATATGTATAAGTAGATGAAAGAAGACATATATATGTGTGTGTGAGTCCTTTCCTTCTTTTAAGAACATCCCAAAGGCCAGGTGTGGAGGCTCACACCTGTAATCCCAGCACTTTGGGAGGCCAAGGTCGGTGGATCACTTGAGGTCAGGAGTTTGAGGCCAGCCTGGCCAACATGGTGAAACCTCGTCTCTACTAAAAATACAAAAATTAGCCGGTGTGGTAGTGCATGCCTGTAATCCCAGCTACTAGGGAGGCTGAGGCAGGAGTATTGCTTGAACCCAGGGGGCGGAGGTTGCAGTGAGCCGGGATCACACCACTGCCCTCCAACCTGGGCAACAGAGTGAGACTCTTTCTCAAAAAACAAAACAAAACAAAAGAACATCCCAAAGCTAAATCTGATGTTTTTCTATTATAATATTGATTCTCCTGCTACCTCTGGCATTAGTTATAAAAACAGTTCTCAAGTACTCTCCTGTATGAATTAATACTGTATTTTGTCTTAGTTCAAATTCAGGACAAAGGCCATTCAGTAGCCTTTTAGCAATCTTGTGCAGGGCAGAAATCATTTAGGCAATAGTGTACCAGATATTATCCCAAAAGTTTTTCCTAACGTGAAATTGCAGGGGCAGTAGATAAGTGATTGGATTCAGACTCTCATCTTCCACTGAAGGAAAGACAACTAACACATGTCATTGTCCTTTCAAGATGAAATAAGAGTTGTGGAATCTGGAGTCCTCTCTTAAAACTCACTGTCACAGGACCTCTGTGCCTGGGTCTGTCTCAGGACTATGTGTGTTCTTAGGTGTCTAAAGAGCAGATGCTCCACGATGATGGGGCCACCAGCTGAGTCTTCCATCTCCAAAAGCGGCTCCAAGCAGCTTTCCTTAGGAGCTGAGCTGTCAACTCAAGAGAGGTTAAATCCATGTCAAAAGTCAACTTTTGGCCGGGTGTGGTGGCTCATGCCTGTAATCTCAGCACTTTGGGAGGCTGAGGCAGGTGGATCACAAGGTCAGGAGTTCAAGACCAGCCTGGCCAATATGGTGAAACCCCATCTCTACTAAAAATACAAAAATCAGTCGGGCATGGTGGCGGGCACCTGTAGTCCCAGCTACTCGGGTGGCTGAGGCAGGAGAATCGCTTGAACCCAGGAGGTGGAAGTTGCGGTGAGCTGAGATTACGCCACTGCACTCCAGCCTGGATGGCAGAGCAAGACTATCTTAAAAAAAAAAAAAAAATTATGCCAAAAGTCAACTCTTTCAGGAGGGGAGAAGTAGGAAAGTTTCAAGATTTATCATTGGAAATAGCATGTATGTGCTACCAAGAAAATGGAAGTTCCAAATAGTTGGTATCCACTCTTGTCTCCTTGTCCATACATTAATTTTTCTCCTAAGAGTTCTAGTGAATAATGAAACCAATTCCGGTTTTTCATTTTTGAGCAGAAAAATGAACAAACCACCTTTCCTCATGAGGGGGAAATCACCAGTATGTTCAGTGATGCTGATCTTTACTACATATCTGCTGTAAAATATGAAAAGTGGATTGCTAGTTTTGATGTTATCTAGGTTATCATTTGTGACTAAAAAGACCTGTTTGTTACTCTGGTTCTTCTCCACTATGGCTTTATGGACACACTGACTGACATTATAGCATTTGTTCATAGCTTTGTTTGTAGAATGGGGTGCTGTGAGTTTGTACCTCAACATACCTAACCCTTGTTGAAAAGAAACTAACTAGGTGATCTATTTTTACTGAATACAGAGTTTTCTGTCTTCTGAGGGTTTTCTTTCCCCCCTCAACTTTGTTTGACACACAGTATGCCCTGTAGGGCTTCTTGCCTGGTTTCAAGATCTGGCTAGCACAGCACTTATACAGGTAGTTTGTACCAAATTAACTTGCCCTGTGCACACATGTCCACTTCAGTCCTTCACCCAGTACCGCCTTTGCCTCTAGGAATCTTAGCCTTCCTTCAAGGCCCAGTATAACCTCCACTTTTTCATTGAAGCCTTTGCCGACTAGTCCAGACTTGCTGTTCCACCGCAGAGAGCTCCAGCCCCTCTGATCTTGTGTTTTCTCCTTTACGTATCATCTAGCACTGTGCCATCTACTGCACTGTACTTGTCACTGATGATCTCATGTGTCCTACCCTTGTCTTCCTATCTAGGCTATTCACTTCTAGAAACCAAGAACTCCAAATTCTATTTACCCTAAATCTCCTATGGTCACTAATATCATGCTAAGTGCTCAGTAAATCTAATCTATTGATCAAAATGAACAGGTCTCAATTACTATCTTCAGTCTGACTACTGGAGTTACACTTTCCTGTTATTTATTATTTATTCTAGTTATTTATTATTGTGAATCTAGTTATTTATTTATTATTATGAGAACATAGTGGCCCATTTGCCTGTTTTCTCTTTGCCCTTCTTCTGCCTGCTTTAACTCCTTGTACACCTTCCACCAATCTAAAATCTGCAACTAGCAAGCCACACAGAACTGAGCTTGGGGAGTATATCTTTGAATTTACAGTCAGCATCCAGGATGGTTTTCTCCTTAGTTCTCTTCTCTGGAGTAATTTTATCATCGCCAACTAGGAAGAGATCTTGAATGCCCATTTCATTCATTCCCCACACCTGCAAGCAAAACAACTCCTAAACTCATTGTTCAGATTAGTGTTAGGTTACAGGCCAAGAACCTGCAGCAGACATAATGTGGATTAGAGAACATTGCGCTAATCAAAGACAAATAAGGAGTCCAGTATGAGGGTCAACGTTAAAGTCTTTGGAAACTGAAAATTTTATTCAGACGAAGGCCATTATCAGAGTGAGGCACAGCCAATGCACCATCCGTGGCTGGGACGTGGGGCCCCACAAGTTTGTTCATGGTGCTGCCCAAATAAAAGTAAAAATAGACAAGAATTGTCAATTGTACGATGATGCTTTAGCGAAACATATTCATGTTTCATGTTTTAACAATGTCATCTATTGAATGATTTGACAGTATATTATTTCTTAACATTCCAAAACTAAAAGTCATACTCTTATCATTTTCAGCTTCGCAAGTCTGTTTTCAGCATCAGGGCAAGGAACCTTCTGGAAAAGGAGACCGCAGTCACTAAAATCTTAAGGTAACACCAATTAATGTTGACACATATTTAAACACAAGTGGGATTATATTAATCGAAAAATAGCTTTTTGAAAAATGAATTAATGTTCTGGGCATCAGCATATACTTTCTGCCAGAAAGTAGCTTTGAGTATCTATGTACTTATAAACAATGTAAAAGACATATTGATGTCATTTCTAAAAAAAAATTTTAGTAGCTCAGTAGGCCTTTCTTTCAAGTATTTAAACATAAATGATAAGTATAAACATTGACCAAAAGGTGAAAATAACTTACTGTTATTTTTAACAGTTTTATATCTTTTGTGATATGTAAAGGAGAAATTGCAATCTAAAGGATAAATGGTAAAAGGGTAAACTTTTTCATTATAGTTCATTACACTATTAAGAGCACATTTATTAAAAATCCGGAAATAATAAAAAGTATACCAATCTTAGAATGCCTATGAAAACATATGCTTTTAATGCTACTTTCTAGAAGATGCGCTGAAATGAAGTATCAAGGAGGAAAACTAAGCAACCGACTTGAGTGTTTTATAAGACTATATGTTATATTATGGAGTAACATGATGAGTATAAAAACACATAGGCATTTAGAATATCATTTATTGGTACATATATTACATAGACATATGTAGATGACACAACTCAAGATTGGGAGCTGGAGGTAGGATCGCTCGCAAGGCGAGTGGACAGATTCATGCCAGGAAGCCCCCTGCAAACCTGCGGTGAGTGATAAGGAGTTCTAGCTCCCTTCTACTAGATTTATTACTAGGAATAGACATTAATGCATTCTCTCCAGAATGCATATTACTATAACTTGGAAGACTGTGTGAGAAAATAAAGCTTAGTATATATGATCTTTAAAACTATTCTTACTTTATAATACTACCTAAAATTTGTGTGCAAAAAAAATTTCCTAACTCATCAAGACAGTATTTCTCTCAATATTGGCTGACGTTCATGCATAGAGTTAAGTATGTGTTGGAGTAGCTGTCATAGGATGAAAATAAGCATTTCTAGGGCTTGTATATTATCACCACAAAATGTGATGAGATAAACAGACAAGGTCTCATTGAAATAGACAACCTGCGCCCCAACTTAGGCTTACTCCCGACTGGCTGGTAACTCCATCCTGGTATTACCATCAGATCATGCAGTGAGGCTGGCCTTGAACCACACATGTTACATCAGGATCATGATTCCAGCTGCACCTACATCAGACAGGTTCATGGTAGGGTCCTACAGCAAGGCTGATCCACTCACTAAAAAGAGAAATTCACCCTCAAGCCAGAAACTACCTACAAGGACATCATAATTCTCAGTCTGCATCGAGTATCTGCCTGCCAAGTCAGGAACTACAGGGACCTTACTCACCTGTCCAGAGCCACTGCCTTGCAGTGTGAATGGGCCCTCTGTGTGAATGGGTTCCCAGAGACTTTCCAAGGCAGATGCAGAAACAGATACTGGCAAGGAAGAGATTTCCAGACCTCACTTCCCTAGGAACTCTTCCTTAAAACTGATCTATCACTTTACCTTTTTCACCCTCCTGTCCTTATTTACCCCTCTCTCAGTTTACAAAAGAAAGGTGAAACTCTCACTCATCCGGAAACTATGGCGTGTATTAATCTGGGATGTAAAATCCTCTGGGTTGCCAAGCAAAAGGACCGTTCCCACCTGGATTTCTCCAAAAAGAGGGTCCCATGGGGCCGTGCCTTATTATTTATCCAGGTGACAGTTTTATGGATAACTTCCTTCCCAAAGCTATCCACCTTAGATTAGGCCTTAGAAATAACATGATTGTCACAAGGGCATGTGGTTACATGTTATTTGAATTGAAAAATAAAGCCAGACTTTTTCTGACAGATTCAGCTGATTGGTTCAACAATGAAAACTGATTTAATAAGTGCCCAATGTCATAAAATTGAATAGATTGGATGGCGAAGAGTCTCCAATATTTTCTTAAAATTATTTTCAAGCACAAACACAATAATGCTAGAAATTACATTCTTCTATTTAACGTGGTGCAAGAGGGATATAGTTGCTGATTTTTAAATATACAGAAGTGTTTTTGTTTTTTCAATTATATAATGTACATGAGCAATATTTTTAAGACTATCAGGGAATATAGACACCTCTAACTTGCCTAACAATGGTGTAGTTTAGGGGATACCCACAGCCAATAAATAATATTTTACTGCAGCCCAGCATACTACAGAATGAGAGGCAGCACCTTAAAACTACCTGAGCTATATCACCTTTTGAAACTCAGGAAATAAAAAGCCATAATTTGAAAAAATAAAAAACCTTAGAATTTTTTAAAATACAAATTTGATCTTAGAAAGCCATTTTGTTTTTTCTTCTGTGCGAATGGTTTCTTCATTGCTTCTATGCTAGTTTCTGCATGAATTAAGGGCAAGTGCAAAAAATCAAACTGATATTTTGGGAATACTTATCTTTTCACCACTAATCGTAGTAATAGTAATGGCAATGATACCATACCTGCATTATAATGTGATCCATCAGTTAAAAAGTCAAGAATAGATTGGGTCCATGTCAATGAGTGTTTGTATTGTTTTATACTGTTTTTCAAGGAACAATAACAGCTAAAAGGAAAAAAAGAGGGAGAAAAAGAATTTTTTTTAAAAAAAAAAAAAAGGAAAACATTTGCAGTAACCTCAGGACAATTGATTCGAATAACCTTCCACAAAATTGGGAAGGAGAAAAAGCTCTCCACCACTTTTTCAGTGTCTTTTTACTGCCTCTAGGGACTCCGCTCTCCTAGGCTCCAACCTTGCTGTCGATTAAACTCTGCCAAGGTTCCTGGATAACTTAGCAGTGGGGTCTCCCAGGACCATTTGCATTTTGAAAGAAGGCTTTTAAAAAATGAAAGGGCTTTTAAGACAAAGAGGATGCAGATTCTGTCTTTTAATAGATGGGTCTATCTTGATATAAATAAAAGAAATCTGGAAGAGACTGCCGTTTTAGTGTTCTATTCCTCTTAACTTTCTAGGTGTTTTTAATTTCATAGAATTATTGTCTTTAGTCTTATCCAAGAGGTTCCTCGCCAGGGAGGTAAGTAACAGCAGTATAGGGAGGCTTGAAAAAGAGACCTGAGCTGGATCATTCCGGCAAATATCACAGGTTGGCATTCGTCCTAATTTGTGTGCAGATAGAGATAAATCACAAAAACCTTAAATCCAGAGTGATATAAGAATAGGAAGTTTTTATGAAATATTAGCGTCTTGAGATAACTTTCCAAAAAATAACAAGTATTTGGGAAAAAATAAAGCAACCCCTTGACTTAAGGTTTCTGGAGGCCTGGCTGTGTAAACAGACAATTAATTTCAATTCTCAGCTCTCTTGTCTATTCCATGGGAGCTAGGAGGAGGCGATCTTCAGGGCCCCTGAAGATCTAATGTAGGATACTGGACTTGGTGTTAAATCCCCCCTGGCTGGGATCAGGCTCTGCTTCTCTGTAACATTGAACACCTCACTAATCTGACCCTCAGTTTTCTTATCTACCTTAAAAAGATTGTCTGAATAATCTATTGACCAAGCAAAATTTAATACTTATTCCAGTAAGGGAAACTGCCACTTTGTTTTCATAATGTCTCAGAAGGGATAAGTGAGAGGTGGATATATGTAAGGTTTTGGGTTTGGGTTTCAGTGTTTGTAGGATGGAGGTCTGTTTAGACTGGGCAGAATTCTTGATATGAGTTGAGGAGTATTGAAGATGCCTGGTATGGACAAGTAATAGTTACTGTTCTGAAGACGGCAGTGCTGTGGTTGAGGACCAGAAAGAGAAAGCGACCTGCCTGGTGCCTCTCCACTGCTTTCCATGTTCTTTCCCCCGGCTTTGGTTCAACATTTGAGTAATCCATTCTTTACAGCGAGTTTGCCCTTCTATTTTCATTCTCCTTCTTGACTTGGGTGATCTAAGAGAAGAAAAATAAATGGTGACCTTATGTTGTCCTCTTCACACATGAAATTTATTTTTTCTTTTGTGCCTTTCAGATTTTTAACCAGACACATGTATTACCTTTAACAAACAAATACAACTGACTTTTATAGTGGTTTTTTTTTTTTTTTAAGTTTGGCATTGATCCCCATTGGGTAGAGTCTTCACAAAAAATCCTAATGAATACCAACTATTTGTAGGTGACTAGCTTGACCAGTTGAGTGACCTACTGTCTGGAGAAAGGGGTTGGCCCAGCAGTCTATAGTTCAGATAAATGAATTTGTGGGAAGTGCCTGAAATCAACGGTGAAGTTGCTGACTGTTTAACAGCTTTACCTTCCTGGACAAGTCAAGTCATATTGACGCAGAGGCTCAGCTCTCAGCCCTGGAAATTAAGCTGGAGAGCTGCCAGGGGTCTTAGTTCTCAGGGGGGACCCACATTTCCAAATATCCATCTTCCATTTGAAACAGGATCCACATTATTCTAGCAGAAAGTATGTTATATACATTACTATGAACAGGAAATTCCAGCCCACAGAGGAAGAAGTCTTTCAGAGAGGAAGGGCCCTAGAGCCTGAGGTATGTAACTCACAGGTAGAATCACCCATTTCTATGTATAATCATCTTTAATTCATGTTCTTGTACTTTTGAAAATTAATTGATGTTTTGAGAAATATAAATGAATTTTTTGATATATTTGAGAACTCTTTGATGAGAAAAAAAAAAGTGGGCCATTTTTACAGAACTTGAGGCTACTGGCCCATGCTAAAATGCAGATGATTCACTTGGCACAAACAGGCATCTGAGTTGTTGTTTTTTAAGAGTTATCCGAAGAGGATGTTCCACTACCTGAATTATAAAATCCAGGATTGCTATTAAATTTATTGTTGTTCTGACTTAGACTGTATCGTTCAGCTCCACTAAATAAAGCTTCTTTTCAAAAGGCAGTGACCTTTTCTCTCATCAGGCGAAATAAA
Source organism: Homo sapiens (assembly GCF_000001405.40). Classification (NCBI taxonomy): domain Eukaryota; kingdom Metazoa; phylum Chordata; class Mammalia; order Primates; family Hominidae; genus Homo; species Homo sapiens. The sequence goes on along the minus strand of NC_000013.11, from coordinate 101,119,675 downwards.
AAACAAATAGCAATGTACTTTCAAAAGCATCACTACCTTTGTTGAGATTTCCTCTAATTCAAAGCCCTGAAATCGAGCAAAAAATGCATTATCGTTCCTGCAAGGCTGAATGAATAGAGAAATGTTAAAATAAAACAATTAAACATTTTACATTAGTTTAGAAAGTTCCATCCTTGTGTGGTTTGCCATGAGTACCTCCTTAGTGAGGACAATATATTTATAACCTTTCGAATGCTCAGTCTCGTATGATGTTTGCATTCTGACATTTGGTTTTATAACGTAACTTTCTTTGCCATGCACTTATATTAATAACTGTTTAAGTCTTAAGGAATAGTCTTTAGTTTAGTGCTACTTACTACAGAAAAAAATTAAACGGATTTAATAAAATACATAGAGATAGTTTTTCTCTTATCATTTTAAAAGAATCATTTAATGACTATAAATACAACTTATATACTACTTACATATATATATAATCACTATGTATTTATTAATCTGCAATTATGTAAATGACATTAGCTGGATTTTTTTTCCTGAAAGAAAGTGCCCCTAAGAATTCACGCATTCATTCGAGAAATATCTCTGTAGTGTCTCACATGCCAGGCATTTCACACCATTTGCTTTTTCCCATTTGGAAAGTTCTCCTTTTATAATTATTGTTCCATAGGTTAGCCAGCTATTCAGCAACTTTGGATAAGGTCATATTATTTCTCTGCAGCTCCGCATTCTGGGCAGAACTAGCAAGACACCCTGTACACTGCTGGGAGGGCCTGAGTACCTTACAGCGTCCCCTGGACCTTTGAGCTCAGCTCCTCAGTGGAAAGGGAAGGTGCTGGACTGACCCTACAGATGAGAGAAAGAAACGACAGAGACCCTTGCAGCCTAGGGTTTGTGCCAACCCCTGAGATAGCAGCAATTTTTTTCTTAGCATTTGGTATGAATAACCCCAAGTTTTAAGAAAATAGAGTATGAGAATGAATGTCATAAATATTTATCTTTGCAATTCTATGAAGTCTGCCTGGTTATTGTTGGCTTTTTCTTAAGATTTTCCTGACACTTAAAAACTCTGATAAGTTAGTTGAAAGACTATTTGGAAATAAGCTAAGTAGATAGATGAAAATTAACTGTATTCAGACAACCATAAACTAAGGAGACAAGATGTGTAGATATATGTTTTTGCATAAAACATAAAATAGTAAAGATTTAAAAGTGGCAAAATATAACTAAAACAAAAATAATATATTCTAATCACATTTTTAGATAGTACCTGATTTGCGGTAATCAAAATATGTTATATTTTATTGAGATAGCATATGATTTATAGATTGTTTTTAGTTAAGCCCAAAAGTGATTATAATAGTGTTATGGATTAGAAGGGCTACTATTGAGTTTTACCAAACAGATGTGGGAAGTTTTTTTTAATAGACTATTTTTTGAGCAGTTTTAGGTTTGCGGCAAAATGGAGCAAAGGTACAGAGATTTCCCATGTACCTTCTGCCCCCACACAGGCACAGTCTCCCCAACTATCAACATCCCCATCAGAGTGGTACATTTGTTACAATTGATGAACCTACACTGACACATCACTATCACGCCAAGTCTGTAGCTGACACTAGGGTTCACTCCTAGAGTACTATAGTCTATGGGTTTGAACAAATATGTGATGATGTGTATCTATCATTATAACATCATACAGAGTAATTTGAGTGCTCTAAAAATCCTCTGTGCTCCACCTATTCATTCCTCCCTCCCCACAAACCCTGGCAACCAATGATCTTTTTACTGTTTCCACAGACATAGAAATGCACATAGAAATACATAGATATGTGTCTCCATAGACATGCATTGATGTTGATGGCAGCTTTATTCCTAATTGCCAAAACTTGGAAGCAACCAAGATGTCCTTCAGTAGGAGAATGGATAAGCAAACTGTGGTACATCCAGACAGTGGAATAATTATTCAGCATGGAAAGGAAATTAGATATCATCATGGAAAGACATGGTGTAAACATAAATGCCTGTTACTGAGTAAAAGAAGTCAGTCTGAAAAGTCTACATACTGTATGATTCTAACTATATGGCATTCTGGGAAAGATAGAACCATGGAGATGGAAAGATATCTTAACAAGGTCTTTCTTTTGTTATTTTGTCACTGGAGAGTAAAGTAGTAAAGAAAAATGGAATACATATCTGTTGAAAATTGGCCAATGCAGTTCCTGCAGCATTTACAAAATTTCACTTTTATTGTAGTAAAAAGTTCAGCCTTTGCATTGTAATTTGCATGTTTCGGAGTCAGTAGTTGGGTTACTAAATTTGAAGCCCAGTGAATGATGCGGGGTTGCAGACATTTTTTATGCTGAAATTTAATAGATGCACGAAAGGCATGGATTTCTCATGAGTTAATTTTTCTTTTTTGTTTATAGTATGGGTATAAGTGCGTAAGATAAAGACATTCAAGGTTTATTTTATTTTCTGCCTACAATGAAGTTCTGGTCGCCCATGTATTTACATGCCTTTCTATGAAAACATTTTTATGAATAACACAAGATTGGGAAGAACTAACTGGCAGTTGCTATGAAAGAGCCAGATCCATTTACTCAGGATAGGGCTGACTCACAAAGGAGTGGGGTATCCACTAGGATAAAAATGCAGCTTTTTCCTCATCTCAGCAAGAGGCCATTACCGACGAGCTCACCCATTAGCATCCGCTGTTGTCTCTACTTGGGAAGATCACATTGTCACTCTAGTGGAGTCAGGTAAGAGCCATTTCCAGGAAATACTCATTATCTATTCTCTTAGTTATACAGTCATAGTTTTACATAATTACCACTGAAAGACTATTTTCCTGTTGTCTGCTAATGTGATTACATTACATTAACCAACCTTGGATAATACTTTTAAATGAATTACTTGTGGAGTTCAAGATTTGAGCAAAATCCCTCAAATGTAATGCTCTGCAAAGTTATACTGCAGTTCCTTTAGATGGTAATTACGTTTAATACCAGACGGTATTGTGTAATCTAACTTTTCTATAATGAGTGAAAATAATTTGAAGACTCATAGGCCTCTCCCTTTCATTACAGAATGTATAGGCTTTTTCCACACCCTTGTTCTGGGACATTAAGAAAGAAGACATGGAGACAAAGAAGAAAAGAACCGGGGACCCCCTGCTACTGTGTCTATAAACAACTAGTGGTGTTTAAAGGCTAATAAAGCTCCAAAGATCTCTCTTATAACCATAATCTTTGGGCCAATTTTAAAATATTTTAGATGGAGAAATGTCAAGAAAAATAGAGACAATTTCAAGACATGATTCTCTTTCCCCAACGTCCATAAAAGATTATATATATATATATATATATGGCTGTCATATAAGGAGCAATTGAAATTCCACAGCACAAAGGCAATGCAGGGGGAAAAAAAAGGATCAATCTTTCATATTATTTTTTCTCAAAGGCTTGGCAAGAAACCAGGGGTAATATTTTTGCAACTGGGAATGTGTGTTTGCTGAAGAATATTCCCACATTTGAATCATCCTCAGGGGTCCTCATCTTGTTTTACTTTCAAAGGTAGAGAGGGCATAACATTAACCCCAACTGGGAAAAGGAAAATGCCTCACTGTAATTCTCCTCCAGGGAACAGGAATAAAGGGATTACATATGCCTGCATAATGAAGAATTTCCTCACCCAGACAAGACAAAAGACTTCATTATTTTTCACCAGACACTTGAAGTCTTGTGCCTCCCAGTTGCAGAAGCTGAGGAGGCAGGCCAGTTTTTTATATGAAGCCACTAGATGGAGTTCCTAAGAAACTGGCCTTCTAGTACTTGCCATTGTGAAAAGATCTAGGGAAGATGTTAAAAACCTTGGTACCTGACACTACCCAGTCTTTCCTCTAAGAAAAGTGAGACTGTCCCTGAAGATCACAGTATTCTTCCAGTAAAATTAGCCTTGCCTTTACTCTGGGAAGCAAATAAATGAGCATTTTCTTTCTGAAAATGCACCTCCTTTGTCCTTACATGAGACCAAAAGGCATCTCAATACTAATGAAAAATGTAAAGTGGCAAAATATAACAAAATGGAATATTCAAGTTCTTCTCCTTCTGGGTAGGTCTGTTACTTCGTAACTTTAAGGATGTATGCATCTCATTTCTTATATAAAATATTGGAAGTCTCAAATTTTGTAGTTACTCACTATTTCGGCTTGCAAGTATTAGATTCCTGTAAGAGGAGGTATATGGAGACTATGTTCCCAGCAACAGATCTGATCTCCAGTTAAAGAAATTGAACTAAGTTCACCTGCTACAGCCTGCTCTGCTCCCTCTTGGCTTTCAGGCTTCCCTAATAGCTTTCACATACAACATAGAGAAAGATGTATGAAGTTTTTAGTCGTAAGAAGCAATGTCTTTTTTTTTTCATTACTGTCTCTTCTAGTGTAGGTATGCAGCCCATTATTCTTGAGTGGCATCATATTCTAACTTGAGATAAAATTAAGATTATTTAACTTGCCCCTTTAAAAGTATATTTTAAACACATGCTGTTTTGTCCGTGATTATTTTCATGCTTCAAAAGCAGGGAGTGATCAGAAAAGAAAATATTTGATCTTCACGGAATTTCAAGGTTCATTCATTCCACAAATATTTATTGAGCACCTACTGTGGATAAGAGCTGAGAAATAATCATGACCAATTTTAAAGAAAACCCTACTCTCTTAGAGCTCTTTGGAGCATGGCATATGTGACGAACTAAAAGAACAAAGAAAATGGCATGGAGAGAACGAGGTTCCTCCTGGTAAAGATGAGACCAGAAAGGGAGGTTAGAGGGACACTAAACGGGGCTGTGCAAGCCATGCTGCTCGTTAGGCTTAGTCTTTTTAAGGCAGTGATAATAACCGCATTCGTGATCTATTGCTGCAGGACAAATTACTCCAAAACTTAAGTGATTTAAACAACACGTTTTTCATCTCACAGTTTTAGTCAGGAATCTGGGCATCCCTTAGTCATGTCTCTCTCCAAGCTGCATGCATTTGGACTTGAATGGGAAGAGCCCCACTCAATCGCATGGTTGTTAGTGGATTCAGTTCCTCGTGAGCTGTGATATGAAGGCCTCAGTTCCATCCGGTTTGCTGGATTCCTCCCCAAGTGGAACTCTCCGTAGAGCACCTCACAATATGCAGCTTGCTTCACCAGGGCAAGCAAGCAAGATGGGAAGAGCAAGTCAGCGAGAGAGAGAGAGAGAGAGAGAGAGAGAATGAATATGCTATGTAGAGTGTTATAACATCCACCATGACGCGGGAAAAGATACAACAGGAAATAATAGCAACTAAAATTCAAAGAAAGCGTTGATGTTTCCAAAGCACTGTCACATTCATAATCATCTTTACTTCTTCCAGCTCCCTGTGAAGTCAGAAGGAAAGGCATTATTGTTCTCTGCATTTTACATATGGGAAATGGAGGCTTAGAGAAAGCACATCACCTGTCTAAGGTCCCACAGCTTATAAAAGCTGAAGTCAGAAGTGTGTGCTTTTAAAGCTTATGTTTTCTCAACTCATCTTCTCCATTAGGCTTCCAGACAAAGGCAGAACTTTCCATCAGCAGCTGCACTGCAGGGTGCACTTCTTTGAACCATGAGAGGCTAGCAAGTTAGGGATGGGGTCACACAGTCCCCACGCACCTGCCGCTACCCTCCCTACTCACCCCTCCCCACCTTTTCACTTACTCATTCTGTTCATCAGGCAGCATGAGGGCCAGAAACTGAACTTCCTAGGAATGGGAGGCTGAGTGATAAAGTGGTCCCTAATCAACTCACAGCCTAGTAAGGGGAATAACTAATGATAACAAAATGCCATGAGCGTTAAACAAGCTTGGTTAATAACATACTGTAGGAACATGGAGTATAAAACAAGTCTTTTTTTGTGCTTTCACATAGGTGAAATATTCATTTCTCATTTCATGTTACTTTTCAGAGCCCATTTATATCAGTCTGTCATTATACTGTGCATGTTAAAACACTATTTGGTATTTATTTCATGGTTTGCCTTACTGTATATGCTTATCTATAGTAACATTGTATTCCCTTTAAAAAATAATAAAGCAAACTTTTACCATGCTTTTGTATGAACCTGGGCACATTGGATTAGAGTATATGTAACCTCTTAGCAGGTCTGATTGTGTCCAACTGAAGTTCATAGCTTTCTGCCAACACTGTTATTTTCCAAAATAGCAAAATTTCTTACATGACCAACAAATGTGACAATGGCTTAGGCTGTACAAGGCTGTTTCATTATGCAGAAACGTCCTATCATGGGAATCTTTCTATACCTGTCTCAATGTCCAGGTGAGCTCTAGGCCAAAGGGTCATAAAACTTCCTTCCCATTGCCTTGCTCCTGCATCCACCGTCCAACCTCAGGTTTATAACTTCCATCTGCGGTCCTTCCCTCATTCACCAGGAACCTGTGTGTGGCCAGTGGTCTCCTTGTATAATGGAATAAGATTTTTCAGAATGTTCTCGTTAGACATATTTATATATCTGTAGAAAAGTTGCTTCATGCTGTTTAGTAAATGAAAAATAGTGATTATTTAGGGTTTGTTTCCAAGAATACATTTACATTCAGTGAATTTGTATGATTTTTCATAGATATTCACCATAATTATCTTCATCCACATTAAAAACATTTTTAAGGACTTAAATATGACATATTTAGTAAGTTCTTATATAATGTATTACTATATAATAAGTTCTTATATGATGTATTATATAAGTTCTTCTGTAATATATGTGTTATATTTAAATACTTAAAAATGCTTCTATTATACATGTATCATAAGAGCTGCTATTTTAAGTGCGCTAAGCACATACAAATCTTTTTCTCAAAGATCTTAATTCTCAGACAGATGGTAATCATATTCAAAGCCATTCAAGAAATGCATTTTAAGAAACATAAATGTGAAAATAATATGTAAAAAATGGCAGAATTGTGTGTTCAGGTGTTGAGCAAATAGAGTATCATTAGATTTGCATATCATAAAATCATTGCATTTTCAACCTGTGAGCTATCTTTCAGAGCAAGGCTTTCTCTTCATTTTACCAATGAGGAAGTTAGGCCCAAAGATCACTCAACTACTTCATAACAGTGTAACTTCTGGCACACAGGTCTTTTAATCCCTTGTGTTATTTTCTTGCCACTTATCAACTATCTCAAGGGAATTCCTGTCATTCCCAGTTGGAGAAAATTTTCTGGAGAATAATTTTTTTTTCTCACCAAAATCATTCACACCACAGGTGTTAGGCCACCCAATTGTCTTCACTCATTAGCAAATCAGAAATTAACACAAGTCCAGTTATTGTCCAAAAAGAACATGTTTTTAAAAGTCTTCGTGGTTTAAACAAGTGGTAACTGGTTACCAGTAAGCTGCAAGCTTCAGATTGAGGTTTCTGTAGGTAATAATTCCAAAAACTGTGTGCTTTTTTTTTTTTTTTGAACTGTGGTTTTAAAAACAACACATAACATTTACCATCTAAACCATTTCTAAGTGTACAGTTCAGTCGTGTTAAGTATGTTTACATTGTTGTGCATAATTCCAGCTTTAGTTACTTCTCTTTATGACTCATTTTTGCTTGTAAGCTTATGTTTTCCTATCTTCCTAAAGTTCTACAAAATCTCCTTGGAACATATATTTAATCATTCCAGGAGCCTGAGTGGACAAATCCTTCCCAAAGGGGGTTTATTAGAAACCTTGTTTAAATTCAAAACCGACATCATGATTGCCTGTGTGTATTAATCTGTTTTCATGCTGCTAGTAAAGACATACCTGAGACTGGGCAATTTACGAAAGAAAGAGGTTTAGTGAACTTACAGTTCCACGTGGCTGGAGAGGCCTCACAATCATAGCAGACGGTGAAAGGCACGTCTTATATGGCAGCAGACAAGAGAAGAGAGCTTGTACAGGGAAACTCCCCTTTTTAAAACCATCAGATCTTATGAGACTAATTCACAATCACGAGAAAAGCACAAGAAAGACCTGCCCCCATGATTCAATTACCTCCCACCGGGTCCCTCCCACGACACATGGGAATTCAAGATGAGATTTGGGTGGGGACAAAGCCAAACCATATCACTGTGGGTAGGCTGGCCTTCTGCTTATGGTGTCCTGATAGAAGCTCTACCATTATTTTTGGAAAGGAGGGAGGAGGCAGAAGGAGGAGGGGCAAGAGGGGAGCTTTCTGTTTATTTTCCAGCCCTTCTTCATAGCTGTGATACTTCTGCTTTGTAAGTGTTCTTGACGCAGAGCGTAAAGTTCATTTTCCTTTATAATTATACGTTATTTGCTGTATTTTGTGTTTTCATTGGTGTTGCCTTTAAAATAATAAAAGTAATGAGCACTTATGTGTTATTCATCTCAAGTGTACAAACCATGCATTTATCTTGGGCTCCTTTTTTTTTCCTAGAGCTTGCACCCGACAGCGCATGCTGAGCGGATCATTTGAGGGGCAGCCCGCAAAGGAGAGGTCAATCCTCAGCGTGCAGCATCATATCCGCCAAGAGCGCAGGTAAATACTTGGGAAGACAGGGCTTCAGAGACTCTAAAAAAGGGGGGTTTTACAGGAAATGGTCGCTGTACACAGTCACGGCTGTCAGCCCTGGCTGCCAGACAGGCATGGCTGAGGAATCGCGTTCTATTTGCTGTTTGTTACAATAATGAAACACCTAATCAGATCCAAAGATTCAAAAAAATCTCTACTTCACAATCCTTTTCCTTAGAGATGGCCAAATTCTCACCTTTAAGATCAGAAGGAAAAATTCTGAATTTTGTTAGATGGGATCAAAGACATTTGGAGAGAGTATAAGCTTCTGCTATGAAAAGAAATCATAGGCATTTGTGGCGTTGTAGCAGAAAAAGTGTTTTATTTTGATTTTATCATGGTCACTGCTTGAAAGGCCAGTTTGATCTTGAGATGTATTAACCAGTGCCTGTGGTTGTTTTAGGTCACTAAGACATGGATCAAACAGCCAGAGGATCAGCAGGGGAAAATCTCTTGAAACTTTGACTCAAGATGTAAGTTTTAAGCAATGCTTTGGATTTCAGAAACGTGATTATGAAAATGTATTTAAATGACTGCTTAGACAATGCCCAGTGTCTTTCTGCTGCATTCCCATGTCTCCTTAAGACTTCATACCAGAGGGAATCAGGAAACTCAGGATATGAATTATGTAGCCAAGTATCAGAAGTAACTGTTAACAGCAGAAAACTCCAGTCATCCCACACAAAGCACATGTCTTAGTTAAAATAGTAACACAAAAGTGTCATTATCAGTTGGATTTGACTTGAAATTAAAGACATTTTAAGCATTGTATATAGGATTGATTTGCATCATTGACTTTGAATATTCACTGAGAATCGAATATTCTAGAATCTAGATCAAGGGTCTATAATTTCAGGGCTTTATATATTAGGAAGTGAAATTTTATTTCTAGAAGAATTTTCCTGTCAAGGACTACCTAGTATTTCCCAGGAAAGCTTTTTGCTTTTAGACTCTAAGTCATGGATTTATTTACTGGCTCTATAAATAGTTATCAAGTGTTTGCTCTGTGCTGGGTTCTGTTTTAAGGAACGAGGAGCAGTGGGGTAATAAGATAGACTCAGTGCCCTCCTGGAGCTTAAATTTTAGAATAGGAGACAGATAATAAGTTCATAAAAATATAATGGAATTTCTGGAGTGATTTCTTTTTATTTTCCATCATCTCTTCATTACTGTGACAGATTTGCTTTATAATGTAAAGTAAAATGAAGTCATGTAAATAAATCAAAGGTGGGGATTTGGGGGCAGGGAATTTTAGATACGATGGTTATCGTAGACCCATCTGCATTATCCCGGAGACCCAAATGAAATGAAGGAGACATGAAAAAAATGCAGAGAAGCCAAGCGTTATATGGCCCAGCAGCTATACCATGCAAAGATTACAATGAAAGGTTTGGGAAATGCATATTAAATAACCGTAATTATGAAGCCCTGGTAAAAAGACAGGCGTTAGGTTGAATCTGGATGAACTGGCTTAAAAAGTAATCTTGAATGTTCAGAGCCAAGGATGGCACTTGAGAAAGGAGGGCTAGCAAGAGAAAGTTAGCAAAGCCTTGGGGTTATTTCGTTTTTCTCTTTTTCACCACTTATCTCTTATTTCTTGAGCTTTTGGAGTGCTTGCCTACTACATCTGCTTTCATTCTGTAGAAACTGCTGTTTTAGTCCAAGTACATGGTTTTTATTAAGTGTTCCGGGCAAAATCAAGAGCGAGAAGTTGGCAATGAGAACACCTGATATCACCAATACCCTATAGACATGGTTCTAGTTGGCACAGAGCTCTGTTTACCACCATGATTTTTAATATCCATAGCTCTATCTGATTGGCTACCATATTGTTGACATAGAATTGCCATCAAATCCAACATATGGCCTGCGCAACTTAGAACTGCAGAGTCAGCCATATTGCACGGAGAACATTTTCAGGTGAAAAGTCAAAGAGGCAACCCTCATTCAAAGCGCCTTCAATATGTTTCAACCGAAATGTACAACCTACTTAAGAATCAAATCAGAACATGTCTTTGAAAATAATGTGTTTAAACATAGACAGCAAAGGCCCTATTTGAATAGTCTCAGTGCCGGAGCTTACTTCTTCAGAGACTTCCTACCCTATTTTTCATGTAGAAGTATAGTAAAATCCATCTCCCACCTTCTCCATAGCAAAATGCCATGGGGTTCTGATCATTTCCAATAAATTCTTATAATGTCTTTTCTCCCACAAAGGGGAGATTTAAATTAGAGAATTTTAACTTTTTCACTTATTCTGAATGATAGCAGACACAGATAATTAAGTCTAAGGAGTGCTTTCTGTAAAATCTACTGAGTTACTGGAACTCTGGCCTTGCACCTTCCATGGGGTCCATCTAAAGGGCTGTGAAGGGCCTGCATGGCCTGCTCACCTCTCTTAGCTTTACCCACACTGGCATCCTGGCTATTCCACATGTAGACACGCCAGGCCTGCTCCTAGCTCTGGAAGAACACATTTCTGTAGTCCTACCACAGCCTGCACCCTCACCTCCTTCTAGTCTTTCCTCAAATAGCACCTTCATATTGAGGTCTACCCTGACCTGTTCATTTAAAATCATAATCTTCTAGCCTGTCTATGTCTCTCTATGCCTTTCACCCATTGTGATTTTTTAAAAAATCGGATCACTAAGCATCCTCTTACATACTTATTTTGAATTATTTTTTATCTGTCTCCCACTGACTAGAACATCCTATGAGAATAAGGATGTTTTGTTTCCACTTGCCATATCCTGCACACTAGAATAGTGCCTGGCACATAATAGGATTTCAATCAATATGTGCTGAATGAATTACTTTTTAGAGGAACAAATACTCTTGCTATGAAGACTGTGGCCATTAAATATGTACATTTAATCGTATACATATTTTATATACTGTAAATTTATATATTTAATGTAAGTATATACATTTACTTTAAATTACATATTTAATGTAAATATATACCTTTAGTATAAATATACATAATTATAAATATATACATTTCATATAGATATATATTTATTGTAAATATATACTTAGTATAAATATACATATTTAATGTAAATATATACATTTAGTGTAAATATACATATTTGTTGTAAATATATACATTTAGTATAAATATACATTGTAAAATATACATTTAATATAAATATATAAATATATGTTTAACAGTAAATATATGTAATTAATATTTATACTTTATATTGAGGGAGATATTAGTTTTAAGTTTTTTAACTGATAATATATTTTGCATTCAAAACCCTCCTGTTTTAACACACCCCCTGTTAATTTATTTCTAGCATTCCAATACAGTGAGATATAGAAATGCACAAAGAGAAGACAGTGAAATAAAGATGATTCAGGAAAAAAAGGAGCAAGCAGAGATGAAAAGGTACAGGTTGCTGCAGTGTCCCATGGCTCTCATTCGGGAATGGCAAAATTTCCCTTAGCCTCATTCTCCCATGAATTTCTCCTTCAAGGAAAGTGCAAGAAGAGGAACTCAGAGAGAACCACCCATACTTCGATAAGCCACTGTTCATTGTCGGGCGAGAACACAGGTTCAGAAACTTTTGCCGGGTGGTGGTCCGAGCACGCTTCAACGCGTAAGTACACTTCATTTCAGCCAGGTGTTTGGCCTGAGCCATGCAAACAGCAGGGGTGTTGTCATATGAAGAAGAAGGAACGTGTAATCCTAATGGGGTCACAAAATAAACTGCGGACTAATTAATCATGCTGCTCCTCTTTGCTGAACACCCGACCAGGTGGAAAACAAAGGTCGCAAGTAGTTAACATTTATAGAAAACTCGCATTGATAAAACACAAAACAGCCATTTTCGTTTGTGCATTTTAACAGTTTCCTGATACACTTATATCGGCATTATTAACTCCATATTTTATTTTGGAAGTACTGAGACAAAAGGAGACTAAAGGACATGGTGAAAGGAAGGTCATTGTCCATGTCTTCCATGAGGCTTGTAGTTCCTTTGTGGTAAAAATACCTCAATTTGTTTTTTGGAGAATAACGTAAAGTTGATTAGTGCTTTCATTACCAACTGTTATAAGAAGGAAACCCACTGTTCACTGTCTCTACCCTACCAACATGGAAGAAATGTGTAAGAAGCCGTAAGTAGAGTGGACATTGAAGACACTAGTTGTGGACACCTAAGCCAAGTTTGACAGGCAACAAATGGATGAAATGGATTTTTGTCAAGCATACCTGTATGAGTCCATTTTCATGCCACTGATAAAGACATACCTGAGACTGGGTAATTTATAAAGAAAAAGAGATTTATTGGATTCACAGTTCCAAGTGGCTGGGGAAGCCTTTCAATCATGGTGGAAGGCAAAAGGCACATCTTACATGGCAGCAGACAAGAGAGGGAAGTGAAAGCAGAAACCCCTCATAAAATCATCAGATCTCATGAGACTTATTCACCACCACAAGAACAGTATGGGGGAACCGCCCCCATGATTCAATTATCTCTGACTGGGTCCCTCCTACAACATGTGGGAATTATGGGAGCTACCATTCAAGATGAGATTTGGGTAGGGACGCAGAGCCAAACCCTATCAGTACCTTTAAGTAAATATTCTGAAGACATTAAGAGTCATGGAGGAAATGAGAAAACTTTCCATGTTCCCATTATGTAGTTGGAGTGTCCCTGATGCCATCGTTTAAGTAAATTGATTTCTTTGTTATTAATTAGTAGCATATGATAATCACTATCTGTTATGGACTGAATTGTTCCCCCTCCACAAAATCCATACGGTAGAGTCCAAACCCTCAGAACCTCAGAATGTGACTGTATTTGGAAATAGGAATTTTAAACAGGTTAATTAAAATGAGATCATTAGGGTGGGCCCTAATCTAATATGATTGGTTTCCTTAAGAGAACATTTGGACACAGACATATACAGAGAGAAGACCTTGCGAAGACACGTAGGGAGAAGACGGCTCTCCACAAGTCAAGGAGACAGCCCTGGAACAGGGTTTTCCCTCACAGCCCTCAGAAAGAACCAACTCAGCTGGCATCTTGATCTTGGATTTCCAGCCTCCAAAACTATGAGAAAATAAACTTATGTTGCTTGAGCCATCCAGTCTTAAGCACCAGTGGTACTTTGTTACAGCAGCTCGAGGAAACTAATACACACTATTATAACATTTCAGGGATGGAAGAGACCTCAGGGACCACTCGGTGTCATTTGTGTGCCCCCTCCTTCAACAGAGGAGGACATTTAAGCGTGCAGAAGTTGAGGGCTTTGCTCAGGGACCCAGCTACTACCTGGCTCTCTCTTGATTGCCAGACTATTGTTCTTTCTGCTGTTCTATAAAGACTTTCACAATTTAAAGCAACTGAGTCACAATTATTAAAATCTTCCATGAGTTTTCAAAGTAAAGGAAGAAAATGCCATTTTGGAGATTGATTTGATCAGTTCTTGAAGTACGTTTTTTTTATCTTGAATTATCCTGTTGGCTGCCTGTACCTTAACATCTCATGGTTAATTCTCCACTTCACTTAGTGTGATGTAATTTCCCTTTTATCAGCAAGGCAGCTGATGTTGAATACAATTGATGAAGACTCTGTTGTAATTGGGGACACATACACAAAGACTGTAAGCAATCTCATTGACAGTGCTCACAGGCTTCCTGAAAGTAGAAACAACGACTCTCCCTTCCAAGAAATTCTAAATAAATCATTCTACCACATCACAGTTAAATGCAGGGGGAAGAAGTCTATTTAAATTATGGAGTATTTAATTAAATAATCTTGAATAACTAACATTCTTGAACTATTAAGGCAAAGATTTCAAATGAGTGTTTTTAAATGAAAGTCAAAACTTAATTTTGTACTACCCATGTCAGAAAATTCTGAACAAAGTCACAAAGTCTAAAATCAAGTATTTTGAGAAATATAAAACTTTATTTTCATAAGCATCAACTGCAAATTCTTTGGATTTTTTCTTTCATCAATGTTCTCTGACCTCCAGAGTTACCTACAGTTAACATATTTTATAATGGACATTGTAGAGAGGCTGTAAAAGAGATTTTAGGTAGATGAGATGTTTGCAAATATGATTTTTAGCAAGTTAAAACATGCTTGCTTTGTTGCAGAATTTTATATATGTGTTCTCTTACAGATCTAAAACAGACCCTGTCACAGGAGCTGTGAAAAATACAAAGTACCATCAACTTTAGTAAGCATCACCAACTTCATTTTCCATGCACATTTAAAGTTTTCATGTACTATTTTATGCTGCATACAACGATTAAAATTCTCTTTTATTTTCTTGCTATATAGTGCTATGAAATAGATGATTGGGGAATGATGTTTTTAAAATACCAGTCATGTTGATAGAGCCACAGAAGCCATCATCTCTAACTCTTAGAAGCCTTTCCTGGAACCTTTATGTTTCTCAATTTTGTTTGGTCTTTGGCAGTGATTTGCTGGGATTGGTCACTTACCTGGACTGGGTCATGATCATCGTAACCATCTGCTCTTGCATTTCCATGATGTTTGAGTCCCCGTTTCGAAGAGTCATGCATGCACCTACTTTGCAGGTACCGCTTACCGCTGCAAAATCTCAGCTTACAACTAGGAGGTAAAATACTGACCTGCTGTTTTTCCGTTCATTGTAACCAAACTGCCTTTTGCCCGTTTCAGATTGCTGAGTATGTGTTTGTGATATTCATGAGCATTGAGCTTAATCTGAAGATTATGGCAGATGGCTTATTTTTCACTCCAACTGCTGTCATCAGGGACTTCGGTGGAGTAATGGACATATTTATATATCTTGTAAGTCTTTGCTTATTGCCTAAATGAAAAATGTAATGGTTTTGTAAAATCTCCTGCATTTCTTGGTATAAGCGCAAGAGGTATGAGTTACAGAGGCTTAGATTCCCTAACCGAATTCTTAAATGGACTCTAGAGTAGTTCATTATATGCAAATAAGGGCCATGCATGTAAAATCTAAATTAAGAGCATCATAAATATCTATGGATAGTTATATTGTTCAAATACACTAATCACAATTTTATGTATGAATGAGACATACATTAATAAGGTCTAACATGGCAAATCTAGTTTGCATCCCACAAACCTTATGGCTTCTATACTAAAAAAAAAAAGTTTGCCTCATATAAACCATGTTATTGATTATGAGCCCCTTATTGCTGAAAGCAAACTAAAGTGATTGTGATTGTATCTCTCTCCTGATTCCATTGCATAAAATACCTGGCTATAGCAGTTGCCCATTCAACTGTCTAGTAAAACTCGCTGGAAAACCATAGAAATGGGCTCAGAGAATTTTTTATTTTTCCTGTATGTCCAAGGAGGCATGAAATCAATGTCTTTGCAGAGACAACAAGGAGAATTGTGATCATTAACAAGTAGCATGTTGCAGGTCATTAATAAAATAGCAGTAACCTTGATAAAAGGAATTCCAGCCAGATCGACATCAGTGGAGCCTCCAGAGTAGTAAGTTAAAAGAAGAGGCAGAACGCACTGGTGTACACACACACACACACACGGTGTGGACACCCCCATTTCTTTCCTGCATACACATGATGACTTTCCTTTGAGGTACCTAGCAAGTCTAGATGAGGTTTGTTGTTTAAAGTTAACAGATGGCACGTACAACCAGTGAGTGGAATCTCTGCTAAATGAAAAGTTGTGGCCAGTCGGCTGTCAGAAAATGTAAATAGTAGGGGATGAATTGTATAAATTCCAGAGATCATTTGTTCCCCTTTAGGTGAGCTTGATATTTCTTTGTTGGATGCCTCAAAATGTACCTGCTGAATCGGGAGCTCAGCTTCTAATGGTCCTTCGGTGCCTGAGACCTCTGCGCATATTCAAACTGGTGCCCCAGATGAGGAAAGTTGTTCGAGAACTTTTCAGCGGCTTCAAGGAAATTTTTTTGGTATGTGAGAATTATCCTTTGATTCCAGTTCACAGTAGTCCACCTCTAATGCAGCTAATGAGGGAAAAGTGAGTCTTGCTTATTGAGGTCAATTCAATAGTTTTGGTTATTGCCAGAGGGTAATGGAGGCACTAACAAAACACAATGCACCTTCAAACACTTTACTCATGGGCACTTCTGGCGTATGAGTTTATTTAATTCACCTAAAGAGAAGCACTCTGAGATTTGAAAGAGTTCCTATCTGCTGACTCTTTCGGTACTAACCTCTTGACTCTAATTCCTACTCTGGGTTTTAGTTTCCTCCCATCTGAAAATGAAGGATAAGAAGATTCAACACTGTGTACTCCACAAATGGGATTAGGAATTCATGCTTTTGGGCTCCTAATCTCATTCTGTGTGTTCCTGAAATAATATAGCACAGAATTTGTCTTTAGATCTCAGGAGTGTTAACATAAAACAACTTTAAAAATGCAACATATAGGTATAACCCACTTCAATTAACTTCAGCATTACAGTAATGAGTGATTACAAAGATGATTGAGGGGGCAAAACGTACTTTCTAGCTGGGCAAACATTGATTTAGGGTCTTCTGAAAACAAGGTCAGAGATAAAACAACAAGAAAGAGGCTCATTGTTCACAATCTGTTACAGAAAGATCTTTGCCTTACAAAACAGTGATCAAAAGTTTTTTTTATTATTGATGAGGTCTGCTTGTGCATGAGAAGCATGAATTAATTTACATAGGCTTGTTTTGTATCTTGCTTTCTAGAGACTTACCTGTGATGAGAAAACAGCTGTAGTTGTAGTTGACACAAATGTATTTTAAAGATAGATTGTGATGTTACTAGAGGTATATATATCATTACTGACTTTTTTTTTCTTTTTTTTTGAGACAGAATCTTGCTCTGTCGCCCAGGCTGGAGTGCAATGGCGCAATCTCAGCTCACTGCAACTTCCACCTACTGGGTTCAAGAGATTCTCATGCCTCAGCCTCCCAAGTAGCTGAGACTACACGCATGTGCCACCACTCCCAGTTAATTTTTTGTATTTTAGTAGACACGGGGCTGCACCATGTTACCCATGCTGCCCTTGAACTCCTGACCTCAGGAGATCCACCCACCTCAGCCTCCCAGTTGCTGAATTTCTTTTTTAAGATGGGTTTAAAAATTCTTGTTTTCTTTATGCAAAGCCATAAAACAGTGACTCTTCACACAGCTGGAATTAAAAGAAAATATCACCTGACTGCTAATGTATATGAATCTTTTGATCAATAATAAATTTTAGAGGAGAATTTGTGCCTTTCCCTAATGGTGGTCAGTGTGATTTTAGTACACTTAGGTATATGTTTAGGTTATTCAACCAGTGCAGTTCACTTGTTCCATATTTTGCCCTCTGCCACTCGTCTCTGCTGAGACCAAAGAAGTCAGCCAGCAGAGGGAGCATGAGTTAATTAACAGATTTGCTCTTCAGGACTGAATTCTCTCCTCTCCTCTATGCATAGAACATTCTCCTAACGCACACCTTCACAGTTACAAGACAGCTAAGCCACTGTCCCGCTCATTTGTGCTCTGCTAATAAAAATATGAATCCAGGCCAGGCATAGTGGCTCACGCCTGTAATCCCAGCACTTTGAGAGGCCCAGGCGGGTGGATTGCCTGAGGTCAGGAGTTCAAGACCAGCCTGACCAATATGATGAAACCCTGTCTCTACTAAAAATACAAAAATTAGCTGGGCTTGGTGGCGTGTGCCTGTAGTCCCAGCTACTCGGGAGGCTGAGGCAGTAGAATTGCTTGAACCCAGGAGGTGGAGGTTGCAGTGAGCTGAGATTGCACCATTGCACTCCACCCTGGGGGACAGAGTGGCACTCCATCTCAAAAAAAAAAAAAAAAAGAAAAAAAAATAAATATATATATGTCCATTTGGGAAAAAATAGACAAAATATAATTACTTAAACATTTTTTTCCTTTGTTCCATTAAATAAAAAAGATCAAGGTGTTGATTTTAAAGTCAGAAAAGTTCAAGCCATATCAAAAATACCTTATTCCATTTTCTTACATGAAATTCATGTTTCCATTTAAAAAATTCAAAGCTTGTTAATTTTCTCCTTTTGACCTTCCAGTAAGGCTAATTGTGTGACCTATGGTGGAGAAGTTAAAATATATCATCAAAAACCCATGATTTTTATACAATGTTATCTTAGAAGTCCTATTTATGTCACTGTTTAAACCAAACCTAATATTTAGTCTTTAACAAGAGATTTAACATTTCATCAATTTCTTTCAGGTCTCCATTCTTTTGCTGACATTAATGCTCGTTTTTGCAAGCTTTGGAGTTCAGCTTTTTGCTGGAAAACTGGCCAAGTGCAATGATCCCAACATTATTAGAAGGGTAAGATGTATCTTTCTGTCTTTTGAAATAAAAATTAAGGGCCAAGTGTGGTGGCATGTGCCTACAATCCTAGCACTTTGGAATGCCAAGGAGGGAAGATTACTTGAAACTGGAGGTCAAGGTTGCAGTGAGCTATGATCTCACCACTGTACTCCAACCTGGGCAACAGAGCGAGAGCCCTGTCCCTAAAAAGAAAACAAAATAATAATAAGGTGTTTACACTCCCTTGGCAAGCATGTGGTACCAGTGGCTGACAAGCCTAGTTTAAGAACTCCCTATAAAACCCTAAGAATTCTCTTCCCACAAACCCCTTTTTGCTTAAGCATGTGATATGTCTCTTCTGGCTAGAAAGGTTAATAAGATGAAAAGCACACCTCAGAGAATGTCACTCTTCCCTCCTATTCCAGTGTCAACCCACTGTTGACAACTTGAGTGTGGTCACCCAAGATTCCAGCTGTTTACAGCTGTAAGCTTTGGATACTTTCCCTTGAGGTCTTAGCTAACTTGATCCTTCCTTTGTTGTCACATAAGACTCATATC
The DNA here is from genome assembly GCF_000001405.40 of Homo sapiens. Taxonomy (NCBI): domain Eukaryota; kingdom Metazoa; phylum Chordata; class Mammalia; order Primates; family Hominidae; genus Homo; species Homo sapiens. The sequence goes on along the minus strand of NC_000013.11, from coordinate 101,100,243 downwards.
AGCAAACAGCCCCATGCAAAAATGTCCAAGAAGCAGCGTTTGGTTCTCACCACTTTTTATTGCTTCCCCACTCTCAGCTTTCTCCCCATTAGAAAGCCAGTGCCTTTACATTAGCTCTAGCTGCCCAGAATCTCCCTCTTTATGACAACCAACAAGGACCTCCACAAAGACCCAAACTTGAATACTTGCACTACGGCGTTTCTTTCTCTTTCTTCAGTCATTGGTTATAAGGGAAGGCTAGCTGCTGTAACAAGCCCAATATTTCGGTAGCTTCACATAATGAAATGTATATATTGCATCTTGGATCAGTTGCAATATATACATTTGCAATATATACACTATATACAGCTCTCCTCCAAATGACCACTCAGGGACTCACATGCCTTCTATCCTATGCCGCCACCCTTTGCCATGTCTTCAGAGCCTTCTTCAATGAGCTGGAGATAACAGTGGAGAGCCATCTCCAACTGAGTGGGCTGTGGGAGAATCTGCTCCACCCACATTCCTCTGTAAAGAGCAGAGATACTGCAAGGGGGGCTGGAATTTAGTTGTGTGCTCCAGAAAAATAAAAGGGGGACACAGTTTGGTTAATAATTAGACAATTTTTGTAATATCATAAAGTGTCCCATTCTCTTAGGATTCTTATGTTACAAGTAAATTCATAAAGTAAACCAACCACTGCTGATGTATAAACTAGAAAAGCATTTTCTCTTTGATCCCAATAAAATGATGCCTCAGTTCCTAAATGTATATCTTCAAAAGGCCTACTAGACCTGAACTACATTATTTATTTCTAGCAAATATGGCTATCTAGTATAGATTTTAAATGATACAAATTGTTCTCTAATTGTGACAAAATACAGGTAACATCTTTGTTCAGCCAAAATACATTATAAATTATATTAATAATGAGAATTTGAAACAAAGGCCAGACTGGGAGAGACATTCCAAGAGCTTTGATACACCTGAGAAGACAGAACAAGGAATGTGGCCTGACGGTCATGCCGTATCAAATTAGCTGATAAAGAAAGTGACAGAGACCTGACGCATTCATCCACAAGCTTGTGTGTGGAAAGAAGAGTGATTTTTGATCCACACTGAACAGAGGCCAGAAAGATAATAACACTTCAGGATGAAGCCTGCTAGGAATCTTGGATGACTCAGTATATTAACAGTGGCCTAAGAGCATGGTGATTTTACATTATCCACTCATACCCAGCCAAAGCTGAAGATTGATGGTGACAGCAGCCAGCAGATGAGCATAGACACAGATTTCATGATGCATTTATCCTGTTTCCTAGAGCAGTGAGGTCTGTGCGAGGCTCAGATGGAAAGCCTAAGGAGACTCAGCCATCATAGAGAGCACCAGCACCAAGCAGAACGATTGAAAAGAAATTGGCACGGTGAGACGGGGCTTGAGTCTTTTTGTCTTCTCAAATCCAAACATAAGAGGCCGAGGCCGAGGCCAAAAACGCCATGAGTGAAGGTGACGTCGGCTGAAGTTCTGTTGGAGAACTTCAGCCCATCTTACTAAAAGAAGAGATAAATCCAAAGAAAGGGGGAAAGTAGATACACCAACATTTAGATCACACACAGTTCCTGTTAAAGACAACGAAGCTTCAGTTGCTGCGCCCATAGTTTCCAGTTGGGAAGATGTGTTTTCTTGTATGAGGCTGAGCACTTCCTCCCTCTGCTCCTTTGTTTGTTGTCTTAAAACTCAACAGATGTCATGAGATCAATATAGATATAGATATGGAGCCTAGGACTTTGTCACCAAAACCCTGTAAACAAACGCTGAGGATACCTTTTGACAAATAGTCATTAAATGTCAGTTGTGTCCAAGGCACTGTGATAGGTGAAATGAAATGTGGAAGGGAAACATTAGGAGGTCCTTGCTTCTGTTTTGTGGCATTTTCTGTCCAATCAGAACGTGTTTCATGTTCAAGCAACAGTAATATAAAGTCAGCAGTTTTCAAAAGCCTATGAGAAGCAGAAATAACATGTAATCTATGATGTCAGCATGGGAAATTGTGCTTCCAACTGGGAGTACTGTACTGGGAGGGCTTCAGGGAGGAGGTGGGATTTGAGATGAGCAGGAAAGGACCTTCCAAGGAGAGCAAGCAGTGAAGAAGGACACGGAGCATACAAAGAAGGGTCACAGTGTAGAGGCAGGGACCGAACAAGGAGGAAGGAGCATGGGCTTCGAAATCACAGCTTCTGAGATTGGAATCCTACTTCAGGAGAGGTGATGGCCTGGTCTGGTCACTTAATCCTTCTGGAACCTATTTCTGCCTTGAATGCTTCTCACACAATGATATTATGAAGATTAGATTACCTTGTTTATGCGAAGTACCTAACCTGATCTCAACAGTGAGTGTTAATTTCATTCCCGCCCATGTAGGAAAAAACTGAAGAACAAGGCCAGAAATGTAAGTTAGGGAGAGATCCTCAAGTGCCTGAAATGCCTGGCTAAGGGGTTTGGAATTTCGTTGATGAGAAGTGAGAAACCACAAAAGGTTGGTAAGAAGAGGAATCAGACACATCCTAGTGCCCACAAAGTACAAAGCACCATTCCTAGTGCTGTTTTTGTTACCCATATCCTAATGAGGATATCCATTCCTAATGAGGAAAACAGGTGTAGAAAGATTAAATAATTTGTCCAAGGTCACCCACCTAATAAGTGGAGAAGCAGGGAACTAGTGTCCAGGCACCCTGGCTTTTCACCAAGATACCAGACTGCTTCATGCAATCAAAGGTGGGCTCAGGTGGGTTCAGGAAGACAAATTGGAAAAGGCAGTGAGGCCAAATATGTCAAGGGACCTTTATACAATACACTACAACACAGCCTTTCCAAATAATGTTCTACATAAAAAGGTATGGTTATGGAAAGATAATCGCAATGTAGTTTTAGCTGAAAAAAGTGGGCGATGGAAGAATATAAACTTTATGAGCTCAGATACATATAGGAAAAAAGACTGGAAGGATATACTCCAAAACGTTCATTGTGTTTGTCTGTGGCAATTGTGGGTAAGTTTTCTTCCTTTTATTTGTCCAGGCTTTATAAATTAAAGATGTGTTATTTGCATTAAAATATTCTTATTTTAAAGAATCATGCTGGTAATCCAGAAAGAAGTAACGTTGGCATTACTAAACTCATCGTAGTAAGAATGGAGACTTGGGCCAAGAAGGACAGGGAAAGCCCAGGGAACCCTAAGCTTGATGCTGGGCTTCTGCTGGGATGCTGGTCCAGGGACAGAAAGGAGGAGGCCAAGAGGAGACATGGCTTAGGGTCAAAGAGGACGTGAAGCAGATTAAAATGGAATTTTTGTTGAAATATTCAAACAGTGATCAAGAATTTTACCATCTACACCTTGAACCCAGAAAAGAGATTTAGGTTCAAAATATGACCATCATAGCCAAAGAAACAAAAATAACCAAAGGGAGAATAGGAAATGAGTCAAAAACTTCCTATAGATGTTTAATTTTTAAAACCTTTTTAACAGCTTTATTGAGATGTAATCCACATACCACACAATACACCCACTTCAAGTGTTCAATTCAATGGTTTTTTAGCGTATTCATAGAGTTGTATACACGACAGCCACTTTTAGAACATTTGTATCTCCTTGAAAAGAAACCCTATGTCTCTTAACTATTACCCCCATCCCTTTAGCCTCCACCTCAAGACCTAAACAACAACTAATATTCTTTTTGTCTCTATAGAGTTCACTGTTCTGGACTTCTATATGAATAAAATCATAACATATGGTCTTTTGTGACTTTTTTCTCAATTAGCATAATATTTTCAAGGATCCTCCATGTTGTAGCACGTATCAGGACTTCATCCCTTCCTATGGCTGAATAATATTCACTTGTATGGTTGGACCACATTTTGTTTATCTGTTTGTTCAAAAATGGACATCTGGATTGTTTCCACCTTTTGGCTATTGTGAATAATGCTTATATAAACATTTTATACAAGTTTCTATAGGGACATATATTTTCATCTCTCTTGGGTAGATACCTAGGAGTGGAGTTGCTGGCTCATATGGTAACTCTGTGTTAGTGGTTTGAGGACCTGCTAGAATGTTTTCCAAAGTGGTTGCACCATTCTACATCCCCACCAGTATGTAAGGGTTCCAGTATGAGGATTGCGATTCCTCCACATCCTCGCCAATGCTTGTTGTTATCTGACTTTTTGGTTATGGCTTTCTCAGTGGGTGTGAGGTGATATATCATTATGGTTTTGATTTGCATTTTCCGGATGGCAGATGGCACATGATACTGAGCATCTTGTCGTGTGCTTTTTGGCCATTTGCATATCTTCCTTGGAGAAGTGTCTACTCAGGTCCTTTGCTCATTTAAGTAATATTCTCAGCATCGATTTTTAACTGCCTGTCTCCAAAGTCTTTGTTACTATTTGCTGGGTAGCTGTCCACATCACTGTTGTTAGATAAAGGGCTTTTGGGATTCCGTGAAAGAAGAAAGAGTTTCCTATCCTTTATCTTTTCTGAGTTCATTTTCTGACCAGGTTTCCCCTCTCCTCTTGTTTTTCTACTTTAGGAAGATTGCAATGGCATATTCAGAATTAATGTCAGTGTGTCAAAGAACTTAAATTTAAAATTGAGGCCTGGAGAGAAAAAACCTGGATTTTGGGTGCCCCGTGTTTGGTAAGTATATCATAAAAAAATATTCTGAAGAATGGTGTGTTTGTCAGTATAAGGCTTTAAATAAGTATCATATGGCATGTAACTAAAAGTAGTTTTGCTAGAGATGTTAAAATGATCTTAAGTCATACAGGGCGAAGCGCTAGATTATATTGGAAGATAGAAATAAGGTAAAAAATAAGAGAGCAAGTAGTGCAATGAGTTCTATATAGCTTCATGAAACTAGAGAAATATTATCTCAGTATTTTTCTAATACTTCAGAAATATGTATCTGGATTCAAATGCCTTAAAAAATTAGGCTTAACAGGATTTTCTGTCAAATTAAAACTAAACTTATCCTGAGTTTATATCTTTAAAGGAGGATCTGATGTCCTCATAATAGAACCCTAAATCATAAAGCTATTTCCATTTTAAAACCCATTTACACTGAAGGACTTCCATTATTGAAACACTAGAGAGGAATAATCAGTGACACAGTTGATTGCTTCTAACTTTCCCTTTAATATTCCTTTTTCTTTAAATTGAGTTTTCAAAGCACTTAGATCAAAGCTAGAAATACCTAGTACCTTCTTTCTTATTTTATTAATGACCATGAGTGAATCTCTCAGTCTGTGTCATTGGTGAACTGAGTGTTCTGTCACCTTCATTTGTCCTTTAAAATTATTATCTGTTTTTTAAGTTTTCTTTTAGAAAATGTGTAAGAATAACAACTGAGTCACAGCACCTCTGCTTTTGTCACAATTGATGTTCTTTTCTAAATGTCAAAACTCTTTAAAAGGAACAGCATTTCACCCAGCTGTACCCTAGCACTCACTGTTACCTCTCTTTGGCATTTTTCTCATATGAAATTCGCTTTTATACGTAATCCAATAGAATGCATATTGGGTTTTTATTTTTTAAAATATCCAAGAACTGAGAAAAAGGATTCATTTGGGGTATGTGGCTTCAGCTTGGAGAGAGAGGAATGTGAGACATGAGAATATCCTGGCCCCACTGCTGACTAGAAAAGCCGTCCAATTTCCATTGAAATAAAAATTAAAGGAGCATAAAAATTTTCTTCCATGAGATAAAAATTAATTATAGCATAAAGTTATTTATGTTATAATTTATTAATTTTTATTAATTCAAAGATAATATCATGGAAGTAAATGTAGTCAGGAATAGAGAACACTGGGGCATTTCATTTCCTTCACTATAGAGAAAGGTAGAGGGTGCCTCCCACCTCTGCCAAGTGAGGTACCCCAGGGGGATCACTTAACGTCAGAGATGGGCAGGGCAAGAAGAGAGACTCTTGTGGCCAGGCTGCTCATCACCATCTGGAGAGCAGGGTTATCTGGTGTTCCTGGAGAGCCCAGTAGTCACTGCCTAGGGCCACATCATCTGAGTCCTCTTGAGCCTTGCGGCAAAGGGCTTTGTGCTGGGAAAGGGTACCCCCCTCCAAAGGGTCCGTAGGTGTGTTTCCAGGAGCCAGACTTGAGAATCACCCAAAGACTGCACACTTACAGGAGAAAAGGTGCAATGAGGCACTCCTGGGCTGGAGAGGGGGTTCAAACTCTTGAACACCTATGGCCAGAATCCAATTGTATCAGATGCACAAGACTTAAACTCCATTCCTCCATTCCTTTCAACGACATCCCACCTCAGTCATGTGAGAATCTCGTGGTGGCCTGAAGAGGATGAGTGGAAGTGAAGAAAGTGGCCAACTTTTCTTCCTTTCCTCAAACCGGGGTCCTTGAGCTGCTAAGGATGGGATTGTTATATGAGTTATAGGATCAGTTGGATGTAAAACTGAATTACTGAAAATAACCAAAAAGCTCTGGGACCTCCCCAAGAATTCAGACAGGGAGCTGGAACACACTTGAAGGTAGTGTTTGGAGAAAAGTAAACCTGCCAGTTGTGCCCTATAGCACTCAACCTAGTCCATAAAACCAGCTACATGGGATTTTTAAAATCAAAGTTAATTTAAATGCAATATTTTATGGAAGGTATTATTAGGGGTTTCAAAGGCAATGCCATTCTAGAAGCATAAGCAAATAGCCAGGCATTCCTTGAACATCATCACAAGTGCTCTTGTCCATTTCTCCAGGATAATGTGACTTGGATTGTAGTGAAATAGACACCTTCGATCTAATAAATGTCATCTGTAACCATGATAACTTTTTACACTTTCCTTCTTAAGTAAGCTAATCAAGAGTTGGAAGCTGAAATTTTGTAATTTTATATTGGCTAAATTATGATTAAGAAAATAACATATCTAGGAATACACTAGAGGAATGCTTTGGTAATTATAATTAGGACATAAATATGCACTAATTCAGGAGACAGTCTAGTTTCAATATTCTCTCTTCAGATTAATAAATGTACTTTCTTCTGAATCACTCAGACTTGATGAGTCACCTCAGTAAAAAGGATTAAACATATCATGGATTATAAATACAGTGTGATTTATTTTAAGAGGAGGTCTGGAATATAGGAAAATGGCATGCATGGGAGAAAAACTAACAAAGTATTCAGGCTTATAATAAATGTATTTATTGAGTGCTTGCTCTTCACCAGCTAGTATGCTTGTCACTGTGGTAAGGCCCTGAATAAGCGATGGCCCCTACCCCTTAGGAGCTTAAAGTCTAGTGGGAAACAGAAAATAAAATTACAAATAATTTTATATAATATGCTAAGGGCTTTAATGCTGCACAGAGAAGCCCCTAAGCTTACCTCTGGCTCACCCGAAACTCATCTCCATGTAATGTTAAGCTACACTGTGATATGTTCTAGGAAGAAGGTGATCAGGTTTTATAGGGTCTAAGGCCCAAACAATTTGGGGTACCAACATCTCAGAAGGGCCTGTACAAAAGAGGGGTCCTACCCCTTAGGTTTCTTTGGCTTCATCATATACCTGCCTCTGATTCCTACAGAAAGGCTAAGGGTACAATGGACACACAGGAGAAGCACCTAACCCCAACTATGCAGGGCCAAAGAGAAGGACCAGATGAGAAGACACACTGGTTACCTTTTGAAGGACAACCAATAGGAACTAGCCAGGTGAAGGGGGCAGGGTCAGAGGCAGGTGAGGAGGAAAGTCTAGGCATAGGTTTGGTATTACAAGTTAAGGCAACTCTATGCCCAAAGCTCAAGGCAAAAAGCGTTGGGGTGCTGTAGGAAGTACGACGTTTCTGATTTCTTTTAGGAGAGATGGTTGTGTAAGATACAGCATGCCGTTTTTGGACAAAGTCTTTTTCTGCATTTCCACATCCAAGGGCAGACGCTCAGTCACGTCTTCAGGGTGCCCCCATGTTCCCCAAGGGAAGAGCAGCTCTCCCTACCTTGATCTTGGGGGGCCTTGGAGCACCTCCTCTGGGAGGTAAAAAACTGACAAAATTATGTGGTCAGATCTAATGTCTTAGTTTTCTGAATTGGACAGGCAAGATTACAATATTTCACAAATTAACCAGAAAAAATGACAACCTTTTCAATTCAAGGAAGGGTAGCAGGTAAAAATGACAATAATAGATGGCATTTGGGATTTATTGAAGGACTCCGTAGTTACAGGTAAAGTTTCAAACTTTGCAACTTTGCTAGCATGAAGAAAGCATAAGAAAACACTTTACATGATTAAAACTGAAAAAGACTTATTTTTTTAATGTGATAAATTCTTCCAACTATTGAAGTCTTTGATGCTACATTTTGTTTTACTTGGTTTAGTTAGAATATTTTTCACATATTCTAACTTCTAGAAGATCTAGAACATAACAGTAGTTTCAGTGGCTGCAAATTCAGCTAAGAAAGCACTTCTACAAAAGAAAATGAGCAGGTAAGGAAGTCCAACACCGGCTCTGAGAACCGGTTCACTTGCTTGTAAAAAATCCTTATTCAAGCAAACTGTGGCATCTGTAGAATCCTTATAACTTCTGTCTACTGTAAAATATATGAAATTTAGTGGAAACATCCCAAAGGAAAGATTGTTGGAAGCATCCAAAAGAATATATTTGTACTTTCATACATAAAAAAATATAAAGCAGAATTCCAAAATATGCATTTCTGAGTGGGGCTTTTGCACTATATTAAAGACCGTCTCCACTAATCAGCCCTAAGCCCTTAAGAACAAATCAGTTTCAGTTTAATGTTTTCTTCTTATATCCTCATCTATTTAATATTCAAAAAACTTATGAAGGCACATCTTGTGATTGTCTCTATAGTTTAAAAAACATAAAAGATGGTAGAAAAGTACAGAACCAGATTTTCCCTAGAGCGTTGCCTGTCCTGAGGGTTAAATTTTGAGAAATGAGCTAGCAGGGGGAAAAAATGATCAAAATATAATTTAAATAGGCTCCAAGGGGCCTACTCTAGTCAGTGGTCCGGAGCTCAGTTCTTCATTAAATTCAAGAAATATAGTCCATGATTTTCCAGTGTTTGGTTATCAAAATCTTAATTATTTAAAATTAGCCTCTAATAAGAAGGAAAGAGGGGGAAAAGCCACTGAAAGCTTCTTCTATTAACAACAAAAATGTTAGCTAAGAACCATAACAATTAAAGAAGATGCAATCTAGTAAAAAGGATCACTTTTATAATTGGGAAGAGAAAAGTATAACCATGTTAAAAGAACAAGAAATGAGACATCCCTGGCCCCCACAGAAGTGGGAGCTAAACAGTGGGTACACCTCGACATAAAGTTGGAAACTCTGGACAGCGGGGACTTCAAATGGGAGGAGGAAGGAAGGAGGTCATAGGTTGGAAAAATTACCTGTTGGATTCTGCGTGCACTATCTGAGTAATGGGTTCATTAGAAGCTCAAACCCCAGCATTATGCAATACACCCATGTAACAAGCCTGCACGTGTACCCCCCAAATCTATAAGAAAACAGAAAATGAATAAGCCAATGAGTTTCAGGAATCAGGAATCAGCGGTGGAGGTAGAAAGCATACCACCCATAAAGGGGACCAGACTAAGAGTCCACTGAGAAGACTCAGAGTTAATAAGAAAAAATCCAACTGGAAGAGAGTAATTTGGAAAAATACATACTACAAGCAAACACCTCTTGCCGTCTCAGTGACCTCTAAATGCATCACTACTTTCCAGCCCTGTGTTCACCATGATGACACAAAGTGAAATAAAGTGACTAAATTCTACTCTACACTTTCTATACTAACACAGGCAATTGTAATTTATGCCTTTCGAAAGATTTTCAGTTACAAAACTATTTCAAAATCCACATCCAAAATCCAATGCTTCTTTGTGCAAATCGATAAAATCATCTGTCCAGTCCTCAGGGTAATCAGGACAAGGTAGAAATGTTGCAGAACCTCTCAAGCTAGAACTAGAGCTGTTTTACATTGAGATCACCCCATCATTACCTAATGAACACAATCAATTATAACACATTGATGCATTGTTATGATTTAGCAAACGAATGCCATATAGCGTAAAAATGTGTGTGTATACATATACACACATATGTATGTGTGTGTGCACGCACACGTGTGTGTGTATATATGTGTGTGTATATACACACACACACACATATCCCACACTCATGACTGGAAAGGGCTACAGATATTTGCCTTCGGGTGCTGCTTATTGGAATTTCACAGAACATTCCTGTATTGGAATCGCAGGGCGAATCCTCGGAACTTTAATTTCGACAATGTGGGAAACGCTATGCTGGCGTTGTTTGAAGTTCTCTCCTTGAAAGGCTGGGTGGAAGTGAGAGATGTTATTATTCATCGTGTGGGGCCGGTAAGCGAGCACATCGAATCCTTTGAACACTTCAAGAGCAGCTTTCATTTGTTTTGATGAATAACCATATTTTCCTTTATGCAGATCCATGGAATCTATATTCATGTTTTTGTATTCCTGGGTTGCATGATTGGACTGACCCTTTTTGTTGGAGTAGTTATTGCTAATTTCAATGAAAACAAGGTAAGGATTTTTGGTTTGGATACCACAGGGTTTAGCCTTTTCTAGCCACTCACTTTGAGCTATTTGTTTCTTTTCACACGCGGCGTGAAGCCGCTTTAAACTGTAATGTGACTGGTGTAAATAATCTCTATAACTGTTTTACAAGCTCCCTCATTGCTGCTTTTCAGACACATTATTTAAGAGTACAGTTCTCTTGCTAAATTTACCCTTTTGGTAACAGTGTCATTAATTCACCGACAACTGAGAGGCGCGTCTCCTATTGTTCAAATTGAAAAGAAAGATGGGCAGCAAGTTATTAAAATACAATAGATGAAAGTGATTCGCTAATTACAGGTAATATTACTTTCACTAAATGTAAATTGTATGCTTCTGTGTAACTCAGTAGGTGAACTCAGGATTTTGATGGGGGTGAGGGGAGTCTGGTAGAAATTTCAAAATCCTAATTCACAGAAAAAAAGATTTTGTGGCAGGGCATGGTGGCTCACGCCTGTAATCCCAGCACTTTGGGAGGCCAAGGCGGGTGGATCACTTGAGGTCAGGAGTTCAAGACCAGCCTGGCCAACATAGTGAAACCCTGTCTCTACTAAAAATACAAAAATTAGCCGGGCGTGGTGGCGCATGCCTGTAATCCCAGCTACTGGGTTGGCTGAGGCATGAGAATCGTTTGAACCTAGAAGGCAGAGGTTGCAGTGAGCCGAGATCACACCACTGCATCCAGCCTGAGCAACAGAGCGAGACTCAAAAAAAAAAAAGAAAAAAAAGAAAAAAAGATTTTCTAATTTCATATGAACTTGACATACTTTGTGAACTCGGGAAGCCTGTTGAGTTTGTAACAGCTCTAATGATTAGAACAAAGGCTCACAAATGGGAAAATAACAATGTAGTTTCCTATCAAAGTGTGAGTTTGGGGAAGAACATTCTATTAGCACTCCTTGGAGAGGGGCTTGCTCATCTAGGCACTTGAGCTATGCCCTCTATTGTTTGAGACGCAGTCTTTGGAATCATAGTAAGGGAAGTGCATGCAGTTTTTGAGCACACACTGTGTACTAAGATTTTACATATTCAATCAATTCTCACAACTCTCAAATGCACGGTTGCAGAAAAAGCAATGACTAGTCTGGGGCTTATAAGGTGTGATAAACAGGGCCAGAATTCAGAATTGGTGCCTATTACCGCAGGCTCTGTGATTCTTCGAAGGCATGAGTAGAATAAAGTCAACCTTCACTCTGCATTAAGTTGAAGCTAGATCTGCCTGTAAAGCACCGTGCTGCTCGATGTTATTCATGGCTAGGACTGATTCCCATGCGTTCACATCAGAGCTCTTCAGTTTGTGTTGCTACACATGGGACTGTATCTGTCATTCACTGTCCTCAGGCTCAACGTGAGTGGTACCAGTTAGCCAGTCAATTGACACCTTTGATGTGTGGCTAATGAGCATGTCATTTCATTCAGGCTTTCAAAGGGTGAGATTTAAAAATTCCTCTTTTGGGCCCCGACTCTACTTGGACCCTCAGAAACATGGGATGTTAGAGACAGAAAGAACAGTAGTGATCATGTCACCCAGCCCCTTATTTTACTCCTATCACATTCATTAACGAGATGCTTTGAGCCCTACAGTGTTGAGTTTAATACCAAGCAGAAAGAGGAAGAAGGATCTTTTTAGATGCCTTTGAGCCATGTAATGCAGCAGACACTGAGAATTCTAGAATATAAGCAGAAGCTAATCAGTCAATTAACAGGAGAGTTTAGGCACTGCTTGCCCAGAACACCGTTAAGAAGCCGTCTGAGCAGACACCTGATTTCAGGAAGATTAGAATGTATCACAGCTCACAATTCAGCAACATACATAGAACAACATAAAATGTTCAGTAACTGGAAATAAATGTATAATTAATTGCAACACTTGAGCTTAGAGAAGTGGCTGAGGTTAGCAGAATAACCAGGGAGGTCTCCATCCAGCACTGTATTTATGTTCTGCAGGTAGGAAAGAGTAACGTGGCCTGTTTGGGGGATCTGGGGCGTATGTTCTATCAGCTCAAATGGGCACTTAAAGAAAGGAGAAATTGACAAGAAATTATATTACCAAGCTTTACAAACTTGATTTGTTAATTGGAGATATCAATTGCTAAATTATGTGAGCCTTTTAGAAAAGTTTCTTTCTCTGCAAGTTTTTTTTTTTTTTTAGAAAGCAGCTCATGAGCTGCCATCTAACAGCATTTATACATTATTCAATCATTCAACAGATGTATTTGAGCATCTACTAGGTGCCAGAGGCTGCTCTTGACACTGAGGACCTAGTGAACTAACCTAAACACTAAACACAGAAAAGTTATTTGCCCTCATGGAGCACACATCTTAATAGTCATACCCAAAGGCACATAGGTAAATTTCCAAATGTAGAGACAACAGAGATAGAAAATGAGGGAATCTTTAGGGTACAATTCAGAATCATGCAAAAATATGTCTTCTTTTGAAAATGGAAACCTCTTTAAAGAGTTCCAAGTCTATATTAGTAATATAGATTTTTTTCTGATTTCTCTACTATGTAAGACAATGTGTTTGATTTATTAACCTAACTTGATAATAATAAACTTTCAGAGGTTTTTATATATTAATGATCAGATGATATCTCCATGCCTATTATTCTTTTAGATCCTTTCAGAGTTCAACTTTCCAAAATTTTTTTTATGTATAACAAAGTAATTACATTAGTGTCTATGGTGGCCAGAGAACAAGTGTTTGCTTATAATTAGTGAGAAAAGTGGTTTAGCAATGTGATTATCAGAAAAGAACAATTTTAAACAAACACTATTATTGGGAATAAATGATGTACTAAAGAATGACAAAATAATCACCAGAAAGATATAGAACTTCCAAATCCCAAAATGTACAAAGCAAAAATTAAACAAGTTGTAAAAAGAAGCTAGAAAATCCAAAATCATAGTGAAAGATATTAACATATATCTCAAAAAATCTCATAATTCAGAGTAGAATAAAAGGAAATATGAGATTTGATACAATAAACACAATCAAGTGAATGTATAAGGAAAACTCTAATTACAACAATTTGAGAATGTGCATTATTTTCAAGCACAAAATGTGTCTCCCAGAAGGCCATAATTACCCAAGAATTGATAATGTAAGAATGTTTTCTGACCATAATGAAAACAAAAACAAAAAAAACTCTACAATTTGGAAATATTAAGACAATACTATAAATAATTTATGAGTTGAAGAAATTATAATAGAAAATCACAAAATATTTACAGACAAAACATTTTATAGCGTCATATACAAAAACTAATGAGGTATAGGTAAATCAGTAATTACAAATAAATGTATCGTTTTAAGTGTATATATTAAAGAAGAATCACAAGTTAAATATTAATATGTCAAATATCCAAATCAATAAATTATAATAAAGTAAAATCAAATAAAGTAGGGGGGAAGAAAGTAACAAAGATTAGGACACAAATTAATGATACAGAAAGTAAGGAAACTTGTATAGCTTCTATAATATTCAAGAATAACAAAAGCTGGGTTTTGGTTTTTTTTAAATCAAGTCAATAAACCTCTAGGAAGGTTGAACAAAAATAAAAACATGAAACAAGAAAGTAAGCTACAATCATTAAAAGAGTGTCAGTATTGTTATAGGTATAGAAAATTAGACTTACAGAAAAAACTAGAAAGACCCAGCAGGGACCCATGTATGTAGAAAACAGAAGCAGCTCAACAAATTAGTGCAGAGGGTGGTGAGACCAACAAGGAGTGGTGTTGGGAGTATTGATTGTATTGATGTAAAGAGCTATGCTGAGATCTCTACCTCACTGCATACTCAAAAATGAATTCCAGATGAATTAAAGACTTCAATATGAAAAGCAAAATTTAAACCATTTTTAAAGCATGTCAGCATTTATTTTTTATTTGAATTTCAGATAAGCAGCAAATAATGTTTTTGCCTTTATTATTTTTAATCAGCGCATAATTGTACATATTTATCGGGTACAGTGTGATATTTCAATTCATGTATTATAATGTGTAATGATCAAATCAGGATAATTAGCATATCTATCACCTCAAACATTTATCACTGTTTTGTGTTGGGAACATTCATAATCCTCTCTTCTAGGTATTTAAAAATAAACAATTAATTGTTGTCAATTAGATTCACCATATATTACCATGGAACACTAAAATTTATTCCTCCAATCTAGCTGTATTTTCATATCCATTAATCAACATTTGACTATCCCTATTCTAGTTCCCCTCCCCACCCCTAGTAAGCATTTGTTTTTTGCCCTGGAGTAGTTATGGATTTCATCCCATTAGCCACCAAGTGAAATCTGTAAAGGAAAAAAATTATAAACTCGATTATATTTAAATTAAAATGTTCTGAATGACAAAAGACACTCTAAGCAAAATAAAAATACAAGCCAAGACTAAGAGAAAATATGTACAACTTACATAATTGATAAAAGATTAGTATCCAGCATGTATAAAGAATCTCTACAAACCATTAAAAAGTAAATATCAAAATACAAAAATGAGCAAAGGATATGAATGGGCAATTCACATAGGAAGATACAAGCATCACCATTTACACACATGCAAATGTTTCATCTCGTTAATATTAAAACAACATTAGATACATTTTCACACCTATCAAAATGGTCAGATTACAATGTCTGGCAATATCAAGTATTGCAAGAATATTAGGATATGGTAACACCTGTGTATTGCTGGTAGGAAATTTGTTTTGGTTTTTGCTCTTTGGAAAGCAAGTTGGCAACATCTGGTAAATGTAAAGATGCTTAAATTCCTAGACCCCATCAATTCTTCTCCTAGAGATCAACAATGGAGAAACCCTCATAGATATTTACTGTGAGACAGTACATGGATGCTTATTGCAGCATTGGTTATAGTCCATAAATCAAAAATGAATAACTTCGGATATTCGTACAGTGGATGGTGTTTGTGAGCAGTTAAACAAATTAGATTTAGTAATCTAGTTGTATGGAAAGTATACTGTTCAATGCAGATATAAAGAAACAGCATAAATAATCACATGTTGGAGTCCATTTCTATAAATATTAAAAAATTCAGAACAAATTCTTACGTATTGATTCATGCGTAAGCACAAAAGTCTGAAAACATAGTAAGGAGGATGCACGCCTGAAGGGTAGTGGTTAGCTCTGGGTAAGGAAAGGGAGAGTGGGGTTTTTGTCTAGTTTTTAAAATTACACTTCAGCTTTTATGATAAAATATAATGCAGTGCAGTGCAATACAATATAATATAATTTTAATCATATGCATTTTAATCAAGTACTCTATTATACAGAATATGGAATTCCATTTAGGCAGTTATCACAGCACTACTTTCTTAAAATGCAAACTCTATGACTTTGTATCTCTCAAAAACAGTTTTGCAATTGCACATATTAGACATTTTTTAAAGAAAGACAACATACCCTTAACTGGAAGCCACAGCATTGACAAGCTATAATTTTGCTGCTATGAAATGAAAGGAAACTAACTACTATTAGTGAGTATCCTTTTTTGAAAATGTAATTATGTAGAAACTCCTCTTTACATTTTCCCAAACCTGAATATTACACATCTCCAAAGATACAAGTCGAAGGCTGCTGAATTCTCTCTGAAACACCTGGTCATCATTTTGGGAACTCCTCCCGAGACCAACTTTGAGCATTCTGACCATGTTTCTCTCACCACCACGGTTGGAAGAACATGGTCAGTGCAAGCCCTCACATCAGTCCTGTTTGTCTCGGCACCCCATCTGCCATGTTCTTGGTGCAAGCACATGACAAAAGGCCTTTTCCTGCTTTCTTTTGTCTGTTAAGGGGACGGCTTTGCTGACCGTCGATCAGAGAAGATGGGAAGACCTGAAGAGCCGACTGAAGATCGCACAGCCTCTTCATCTTCCGCCTCGCCCGGGTACCCAAAATGCTCTGATTTTATTCATGTTGGGCACTAGTGTGCACGATTCCCCAGGAGTCTCAGATTTAAATTAAAATAATAATCGTGAGGCCGCTGGGAGGTTGTGCATAAGGTAATACAGAAACAGGCTCCAAACCACAGATCTCTCCATAAGGCTATTAAAATCAACCACCCAAAGGCTGTGCTTCAGTGCTCTCAGACTAAGCCTTAATGAAAAAATGAATTTTTAAATAAAATATATTTGCTCTTGCCTTTTAAAAATATAAGTGAAATGTATTAAACTGACAGAAATTGAATGATGCACTTCTCCTTCCAATATAGACGGCATCATGCACTGTCGTTTTGAATATTCAGAGCCAGCCATTGCTGCAAAAACACCTCACAATAGACGGAACTGTTTGGGGAGAAAAATGTAATGGGTTTTAAGATAAGCATTTAAGAAAATAAACGACAAGAAAGTAAATGTGACCTGTGTCTAAAATGCCCTTGCCCAAACCTTTCTTTTCTAGATAATGATGGTTTTAGAGCTAAAATGTATGACATAACCCAGCATCCATTTTTTAAGAGGACAATCGCATTACTCGTCCTGGCCCAGTCGGTGTTGCTCTCTGTCAAGGTACTTCGTTTCACCCTAAGACTCCGGGAATGAATTTTGTATTCACTGCTACATCCGAGAGTATCACAAGCTGCTATATGCATTCACGGTTATGTTCTTGGGTGTAAAAATTAAGATTCACTGTCAATGGCAAAGTGGGCAGAAGAGGGGCAAGCCTGTATGTGTCCGATGGACGTGGGCAACGACTCGTGTGCTGTTTCTGTTGCAGTGGGACGTCGAGGACCCGGTGACCGTACCTTTGGCAACAATGTCAGTTGTTTTCACCTTCATCTTTGTTCTGGAGGTACTGTAATGAGTCAGCTAGCTCTGGGGGAATCTGTGCACAGTTTTAAAGTAAATCAGCCTCCCTCTTTGATGCCACTTACTCTCCTCTCTGTGTTCCATTGCCTTTGAAGTTTGCCCTTAGGATATTTCCTACTTAAGCGGTTCTGCTTAACTCGAACAAAGACATCACTTTATCCATCAGATTTTTCTAACTACAGAAATGCTGCTGTCGATTGTTGTGTCTGAACATTGGCCTGTCTAGTTATGCGAGTTCTGATATTTAGAGGGAATGGTGCAAGCCACTATAATTCATTGACTCAAATTGCAATAGAGACGCAAAACAAGTTGGCCCAGACAAGGTTATTTTAACATGTGATTCTCATAATATTGCTTTCCAGGGCAGTCTTCCTGAAATACAAGCAGATTCTTATTTTGCCCTACACTGGTTGATGTTTCCCAAAATCTATGGCCTTTTGCTTAAGGAAGAAAAATGTCCCATGATCAGAACTAGTCATAAAACGAAGAGGAAAGAGTGTAGAGAACACAGATTTGTAAGCTACTTAGCTTCAAAAATAAAATCATATATCTTGGTAATAAACTCTTATTTTTAGTTACTACATGTTTACAATTATTCTTTAAATAGATAGTATAACCGAGCATGCTGGCTCACTCCTGTAACCCCAGAACTTTGGGAAGCCGATGTGGGTGGATCACCTGAGGCCAGGAGTTTGAGACCAGCCTGGCCAACGTGGTGAAACCCCATCTCTACTAAAAATACAAAAATTAGCCAGGAGTGGTTGCACGTGCCTATAATCTCAGCTACTCGGGAGGCTGAGGCAGGAGAATTGCTTGAACCCGGGAGGCAGAGGCTACAGTGAGCCAAGATCATGCCACTGCACTCCAGCCTGGGTGACAGAGCGAGACTCAGTCTCAAAAAATAATAATAAATAAATAGACAGACAGACAGATAGATAGTGTAGGCACGTGGCCTAAAAGGAAACCTCAAAGGGCATTAAAGTGTTTGTCTCATTTTCAATGGAAAAGATACTGTGTCCACATCAAATAATTTAAAATTTTCTTCATTTGAAAAAAATACATACACATAATGCATCTCAAGTTAATACATTTAAATATGTACTAAACACTCTCTCTGTTTATTTTCTTCTTTGCTTTTTCTCCAGGTTACCATGAAGATCATAGCAATGTCGCCTGCTGGCTTCTGGCAAAGCAGAAGAAACCGATACGATCTCCTGGTGACGTCGCTTGGCGTTGTATGGGTGGTGCTTCACTTTGCCCTCCTGGTAAGCATAGAAGTCAAGTTGATTTCAGCTGATTATTTCAGTTTGGTTCAGTTCTGCTCAGTCCTGTTTCCAGTCTCATTTTACTCCACATCAACCTGCTCTGAGGTGTTAGATGGACCTCCCTAAAGCCCAGCTTTGACTGTGATGGGCTCTCAGACATGCTTGTGTCTACATGTACACACCCCCACACTCTTCACACAGGCAAAACCTGGCCCCTCAAAGACCTAGACGATGCAAGCTAGAAAGAGAAGGACCTTCAAGATCTTCTGGTTTAGCCCCTCATTTTACCAAAGGGGAAAACAAGAAAGAGAGAGGAAGACTGCAACAGAGACTGAGAACTGTCCAAATTCACACAAGCTAGTATCAGAAGACTATAGTCCTGTTTTCCTGTTTTCTCAGCTGAAATATAGCATTTGTTCCACTTTGTTATAATCAGTATTTCACAATGTGATTCTCAAGTGCTTCCACTGTTTCATTTTCTATAAGACATTTAGCCTCCACTTCTCTAAAGCATATGATTCTCCATCTCTATATCTGTGTTCTCACTATTTTACCTAAAGTGCCTTCACCCTCCATTCAGTCTGAGATCCCACTCAAAATCTGCAGCTATGGGTGTACTGAACTGTAATCTAGGGCCATATTGTCCAATGAAAATAAAATGTGGCCACAGATATCACTTAACATTTTCTAGAAGCCACAATAAAAAAGTAGTGGTTTAGAAAATATAACTATTAAATTGTTAATAATTATTAAATAAATAATAATTAATTATTTAATTATGTAATATATTTTATTATTTAAAATATGTATTAATTAAAAGATGCATTATGTGTATGTGTATGTATATATTTTTATTATTTATATAGTTATATATTATATATTAATATATTTAATTAAATAATTAATTTAATTGATTATATAATTAATTTAATAATTATTTAATTATATAATTATTTGGTTATAATTATTTATGTATAATTATTATTTATATACTTATAACTATTATGTATGTAATTATACTTATGTAATTATAATTATTTATATAATTTAATTATTAACAATTTAATAATTATATTTTCTAAACTATATCCAAAGTATTATTATTTTCATGTGTAAGCAATATAAAATTATTGAGATAAGTAGTATCCTTGTATCTGTGTGTGAAGTCTTTGGCTGAGTATGTATCTTACATTTACAGCATATCTTCATTTAAATTGCCACATTTTAAGTGCTCAGTAACCACATGTGGTTCCATGTGGCTGCTGGTTACCATGTTGGATAGCACAGCTCTGGAAGATATGGGTCCTAGTCTAGGTTCCACCATTTTCCAGCCTTGACTAATTTATTTGCCTTCAATGATCCTTTGTTTCCTGCTCTGAATGGCCAATATAACTTCATAATCCACCTATTCCCTCTGGCATTATGAAGATCAAGTGAGATAATATATTTGAGGCTTTCTTGAACTAGAAAGATTATACAAGCCTGTAGGCATTATTATAATTACCTTCTTTTTGTTAGTCATACTTGATCTCATCCCAAGGAATATTATCGGTTTTTCCCTGTTTCCTTCTATCCATTCTCCCATCCCCTTAGTGTTAGAGACATGCTGGGAAAGACTCATTTACACATCCTAAAGGGCTTGCCTTAATACGAGACGCTGTGCTCATGAACATAGTGAGCGTCCTTCTTAAACCAGTGGTTACCTTCAGCATCAGGGGCTGTATGAAGCCTAGGTGAGCTCTCAGTCATCCTGAAGTATTTTCTCAGCAATAAATGGTTCTCAATTCCTAGTACAAGACACAGTACTAGTAACTGAGAAGAATGTAATAAGCAAAACAAATATAGTTGCTGCTCTTGTGAACCTTATATCCTAGAAAAGTAGATAGATAGTCATCAATTGCTCACAAATCTATGAGTATAATGACTATGATGAGGGAGATGAAGGAGAGCCTGTGTTCCTGTGACAACATAGATAATAGTGGGAGATGGCTTCATCAGAGAGGTCTTGGAAGACATCCCCAAGGGAGTGATGGCTCCATCTGTAGGATAAGGGGAGGGCATTTCAGGTAGTTGTCCCTGTGATGGAAAGATGACAGAGCTGGAAGAAGGATAGATACATAGTACTAGCATAGTACAAGATTTGGATGGGTAAGAAGGTATCAGACCTCTTAGGACCTTGCAGTCCAGGTGAAGAATTCAGATTCTCATCCTAAAAACTATTGGTTGTCATTACTTCCAAAACATAAAGAGGGAAGGTATCTGCAATAGATCTTTAGCTAACATGGGAAGAAAAGGCAGCAAGGCCCATGTTTTTCCTTTCTCCAGATAAAATTTGTATTAGTCCCTTCTCACACTGTTATGAAGAAATACCCAAAACTGGGTAATTTATAAAGGAAAGATATTTAATTGACTCAAAGTTCCACATGGCTGGGAAGGCCCCAGGCAACTTACAATCATGGTGGAAAGGGAAGCAAACACATCCTTCTTCACAAGGGAACAGGAGAGAGAAGAATGAGTGCCCAGCAAAGGGGGAAGTCCCTTATAAAACCATCAGATCTTGTGAGAACTAACTCAATATCATGAGAACAGGATGGGGGAAACTGCCTCCCTTAATTCAATTATCTCCACCTGGTCCCTCCCACAACATGTGGAGATAATGGGAACTACAATTCAAGATGAGATTTGGGTGGGGACACAGTTAAACCATATCATTCTGCCTGGACCCCTCCCAAATCTCATGTCTTCACAATTCAAAATACAATCATACCCTCCCAACAGTCCCCGAAAGTCTTAATTCATTCCAGCATTAACTTAAAAGTCCAAGCCCAAAGTCTTATCTGAGAACAGGAAAGTTTCTGCTGCCTATGAGCCTGTAAAATCAAAAGCAAGTTAGTTACTTCCTAGATACAATGGGGGTACAGGCATTGGGTAAATATACCCATTCCAAATGGGAGAAATTGGCCAAAACAAAGGGGCTATAGGCACCATGCAAGTCCAAAATCCAATAGGGCAGTCATTAAACATTAAAGTTCCAAAATAATCTCCTTTGACTCTGTCTTATATATATCCAGGGCACACTGATGCAAGAGGTGGGCTCCCATGGCCTTGGGCAGCTCCACCATTGTGGCTTTGCAGGGTACAGACCCCCTCCTGGACTGGTATTGAGTGTCTGTGGCTTTTCCAGGCACACAGTGCAAGCTGTCAGTGGATCTACCATTCTGGAGTCTGGAGGATGGTGGCCCTCTTCTCACAGCTCCACTAGGCAGTGCTCCAGTGGGGACTCTGTGTGTGGACTCTGTGTGTGGACTCCAACCACACATTTTCCTTCCGCACTGCCCCAGCAGAGGTTCTCCATGAGGGCTCTACCCCCACAGCAAACTTCTGCCTGGACATCCAGTTGTTTCTATACATCCTGTGAAATCTAGGCAGAGGTTCCCAAACCTCAGTTCTTGACTTCTGTTCACCCACAGGCCCAAAACCATGTGTAAGCCACCAAGTCGTGGGGCTTGCACTCTTTGAAGCATCAGCCTGAGCTGTATATTGGCACCTTTTAGCCATGGCTGGAGCAGAAGCTGCTGGAAGGCAGGGCACCATGTCCCAAAGCTGCATAGAGCAGAGGGAGCCTGGGGCCCACCCACAAAACCATTGTTCCCTTCTAGGCTTCCAGGCCTGTGATGGAAGGGGCTGCTGTGAAGGTCTCTGGCATGCCCTTGGGGACATTTTCCCCATTGTCCTGGTGATTAGCATTCAGTCCCTCGTTACTTATGTAAATTTCTGCAACTGGCTTCAATTTCTCCCTAGTAAATAAGGTTTTCTTTTCTATAAAAATCATCAGACTGCACATTTTCCAAATATTTATACTCTGCTTCCTCTTGAACACTGTGTCACTTAGAAATTTATTCTACCAGATACCCTAAATCATCTCTCTTAAATTCAAAGTTCCACAGATCTCTAGGGCAGGGGCAAAATGCTGCCAGTCTCTTTGCTAAAGCATAACAAGAGTCACCTTTGCCCTAGTTCCCAATAAGTTCCTCATCTCCACCTGAGACCACCTCAGCCTGGACTTCACTGTCCATATCACTATCAGTATTTTGGTCAAAGCTATCCAACAAGTAGGAAGTTCCAAACTTTCCCATATCTTCCTGTCTTCTTCTGAGTCCTCCAAATTGTTCCAACCTCTGCCTGTTACCCAGTTCCAAAGTCGCTTCCACATTTTCAGGTATCCTTATAGTAGCCCCCCACTCTAAGTACGAATTTACTGTGTTAGTCCTTTTTCATGCTGCTATGAAGAAATACCCAAAACTGGGTAATTTATAAAGGAACGAGGTTTAATTGACTCACAGTTCTGCATGGCTGGGAAGGCCTCAGAAAACTTATGATCATGGTGGAAGGGGAAGCAAACACATCTTTCTCCACATGGTGGCAGGAAGAAGTATGAGTGACCAGTGAAAGGGGAAGCCCCTTATAAAACTATCAGACCTGGTGAGACTTAATCATCACAAGAACAGGATGAGGGAAACCACCCCAGTGATTCAATTATCTCCACCTGGTCCCTCCCAGGATACATGGGGATTATGGGAACTACAATCCAAAATAAGGTTTGGGTGGGAACATAGCCAAACCATATCGAAATGCAACCTAAAGCTACTGAGTCCAAGCAAAAGTCAAGTAGACTCTCTAATCCCAGATAACCTCAGAGAGGAAATCTTAAACCCAAAGACCAACTTCCCTTTTCTGCCTAATTGCCTTTGTTCTTCTCCAAGAACCTCTTTGGTCTTGGAAGGATGCTCATTCTCCACCGTATTTTGCAGTGGACTATTGGGAAGGAAAGTTCCCCATCCAAGGATGCTATGTGCACACATTCATGTGCTTGGACCTCACCAAGGATCTCACTGGACCCCCTTCGCGGGGCCCATCTGTGACTGTCATCATTTGGCTAGGCAAGCCTCCTTGAGAGTAATCACACTCTGGCATCGGCTGAATGTCAAGGTTGTTATTGCAGTTATAGCTGGTGGGATCTTTGTTTCTCAAATGAAGCTTTCTTATTCATAAAGTGCAGTCATCTCTTCCTGCTAATCACACCCTTGAAAAAAGAGCTGGATGTGTTCCTGAGCAGGGAGGACCTCTCTGAAATCAGCTTAGAGGAATGAGTGTATGTTTGTTCTTCAGTGGTGTCTAGAATCTGACTTCTGGCAATCTTTTCCACCATCAGCCCTTTCTCTTTGCCAGGATTCCTTTACCTCCTATGTCAGTTGACCTTCCTATGTTGCACTGTTATCCTGTGTTTTTCACACCCTGTATGCAAAAGAGCTGGTCACCATTTTATGTAAAATAAATTTCAAAATACAGAATTTAGCTGAGCAAAACAGAACCCGAAGTTTCATTTGAGACTGAATTTTAAATCTAATATTTATTCATGAGTTTTTGCAGTGACCTTTTCAGCACCTTTTTTAGATCACTTTCTTATAATAATTTACACATATTAAGCTAATTATTCAGTATACTTCACAGAAGGCTTAAAAAATGGAACTGTAACAAGATCTTTTGTGCAAATTATGAGAAGCTGTCTTCTGTTTAAATTTCAGAATGCATATACTTACATGATGGGCGCTTGTGTGATTGTATTTAGGTTTTTCTCCATCTGTGGAAAACATGTAAGTACATTGTTAAGAATCTTATCTTAAAGGTCATATATGTGTTAATGAAAGAATGGTGATTAATTGATTACAGCCTTACCTCGGTTATTTAGGGATGTAATCACAAATTACTAGACATCATAAGTCAAGATTAACAAATATTAAACATTGTTAAATGAATCAGTAGCTTAGTTATCATTCGATGTGTTTCCTGCCATTTATGTTGCTTATTCTTTATATTCAATAATTAAGTAAATTATTTAAATTTATTAATTTAATTAATTAAAGATAACCAGTCATGAAAACAAAAACCAATATTCTTTCTTAATGCATTTTTATTTTTATTTTCAATAAAGTTAAGTAACTTCAAAGAAAAATAATCTTTAATGAATTTTTATGTTTCCATGATTCCAGATTTTTTTTTTTTTTTTTTTTTTGAGATGGAGTCTTGCTCTGTCACCAGGCTGGAGTGCAGTGGCAGGATCTCGGCTCACTGTTTTCTCCACCTCCCAGGTTCAAGTGATTCTCCTGCCTCAGCCTCCCGAGTAGCTGAGATTACAGGCATGTGCCACCACACCCAGCTAATTTTTGTATTTTTAGTAGAGACAGGGTTTCACCACGTTAGCCAGGATGAGATTCCAGATTTTTTAATATTATTTGTTAATGTCCATGGGTATATTCCACATATATTTTTCATTTTTTACAATGCTGTTTCCTTTTTTATTACAAACGTTATTTCATATATACATTCCATATATACACATAACCAATATACTTAATATTTGATAGTTATTTAGTATTATACCATTGCTTAGGTTTGTTTTTGTGAAAGTCTGTTTGTGGAAGAAACCTGAGTTTACTTGCTGTCAGTCAAAAATGTGTAGCCCTTATCATAGAGAATTGAGGAGCAGAAGAGAAAATGGAAGGTGAAAATGCTTAGTGTTACTCTTATTAATTTGTGTGAAGAGGCTGAAATGTTTGAAGTAAAAATAAAATTCGCCCAACGCCTGGTGGGTTTTGAAGAATATTTTGATGTAATACCTTATAGAAAGCAACTTTCAAATGATACACCTAAGAGTGATTTTGAGCCAATCTGCTTAAAGATTAGTTGCTACCCAGGTCTTCCATAGCTTAATAGATTGAATATTCTCTCTCTCTCTCTCTCTCTCTGTCTCTGTCTCTCTCTCTCTCTCTCTCTGTCTCCCCGCTTCCCACCCCTGGTCCCCAGGTAACGCTAAAGATGCTCCTCTTGACAGTGGTCGTCAGCATGTACAAGAGCTTCTTTATCATAGTAGGCATGTTTCTCTTGCTGCTGTGTTACGCTTTTGCTGGAGTTGTTTTATTTGGTACTGTGAAATATGGGGAGAATATTAACAGGTTGGTATATACTTATCTTTCTATTCATTTATCAAGCAAACCCTTTGGTAATAAAATTTTAAATAAACAAATGTTTTTTGTCTATTAAAGTCTAGGAGAGGGGAAAGGGAAGTAATCAGTTGGAAATTAAAATAAAATAGCCAAGTTTTAAATGATATTTTTCCAGTTGAAAAAGGTTATTCAACTGAAAAGGTCTACTTTCAAAACCTTAGAAAAATTAGAAATAAAAGAAAACAAAAAGAATCTATAATTCCACCAACATTCAGTAATCATCACTCCTAATTCCAGCACTTTTTCTATCTACATATTGCCAAAAAATGATATATTATTTTTAGATGGAACAATTTTAAGATAACTCTGGGTTTCTTTCTCAGCAAAATATGGGAATTTAGAGCCCCCCAAATGGTTGTAATATATGAAAAGCAGTTTTCAACGATTTGCCTAAGTTTTATAGATGCATCATTTTTTTTCAAGTCCTGATACAACAAAGTATATACCGATATGTCAAGTTGTAGGAATTAGATACATGGCTGCCCCACCTTTTATAGCATCGTCCAAGTGAAAGAAGGAATCACTTAGTTGCCAAAGCCTGCCTACTTAGTCATTCAAGATGAATGGTAATAAATTAGTGGCCATGCTAGAGTTGGGTGTTCAGACGGCTATACTTGGAGGCAAGTATAAATGACAAATTAATAAAAAGGTATAACCTTTGGAAAAGGTGACTTAGCAACCAAATTTGCTACAACCTCCACTTGTTTTGGTGTTGGCAAACCATGCTATTTCATGACAAACCCTTCTATAATTCACATTCTGTTAATTTTTTTTTCTTAAATTAGGCATGCAAATTTTTCTTCGGCTGGAAAAGCTATTACCGTACTGTTCCGAATTGTCACAGGTGAAGACTGGAACAAGATTATGCATGACTGTATGGTAAATATCTCTCATCATGAACAAGGCTTAGACTTAGAATCAGCATGAAACTCTTGCAACACAATGTTGGCAGGATCATCCTTGTTAGCGTTAAGACTTTATGTATGAAATATAAATCCTGACACTTCAGTCCATAAAATTGCATTATTATACATTCCAATGTGTGAATATTTAGGGCAAAATACTCAATTAACCCAACTTGAGCTATTGTAGTTCCATTCAACAAATATGCATTTTGTGAGTGTTGTTCTTTCCCTCCCATCTTTAATATTTTGGTAATGAAAGTCAAACAGGAAGCCCTTTAATTTAATGTGTTCAGTGGATAGTTCACTGCCCCTCAGCTATATGCTAGGCCCTAGGTCTTCAACAACTCCAAGGCACACTCAAGGAGCTTACCTCAAGGGCTCTGAGTTACTCTTCCTTTATACTATAAAGTATACTTTATACTTCCTTCTTACTATATCCTGTCTTCCCCAAGCATCATCCTTCTGGTCTCAGTTTAAACAGGTCTTTTGCCTTAAGCTAAGACAGCCAGCTACATGTTCTTATGCTGCTCTATAGTTCTCCTTTGTAATAAGGAGCTGTAGTGAATTACTGGCTTACATTCATTTATTTTATCTCTTTCTCACCGTAGGACAGACCAATGCTGTGTTAAAAAATGTCTGCAGTGATGGAAATCTGCACTGTCCAATTCGGGAGCCACTAGCCATATGTGGTTATGGAGCATTTAAAATGTGGCTAACACAACTGAGGAACTGAATTTTAGTTTTAATTTTATATTATTACATTTTAATTAACATAAATTTAAATTTACATCGCTGCATGGAGCTAGTGGTCACCATATTGGACTGCACAGCACTCAACTGTCAGTAGGAAGAAGAGATAGGGCCGCCTATGTCTTTCTTACCAGTCTCTCCCCAAACTTGGCACAAACCTAGCACACAGTAGGAGTGCTGGGACTTCATGCATGAATTAACAAGGAGAATTTGCCAAATCAAATAGAATACAAGGCAAAATTTAATGAATCTTAAATAAAAATACAAGCAGAATGCTGGGATTATAGAAGAGAGAGCTAGTTTATCTGGCTGAGAAAAACCAGAAAGTTCTCTCAGAGGTGTCGGCATTTTATAGAGCCTGTAAACAATGAGAGAGTTTTTGATGACTTAAGTCTTGTGCTATTCCATAGCATCCCATAACAGTGTTCCAAGAATGGGGCTTACTCCTCACACAATTTGAATGTGAATTTTCTATGTGCAGGCACATCTTGTTTTACTGTGCTTCCCTTATTGCCTTTTGCAGACATTGCATTTTTACAAGTTGAAGGTTTATGGCAATCTTGTGTGGAGCAGGTCTATCAGGGCCATTTTTCCAATAGCATGTTTGCTCACTTTCTGGTTCTGTATCACATTTTGGTAATTCTCACTATTTCGGACTTTTTCATTATTATCTGTTTTGGTGATCTGTGATCAGTGATCTTTTGATGTTTCTTTTGTAGTTTTTTTTGAGGGGTGCCATGAACCATGCTCAATAAGATGGAGAATTTAATTGATAAATGTCATATGTCTTCTGATTGCTGCACCGAACATCTGTTTCTCCAACTCTTCTCTCTTTTCTTGGGCCTCCCTATGTCCTGAGACACAACAATATTGACATTAGGCCGATTCACAACCCTACAATGGCCTATAAGTGTTCAAGTGAATAGAAGATTCACACATCAGTCACTTCAAATCAAAAGCTAGAAATGATTAAGCTTATGGAGGAAGGCATGTCAAAAGCTGAGTTAGCCCAAAAGCTAGGTCCCTTGCACCAAATAGTTACTCAAGTTGTAAATTCAAAGGAAAAGTTCTTGAAGGGAATTAAAATGCTACTCCAGTGAACACATGACTGATAAGAAATAGCCTTATGGCTGATATGGAGAAAAAATTTTACCGGTCTCAGTAGAAGATCAGACTAGCCACAACATGCCCTTAAGCTAAAGCCAAATGCAGAAGAAGGCCCTTACTCTCTTCAAATTTATGAAGGGTGAGAGAGGTGAGGACGCTGTAGAAAAAAATGTTTGACGCTAGCAAAGGTTGGTTCATTATGTTTAAGGAAAGAAAGAAGCCATCTCCATAATATGAAAGTGTAAGTGCTGCTGATATAAAAGCTGTGGCAAGTTATCTAGAAGATCTAGCTCAAATAATTAAGGTGGCTACACTAAACAATGGATTTTCAATGTAGACAAAACAGCCTTCTATTGGAAGAAGATGCCCTCTAGAACTTTCATAGCTAGAAAGGAGAAGTCAATGCCTGGATTCAAAGCTTCAAATAACAGACTTACTCTGTTGTTAGGGACTAATGCAGCTGGTGACTTTCAGTGGAAGCCAATGCTCATTTACCATTCCAAAAATCCTAGGACCCTGCAATGGTTTGACTGTGTCCCCACCCAAATCTCATCTTGAATTGTAGTTCCCTTAATCTCCATGTGTCGTGGGAGGGACCAGGCAGAGATAATTGAATCATGGGGGTGGTTTCTTCCATCCTGTTCTTGTGATACTGAGTGAGTTCTCACTATAGCCGTCATGAGATCTGATGGTTTTATAAGAGGTTTTTCCCCCCATTTTCTTGGCACTTCTTGCTGCCACCATGTGAAGAAGAACATATTTGCTTCCCCTTCCGCCGTGATTGTAAATCTCCTGAGGCCTCCCAATCCCTGCTGAACTGTGAGTCAATTAAATCTCTTTCCTTTATAAATTACCCAGTCTCAGGTATGTCTTTATTAGCAGTGTGAGAATGGACTAATACAGTCTCTTAAGAATTATGCTAAATCTACCCTGCCTGTGCTCTATAAATGGAACAACAAAGCCTGGATGACAGAATAGCTGTTTGCAGCATGGTTTGCTGGATATTTAAGCCCACTCTTGAGACCTACTGCTCAGAAAAAAAAGATTGCTTTCAAAGTAGTACTGCTCATTAACAATGCATCTACCTGGTCACCCAAGAGCTGTATCAGGAGATGTATAAGGAGATTAACATTGTTTTCATGCCTGCTAACACAACATCCATTCTGTCCATGGATCAAGAAGTCATTTCAACTTTCAAGTCTTATTATTTCAGAAATAGATTTCATAAGGCTAATAGCTGCCATAGATAGTGATTGCTCTGATGGATCTGGGCAAAGTATATTGAAAACCTTCTGGAAAGGATTCACTATTCTACATGCCATTAAGAACATTCATGGCCAGGCGCAGTGGCTCACGCCTGTAATCCTAGCACTTTGGGAGGTCAAGGCGGGTGGATCACGAGGTCAGGAGATCGAGACCATCCTGGCTAACATGGTGAAACCTTGTCTGTACTAAAGATACAAAAAATTAGCCGGGCATGGTGGTGGGCGCCTGTAGACTCAGCTACTCGGGAGGCTGAGGCAGGAGAATGGCGTAAGCCCAGGAGGCGGAGCTTGCAGTGAGCGGAGATTGCACCACTGCACTCCAGCCTGGGCGACAGAGTGAGACTCCGTCTCAAAAAAAAAAAAAAAAAAAAACATTCATGATTCATGGAAGGAGGTCAAAATATCATCAACATTAACAGGAATTTGGAAGAAGTTGATTCCAGCCATTATGGATGACTTTGAGGGGTTCAAGACTTCAGTGAAGGAGGTCGCTGCACATGTGGTTGGTAGAAATAGCAAGAGAACTAGAATTAGAAATGGAACCTGAAGACGCGACTGAATTGCTGCAGTCTCCTGATCAAACTTGAAGGAATGAAGATTGCTCCTTATGGATGATCAGAGTGGTTTCTTGAAATGGAATCTACTCTTGCAGAAGATGCTATGAACATAGTCATAATGACAACAAAGGATTTATAATGTTACATAAAATTACTCGATAAACCAGCAGCAGGGTTTGAGAGGGTTGACTCCAAATTCGAAAGAAGTTCTATTGTGGGTAAAATGCTAGCAAACAGCATCACATGCTGCAGAAAAATCTTTCATGAAAGGAAGAGTCAATTGATATGATAAACTTCCATGTTGACTTGTTTTAAGAAATCGCCACAGCCACCCCAACCTTCAGCAGCCACCACCCTGCTCAGTCAGCAGCTGTCAACATTGAGGCAAGACCCTCCACCACCAGCAGAAGATTACAACTCACTGAAGGCTCACATGATTGTTAGCTTTTCTTAGCAATAAAAGTACTTTTTATTAAGGTCTGTACCTTTTTGGACATAATGCCATTGTGCACTTAATAAGCCACAGTATGGTATAAACATGAGTTGCATGTGCACTGGGAAACCAAAACATGCATAGGACTTTATTGCAATATTCACTTTATCACAGCAGTCTGGAACTGAAACTGCAATGTCTCCGAGGTATACCTGTAGAGTCTATATTCCCAAATCTTAACCCATTACTTCAGTCAGAGAAAAACTTGCAAATGTCTTTTTATTTGATTTTCTGCAGTTTGATCACAGTGGCTACTTATCACTTGGGGCTGGTGGTGGTGGCAGAAAGAATATCTAGTGGAGATCAGTTCATTTTCATTGTGCTTTTAAAAATGGCAATAACCTTGGGATTCTACAAGATAACAGCATAGCATAAGTGAAATATTCTTCTTTATTTCTGCTACAGATGATGTACCCAATGTATGTGGCTTTTGAAAGCTTACTTTGAAGTTAATTATATGCTATATGTTTAGGAATCTATTCATTAACTATAGTCAGCTAAAAGAAATTTGTATTCTCTACTCTTATCCTCTCCTTCTTCCACCCCAATGCCCCAAAGGTTCAGCCTCCGTTTTGTACTCCAGATGAATTTACATACTGGGCAACAGACTGTGGAAATTATGCTGGGGCACTTATGTATTTCTGTTCATTTTATGTCATCATTGCCTACATCATGCTAAATCTGCTTGTAGGTAAGTGATGTTAGTTGAATACTTTTTACTCTTTAAACTCAGGTACTTAGATAATTATGTATTATTTTCAAGCAATTACCCTGGATTTCTTGGGGTGGGTGTTTCATGGCATTAATTATAAATTGTTGTCTCTCAATCCAGAAGCTGAAAAGACCTTTGAAAGGCACGTAAATGACAGTTGACTGCAATTTTAAGAGTTGTAGCATTTATTATGATCATTAATTTCAAAAGGGCTCTTCTCATGGATTGAGTTGAACAAATATCAGAGAGGACTATCTTTCTAGCCTTGAAATATCACATTTATGTTTTTGAAAGGTACACCTTATTTACCCAGATGTGGGCCCACCCAGAACTCAATTTGACCTTTAAAAATGGCCCTGGAACTCTCAACTAAGAGTTAAAGCCAGCTGGCATGACTATCTCTATACACAGAATGTGTGTTTGTGCTTACGACCCTCATGTTTTGGAAAGGCAGGAGCTGGAGAAATAGCTTAGTCCAAGTGTAAACATGCCAATTTGGAAACCATACTAAAAGCACTTTAAAAATTTGGCTTATGATATAGGTGATAGAATCCATTATTAATAATAGATGTTTTACTCTTTCTAAAATATGACAGATTAGCATAATGGTCTAACTTCTGAATTTTTCTTTTTTTAAAAGCCATAATTGTGGAGAATTTCTCCTTGTTTTATTCCACTGAGGAGGACCAGCTTTTAAGTTACAATGATCTTCGCCACTTTCAAATAATATGGAACATGGTGGATGATAAAAGAGAGGTATGGGAGTGGGTTGTTGTTTCATGCCTCACCTCAAAGAGACTTATCAACATGTCTCAAACACTTAAATGGTTTTCAGGTTGGCAAATGACACAGATTGAATTTTTAAATGGTGAATTGCAGAAAGCCATCATTTACAGTTCAGCAGAATCCTCTAGGAAGGGAGACAGCATCGTTCCTCCTTACATGATCTTCAACCATGAACATCCTCTTCTTCAGACTTTCCGAAGGCCAGCAGGGAAAGGAAGCCAAAGGGACTCTGTAGGAATCAGCCTTGGGCTCAGGCCAGAAAAAGAGGTGACACTGAAACTACCAAAGGGACAGTATATTACAAATTCATGATCACCTCAAACTCAAGCAGCAATCCCAATTAAAAGTACAAAGGAGTTATTTAAGTGGCATCTGAAGGTGTGTATTGGATTATTTTTGAGTTACTACTTGAATGTTTTAACCATAAAGTTTACCCAAGGTTTCTTAAAATTAGCCAAAGTAGCTGCAGTCTGCTCTTCCTCTTCTTGTCATTGTCGTCATCAACCTCCACCTCCTTCCCTTCCTCCTACTCCTCCTCCTCTACCCCCTCTTCTTCCCCCTCCTCTTCCCCCTCCTCTTCCCCCTCCTCTTCCCCCTCCTCTTCCCCCTCCTCCTCGTCCACCTCCTCTTCCACCTCATCTTCCCCCCTACCTCCTCCTCCTCTACCCCTTCCTCTACCTTCTCCTCCCCCACCTCCTCCTTCTCCACTTCCTCCTGTTCTTCCTCCCTCTCCTCTTCTCTCTTCCTCATCCAAGCAAACACTCAGGCACAGTTCTAGGCACTGAGGATATAGCAGTGAACAAGATGGAACAGCTCCTGTACTCACAGAGCTTACAGTCTAATAGGTGGAGACAAATAATAAAAAGTGAAATAATAATAAATAGTGCAGTATTTCCAGAAGTTAAAACTATAGACAGTAGTTGGGGTTGGGGCTGCGCCGGCAGGAATGACCATGAAGGAGGCCTGAGGGGTGCTGTGGGACCTCATGTCTGAACAACAAGGAAAGTTCTGCCAGGGTATTTGGGGCGAGATCTGGAAATAGTTCAAGAAGAGTTGATGAAGGGCACAAAGACCAAGAAGCCAGCCTGGGCATCATAAATGAGGGGCTCCGGCAGTGCACTCACCCCAATTTGCTCCCTCTTCTTGGTACCCCTGCCCGCCCAGGCTTCAGTCTTGAGGGCTTTCCTTTCAAGGTAGTGAGAGCCCTGCGTGCAGGGCATCTGAGCTCACTCTCAGCTCCTCAGGATCCACCTGTCTCTCTGTAACTGTCACCCACGGGAACCTGCTTTCATGCAATACACACATGAAGACCCACTGCCCTGCACACCGAGATGTCAGTAACTGGCAGGCAGTCATGGTCGCCAGTGTTCCGCCCAGCACTTTCATTCAAAGATACAGCCAGGGGGCATGGTGGTTTGTGTTGCATGGAAGGTAGCAACACATCTTAGATTCTCAGTGTCTGGATCAGTTCTGACCCCAGAAGAGGGCAGAGCTGAAGGCCTAATTCTCTTGTATATAGTTTTTCTAATCCTGAAGAAGACATGAAAAGGAGTTAGTTAGCTCTTTTTTTTTTTTTTTTGAGATGGAGTCCCACTCTGTCTCCAGGCTGGAATGCAGTGGTGCAACCTCTGCTTCCTGGGTTCAAGTGATTCCCCAGCCTCAGCCTCCCAAATAGCTGGGACTACAGGCATGTACCACTATGTCCGGGTAATTTTTTTATTTTTAGTAGAGACTGGGCTTCATCATGCTGGCCAGGCTGGTCTCGAACTCCTGACCTCAGGTGATCCACCCGCCTCGGCCTCCCAAAGTGCTGAGATTACAGGCATGATCCAACACGAGTTATCTTTTAATGGTAGAAAAACATGTAATAAACATTGAGACGTTCCTAGCATCCCGATTGAGTGAAGAGGAGGATTACACGTGTGTGTCTTGTCCATTACCTTGTGTGAGTACATTATGGCCCACTCAGTGCATGTGTTGGAGGTGGCGTCTGTGGGACAGGCTATGCAAGCATCAGCCTGGTGAGAGCAAGAGTAGGGTCCTGGGGGGCTGAAGGGGAGCTTCCCATGCCTCACTCCAAATGCTGCAATGTGGTGACATCCCAGAAAGAGAAGCACCAGCAGAAATTTATCACTCAGTTTTCTATCCTCTGCTCTTCTTAGTGCACTTAATTCTACCAGGCTCCAAGGAGGTGACCAGCTTTCTTCACATCTGGTGCTAATTATGCTAGCTTTTGAGAAATAGCACCTTTTTTTTTTTCTTTTGAGAAACCCAAGTGAATCATCGAGGCCTGATGATTTGCTACTTCTTGTGCTCTGCCCCGCAGGGGGTGATCCCCACGTTCCGCGTCAAGTTCCTGCTGCGGCTACTGCGTGGGAGGCTGGAGGTGGACCTGGACAAGGACAAGCTCCTGTTTAAGCACATGTGCTACGAAATGGAGAGGCTCCACAATGGCGGCGACGTCACCTTCCATGATGTCCTGAGGTACAAGGCAGGCTTTCGCAGGGCTGAATGGGGGCCAGAAACCACAGCTGTCAGCCTTCAAGGCCTCTGCAGTACAATTAACAAGTGTGTTTCCAACCCAAAATGCCACATCTGCTGTGGTCGTGAAGTGGGGTCACATGTCCCAGGCGCTAAGTGCCCTTTCCTGCCGTCCTCCAGTGAACATTTCCAAGTAGGTGCCTCGCAGGGGAGGGCTGGGCGGCTGTGCCCTGATGTCCCGTAGGGACCCCTGCCCACTGAGGTGCACCCCGAGGGGAGAGGTGGAAGGGATCTGGGAGAGCACAGTCCCACCCCTTCCCTGTGATGCGGGAACTGCCCAGAAGAGCTGAGTGACTTGCTTGCGGTTACAGGGCTCTGGCAAAGCTGGGACTAACATGCAGAGCACCTCACTTGCATGGGTCTGATGAGAATTTGCCTGGCCTGCTCTGTGATGGTTGCCCCGTTGGCTAAAACACCAGATTTTCCAGACATTTCATGAGCGCCCAGACAGGACAGAGGGTCAAATGGAGTCTCTGCCTTTTCTTCTTCCTGGGAGACTTCTGTATTTGTTTCCTTGGGCTACTGTAACTTAGCACCTTAAGCTGAGGGATTTAAACAACAGAAAGGTATGGTCTCGAAGTCCTGGATGCTGGAAGCCCGAGATGGAGGTATTGCGGGGCTGATTCCTTCTGAGGCCTGTGAGGGAGAATCTAGCCTAGCCTCTCCCCTGGCTGCTGGAGGTGCGCTGCCAATGTTGGTCATTCCTTGGCTTGTAGAAGCATCAGCTTGGTCTCCCTTCATCTTCACATGGCATTCTGTTTGTGTGTGTGTGTGTGTGTGTGTGTGTATCTATGTTCAAATTCCTCCTTTTATAAGAACATCTGTCGTATTACATTAGGAGTCCATTCTACTCCACTGTGATCTCATTTTAACTTAATTACTAATTACATCTGCAATGTTCTATTTCCAAATAACCTTACGTTCTGAGGTACTAGAGGTTAGGACTCCAACATATCTTTTTTTGGGAGGAAACATTTAACCCATAACAGCTTCTTAAGCAGGAGTCCATGGATAAAACAGAGGCCCATGGACTTGCAAGGGGGAAACAATTACATCTTTATTTTCACTAATCACTCTTTGAAATGTGTCATTCTCTTCCATGATGAACGTAGGCAACAAACCACAGTCGCATTAGCAATATCCATGTCTTTGTTACCAGGAGAAATCATAGATATTTTCAGATGACATAACTGACTGCCTTGACTGACATCTTAAAATATCATTTATGCTCACCAGTGCTTCTGAGTTATGGTAGTCATTTGAGCTCTGCTAGATGGTATTATTTAATGGAATAATAAAGGAAGCACTTACTTATGTTACTTTATCACTGCCGTTTTAAAGTAAATTTGAGAATTGTATTTTAATATAATTGGTTTCCTTTGTAATACGGTGTATTTCATTCCGTGCATTTAAAGCATTATTTCAAGAAATGTCCCATAAGCTCCACTGCCACAGGGGTCCATGCCACAGAAAAAAATAAGAGCGACTGACTAGCAGTAGCTATTTTAATCACATAGCAGTACCTACAAGGAGTGTGTGGGATATTGTGTTGTGTCTCAAATTTCAGGAGAACTCAGGTGTACAGAAATATGCTTGTGGCCAGAAGCTGAAAAAAAAAAAGGATCAGATCAGCACAGGAAGAATCTGGGAAAAGTTCTCTCAAGTTATCAATTTCACCTCCCACTATCCAGTTCTTCCACCAACAAGCTAAAAAGCAGAAAAACATGGGACGGAGAAATGCATGTGAATCACAAAGGAGGTCATCTCTGTCAGAATGTTTCTGAGTCTTTCCTCCTAGTGGCAAATTTTTTTGGTTGACATGAGGCAGATAGGCATACTGTTGTCATTAATAATTAATATTCAGCCTCTTTGGAACACACCGATGTATCTAATAAAAATAGACCCAGGCAAAATCTGTGATGGGGCTGTCTCTCCCCTTCCTATTTATTCCCCTAGCCCAGTATATGATAAAAACAAACAGTGAAGATAAAAGCAATGAAGCTTTGATGGGATTCTTGATGAGTCAGGGAAGAGAGGAAGAGAAAATTCATTTTTTTTCCCTCTGTGGTGGGAAGAGATTTAGCAAAGAGAAGCCCAATGTACCAGTGCTCTCAAGAGCCTCCAGGCTGTGATTTGGGCTCTAGGATGGAACTGAGCTCACAGAAGTGGGTAGCTCACAGGTGCACCAGGGTGCATGGGTCTGAGCCATAACCTGGAATCCT
The DNA here is from genome assembly GCF_000001405.40 of Homo sapiens. Classification (NCBI taxonomy): domain Eukaryota; kingdom Metazoa; phylum Chordata; class Mammalia; order Primates; family Hominidae; genus Homo; species Homo sapiens. The sequence goes on along the minus strand of NC_000013.11, from coordinate 101,063,124 downwards.
GTGGCTACACCTGGGTGCATCACACTGCCAAGAGGGGCTGTCTTCTCCTCTGGTGGTGGACTGCTCAGTCCAGGCATCCTGGGAGCTGCCTTATTGCCCCATGAACTGTAATGCTGTGTTGGCTTTACCTACAACTGCATGGGCCTGCTGTGTGTCAAGGGTTAAATGGGAGTGGATATTCAACCCTGGGTTTGTTTGGTAGCCTCTGAAATTAATAAGGAAGACCAGGCATGGTGGCTCACACCTGTAATCCCAGCTCTTTGGGAGGCTGAGGCAGGTGGATCATTTGAGGTTAGGAGTTTAAGACCAGTTTGACCAACATGGTGAAAACTCGTCTCTACTAAAAATACAAAACTAGCTGGGCGTGGTGGCACACACCTGTAATCCCAGCTACTTGGGAGGCTGAGGCAGAAGAAATGCTTGAACCCAGGAGGCGGAGGTTGCAGTGAGCTGACAGCACGCCATTACACTCCAGCCTGGTCAACAAGAGTGAAGCTCCATCTCAAAAAAAGAAAAAATTAATTAATAAGGAAGATACAGAAGGATGAATGAGAGAAACAGAGAGGGAAGTGGGATGCAGGGAGTAGGGATGTGTGACGCACAGCCGAGCATATTAACCATCACCTCGGGGGGCTAAGTGTGAAGAAAGTATGGGAGGTGCGGTCTTCCTTCTGCAGAGAAAGTCGCGAGCCTTTTCCTAGCCTGGATCTTTTGCTTTACAGGCACTTAGATGGCACTTACTACTATAAGAGCCTCACAGATATTAACTCACTTAGTCATTAAATAAAGGAGTTACCAGGACTATCTATCATCTTTGTTTTACAGACGAGGGAAGGGAGACACAGAGAGGTGACAGGACCAGCCCAAGACATGCGGGTGGCGAGGGGTGGCGTCAAAACACTAGACTTATTAGACTGAGTGATGTCCTCTCTGGATTTTGACGTATCTAAGGGTGTAAATCTCAGGTGAATCAGAGCTGCGATTGCAGGTGTGTTTCTCCCACCAGCATGCTTTCATACCGGTCCGTGGACATCCGGAAGAGCTTGCAGCTGGAGGAACTCCTGGCGAGGGAGCAGCTGGAGTACACCATAGAGGAGGAGGTGGCCAAGCAGACCATCCGCATGTGGCTCAAGAAGTGCCTGAAGCGCATCAGAGCTGTGAGTGAACTGCACACATGCAGGTTGGGTCCCCGCCCCGCCCCGCCCTGCCCCGCAGGAGGATGAAAGAAAAGAGCTTCGTGAACATGGGATTAGCTCCTTCTGTGATCAGCCTTCTATCCCTTTAAACTATGTCCACTACCTCCACTTACAGTGGTCAGATCATGATGCAGACTTTCACTCTAGTCCACAGTCAGCCCTGCCCTCTTTAGCAGAGTCCATTAGGAGTTTCCATGGAATCCCATTTTTATAATATGACATGAAGACTTAAAAAGCAGTTTATTGGCCAGGTGTGGTGGCTCATGCCTGTAATCCCAGCACTATGAGAGGTCAAGGGGGGAGCTCAACTCACTTGAGGCCAGGAGTTGGAGACCAGCCTGCCAACATGGCAAAACCCCATCTCTACTAAAAATACAAAAATTAACCAGGCGTGGCACACATGCCTGTAGTCCCAGCTACTCAGGAGGCTGAGGCATGAGAATCACTTGAACCTGGGAGGTAGAAGTTGCAGTGAGCTGAGATCATGCCACTGCACTCCAGCCTGGGTGACACAGTGAGAATCTGTCTCAAAAAAAAAAAAAGTTTATTGATATTAAAATATGATGTCCATTTATTAAACTCAACTGTTCAAAATTCTAGAATTTTCCACATATTGAATTTGCAAAACTACTTTAAATTGCTGCTAAAAATTTCAACAAACTGTGATAATGTCATTTATTCTGAAAAGACCACCTCTCAAGATTAATGATGTTTCCTGCTTCCTGACTTATAAGCCTATAAGATTCTCTAACTCATAAATTAATGAATGTATACTGCATTGACATATACTGTATTTACAGTGAATGTTTCTATGAGATAATTACTTTTATGAATGCTTTTGGCATGTTTCACAGACAGGGAAAAAACCCAAAGCAATCACTAAACATTTATATATAACAGAGATTGTTTCAATCCTCTTCCTCAGAGCAACAACGTCAATTGCAGACACATGTATTTCTATTGGAGGAGAAAAGGTTCCCAGAGAAAAGATACAACTCAACCTCCTATAGCAAGGCCAGCTGCCCAGTGATGTCCCATCACTGCTGGCCACTGTAGCTATGTTAGCTCCAGGGATCAATCTGTCCTCCTCTGGCTCTGAGAGGGCACAAGGAGTCCTGGCTTTAGTATATGCCGAGACAGATTGGTCTCCTGGATTGACCTGAAAACTTCAGAACCAAGACAAGCACAAAGGTTTTCTCATCCACCCAAGGCTCTTTGCCTCTTACAACTTGCAGGAAAGTGGGAAAGGGGTTGGGATTGTATTGGCTTAATGAGCCTAGAATAAAATAAGAGGAGAAAAAATAGAATAGCCACATTAGTAATTTTAAATAAGACATAAGCTGGGCACAGTGTCTCATGCCTGTAATCCCAGCACATTGGGAAACTGAGGCGGGAGGATCGCTTAAGACCAGAAGTTTGAAACTAGCTTGGGCAACAGAGTGAGACCTCCTCTCTGAAAAAAAAAAAAAAAAAAAAAAATTAATTAGCCAGCCACAGTCATGCACACTTTTAGTCTCAGCTTCTCAGGAGGCTGAGGCAGGAGCATAGCTTGAGCCTAGGAGTTTAAGGTTACAGTGAGCTATAATAATCGCACCACTGAACTCTAGTCTACGGGACATAGTGAGATCCTATCTAAAAAAAAAAAAAAAAAAACAGAAAACACCAACAACAAAAAGAAAAACAAATAAATAAAATACAAGCATCAATGACCGTCACTATTCTGATTGTTACACAAATGAAAATGGACTGGGAAGTCAATGCATACCTCTCTAAGCCCACCTTTGCATCAGCCTACCTTAATTGAACATTGAAATTAGTTCAGGATCCTTACTTGGAAATTCCTAAGAGGTCACCCGTCATGCAGGTCTTAGGAGAGGGGAGAAGAAAATAAGATTTGTGTGGCGGTGGGGCAGGCAGGATGCTGGGCTTATTTTACTGAACAAACAATCGCATTTCCATAGAAACAGCAGCAGTCGTGCAGTATCATCCACAGCCTGAGAGAGAGTCAGCAGCAAGAGCTGAGCCGGTTTCTGAACCCGCCCAGCATCGAGACCACCCAGCCCAGTGAGGACACGAATGCCAACAGTCAGGACAACAGCATGCAACCTGAGGTATGGGCACGAGGCGTCCTCTGTCCCAGGACACTCTGTGGGCTTCTTTCTTTTAATAAAAATAAATAAAATGGGTGCTGGTCAGATCATTCAAACAAGGTGACAATATTTCTAATAGGAATATTTTCATTAAAAAAAAAAAAGGCAACGGAAATCCATTGATCCAGATTATGTCTATGTCTTTGCCATCTTGGATGCAGTTGAGGTTATTTAAAAAGAGTCTGACTCATATGAATGCCAAAAAAAGTGAATGCCCTGAACTTCATAATTCTGTAGTTTTATTTTTGTCTAAAGAGTTAACATCAGCTCTAAGGGCTGCATTTGAATCTGGGTATATTACATGGAGTATGGTTTACAGGAAGCTCTGCCCTAAATATTTTCCTCCCTTCTCTAAAGTCATAGAAATTTGCAGTAAAATCAGTGAAAATGTTTGTAATTAGCTTTCAACCTCCTTAAATAATCAGACTCATTGAAGATATATCCTTTCCTGGTTGGGTATCAGAAGAACATATGGAATTCAGGACAATTGGCTTGAGGAGTTTCTATTTATTAAGTCACAGCATATTTTCATTTTCAAACTCTATGTATGTGTCTATATAAAAAAGTACAAGGAGTTATCAGCGTCCTGGAGAGTCCTGTGCTGTGAGAAGCAGCTGGCTGGGAGGACCTGCCCCTTTATGAGGCAGCAATTACGATTTGAGGTTAACAACGTGGAGCTGATCCCGTGCTCTGTGCAGAGCCCCCAGCAGCACCAGGCTCCATGGTGTGCAGCAACGCAGCCAGGGGCCAGAGTACCTTTGGAAGCCTAAGGCTCCACGGCCCAGCAGGGTGCTCCAGGAGGCCCACTGGTGCCATAGCTCAGTTTTCAGTAGATCTCATGTTTTGGGCTCCCCAGCCTTTAGAAATCATCTGCCACCGACTGCAGGGACTTCTGCGGAGTTAGTCAACCAAGGGGCAAGGGGAGGCATCTGCAGTGGCCTTGCCACTGGTCACCCTGAAGATGGTTGGCAATGTCTCGCATGGGAGAGGGAGGCAGGCTGAAGTCAGGACAGACAGTGAGACAGGGCTAATGAGGTTGGGGAAAGTGATGATTTCAGAGCCCTCTGTTTTTAGATGAAAAAGCCTAAGAAAGAAAGAGGTGACAAAAAAAAAAAAAAAAGGATACTAAAGAGATGTGAAGACCAAGGCTTTTGTTAGGAAAGGGAGAGGTGACAGGTGAACCTGAGAACAGGTGAAATGTGTGGGAAGTCTTGGCATCTCTCTTTCTTTCACTGTAGCTTAGATTGTTATCAGCTCCATCCTCCACCAGGGCCCATCATACAGCTTTGCCTGCAGAGAACTCTTTCCCTGAAGCTCTAAGTGTGGATCTCCAGGCTGGTGACAGTAGACTGCCCCCGCCCAGCCCGTCCCCACTGCCCCACCTTCCTTCCTGCAGTTCCCCTTCCTTACCCCCTGGTTTGCCAGCGAAGATATGAAGGGAAACAATGACATTCTCAGGCATGGAGGGGAACGAAGCAGTGGGGGTTACCCAGGACAAGATGTCCCAGGAAGAGTGGTGTCTCCTTCAGCAGGGCGTGCAGTGGTGGCTCTTTTTCTTCTGTGACCCTTTATACCCATTTTCACTTTTCCCCATTGTGGACACTCTGAGTCCATGTTGTTCTTCCCACTTGTCCTCCTGCCATGTGTTTTCCTTTCTTATAGTAAAAGGAGGAGAGCGCAGGGTTAAAAAGACGGTAACTGTGTGCTTCTCCTCCCATGCAGACAAGCAGCCAGCAGCAGCTCCTGAGCCCCACGCTGTCGGATCGAGGAGGAAGTCGGCAAGATGCAGCCGACGCAGGGAAACCCCAGAGGAAATTTGGGCAGTGGCGTCTGCCCTCAGGTAGGTCCATCCAGGCATTTCTCCAGCGATCGAGGCATTTTAAAGGTATTTACTCTGTTTGTGTGTTTTGGGTCTTGCCTTTCAAAATGCAAGTCTGCATCTACAGTTGTTTACAGACAGCAACATAATGAAAAATGTAGTCTTGTCAAAAACATTGTCCCCCAAAATAACTTCTCTAAATATGACTTACATTAGCCCCCATTTTCCGGGTACATTTCAGGCTATCATGGTTGAGAAGCCAGCACCTATGAAAAAGACAAGATTCAGCAAGAGGGAGAAATTTCCAAGGGCTTTCTGTGTGCCTCAAGGCATGCTCAAACATGGGCAAAAGTATTCAACTGAAGAGGGAGTGGGCAGATGCAATCATTCAGAAAATGCCACGAAGTTCTCAAAAAAGGGACAGGCCCCCGATTTCTCTCAGCACACTTTGCAGCTGAGCCGGTCACTGGCTTTAGGCAAGCTGCTTTACCTCCATACAATAACAAACAACAACAACAAACACTTACGTAGTACTCACTGTATGCCAGTCACTCTTCTAAGTGCATTACTTGTGTTCTCTCATTCAATCCTTTAATAAACAGTCCCATTATTTTCCATATTTTACTGATTCAGTAAGAGAATTTTCTTCTATGAGCTTCTTCTCTATAGGGTTTTGGAAAGCCAGGATAATCCCATTAAGAGCACTCAGGAATGGAGGGAGAGCAATGCTCCCCACAGCCCAGTGTCCTTGTACATGTTTTTTTCTATAGATAACTAAGTTCATGCTAAAGCAGGAGCTTTATAATGCTCTTTAACTGTGCCCCAACTTCAGCCCAATTGAAAGGAGAAGATGTGTAGCATATGTGTTCCACAAAGCAGATGACAGCACAGCTTACATTTTGAGGCTGACGATGTTCAGTGGGTCTTCACTGGGACTACCACCAAGGAAAGTATCCCCTTTCATATCCAGGAACTTATTTTTCAGAGATCAGAGAAGATCTAGGTTCCTCCTGATTCAAACACAGCAGAGAATGACAGCATCAAGACAACGTAGATGGTGGTGCCAGGTCATAAATTACAAGCTGAGTCGGTTCAATTTTATCCTGTAGGCAATTAGGAGCTAGCAAAGATTTCTGAGCAGTATGTGACTTTTGGAATCTGTGCTTTAGGAAGTTGACTTGGCAGCAAAGGAGGGAATTGTCTATGACAGAGCCTGGAGGCAGGTTACAAGCTGGAGGAAGTTACCGTGGTGTGAGCACAAGGCAACAAAGGCATGGACAGAGCTGGGGGCCAGATACTGCAGGGACAGATAGGAGAGGTGACCTGGGGAGAATGCACAGTCCTTGGTATTCATTTAAATGGACAAAAGAAATGATGCTGTCAAAAGTACTTCCATTGGGCCAGGCGCAGTGGCTCACCCCTGTAATCCCAGCACTTTGGGAGGCCGAGGCAGGTGGATCATTTGAGGCCTGGAGTTCAAGACCAGCCTGGTCAACATGGTGAAACCCTGTCTCTACTAAAAATACAAAAATTAGCTGACCGGTAGTGGTGTGCACCTGTAATCCCAGCTGCTTGGGAGGCTGAGGCAGGAGAATCACTTGAGCCTGGGAAGCAGAGGTTGTGGTGAACCAAGATTGTGCCGCTGCACTCCTGTCTGGGTGAGAGAGTGAGAACCTGTCTCCCAAAAAAAAAAAAAAAAAAAAAAAAAAAAAAGTACTTCCACTGGTCCATGCCTAGGTGGTCCCCACCAAAAACGGTGATCGTGAAATAGACATGCTCTTGGGGTCAGGCTGAGTTTGAGGAGGCAGAGGAGAAGAAAAATAGTATTTTGAGGGGGCAGCAACAATGTCACAGGTGTCATGCTATGCACTTTCCTAAGTCATCTCATGTAACCTGTTTTAATCCTGACAATAGTCTAATTAGGACATTTTCATTGTCTTCATCTTACAATGGAGGAAACTTGGGTTCAGAGACGTGAAGTTGCCCATAGCTACATATCCACAGGTTGCAGAGGTGGGTCCCAACACCATGACTGTGAGGCCCCAGAACCACACCTTTCCTCCCATACCCTCACTGCATCCCCCCTCGCCTTTACTGTGGGTCACACTCTCCTTCCTTTTTGTTTTTTTTATTGCATATGCTAATGAATGCACAGGTTTCTGTGACACTTAATAGTTCCCGAATTGGAATTTTTTTAGTGATTTTCTAGTTTTTTTAATTATTTCAAAATGAAAGGGGTGAGCAGCACGTTTTTTTCCCAAATGACATCATTAGTTGTCCATGAGCACAATTAAAAAAAAAATCTATCGTGAACATAAAGAATCAAGTCCTGAAAAGGATGTTTACTTAGCATCTGTGGCTAGGACACGTTAGCCAAAAGTATCACTGATGGGAATATCATGGGTTTTTAGGAGTGATTACAATAGGGTGAAGCAATACCAAGTGGCTCATAGGACTCATTAATTCCACAGCCCCAAAACCAATAAGCCATTCAGTGTCCTCAGTCAACTTACGGTTTGGAGGAAGGACAACCATGAAATCTGTCGTGTGCAAAATGAACCCCATGACTGACGCGGCTTCCTGCGGTTCTGAAGTTAAGAAGTGGTGGACCCGGCAGCTGACTGTGGAGAGCGACGAAAGTGGGGATGACCTTCTGGATATTTAGGTGGATGTCAATGTAGATGAATTTCTAGTGGTGGAAACCGTTTTCTAATAATGTCCTTGATTGTCCAGTGAGCAATCTGTAATTGATCTATAACTGAATTCCAGCTTGTCACAAGATGTTTATAAATTGATTTTCATCCTGCCACAGAAAGGCATAAGCTGCATGTATGATGGGTTACTATCAATCATTGCTCAAAAAAATTTTTGTATAATGACAGTACTGATAATATTAGAAATGATACCGCAAGCAAATGTATATCACTTAAAAATGTCATATATTCTGTCTGCGTAAACTAAGGTATATATTCATATGTGCTCTAATGCAGTATTATCACCGCCCCGCAAAAGAGTGCTAAGCCCAAAGTGGCTGATATTTAGGGTACAGGGGTTATAGCTTTAGTTCACATCTTTCCCATTTCCACTAGAAATATTTCTCTTGAGAGAATTTATTATTTATGATTGATCTGAAAAGGTCAGCACTGAACTTATGCTAAAATGATAGTAGTTTTACAAACTACAGATTCTGAATTTTAAAAAGTATCTTCTTTTTCTCGTGTTATATTTTTAAATATACACAAGACATTTGGTGACCAGAACAAGTTGATTTCTGTCCTCAGTTATGTTAATGAAACTGTTGCCTCCTTCTAAGAAAATTGTGTGTGCAAGCACCAGGCAAAGAAATGGACTCAGGATGCTTAGCGGTTTAAAACAAACCTGTAGATAAATCACTTGAGTGACATAGTTGCGCAAAGATGTTAAGTTTCTTAAGAAACCTTTTAATAACTGAGTTTAGCAAAAAGAATAAAACTATATAGCTCAATTTATTTAAAAAAATCTTTGCATGTGTGATGTTATCATTGGCTTCATTTCTTACCCAAGGTATGTCTGTTTTGCCATAAATCAGCAGAGTCATTTCATTCTGGGTGATCCTAACACACCATTGCTACGTTAGATTTGAAATGACATCTCTGTTAAAAGAATCTTCTATGGAAATAATGGTGCCCTGCAAAATCTTCCTTTGAACTCACAGGTTAGGGATCACACAACTTACTTAATCGTTTTTTGTTTTTGTTTTTTTTCCTTATATGTCAATGGCCCATGTCCTCCGGGAAAATTAGAAAAGCAAAATGATTACAAAGTGCTGTTAGATTTCTTGTGCTGGGCCAGCCAAGTAGAAGTGGACTTGACTTGGACCTTTAACTATTTTATTACAGATTGGACATTTGCTGTTCAGATGTTTTTTAACAGAGGGATTATCTCAGAATCCTGTGACCTCCAGGTTGTTTTATAATCTATTTTTCTCTATTTAACATTCCTCAGATAGATAGGCAAATAGGACATTCCTTCTGTGTCACAGAAGTATCGTGGTAGTGGCAGTCTACAGTTTATATGATTCATTGTAACTATGAGATAAAGAACAACCAGTCATGTGGCCAAAAGGATTAGATTTGATTTGATGTTCACTTGGAGTTTACTTTTTGTACATACAAGATAAAATAAATATTGGATTTGTAAAATAATTTACTCTGAGTTGACCATTTTTAAACCCTTTTCTTGGTGGGGCAGGCACTCGGTAGCAGCACATTGCAAACCTGGATTGAATATTCAGTCCATAATTAGTTGGCAAAAGCTGTGTCCCTGATACTCATTTCAACTCAATTCTCTGAGCCAGAATGTTCCTTTCACACTTGTGCTGATAAGGCTGAGTGAATACCCTGTGCCCTCTAAGCCTACAATGAACAGAAAAGGCACTTACAGGTCCAGGGCATGGGTCTGTACTAGTGCTGCATAAAAACAAGATGTTTTTGGCTCATTACACTTGAGTAATACAGCTTCATTCTCACGAAACTGCTGAGCCCTTTCTAAAACGTCTGGAATTGATGTTCAGCAGAACATCATTGTTGTTCATTCTGCAGTGAAGCCAGGGGCAGAATACCAATGTATTTAAAGCCATAGCACCCTATATTTTCAATGAAGCGAAACAGTCACACACTTCCTGTAGGACTCCTCTCTACGATTTTCCTGAAACAGGTAGAGCATATGCAAGCCAGAGAAATTAAGCACCACCCCCATTTAGATTTTACCCCTAGATATGTAAACATATGAAAAATCCCATTACACAGATGGGAAAACTTGGGTCACAGTGTTCCCTGGTCCTTAGGGAAGCCAGACACTGATACTAATCCTGTCATCACGCCACCCACTGCCTTTAATTAGAGGGTGCTGTCAGTTCCAAAGGCACCAGAAAGCATATGGGGTGGAATACTTACTTGACTCAGAGCCCCTGAGAGAGCAGGCCACACATGTGTGACCTGTATGGCACTTCAAGGAGACTCAAAGGGAACAAGGATGGACAGAATGGAAGGGCCAATGCTATTCACTCTATTTTTTTTTTTTTTTTTTTTTTTTTTTTGAGACGGAGTCTTGCTCTGTCACCCAGGCTGGAGTGCAGTGGCACGATCTCGGCTCACTGCAAGCTCCACCTCCCGGGTTCACACCATTCTCCTGCCTCAGCCTCCCAATTAGCTGGGACTACAGGTGCCCGCCACCATGCCCAGCTAATTTTTTTGTATTTTTAGTAGAGACGGGGTTTCACCATGTTAGCCAGGATGGTCTCGATCTCCTGACCTCGTGATCCACCCGCCTCGGCCTCCCAAAGTGCTGGGATTACAGGCGTGAGCCACCGTGCCCGGCCCACTCTATTCTTAATGGTACTTCCAGACCAACATACATCAGCAGTGTCTGGCTGGCTGTGCCTTGGCCAAGCTGAATGAGATAAGGGTACACAGAAGAAAAACCAGTGTTATAAAGCCTTACAGGAAAGCAGCTTTAAGCCAGTGGAATGATGTGTTTGCCTGTTTCCTTGTAGGAAGTGGCATTCTATACATGGGTGGTTTTCAGTATATCAGTAAGCAGTGGAACTGTTTCTAAGGCCTTCAACAGATCCCAAAATTTTAACCAGCCAAAAGCCAGGCAGCCCTCGTTGAAGTTGAGGTGAAGATGAAAACGGCACTCATGTGGTCTCTTCTCACCCACTATTATGGGTTGAAGTGTGACCCCCAGAAGGATAGGTTGAAGTCCTAACCCTTAGTACCTGTGAATATGACCTTATTAGGAAATAGGGTCTTCGCAGATATAATTACTTATGAGGAGGTCATACTAGAGGAGGGTAATCCCTTACTCCAACATACCTGGTATCCTCTGAAGACACAGGCATGTGGGGAGGATGGCCATGAGACGGTGAAGGCAGAGGCATCGGAGCTATGCTGCCCAGAGCCAAGGGACACCTGGGCTACCAGAAGCTGCAAGAGGCAAGGAAGGCGCCTCCCAGAGGCTTCTAAGGGAGAATGGCCCCCTGTCAACACCTTGATTCTGGACTTCTAGCCAGAAGAACTGTGAGAACATACATTTCTGTTGTTTTAAGCTGCCCAGTTTGTCTGCTTTTTTATCATTTTATCATTTTAGTTTTTTAGTTTAGTCTCTGTCTTCTACTAACTCCCTTTCCAATTCTACTTTAGGACTCTCTAACATTGCACCTCCTTCTTCCTCTATTTCTTATTCATCCCACATAGCCACAGGTACACCACAGGCTTGATCTTGTCCACCCCAGATACCCCCAGCCCACAAGATCTCCTTTCACACCTCTAGAAATACATTTGTATGCACTTCTGACCTCTGCCTTGAGTAGTTCTTCTATGATGCTTCCCAAGCTCTTGTTTCTATCTCCCAGGGAACTAGCAACCCAAAAAGCTAACAGCTTTCTCATGTGCACTTCCCCACCTCCCTTTTCTTTTTATCTCAGTGTTTTTGTACATGTTCATTCATCCCCTCCCCATTCTTTTCTGTCTTATAAAGAACCTCGCTTCTTCTCCAAGTCTTACTTCTCCACCTGAGCCACAGATCTCTTTATTTCCATCAAAGCTTTCTCAGCATCTTCTATATACTGTGCTGTGCCTTGTGAAGAAGCCAGAGCCGAGCATACCAACATGATCTTTTGCTTGAACTGTAGTAGGAGAGACAAGACAGATGTGCGGGTCCCCATGATATAAGGTAATTGTTAAATCTGCCATAGAAAGGTGGAGTGGTGATCAGAGGAGGCTTTTGGGGTGGTGATGCCATGTGAATTAAGCATTAAAGAAGGAATACTTGGATTTAAATTGTCATAGATGGGGAAGTAGCAGACAGAATGATGCCTGGAATAACAAAAGGAAAATTATCAAGGAGAGCGTCAGTTGACTCTATTCAATGAATTCCCAAGTCTTCTGAATAGGTGTGCAAAGGCAAGACTGGAGACTTGGTCAAGGGCACAAAGAACCTTTAATGCCCACATTTCATGTGGACAGTGATCAGTAGAAAAGGGGAGTCCATGGAGGTGGAGAGGGAGGGAGATTATGGTAATAATGCAAGACCAGGCTTTAGGAGGAGCACGCCGGGAGCAATGTGCAAAATGGAATTGAGGAGGGAGAGACAGATGCAGGGTGAATCTTTACAATACCCCAGCTTTCCAAGAAAATTGTGGTTCTAGTTCTCCAACCTCAAAGTTGAACTTCTGTAGCAGCATGGGACATGGAAGGAGGGTGGAGATGTGACAGGGACTTACCAGACAAAAGGGGCTGCAGGACCTCACCACACTGGGCTCATTCATCTTGCACCAATGACTTGCTCTTCCAAACAACACTGCCCTTTGTTAATCTTTTCTTGAACCAGGACCCACAGAAATACACTGACCATTTTCTGGACCTAATTCCAGAATACGCTTTCTCTCCTAGCTTTCTCCCACAGGCCTTATAATTATAAATTTTATTTAACTTACCTTTTTTGTTTGATTCTCATTTCCCTGGACCACTTGTTAATCTTTTACATTATAATTGCTTGGGGGTACTACTCCTGGATCTTGCAAGCTGAATGGAATGTACAAGTTGGGAGTTTACTAGGTAGAGTTTTGCAGTTGATGGGAGAGGGATGGCCCCTCCAGACTCACCTGCTCTTAACAGCTATCCCCCTATGGAACACCCCTTCTCTCTTTGACTTTAGGGTTGCATTTTGAGATGTGGGCATCAAACTGCTCAGATTTTATTGCGGGGATGGGATGAAGAAGAAGAATAGAGGTGCTGGAAGAAGAAAACTAAGGCAAAAAGAAACAAAAGTTCCCTAGAAAGACACACATTCTCCCTTTATCTACTGACCACAATGGTCTGGAATGAGGACTTATCATAAATAATGACAATTAATTTTTCCTGGATAGAATTATGGTCCATCACCATTGACACCTCTTCACTCCCTATCTCTGACCTAGCTGGTTCCAGGTCTCACCATATATTTTCCATATCATCTAAGCACCTCAATAGTCCCCAGACTTCTCTCCAACCATGCTCAAGGTCATGGCTTCCTATTAAAAAAAATTCTGTAGGCAGAAAAGTGCTTTCAGTCTCTCTCTTCTCTCCAACGTGAACCATTCTATCTGCCCTCCTTCCTCCTTGGCTTCAAACACAGATGCTCTCTCTCTTCCAACCCTTTCCAACAGACCTTTCATCTGTGCCAACTCTTGTTTCTGACACGCCACCTTCTTATTGCACCCCCTACATTCCTGAACAGAAGTCACATCCAGCCTGAACATGCTGCACACTTCCTGATTCTCAGGACATTCTTCTTCCATCAGGACAGAGCTCAGCAACGTCCAATGCAGATTCAGTACAAAAGTTACACCAGAGAGATCTCCTTTCCTGTGATGATCCTCTGAGAATTCAATTCACAGGGGGAAAAAAAACAAAGTAGCTTTCCAAAAGACAGGTTATTCTCTAATTAGGAAGAACTGTCTGAACTCTGCCTATAGTAATTTATCAATGGAAAGTCTAAATAACACAAGACACACTGTAATTGCCTCAGATCGACTATTGTCCGATGAATGAATCATCAGGTAGTTCACTTACTTACTCATCCATTCAAGATTGGGGCAGTCACGCTTCTTGCTCTGTGAGTCTACAGATGGATGCTCTGATCTCATGGTGTTTATGGTCTATTGGGGAAGCAGAAAATAAACAGGTAAATATATAAGTCAGAAGGCTTTAAGTGTAATGGAGAAAAATTAACTTGACTGAGAAGGATAGGCCTTCCTCTTGGATGTAATTTAGTCATTAAGGGACTCACTGCTCAGTTGCCATTTCGGCAGAGACCCGAGGCAGTGAGCATGGCAGCCATGGAGATGTGCTTCCCACAAAAGGTGCTATTTGCTGACAGCTTCTAGCTGCTGGTGCTTTCAGGATCTGCCTCGGTCTGTTTTTTTGTTTTGTTTTGTTTTTTACTGTAGTAAAATGTATTTAGCATAAAATTTGCCACTTCAACCATTTTTAAGATTTTAAAGTGGTGTTAATTATATTCACAATTCTGTGCAACTATCACCACCACTATCCAGTTTCAAAAATTGTTAACACCTCAAACAGAAACTGTACCCGTTAAATGATAACTCCTCATTTCTTCCTTCTGCAAGCCTTGGACCTTCTAATCTATATTTTGTCTCTATGGATTTACCTGTTCTAAATATTTACCATAAGTAGAAGCATACAATATTTGTCCTTTTGTGACTGTTTTATTTCACTGAGCACAGTGTTTTCAATGTTCATCCATGTGGTAGTGTGTGTCAATACTTCATTCCTTTTCATGGCTGGATAATATTCCACTGAATGTGCATACTACGTTTTGTCCATCCACTCATCTGTTGATGGACATTTGGTTGTTTCTCCCTCAGCTTTTGAGTGGAGGTCACATGCTTCCTGGATAATCCTCAGCCAATGACGGAGCACAATGATACAAAGGCTTGCCATTTCCCGGGCAGCGTGGAACCCTTCCACAGGCAATCTCTGTGGCAAAAGCTCCCTGCTGGGCTGGCTGACACTTTCTCAGTGCAGTATGCATGGAAATCTGAGGCTCTTCATCCAATCCTCCTATCCCCTCCTATCCCTGCAAGGATGTCAGACCTGCACTGTGGTCTGAAGGCCCAGCCTTCCCACTCCTGTCCCTTCTCTCCTTTATCTTTCACAGGCCTTACCCCCAATAAATCTTGAGCTCTCCTAATACTGCCTTGGAGTCTGCTTCCCAGAGGACTCATCCAACTTAGTGAGAGAGTGGGCCATGGAAAGGCCTCGGGCAAGGGTGTTCTGGCAGAGGAAATGTGAGGTGTCAAGGCCCTCAAGTGGATATAGGTTTGGTCAATTGGAGAAAACAGCAAGGAGGCCATACTGACTTGGAGTCTAGATATTAAAAGGGAAAGAGGGATGACATGAAGTCAGAGAAGTCACAGGAATCATATCATTCAAGACTTCCTAGGCTGTGGTAGTCCCTCACTATTCCTATCTCCCAGTAATTCAATCAAATATTAACCTGGGTACTGCTATGATGAGATTTGGCAGATGCAATTAAGATAGCAGACCTTAAACCAGGGAGTGGAACCCATCTAAAATTAGAGAAATGTCTCTGGCTGGAGTGAGAGAAATGTGGCTGGAGTGAGAAGAGTAAGGAGGAAAGATCTAAAGCAAGAGAGGGACCTGGACCCTACCTGCTGTGGGTGGAGGGGCCACCTGGAAAGATTGAGGGATGCAAGCAGCATCTAGGAGCAAAGGCTACCCTGGGCTGACCGCCAGAAAGGAAACGGAGATCTCATTGCTACAACCACAGGAACTGAATTCAGTGAATAACCTGAATGAACAAAGACACACATCCATCTCCAAAATTTTCAAAAGGGAATACAGCCTTGTCAGCCCCTTGCTGTCAATCTGATGAGACTCAGGACAGAGAAACTAGCCAAGCCTACGAGACTCTGACCTGCAGAACTGTGAGTTGATAAATGGGTGTTGTTTTTAGCTGCTAAGATGGAGACTATTCGTTATGGCAGCAATAGAAAACTAATACAAGAGAGTTGGCAAGATGGCTGAATAGGAACAGCTTCAGTCTGCAGCTCCCAGCAAGACCAACGCAGAAGGTGGGTGATTATTGCATTTCCAACTGAGGTGCCCGGTTTATCTCACTGGGACTGGTTAGACAGTGGGTGCAGCCCATGGAGGGGGAACAGAAGCAGGGTGGGGTATCGCCTCACCCAGGAAGTGCAAGGGGTCATGGACCTCCCTCTCCTAGCCAAGGGAAGCCCTGAGGGACTCTACTGTGAGGGACTGTGCTATCCAGCCCAGATACTATGCTTTTTCCATGGTTTTTGCCACCCACAGACCAGGAGATTCCCTCGTGTGCCTACACTACCAGGGCCCTGGGTTTCAAGCACAAAACTAGGCAACTCTCTGGGCAGATAAACAGCTGCAGGAGTTTTTTTTCATACACCAGCAGTGCCTGGAACCCCAGTGAGACAGAACCACTCACTCCCCTGGAAAGGGGGCTGAAGCCAGGAAGCCAAGTCTTCTCGCACAGCGGGTCCCATTCCCACAAAGTCCAGCAAGCTAAAATCCACTGGCTTGAAATTCTCGCTGCCAGCACAGCAGTATGAAGTCAACCTGGGACAATTGAGCTTGTTGGGGGAGGGGCGTCCACCATTACTGAGGCTTGAGTAGGTGCTTTTCCCCTTACAGTGTTAACTCTGACTGCAGAACTCACCGCAGCATGGCAAAGTACCTGGGGCCAGACTGCCTCTCCAGATTCCTCCTCTCTGGGCAGGGCATCTCTGAAAGAAAGGCAGCAGCCCCAGCCAGGGGCTGATAGGTAAAATTCCCATCTGCCTGGGACAGAGCACCTGGGGGAAGGGGCGGCTGTGGATCCAGCTTCAGCAGACTTAAACGTTCTGCCTGTCAGCTCTGAAGAGAGCAGCGGATCTCCCAGCACAGTGTCCAAGCTCTGCTAAGAGACAGACTGTCTCCTTAAGGGGGTCCCTGACCCTCATGCCTCCTGACAGGGAGACACCTTCCAGCAGGGTTCAACAGACACCTCATACAGAAGAGCTCCAGCTGACTTCTGGCAGATGCCACTCTGGGACGAAGCTACTAAAGGAAGGAGCAGGCAGCAATATTTGCTGTTCTGCAGCCTCCACTGGTGATACCCAGGCAAACAGGGTCTGGAGTGGACCTCCAGCAAACTCCAGCAGACCTGCAGAAGAGGGGCCTGACTGTTAGAAGGAAAACTAACAAACAGAAAGCAATAACATCAACATCAACAAAAAAGATGCCCACAGAAAAACCCCACCCAAAGGTCATTAGTATCAAAAATCAAAGGTAGATAAATCCACGAAGATGAGGAAAAAACAGTGCAAAAATGTTGAAAATTCCAAAAAACAGAATGCCTCTTCTCCTCCAAATGATTGCAACTCCTCTCCAGCAAGGGCACAAAACTGGATGGAGAATGAGTTTGACAAATCGACAGAAGTAGGCTTCAGAAGGTGGGTAATATCAAACTCCACTGAGCTAAAGGAGCATGTTCTAAACCAATGCAAGGAAGCTAAGAACCTTGATAAAAGGTTAGAGGAATTGCTAACTAGAATAAGCAGTTTAGAGAAGAACATAAATGATCTGATGGAGCTGAAAAACACAGCATGAGAACTTCGTAAGGCATACACAAGTATCAATAGCCAAATCGATCAAGCAGAAGAAAGGATATCAGAGATTGAAGATCAGCTTAATGAAATAAAGCGTGAAGACAAGATTAGAGAAAAAAGAATGAAAAGGAACAAATAAAGCCTCCAAGAAATATGGGACTATGTGAAAAGACCTATGATTGATTAGTGTACCTGAAAGTGATGGGGAGAACGGAACCAAGTTGGAAAGTATACTTCAGGATATTTTCCAAACATACTTCAGGATATTTTCCAAGAAACATACTTCAGGATATTTTCCAAGAGAACTTCCACAGCCTAACAAGACAGGTCAACATTCAAATTCAGGAAATATAGAGAACACCAAAAAGATACTCCTCGAGAAGAGCAACCCCAAGACACATAATCATCAGATTTTCCAAGGTTGAAAACAAGGAAAAAGTGTTAAGCACAGCCAGAGAGAAAGGTCAGGTTACCTACAAAGGGAAGCCCATTAGACTAACAGTGGATCTCTCTGCAGAAACCCTACAAGCCAGAAGAGAGTGGGGGCCAATATTCAACATTCTTAAAGAAAAGAATTTTCGACCCATAATTTTATATCCAGCCAAACTAAGCTTCATAAGTTAAGGAGAAAAAAATCCTTTATAGACAAGCAAATGCTGAGGGATTTTGTCAACACCAGGCCTGCCTTACAAGAGTTCCTGAAGGAAGCACTAAACATGGAAAGAAAAAACTGGTACCAGCCACTGCAAAAACAAACCGAAATGTAAAGACCATTGACACTATGAAGAAACTGCATCAACTAATGTGCAAAATAAACAGCTAGCGTCATGATGACAGGAACAAATTCACACATAATGATATTACCTTTAAGTAAATGGACTAAATGCCCCAATTAAAAGACACAGACTGGCAAATTGGATAGAGTCAAGACCCATTGGTGTGCTGTATTTAGGAGACCCAACTCACATGCAAAGACACACATACGCTCAAAATAAAGAGATGGAGGAATAGTTACCAAGCAAATGGAAAGCTAAAAAAATAAAAATAAATAAATAAATAAATAAATAAAAACAGCAGGTGTTGCAATCCTAGTCTCTGATAAAACAGACTTTAAACCAACAAAGATGAAAAAAAGACAAAGAAGGGCATTACATAATGGTAAAGGGATCAATGCAACAAGAAGAGCTAACTTTCCTAAATATATATGTACCCAGTACGGGAGCACCCAGATTCATAAAGCAAGTTCTTAGAGACCTACAAAGAGACTTAGTCTCCAACACAATAATAGTAGGAGACTTTAACACCCCACTGTCAGTATTAGGCAGAACAATGAGACAGAAAATTAACAAGGATATTCAGGACTTAAACTCAGCTCTGGACCAAGCAGACCTAATAGACATCTACAGAACTCTCTACCCCAAATCAATAGAATATACATTCTTCTCTTCACCACGTAGCAGTTATTCTAAAATTGACCACGTAATTGAAAGTAAAACACTCCTCAGCAATTGCAAAAGAATGGAAATCGTAACAAACAGTCTCTCAGACCATAGTGCAATCAAATTAGAACTCAGGATTAAGAAACTCATTCAAAACCACACAACTACATGGAAACTGAACAACCTGCTCCTGAATGACTACTGGGTAAATAACAAAATTGAGGCAGAAATAAATAAGTTCTTTGAAACCAATGAGAATAAAGACACAACATGCCAGAATCTGTGGGACACAGCTAAAGCAGTGTTAAGAGGGAAATTTATAGCACTATAATGCCCACATCAGAAAGCAGGAAAGATCTAAAACCAACACACTAACAGCAGAACTGAAGGAGACAGAGACATGAAAAACCCTTCAAAAAATCAATGAATCCAGGAGCTGGTTTTTTGAAAAGATTAACAAAATAGATAGACTGCTAGCCAGACTAATAAAGAAGAAAAGAGAGAAGAATCAAATAGACACAATAAAAAAATGATAAAGGGAATATCACCACTGATCCCACAGAAATAAAAACTACCATCAGAGACTGCTATGAAAACCTCTATGCAAGTAAACTAGAAAATGTAGAAGAAATGGATAAATTCTTGGATACATACACCCTCCCAAGACTAACCCAGGAAGAAGTTGAATCCCCATATACACTAATAACAAGTTCTGAAATTGAGGCAGTAATTAATAGCCTACGAACCAAAAAAAGCCCAGGACCAGATGGATTCACAGCCAAATTCTACCAGAGGTACAAAGAGGAGTTGGTTCCATTCCTCCTGAAGCTACTCCAAACAATAGGAAAAGAGGGAATCCTCCCTAATTTTATAAGGCCAGCATCATCCTGATACCAAAACCTAGCAGAGACACAACAAAAAAATAAAATTTCAAGCCAATATCCCTGATGAACATCGCTGCGAAAATCCTCAATAAAATACTGGCAAAGCGAATCCAAGAGCACATCAAAAGGCTTATCCACCACGATCAAGTCGGCTTCATCCCTGGGATACAAAGCTGGTTCAAACATATGCAAATCAATAAACATAATCCATCACATAAACAGAACCAATGACAAAAACCACATGATTATCTCAATAGATGCAGAAAAGGCCTTCAATAAAATTCAACATCCCTTCATGCTAAAAACACTCAATAAACTAGGGATTTATGGAACATATGTCAAAATAATGAGGCCTATTTATGACAAACCCACAGCCAATATCATACTGAATGGGCAAAAGCTGGAAGCATTCCCTTTGAAAACTGGCACAAGACAAGGATGCCCTCTCTCACCACTCCTATTCAACATAGTATTGGAAGTTCTGGCTAGGGCAATCAGGCAAGAGAAAGAAAGAGTATTCAGATAGGAAGAGGGGAAGTCAAATTGTCTATTTCCAGATGATGTGATTATATATTTAGAAAACCCCATCATCTCTGCCCAAAATCTCCTTAAGCTGATAAGAACCTTCAGCAAAGTCTCAGGATACAAAATCAATGTGCAAAACCCACAAGCATTCCTAAACACCAATAACAGATGAAAAGAGAGCCAAATCATGAGTGAACTCTCATTCACAATTGCTACAAAGGAAATAAAATACCTAGGAATACAACTTACAAGGGACGCGAAGAACCTCTTCAAGAACTACAAACCACTGCTCAAGGAAATAAGAGAGGACACAAACAAATGGAAAAACATTCCATCCTCATGGATAGGAAGAATCGATATTGTGAAAATGGCCATACTGCCCAAAGTAATTTATAGATTCAGTGCTATTCCCATCAAGCTACCATTGATTTTCTTCACAGAACTAGAAAAAACTACTTTAAATTTTATGTGGAACCAGAAAAGAGCCTGTATAGCCATGACAATCCTAAGCAAAAAGAACAAAGCTGGAGGCATCACACTCCCTGGCTTCAAACTATACTACAAGGCTACAGCAACCAAAACAGCATGGTACTGGTACCAAAACAGATATATAGACCAATGGAACAGAACAAAGGCCACAGAAATAACACCACACATCTACAACCATCTGATCTTCAACAAACCTGACAAAAATAAGCAATGGGGAGAGGATTCCCTATTTAATAAGTGGTGCTGGGGACACTGGCTAAGCATATGCAGAAAACTGAAACTGGACCCCTTCCTTACACCTTATACAAAAATTAACACAAGATTGCCTAAAGATTTAAACATAAAACCTAAAACCATAAAAACCCTAGAAGAAAACCTAGGCAATACCCCTCAGGACATAGGCATGGGCAAAGACTTCATGACAAAAACACCAAAAGCAATGGCAACAAAAGCCAAAATTGACAGATGGGATCTACTTAAACTAAGGAGCTTCTGCATAGTAAAAGAAACTATCATCAGAGTGAACAGGCAACCTACAGAATGGGAGAAATTTTTTGCAATCTCTCCATCTGACAAAGGTCTAACATCCAGAATCTACAAGGAACTTAAACAAATTTACAAGAAAAAAACAACCCCATCAAAAAGTGGGTGAAGGATATGAACAGACACTTCTCTAAAGAAGGCATTTATGCAGCCTACAAACATGAAAAAAAAAGCTCATCACTGGTCGTTAGAGAAATGCAAATCAAAACCGCAGTGAGATACCATCTCATGCCAGTTAGAATGGCAAATATTAAAAAGTCAGGAAACAACAGATGCTGGAGAGGATGTCGAGAAATAGGAAAGCTTTTACACTGTGTCAGTGTAAATTAGTTCAGCCATTGTGGAAGACAGTGTGGCGATTCCTCAAGATCTAGAACCAGAAATACCATTTGACCCAACAATCCCATTACTGGGTATAAACACCCAAAGGATGATAAATCATTCTACTGTAAAGATACATGCACATGTATGTTTATTGCAGTGCTATTCACAATCGCAAAGGCTTGGAACCAACCCAAATGCCCATCAATGATAGACTGGATATAGAAAATATGGCACATATACACCATGGAATACTATGCAGCCATAAAAAAGAATGAATTCATGTCCTTTGCAGGGACATGGATGAATCTGGAAACCATTATTCTCAGCAAACTAACACAGGAACAGAAAACCAAACACCACATGTTTTCACTCATAAGTGAGAGTTGAACAATGAGAACACATGGACACAGAGAAGGGAACATCACACACTGGGGCCTCTCAGGGGATGGGGGACAAGGGGAGGGAGAGCATTAGGACAAATACCTAATGCATGCAGCACTCAAATCCTAGACAATGGGTTGACGGGTGCAGAAAACCACATGGCACATGTATACCTATGTAATAAACCTGCATATTCTGCACATCTATCCCAGAACTTAAAGTTTAATGATGATAAAGAAGAAGAAGAAGAAGAAGGGGAGGAGGAGGAGGAGGATGAGGACGACTAATACACAGGGCATGGTCACATTTTGAGATGTTACTCTAAGAATTGTGGGACATCATTAGAGAATGGCAAGCTAAGAAATGATGGTATCTGATGTATGTTTTAAGAGTATTCTGGCTATGTGTGGAGACTAGACAGTAGAGGCAACACCAGACAGAAGGTGTTGTCCTAACCTACGAGAAATAACAGTGGCTTTAGCCAGCATGGTGGTGGCAGTGGTGAAGAGGGGCAGGATCCTAGATGAATTTATTTCAAAGGCAGGGCCGACAGAGTTGTTGACTGACAATTTGAGAGAAAGAACAAAGTCCAGAGTGACCCCCACCGAAAGAATGAAGTGGACATTTGTTGAGGTGGGCAAGGCTGATTGGAGGTGGGGAACAAAATTAACAATGTCAAATTTGAAATCTCAGGCACCATAAACACAAAACCCAAAGGGAGGAGTCAAATTACCCTTGGCAAATTTCAGAATAAATGCATGGGAAATATTTTCAAGACTCTTGGATCCCTAAGCCAAATCTGGATTATGAAAAGAAGTCAAGCTGTGGAGAGATGGGACGATGGGTTTACAAGTGTGGTTTTTGTTGTGTGTTTTGTCTGTTTGTTTCTAAGAGGGAGCTCTTAGAGAGGTTAGACATACCTCGTTATACCACCTCCCTTTTGGAATTCAGGAAGAGCTGACCAGCATGTAACATCAACACAGACCTTAAGTCTGATAAGAAATATTTACAATCTATTCTCTCTAGAGCCTGCTACCTGGAGGCTTCATCTGCATGATAAAACTTTGGTCTCAGCAACATTTTATCATAACTCAGACATTTCTTTCTATTGATAGTAAGTCTTTCAACCAATTGCCAATCAGAAAATGTTTAAATCTACCTATAACTTGGAAGCTGCCCCGCCACCACCCCCCTGCCACTTCAGGTTGTACCACCTTTCTGAATCGAACCAATGTATATCTTAAATGTATTTGATTGATGTCTTGTGTCTCCCTAAAGTGTATAAAACCAAGCTGTGCCCCAACTACCTTGGGTACATGTTCTCAGGGTCTCCTGAGGGCTGTCATGAGCCATGGTCACTCATATTTGGCTCAGAATAAATCTCTTCAAATATTTTACAGAATTTGACTCTCTTCATTGACACTATACTCTGATCCCAAAAGCTAGTGACCAAATTGAAGTGGCAAAACTATTTCAATGCCACCCTTAAACTATGCTTCCCTGACTGCCTGCTTTCTACATTGGACCAGTTTACCTGATTTAAATTTTGTACTGTAGTCTCTTGGTGGAAAAGACCCATGCTGTCATTGAAACCAGCAACCGTATTCTATTATTTTGCCCCAATGCTCTATGTTACCCATTCAACTTAAAAATCCCCCACAGTATGCCTAGTAAATACCTAAATTCCATTTGAATGCTAGAGAGCTGGTATCCCAACTCTTGAATTAAGCTATGGATGGTTTATTTAGAGGCAGATTTGAGGTTATTTCTCATTCTCCCTTCACAGGCAGTGGTTCAATGTCAATGTCAATTTTTAAGGCTTGGTTACAGATCAACTAACCTACAAGAGGAATTATGTAGTTTCATTGTGTTCCTTTCTCAAATTGGTATTTGTCACTCCATTTCCTGTATGATGTGGATGGTAACCCCCAAATAACACTAAGTGGAAACACTTGTTTTGTTGCAGCCTTCCTAGCAGTGTTCCTAATGCCTGACCACTGCGATGTTTAGCATTTAAATGAGATTAAACCTCTCTGTGGGTGCAGAAATGAACTAAGGCCCATGGGTTCTCTGCAAACAAATACATATTAAAAGATGATAATTTTGCATTCTAAACCATGTCAAAACCATCTAAAATATTAAATTAGCAACTTGACCAAGGACTGCCAGGAAAAACAGTTTCCAGAAGTGTTCTTTTTTTTTTTTTTTTTGAGACAGAGTCTTGCTCTGTCGCCCAGGCTGGAGTGCAATGATGCGATCTTGGCTCACTGCAAGTTCTGCCTCCTGGGTTCACGCCATTCTCCTGCCTCAGCCTCCTGAATAGCTGGGACTACAGGTGTCCGCCACCACACCTGGCTAATTTTTTTGTATTTTTAGTAGAGATGGGGTTTCACCGTGTTAGCCAGGATGGTCTTGATCTCCTGACCTCGTGATCCGCCCACCTCGGCCTCCCAAAGTGCTGGGATTACAGGCTTCAGCCACCACGCCCAGTCCCCAGAAAAGTCTTCTTTAGCTAAGATTCCAAGGAAAAGTGTTGAGCACATAAATTACACCAAGGCAAAGAGTTGAGCGAATAATTACACAGGGAAGTGTTGCTTTTTTGTTTGAATTATCTGCATACTTTCAGGCACTCTTTAACTTTGAAGACAGAAAATAATAAAAGTAGGTAACACTCTTGGAGCATAATAGTAGGTTGGAAAGATTAAGATAAGGATAGAGGACAGGGGAACAGGGAGATGGGAGGAAAAAAATAGCCTCTATTCTATCCTCTTTTCTGGGCAATAGATCATGCTATCTCATGTTTGCAGGTAATAAGGCTAGTGTTGGCCAATGAGTGTGGTCAAGGAGGACAGATCATCTACAATAGACAGAATGATTGTGTTAATCAGGGTTATCCAGAAAAACAGAGCCAGTAGGATATATAGGAGAGATTTATGTTAAGGAATTGACTCATGTCATTATGGGGGATGATGACAAGTCCAAAATCTGTAGGGCAAGGCAGCCTACTGGAATTTCAGGCACAAGATGATGTTGCAGTCTTGAGTCCAAAATCTGCAGGCTGAGAGTCTCTATGTTAAAAGTCTTGAGGCAGAATTTCTTCTTCCAGAAACCTCAATCATTCTCGTAAGTCCTTCAGCTAACTGGATGAGGGCCACTCACATTATGGACGGTAATCAACTTTACTCAAAGCTTATGGATTTAAATGTTAATCACCTTCACAGCAACATCCAGCTAGCATTTGATAAAACAATTGGGCACCATAGCCTAGCCAAATGGACATGTAAAATTAACTATCACAATGACTATCACTTTCTTAGTCATAGTTGTTGGTTACTATAACCTTAGATCACTGTGTGCCCATGGAATCCAACCAGTTGTCTTTTGTCCTCAGAATAAAAAGCAAATAATTCTGATTTTATTCACTCACCTTCTTGCATTTCTTCTCTGCAAGGAAGCTGGGAAAGGAGATTGAGGAAGAGAGATGTTTAATGTGACTTTGTTTTAACATGTGTATTTGTGGTCAAGTGCTAATCTGAATTCACGAGCCTGTGTCAACGAATTTGAAGATGCATCGCCTACCACAAGGCACCTTCTTGACCTCCTCTGTCTTATGGGTCTTGGGAGCATTAGCACATTCATCTTAGGATAGATCAGACTCGAAGCATTGTCTTCTCTTTCACAATCTGCATATTTTATATTAGAAACATCACGCAGGGACCAACCCAGGGTAACACTGGAAGCGCAACAACAAAACAGTCAGCTAGGGAGCATCAGGCTGACAACAGATTGATAATGTATTTCACATATAGCAGGGAAAGCTGTCACACTGAGCCCAATTCCCTTCTCTGACACCAGGGAGCACTTAGTGGTGGGTTCTCCAAGACACAGAGAGAAAGCCTCTTTCTGTTCCTGTTTGAGCTGTGAGACGTGTACGGAAAGGAGTCCTCACTCTTTTGACACCATCCATGAGATTTGCAGTTTAACTGAAACACTGCTTATGAATTCTTTGCAAGGGGCGCGTTGGTCTCTTCTCACAAATCGTCTCTTTCTGGCCTTTGTTTGGGGCACCATACAGCCATCTCAAAAAGCCCGCCCTTGCCTCTGTGACACCGGATGCTCCTGGTACTTATCCTTCCTGTAGTCATCACTGGTTGCACAAGAATGCCTCATTTCTGTGTTCTACTAGCCTAGCTTCAGAACCAAACCCATGTAGCGTGTCAAATCAGGTGTCCTTTTTGACTCACTCATTTTTTTTTTCCAGGGCAATGGAAAGGGGCCTTGCTTAGGGCCAGGTCAAGAGATAATTGGGAATTTTGCAAAGCCCTAATGAGCACAGCCTGAAGGTCCCGACTGTGTTCACACTTCCAACAGCCACTATGTGTCGACACGTCACACAACCAGCCCTGATTCTCCCATCCCGAGGTCTCCCAGCCCAGGCAGGGCCTCCACACCCCTCTGCAATTCCCTCACACCCTTGTCTAACTGTTAATTAGATGCCTCATTTCTTGGCATGTGTATGGGCTTGAGCCATCTGCTTATTGATCACATCCTTCAGAATATATTGGATTTTAAGGAACCCAGCCACAAAGCAGGTTATGTTGCAGGTGGCTCATTGAGATTTCTCCAGAGCAAACTCAAGAGTGTATAGTGTGTGGTGACCTGTAGCCAGGCACATGAATCAACACGGTATAGACATACTGCCTGCAAAGCTCAGAGACCGTCATCTTTATAAATTGATGCAAAAACAACACTCAAAATTCCTACCTGAAATCCTTCCACAATATTTGGTATCGCACAAAATAAAAATATATAAAGTAGGCAAACAAGGTACACACTTACTGAGACCTCTATTACAGTACTAAAGACTAAATAGTGGATTGCCTAGCTTACAGACAATCCAGAAGCTCAATCCTCCAGGCCAGGTCATGTGTCTGAATCCTCCACCAGACCTTAGAGAGCTGTTAGGAGCAGGGACGTCTGTCCATATCTGTGCCTCTAGCCTCTCTAAACTGCATGTTGGAACATGTGTGATTCTTGTTGCTGCTCTTTAAACAGAAAACGGTGGAAATGCTTTGGATCTTTTAAACTCACTTCTGCATAAGAATGTCTGATATCCGTGGCATTCATCATAAACAAAACAACAACCATTGGAAAGATTTCTCATTTTTTCATCCTGAATTCCTGTTTCATTCCTCCCTTTAACT
Organism: Homo sapiens; assembly: GCF_000001405.40. Taxonomy (NCBI): domain Eukaryota; kingdom Metazoa; phylum Chordata; class Mammalia; order Primates; family Hominidae; genus Homo; species Homo sapiens. The sequence continues at coordinate 101,035,980 of NC_000013.11, read as the reverse complement.
TGCTCCTTTTTGGATCACAGCAACTTTTCTGGGTTAAGGTAAACCACCAGCATAAACAAAACAACATAAACTTTCCTGGAGAACATTTGGGATTATTCTTCAATTAATTAAAGTATCTCAGGACCCCTCCAAAATTCTTATGCAAAAGGGAAGATCACTGCAACACCTTCTCCCAAATGAATACCTGTTACCAGCATTACGCATTAGGCGGGTCCTCAGAGAGAGGTAAAAGGCCTCAGGTGAGGTGGAGGTGGAGCAAGATGGCAAAATAGAAGACTCCACCCATCATCCTCCCTTCAAGGACACCAATTTACACACACACACACACACACACACACACACACACACACACACACAACCTTCATCAGAACCAAAAATCAGGTGAGCCCTCATAGTACCTGGTTTTAACTTCAGAGGCAGGAAAAACCGTTGTGATGTGGTGTGGAGAGCATCTCTAGGCACTAGAGGAGGGAGAGCACAGCAATTGTGAAGCACTGAACTCAGTGCTGTCCTGTTAGAGCAGAAAGGAAAACCGAAAGGACCTAACTCAGCTCACTCTCACCCACAGAGGGAACATTTAAACCAGCCCTAGCCAGAAAGGATCACAGATCCCAGCCGTGCAAACTTGAGTTTCTGCAAACCTCACCACTGAGGGCTACAGCGCTCTGTATCTCCAAGTAAACTTGAAAAGCAGTCTAGGCCACAGGAACTGCAACTCTTAGGCAAGAGCTACTGCTGAACCAGGCCCAGAGACAGTGGACTGGGGATGGGCGACATACTGAGACACAAGCTGGGGAAGACAAGGGAGTACTGGCATCGCCCCTCCCCTAACCCCAGGCTGCACAGCTTGTGGCTCCAAAAGAGACCCCTTCCTTCTGCTTGAGGAGAGGAGAGGGAAGGGTGGGGAGGACTTTGTCTTGTATCTTGGATACCGGCTAAGCCACAGCAGGATAGGATACCAGTCACAGTTGTGAGGGCTTTGATCCAGGACCTGGCGCCTGGATGACATTTCTAGACACATCCCGGGCCAGAAGGGAACCTGCTGTCTTGAAGGGAAGAACTCAGTCCTGCCAGCACTCAACACCTTCTAACTGAAGAGCCCGTGGGCCCTGAATAAACAGCAGCAATACCCAGGAACTATGTTGAGGGCCTTGGTGAGCCTCTGAGACTTGCTGGCTTCAGGTGAGACTCGGCACATTCCCAGCTATGGTAGCTCTAGTAAGAGAGTCCTTCTGCTTGAGAAAAGCAGAAGGAAAAGTAAAGGGGACTTTGTCCTTCACCTTAGGTGCTGGTTTGGCCACAGAAGGGTAGAGCACCAAGTGGGCTCCTGGGGTCCCTTATTCCAGAACTTGACTCTTGGATGGCATTTCTGGACCTGCCTGTGTCCAGAAGGGAGCCCACTACCCTGAAGGGTGAGTCCCAGGCCAGGCAGCATTCACCACAAGCTGACTGAAGAGCTCTTGGGTCTTAAGGGATCATCGGCAGTAGTCTGGCAGTACTCCCTGTGACCTGTGGTGGCAGGGACTTCAGGGTGAGGCTCCTTTGCCTTTGGAAAGGGGAAGGAAGAGCAGGAAGGACTGTGTCTTGTGGTTTGAGTGCCAGCTCAGCTGCAATACAGTAGAACACCAAGTAGACTTCTAAGGTTTTTGACTGTAGTCCCTGACTCCCAGATGGCACCTCTAGACCCTCCAGGGGCCTGGGCAAACTTGCTGCCCTGAAGGAAAAGACAAAGGCCTGGTTGGCTTTGCCATCTGCTTACTCTAAAGCCCAAGGGCCTTGAGTGAACATAGGCAGTGGCCAGAGAGAGGTTACAGCAGACCTTGGGTGAGACCCAGTGCTGTGCTGGCTTCAGTTCAACCAAGTGCCGTCATAATGATGGTAGCCACAGGGGTGCTTGTGTCACTTCACCTCCAGCTTTAGGTGGCTCAGAACAGAGATAGAGAGACCCTGTTTGTTTGGGAGGAAGTAAGGGAAGAGAACAAGAGTCTCTGCCTGGTAATCTAGAGAATTCTCCTCGATCTTGTCCACGACCATCAATACCAAGAGATACCAGATGGTATATCTCTGCTAGTCTGCAAGAACCACAGTGTTACTGGGCTTGGGTGCCCCCTAAAGCAGATACAGCTTATATCACAACACGCTAGTTCTTTAAGTATCTGGAGCCTTCCCAAGAAGGATGGGTACAAACAAGCCCAGACAGTGAAGACAACAATAAATACCTAACTCTTCAATGCCCAGACACCGAAGAACATCTAGCATCAGCACCATCCAGGAAATCATGACCTTATCAAATGAACTAAATAAGGCACCAGGGACCAATCCTAATGAAACAGAGATATGTGACCTTTTAGACAGAGAATTCAAAATAGCTATATTGAGGAAACTCAAAGAAATTCAAGATAACACAGAGAAGGAATTCAGAATTCTATCAGGGAAATTTAACAGAGACTGAAGTAATTAAAAAGAATCAAGCAGAAATTCTGGAGCTGAAAAATGCAACTGGCATACTGAAGAATGCATCAGAGTCTTTTAATAGCAGAACTGATCAAGCAGAAGAAAGAATTAGTGAGCCTGAAGATAGGCTGTTTGAAAATACACAGCCAGAGGAGACAAAAGAAAAAAGAATAAAATACAATTAAGCACACCTACAGGATTTATAAAATAGCCTCAAAAGGGAACATCTGAGAGTTATTGACCTTAAAGAAGAGGCAGAGAAAGACATAGGGGCAGAAAGTTTATTTAAAGGGATATCAGAGAATTTCCCAAACCTAGAGAGAGATATCAATATCCAAGTACAAGAAAGTTATAGAACACCAAGCAGATTTAACCCGAAGAAGACCACTTCAAGGCATTTAATAATCAAATTCAGGATAAAGATCAAGGATAAAGGATCCTAAAAGCAACAAGAGAAAAGGAACAATTAACATACAACGAAGCACCAATGCTTCTGGCAGCAGACTTTTCAATGGAAATCTTACAGGCCAGGAGAGAGTAGCATGACATATTTAAAGTGCTGAAAGAAGAAAATGTACACCCCAGAACAGTATATCTGGCAAAAAATACCCCTCAAACATGAAAGAGAAATAAAGACTTTCCCAGACAAACAAAAGCTGAGGATTTCATCAACACTAGACCTGTCCTACAAGAAATGCTAAAGGGAGTACTTCAATCAGAAAGAAAAGGGTGTTAATGAACAATAAGTAATCACCTGAAGATACAAAACTCACTGTTAATGGTAAGTATACAAACACAGACTATTACAACACTGTAACTGTGGTGTGTAAACTACTTTTATTCTAAGTAGAAAGACTAAATGATGAACCAGTCAAAAATAGTAACTAGAACAACTTTTCAAGACATAGACAGTATAAGAAAATGTAAATAGATAAAACAAAACGTTAAAAAGTGGGGGGATGAAGTTAAGATGTAGAATGTTGGCCAGGTATTGTGGCTTATGCCTATAAACCCAGCACTTTGGGAGGCTGAGGCAGGCGGATCACTTGAGGTCAGGAGTTCGAGACCAGACTGGCCAATATGGTGAAACCCCATCTCTACTAAAAACACAAAAATCAGCTGGGCATGCTGGCACATGACTATAATCTCCACTACTTGGGAGACTGAAGTATGAGAATCACTTGAATATGGAGGCAGAAAGAGCCGTGAGCTGAGATTGCACCACTGCACTCCAGCCTGGGCAACAGAGCAAAGACACTGTCTCAAAAAAAAAAAAAAATGTGTAGAGTGTTTATTAGTTATCTTTTTGCTTGTTTATTTATGCAAACAGTGGTTAAGTTGCTATTGGGTTACAATCACGGGTTATAAGCTAGTATTTGCAGGCCTCATGGTAACTTCAAACCAAAAAACATACAATGGATACACAAAAAAGGAAAAGCAAGAAACTAAATCATATCACCAGAGAAAATCACCTTCAGTTAATTGAATACAGGAAGAAAAAGAGAGAAGGAAGAGAAGACCACAAAACAACCAGAAAACAATAACAAAATGGCAGGAGGAAGTCTTTACTTATCAATAATAACATTGAATATAAATGGACTAAACTCCCAAATTAAAAGGCATAGCCTGGCTAAATGAATGAAAAAAGCAAGACCTGCTGATATCTTGCCTATAGGAAACACACCACCTATAAAGACACACACAGACTGAAAATAAAGGGATGGAAAAATATCAAATTTGTCTGATATAAGCAGGAGTCACTATATTTTCAGACAAAATAGATTTTTGAGACAAAATCTATAAGAAATGACAAACAAGGTCACTATATAATGATTAAAGGGCCAATTCAGCAAGATAATATATGAATAACAATTTTAGATATATATGTCCCCAACACTGGAGCATCCAGATGTATAAGGCAAATGTCAGAGCTAAAGAGAAAGATAGACTCTAATACGAGAATAGCTGGAGACTTCAACACCCCACTTTCAGCATTGGACAGATCTTTTAGACAGAAAATCAACCAAGAATCATCCGACTTAATCTTCACTATAGGCCAAATGGATCTAATAGATATTTATAGAACATTTCATCCAATGGCTGCAGAATATACATTCTTTTCCTCAGTGCAAGGATCATTCTCAAGCGTAGACCATACATTAGGTGAAAAACAAATCTTAAAACATTCAAAAAATTAAAATAATTCCAAGCATCTTCTCTGACCACAATGGAATAAAACTAGAAATCAATAACATGAGGAATTTTGGGAAGTACACAAACACATGGAAATTAAGCAATATGCTCCTGAATGACTAGTGGATCAATGGAGAAATTAAGAGGGAAATTGAAAAATGTCTTGAAACAGATGTTAATGGAAACAACATACCAAAACCTATGGGATACAGCAAAAGCAGTACTAAGATGAAGTTTATATCTACAAATGCTTACATCAAAAAAGGGGAAATCCTTCAAATAAGTGATCTAATGATGCATCTTAAAGAAATAGAAAAACAAGAGCACACCAAACTCAAAATTAGTAAAAGAAAAGTAATAAAGATCAGAGCAGAAATAAGTGAAATTGAAATGAAAAAAAATAATAAAAAGGATCAATAAAACAAAAAGGTTCTTTTTATAGTTAAACACAATTGACAAACCTTTTAGTCAAACTAATTTAAAAAATAGAGGTACAAAAACATAAAATCAGAAATGAAATAGGAGACTTCACAACTGATACTGCAAAAATTCAAAGGATCATTAGTGGCTACTATAAGCAACTATAGGCCAATAAATTGGAATTTCTCCAAGAAATGGACAAATTTCTAGACACATAAAACCTACCAAGCTTGTGCCAGTAAGAAATTCAAAACCTAAACAAACCAATAACAAGTAATGAGATCAAATAAAAATTCTCTCAGTAAAGAAAAGCCCAGGACCCAATGGCTTTACTGCTGAATTCTACCAAACATTTAAGGAAGAACTAATACTAATCCTACTCAAACCATTTTGAAAAATAGAGGAGAAGTGAATACTTCCAAATTCATTCTATAATGCAAAACCAGACAAAGACACTCAAAAAAAGAAAACCACAGGCCAAAATCTCTGGCCTTTAAGTCCTCAACAAAATACTAGCAAACTGAATTCAACAACACATTAGAAAGATCATTCATCATAACCAAGTGGGATTTATCCCTGGGAGGCAAGAATTTTTCAACATATGTATATTAATCAACATGATACATCATGTCAACAGAATAAAGGATAAAGGATAAAACAGAATAAAGGATATAAGGATCTTTTGAATTGATGCCAAAAAAGCATTCAATAAAATTCAACATCATTTCATGATAAGAAACCCTAAAAAAACTGGGTGTAGAAGAAACACACCTCAACATAATAAAAGCCATATATGACAGACCCACAGCTTGTATCATATTGAATGGGGAAAAACTGAAAGCTTTTTTCTAAGATATGGAACATGACCATGACAAGGATGCCCACTTTCACTAGTATTATCCAACATACTACTGGAATTCCTAGCTAAAGCAATCAGAAGAAAGAAATAAATGGCATCCAAATTGGAAAGAAAGAAGTGAAATTCTCCTTGTTTGCAAATGATATGATCTTATATTTGGAAAAACCTAAAGACTCCACCAAAAAACTATTAAAACTGATAAACAAATTTAGTAAAGTTGCAGGATATAAAATCAACGTACAGAAATCATTAGCATTCCTGTATACCAACAGTGAACAACCTGAAAAAGAAATTTTTGTAAATCCCATTTACAAAAGCCAAAAGTAAAATTAAAAACCTAGGAATTAACCTAAAGAAGCAACAGATCTCTATAATGAAACAACAAAACACTGATGAAAGAAACTGAAGACAACACCAAAAAAACGGAAAGATATTCCATGTTCATAAATTGGAAGAATCAATATTATTAAACTGTCCATACTACCCAAATCAATCTACAGATTCAATGCAATACCTGTCAAAATACCACTGAACTTCTTTAGAGAAATAGAAAAAACAATCCTAAAATTTATGTGGAACCACAAAACACCCAGAATAGCCAAAGCTGTCCTAAGCAAATAGAACAAAACTGGAAGAATCACATTACCTGACTTCAAATTATACTGCAGAACCATAGTAACCAAAATAGCATGGTACTGGCATTAAAACAGACACATAGACCAATGAAACAGAATAGAAAACACAGAAATAAATCCACACACCTACAATATGTGAATTTTCAATAAAGGTGCCAAGAACATACACTGGGGAAAAGACAGTTTCTTCAATAAATGGTTCTGGGGAAACTGGATATTCATATGCAGGATAAAACTAGACCCCTATCTCTGGTCATATACAAAAATTAAATCAAAATGAATTAAAGACTTAAATCTAAGACCTCAAACTATGAAATTACTACAAGAAAACATAGAAAAAACTCTCCAGGACATTGGTTTGGGTAAAAATTTCTTGAGTAATACCCAGCAAGCAAGGCAACCAAAGCAGAAGTGGACAAATGGGATTACATTAAGGTAAAAACCTTCTGCACAGCAAAGGAAACAATCAACAAAGTGAGGAGGCAACCTACATAATGGGAGAAAATATTTGCAAACTACCGATCTGACAAGGGATTTATAAGCGCCATATATAAAGAACTCAAACAACTCTATAGGAAAAAGTCTAATAATCTGATCAAAAAACTGGACATAAGATTTGAATAGAGGTTTCTCAGAAGAAGACATGCAAATGGCAAACAGGCATACAAAAAAGTGCTCAACATCATTGATCATCAGAGAAATGCAAAACAAAACTACCATGAGATATCATCTCACCCCAGTTAAAATGGCTTATATCCAAAAGACAGGCAGTAACAAATGCTGGCGAGGATGTGGAGGAAAGGGAACACTCCTACACTGTTAGTTGGAATATAAATTAGTACAACCACAATGGAGAACAGTTTGAAAGTTCCTCAAAAAACTAAAAATAGAGCTACCATATGGTCCAGCAATCCCACTGTTGGGTATACACCCAAAACAAAGGAAATCAGTATATGCAAGAGATTTCTGCACTCTCATGTTTGTTGCAGCCCTGTTCACAATAGCTAAGATTTGGAAGCAACCTGTGTCCATCAACACATGAATGGATAAAGAAAATGTGCTACATATACACAATGGAGCACTATTCAGTCTTAAAAGAGAATGAGATCCTGACATTTGCAGCAACATGGATGGAACTGGCGAACATTCTATCAAGTGAAATAAGCCAGGCACAGAATGACAAACATTGGCAATAAGGTGATTATAGTCAATAATAACTTAATTGTTCATTTTAAAATAAGTAAAAAAGTGTAATCAGATTGTTCATAAAAGAAAGGATAAATGCTTGAGGGGATGGATACCTCATTGTCCATGACATGATTATTACACATTGCATGCCCGTATCAAAACATCTCATGTACTCCATAAATATATGCTCCTATTTTGTACCCCCCGCTCACCCCAAGAAAAAGGACTCAGGCATCAGGAAAGGACAGTCCTCACAGATCATTCCTAAGTACATTCTTCACTGGCATCCCATCAACAGAACCACCAGTTATAACTGTAGGTCTACAAACTAAGCCTAGCTCCTAAAACTAAAGTTTGTTGATTCCACACTGATGTCATGAAGAACTTCCTCCCAGGTGCAGAACAAAGACATAAGTAAAATGGACTATTCCTTTACTCTCTTTCTCTCTTCATTTGCCTTATCTTATGTAAAATGTAGTATTTGCCAACTGCCTACCTGCCCCTCTTTCCACATGCCTTTTCCCTCTAAGGAAATGTATAAATACTAAATCTCCCAAAAACCTCTTTGGAAAAACAACCCCAGATGTATTTGTGGCTCATGTTTTTTCCAGACGCACCCTAAGTAGTTTAATAAACCTTGATGATTGACGCTACACCTCAGTCACTCATTCCAGTTGTCACTGAATTCTGGTTCCATTCCTCCCTTTAATTCCCTCTTTGAGGATCACAGACAACTGTTCTCTGATTAAGGTAAGACACCAGAGTACACAAAATAATGAACTTTCCTGGAGCACCTTTGGGATTGTTCTTCATTTCTCGCCAAAGAGCTTTCTTCCAGAGATTCTGGCAGGATGCAAGGTTGCAAGAACACAGAGAGCAGCCATGGGAACCAAGCCTGCAATAAGCAAGGCCTGGAGTGGGGGCCACAATGCAACCCTGACCGCTGGCAGGGATGGCTATCAGGCCCTGTGGGTAACCATAGCTGGGTGGCTGGCTGGATGAGTGACAGGAAGCCACCTCTGATCTTTACCCTGTGCCCTGTGTCAGATAAAACAAATCCCAAGTTAAGTAAGGAAGAGCTTTCTTAGAAAAGACTATTGCAATATTTGATGAAAGTTTAGCATTTGGGGCCAGGCACAAGTTAAGTAAGGAAGAGCTTTCTTAGAAAAGACTATTGCAATATCTTGATGAAAGTTTAGCATTTCGGGCCAGGCACTGTGGCTCACACTTGTAATCCCAGCACTGTGGGAGGCTGAGGCAGCAGATCACCTCAGGTCAGGAGTTTGTAACAAGCCTGGCCAACATGATGAAACCCTGTCTCTACTAAACAAACAAAATTAGCCGGGTGTGGTGGCACATGCCTGTAATCCCAGCTATTCTAGAGGCTGAGGCAGGAGAATTGCTTGAACCCGGGAGGCAGAGGTTGCACTGAGCCCAGATGGCACCACTGCACTCACTCCAGCCTGGGTGACAAGAGTGAAACTCCATCTGGGTGGGGTGGGATGGGAAAAAAAAAAAAAAGAAAGAAAGTTTGGCATTTCGAACTTTTAAACAGGTCAAGTTAGCAAGTACCTTGTCTAGATTAGTCAGTAGATACAAACAGTTCAACTGATTACATATAAGGCAAAGAATGGGAGTTTGGAGGATCTGGCACTGTGTCTGGTTCTGTCATAGGTAAACAAGGAGGTCACCTGTGAGGGTTTTGTAAGTTTTTATAGGGAAGGGCCAGTCGTTGTGGCCGGCCATTTCCTGGAACGCAGAAAAGTTTCCTGACCATGGCTTAGGTAAAGCTGAACGTTGTCAGACCTCCCAGAAGTGGATTCATCTCTCAGGACTTCCTTTTCTCTTCTGTAAAAGGAGATTAGTAATAATTGCTTGCTTTACGCACCTCATGTTGAGATTATGAGGATCAAATGAGATCCTGTTTGTGAAAGTATTTTACAGCCTGTAAGGCATCCTATTAATAATGTCAGCTGTTGTTATTATCTGTGATAGTGGCTATTCAGCTCTCTTGTTCACAACGGGTGAAGGGGTGAACAGGTTCCAGAGGTCACCCTGGCTGACATTATGGTCTTAAAATCTCCAGACTTCCTGGCCGGAGGCCATGAGTTAGCTGTGGCAGCGGTGGGGCCTCCTCGTGGCTCCTCAGTAAACCTTGAGATGAGGCGTGACTTCCCCTCAGAGCCCATTTCCCGGTCTGCAAAATCCAGCTAAAGAGGTTGCCCTGGGTGTGTAATGGAGCCACAACAAAGTATTTTGTCAGCCCAAGGAGCTACTCAGCTGCTTACGCAGAGGCGCAGGACCTCACAGAAGGCATCTTCCACACACGGAGACAGACAAAACAAGCACCTGCGACGGGCTTTACATCCTCAGAGGGCTGAGCTCCTAAATGACTTTTCTTTCAAAGGGCTGCACGGCTCAAGTCAGAGATTCAGACCACTGTTGTTCAGAGGTAGGAGACCGGGAGCACCTTGCAGCGGGTGTGGCATTGGCGTGGCCGCAGGAGAAGTGTGAATAATGCTTTGGTCAGCAAACCAAATAAAGATGCCTGGGGAGAAAAGCTTTTTCAGAAACCCAGGGAAGAAAATCAATATTCCTGGAAAGGAGAGAGGGGGAAATCTATAGAAAGGGAAAGGAGTGGTATGTAATGCAATTCGAAGATTTTCTTTTTCTACCCTCAAGCAATTGACTCAATAGAGAGCAAAACCTGAAACCCTCTGATTAGAAAGGTGAAGGTTTCACTAGAAGAACCAGCTGGCTCTCATATTGACTGGCCAGTGGTTGACTGGGTCACTGCTGGTGTCTGGGCCTGTTTTTCTTTTTTTGTTGTTGTTTTTTGTTTGTTTGTTTTGTTTTTGTTTTCTGATTTATAAGAGTAGAGCTGATATGAATCTTCCAAAAATCAGACATTGAGTTCAGATTTGAAAAGAATGCTATGTCAGTTTTTAAGTTATTCTCTCTGCTATAAATAAAATCCAAATAAATATAATTTCTGCATTTGACTTCATAAGTGAATACAGGAAACTGCTTTTCAACAGGGTCTTGAGCACTAATTTGCAGCCTTCAGAAGCAATTTCATCAGAAATATTCTAGAAAGAATATCCATTTTTGCATTTGTTTAAGTGATTGTGATGGAGATATGGATGGCCTTCCTTAAATGATCAGATTTAGAATATGAATTCATCATTATTATATTATTGATGTTGGGGGTCAGGTCTTTATTACCTTTGCATGCCCACTACTATGAATATATTCATTCATTTTCAGATAGTGAAAGTGGCATCACTGTTTGTCACACAGACTACCGACCACTCTGGCCCACCTGTTTCTCCATCAATATACACATTGTTCTAACAACTGGTTCTCCATCACATATATGACTGAAAATGACCAAATATCTTCAAACAAATACAAAGAGTACACAATGACTTACTTTACCAGATCCGCCTCATATCTGCCTTGTCCTTCTGCCCGTGAGACCCAGGAATCCATGGAAATGATGGACAGATAATGTTTTCTGTCAAACACGTGAGAAATATTCTCCTAGGAAAGACTGTATTAGAAATGACAGATTGAATGGTGACTGTCGTCAACACCGTTGACTATTAAAATGACCCATCTCATGAAAAACAAAAGAATAAAGCTCCTGGCTAAATGAACAAAATGTAACAGTTCTATGTTTGTAACCTGGTCCTGTTTATCATTCCTCATCTCTTCAAATCAACTGAATATGACAGAGGCAAAAGTTAGCCAAGGGAACAATAGCTTTTAACTCTGATTTCACTTTGATGTGTTTGTTCACCAACCAGGAGCCCTGGGGGTTAACCTTTCTCTTGTAGTCATTGATCCTTTAAGATCTGAAGGCTTTTAATAAAATTGAGCTGACCAAGGCCTAATTTTTTTGATAATTTGTTTAAATCATAGACTGCCTCTCAGATTGTAATGAAACCCCTTACATCTATAAATGATGACAAGGAAACAGCCCAAGATATTGAATTTCCAGCTGTTTTTTATTTGAACAACTGACTGGGCCATTTTTTAAGCATAAAATAACTTCTAAACTGGCAATGTAAGGATACTTTCTCACTAGATATGACTTTTGCACCATATGGAGAAGAAAAAATGATTACATTATTAGGGGACTCATGAGAGACATGCCCTATATACCAGAATCCTAGTTGGCCATGCCAAGAAAACCCCAACCAGTAGATATCATCCTGCCCTCTGAAAGAATCTTAGCTTTGTAATTATAGTTCATTCAGGTCACATTGGTTTCTTTGCTTTTGAAACAAAAAGAGAATGAACTGAAAGATAGTCACTAGAAGGAGGATGGTTTTATGATTCTCCTTAAGCTTCATCCATGGGAGCAGGCTAACTTTCTTATCACAAATGTGAGTTGCATCCACATGATTTGCCAATATTTCCTGTCATTTCTCCAAAGTAAGGTCATGATTGACTTGTAATTCAGTAAAAAGTGTTTGTTTTGTGAATTGGTTGTTTTCTAAATTACATTTAAAAATTGAATGACTGTCTTCTTTAAGAACAATAATTTTTAAGACCTGAATGGAGTACTTCTCTGAATTTCAGCAGAGTTTTTCCTTCAATTAGCGTAACAGGTGGGTCTATTTTTCTGTGCAGGGCCCACTGCAGGATTCAGACATTTGCATCCTATCTACAACTACTCTGCTAGTTTCTTTTATTCTATCCTGGTAAATTTGTTTTCTAATTAGACAACAAGAATGATCTAAATAAGAAATTATAAAATTGTGGTAATATAAAAGGAAAAGTATGAAATTTGGAATCAGGAGACCCATTCTTCAGTCCTGAATTTTCTATATTCTGCTTATAGGCCCTTGAACAAATAATTAAACATTCTCAATCCCCCATAAAAAGAATAATAATACCTAATAAAGGTCTTTTATGAGACCAAACAATAAAATCAATGTGAAAGCTCTTTGATAACTATAAATTTCTCTGAACAAAGAACACCTTTGTTCTTACCACAGAGAAACAAATTGGTAAAATAATGTTCATATAAGCCTTAGGATCAGACACACCTAGATTCAAAATCTGACTCTAAGACTGACGTGTAAGTGGCATGGTACATTGAGGTAGACAGAATTCTTAAATGTCCCCCAAGACCTTCAGCCCTAATGCCAGTGACTGGGAATATACGAGATAACACATCTATGGAAAAAGGAATTTTACAGATGTTATTAAGGTTACTAATCCATCAACCTTGAATTAGTAAAATTGGCGATTATGGAGGTGAGTTTAATATAATCACACGAGCTCTTTAAAAGCAAGTTTTCACTAGCTAGTAGCGGAAGGAGGAGTCAGAGAGGTTGGAAGCATGAGGAGGATATGATGAATGGTTGCTATCTTTGAACATAATGTAAAAGTTAAAAGGAACTCAAAGAGACATCTAGAAGCAGAAGGCAACCCCTGGCCAACAGCTCACAAGAAAACAGCAACCTCAGTCCTACAACTGCAAGAAGCTTGATTCTGCCAAAAACGTAATTGAGCTTAGAAGTGGATTCCTTCCCCAAGCCTGAGTTAAGAGCCTAACACAGCAATACCCTGCTCTGGGCCTGTGAGATCCTGAGCAGAGAACCCACTTGAGCCTCCCCAGACTGCCAATCCACAGAACTGTGAGAAAATAAATGAGTGTTGCTTTAAGTTACTAAGTTTATGTTAATCTGTCAGGACAGCAGTAGAAAACCTACACAGGCAAGTTTAAGTGACTTAAGTATAGCCCACCCAGTGCCTGGTGTGTAGTAGGAGAAGAGGAACCTGTGAAAATATTCATCCATTCCTTCCTGTAGAACCCCATTTCCCCAACTTTAATGTGTTCATGCATCACCAAGGGATCTTGTTATAATGTGGATTCTGATTCAGTAGGTCAAGGTGGAGCCCGAGACTGTGTGTTACTGGGAAGTTCCTACGTTGTGCTGATGCCAAGGCCACTCATCAAGAATCATACTTGGAGGGCAGGGCTGTGGAGCTCACCTCCACCAGTGGATCTCAACCCTGATTGTACATGATCCCTTGGGGGAAATTTTAAAATGCTCAGAAGCCTGGATTCTGCTTGTAATTTAATTGGTCTTAGGTGGAACAGAGGGATCAGTATCTTTTTAAAAGTTCTCAGCACGAGTCTCCTCTGAAGCCAGGGATGAGAAGTACTGCCCAAGACTTCTGCTACTCAAAGCATGGTCCCTGGACCAGCGGCACTAGTTTTACCTGGGAGCATGTTAAAAATGCAGATCCCACTCCAGACCTATTCAACTGGAATCACTGGGAGTAAGGTGCAAGAATCTGTGCTTTCAGTAGCTCTCCACATGATTCTAACGCTAGCTGGAGTGTGAGAGGCATTGTCTTAGAACAATACTCTAATTTTACAGGTGTAGAAATGAAACCCAGAGAGATTAAATGATTTTCCAAGACTGAAGCTGGAACACTATAGCCTGTGGGCCAAATCTGGCCTGTTTCTGTTTTTGTAAACCAAGTTATATTGGAACAAAAGCCATGCCCATTCGCTTGTGTATTATCTATGTCTACTAGTGGCAAAGTGGAGGATAACAACAAAGACCAAATGGTTTGCAGAAATGAAAATATTTACAATCTGACCCTTAAAGAAAGAGTGTGCTGACCCCTGCTCTCAGAATGCGCTTTAAATTAGTGGGGGAAAAAAGGCAAAATGCCAGCTGTTTTGAGGTAGTAACTGATGCAGACATAGAGGATGCAGAACATTTGCTAAATAACCACTGGGATCTGTTTTATCCCTATGTTTTCAGGGCAGGCAGGGCTATGAGGCCTGATCCTGGTCATTGGTCTGGAGATGGTAAGGGGTCACAGCAAAGACCCTCAGGAGGATGAACACCATCTTGTGAGGAAGGATCAGCCTCAAGTGAGGTCTTTGTAGATATCTAGTCTTCCTCTGGCTAAAGGAGGTCATGGTTCTTTAAACTCTTTCTACAGGCCTCCAGCTTTCACAGCACACCTTGAGTTGACAGTTGGCTGATCTGAGGGTACCATTTTCTTTAAGGCTGTCAATGCAGTTAACAAAACCCAGCATACACTGTGATCCTAATAATTATGCTTGCACTCACACAGTTTTCCAAGTCCAGTAACCAGTGACCATCAGGAATCACCTGTTGTCAAACAAATTAGCATAAACTCAGCAGCTTGAAAGAGTGCTCATTTATTTCTAACTCTGGAGATCAGAAGTCTGGGGGGCCTTAACTGTGTTCTCAGCTTAGGGTCTCACAGGCCCAAATCAGCATTGACATAGCTGGGCTCTTCCCTAGAGGCTGTGGGGGAGAATCTGCTTCCAAGTTCATTGAGCTTACTGCAGAGAAAAGAAGGCATTCCAGAGAACTGAAAACTGAACACACCCATGGCCAGTGGCTGGACCAGAGGTGGCAATAAGACTCTGAGCCACAACTTCTGTAGCAATCAGCCCAAAATGACCAGCACATGATTAATAGCTGACATATTTCTTGATTTTTGTCCCCACTTCCAATTCAGGACAAACCAGAGAAGGTCAAATATGTCCCCAACCAATCACATAGCCTGCCCTGCTCCTACTTGGCCACCTCCAGCTTCTCTAGGCCAACAGCCTCCAATTGGGGCACACCTGAAGACGTCTTTTTTGCCCACTGTAAAGCTCTCCCACCCCTCTGCCTGCCTTTGAGTCTCTGCCAAACACCAGTGATGGTGGCCGACTCTTTCACTACAGCAAGCTCCGAATAAATCACCATCCTTGTTCTCAGTTGGGTGGTCTTTATTTCTGTAGGGCTGTGGGATGTCTTGGAAACTAGGAATTAAGATAGGATTTTTGTAGAATTTGACCTTGTGCCAGGTGATTGGAGGGAGAGTTGAAGGAAACAAAGACAGTTCTAGACTGAATGCTGTTAGGGTATGTGAACAATTCAGTGATTTGGTTCCTTGGTAATTTTTAATTAGGAGGCAGGAGGATTGAATCACAGATAGAGTTGCAATCAGCACGAAGTGATAGTCTCTTATTCTTGTTAGAAGAGTGGCATGTTAAGTTATTTGGAGGGGGAGTTGCAGGGTGTCCTTGTCTCTATCTTGTTTCACTCACAGTCATGAAGTGGTCTTGTCTGTCTTGTTCCATGGTGGTGACACAGTGGCCTTGTCTAATTATTGCTTATATTCTGTGAGTGTTACTCATGTTCACTAGTACTATCTAGCCGTTAGCTGTCAGCTGCCATGGCCATTCTTCATGTTCTCATTGTTCACATGGTACCCTATCACTTACACCAGAGTTCAGCAAACTTCGTCAGTAAATGGAAGACAGAAAATATTTTAGGCTTTGTAGGCTACACACAGTCTCTGTTGCATATTCTGTGTGTGTGTGTGTGTGTGTGTGTGTGTGTGTGTGTGTGTGTGTGTGGTTCCAATCCTCTAAAAATGCAAAAGCCATTTTATACTCACAGGCCATACAAAAATAGGCGACGGACGATGGCTTGCCAGCTGCTGACCTAAGTTAATGCATTACCTTCCACCTGTGCCACATATCACTCTACCACAGGCAAGAGCCATAGTAACAGGAAGCTGTTGCATACCAAGGATTATCACCACTCCTCTTATCACCAGCAATGGGGTCCGTATTCCTCTTTGACTTTTAAGTAATCCAACTCTTCCCAGACTAATTCTCTTATCCACAGTTTCCCCCAAAGTTGAGTTGCAAGTACTTCAGTAGGGAGGGTGGTCCATGGACCAAGGGTGAGAGAAAGCAAAGCAGAGGAGGAGAGAGTCACCCTAACATTCTAATGATGTGTTCAGAAATTTGGCCATCACCACAGGCAACCAGTTGCTCAATTCTGCAGACCTTTTTCCCAGAGGAGGAAAGGAGGAAGCATTTCTCCATTAGCTTCTGACCTACTCTGGTCACAAGCTGCCCACAGGGAAATAACTCTGGTGCACTCATGAGCACTGAGCAGGTGCTAATGGCCATGCTCCATGCCATACCAATGGAGAAGACAGCAGCACAAAGCAAAGGCTATGTGTGTGAGCCTGGGGTGAGTATTGTCAGTTACACCTGCTGGAAGGTGCTGGAACGGGGGCACAACATGTAGCTCAGTAGCCAAAATGAGAGATAACACCTAGTGGATTTGAAGTGGCACTTGAAGAGGAGCTATATGCCTCCTACCTCCACCATTCCCTCTGAGCCAACTACTACACGAAAGCATCAAGGGGAACCTCGCCCGCCCCAATGGAATCCCTAGGAAATTCTTGCAAAATGAGTTCAGAGAAAATTAGATGACGCACTCCAGAAATCCTCACTTAGTCAGGAATCATATGCTTCATGTATCCACAACCCTGGCCACTGCAGACTGCTGCCCCTCCCCGATGAAACTCTTGCCCCACCCTTGATCTCCACAGCTCCTCCCATCCCGGTTTTCCTCTCACCTTCCTGGCTTCCACTTCCCTGACTTTTTCGCATCTGCAAGCATGCAGCTGAACTGGAAATGCTGATGTTTCCCAGGAATTTTTCCTAGGTTCTCTTTTTTCTCACTCTAAATGTCCTCCCAGGGAAGTCTGACAAGGCTTTAACGACAACTGTGGACAGGCTCAAAAATGCATGTCAACATTTTTCAGACCACTGGGCACCTGATCTTACCTCTATTTCCATACCAACAAGCATAATGAAGTCATAACTGTATGCATCTGCAAGAATAGGCCTGAATTAGCATGGAGGAAACCTGAACAGCCAGGAAACATTTTTCCTTAATTAGTCCAGCCCCAGAGGAAAGAGGAACAGAAGCATCCAGTATTGAATGAGTCCCTTGACTCCTTCAGCAACCTGTGACCCAGCCATCACTATCACTGATGGAGGCCAACAGCCAGCCTAACCTTGGGTCTCTTCTCTGTGAAACAACCTCAGGAAGGGAGCAACACAGGTCACTTGTGGAAGGTGTGAGATTTGGCTTTATTTGGGCATGAGCTAATAGAGCTGTGGTGGCCTCCTTTGATCACAGCACCCATTGAGGACTGGGTAAGAAGGTGCCTATGAAGGAAAAATGCATTTTTGCTTCCAATAACAAGAAAATAATTTGGAGGCAGGAAAGATAAAGTGTGTGGAGGTATGTGTGTTTGTGTGTGAGAGAGAGAGACAGTGTGTGCTCTGACAATATGAATTACTGTCTCAGCTAATACAGGAAAGGCAGGAATGGTGAAAGAGGAAAAGGGAATAAGAGGAAAGACCTCTGTAATTTTATTTTCAAAAATAAGATGCACATCTATTATGAGCTGAAATGTGTCCCCCCAAATTTATATGCAGAGCCAGTACCTCAGAATGTGACTGTGTTTGGAGATAGGGTATTTAAAATGGTAGTGAAGGTAAAATGAGGCTCTACCCTAACCCAATATGACTGATGTCCTTTTAAGCAAAGAGTAAGGCACACATACACAGGGTGAAGACCATGTGAGGACACAGGGAGATGACAGCCCCCTGCATGCCCGGGAGAGAGGACTCAGAAGACACCAACCCTGTGGATGCCTTGATGTATTCTAGAACTCCCGGCCTCCGGAACTGCAAGGAAATAAATCTCCGACGTTGAAGCCACCCAGTCTGCGGTACATTGTTAGGACAGCCTGAGCAGGCTAATACATCATCTTATCTCGGGGTTCCTCAGATTCAGAGATTACCTTATTCAAAAGGAAATGGTTTGATTTTTTTTCTACATAAAGGATTTATTTCCCTACTGAAGAGTGGGCTGAATGAAGTCTCTGGAAAATCTAATATTGAAAAATTCCAGTTAAGACTTCCCTCCCTAGTTCATCACTCCACAATTTCAGGGACAGTGTGGGGAATTCCTGTTTCCCACCCAACCCTTGGAACAAGACCCTCTCTCCCAGCAACAATGGAGCAGACAGAGAGGCTCCTGACCTGCTGCAACCTCCCTGGGTGCAGCTGAGACTCATTATGTCTCTTTATTATAAATAGCACTTATTGCCATGGGTACTTATAGAATCTGAAAAACGAACTCTTTTCAAAGGAATGAATTAGAATGGCAATGTGGAAAAATGTAACAACCAATTACTGCAAGAAACTCCCTTCTTTTTTCTCCTTTTGACTTATTTCATTAAATCAGGCAGCTTATATACTGAATCTTCCAATTTTTAAAAAATTAATTATAAGTGCCTAAAGGTATTGAAGCCCTGAACATTTATGAGACTACACAACCGGACAAAAACAAAAGGACGGCTGATTTCCCAACCAGGCAACTTAATTTCCCAATTATCTTCCTTCGGCAAATTGCGGATCTAAATATAACATATTGTAACCTTTGCCATTTTTCTGCAGGGCTGATGCATCAATGCCTTCATCTCTTGTTTTCTCTCTTCTGCTCAAGAAAACAAAGTTGGGGGTGCTGTCTGGATGTTTGTCAAATAAAGCATTCTACATTAAAAATGGAACCCACATAATATTACCCAGCCGGTATCAATGAGCGGAAATGGAAGGGCTTGAGCTCCCCATGCTGTGGACCCTGGGAACAAATTAATTAATGCCTTTGGATTTAGACCCTTTAGGCAGCATCTCTGAACAGACTATGGCTGACTCATAGGAAGCCCCTGCTTGTTATTTCAGGTTGATGCTAATTCACAGGCCACGGAGCCTCCACTAAGCAGAGTGTTCATGGCAGCTGATGGCAGCCCAGGGAGCATCGGGAAGTGGCCCGTTCCCTGAGAAGGACCCCGCGGTGCAGGGGGTGAGGATGGGATCCAGAAGCAACTGAGTGTCGATGACTTACAGGACCAAGCTCCTTTCTCAACTCAGACCCTGACCTCCAACAGCTTCTTGAAAAGGTCCAACTGCACGTCCTAAAAGTGTCTTTTCCTTAACAGAGCCGTCAAGCCTGGCTCTTCAGTTGTTCTGTGTTCAAATTGTTCCTGACCCTCTACAATGAGAGAAACCACTCAGGGTCTACCAAACCCCTCCGCGTGGTGCCCCAGCCTCTTCTCTCCCTCGGGACCACCTCATCCATGCCTACTATCCAAAACTTCTTCCCTTTCCTCATGCTTTGGCGTTGCATTTTGCTTTTGAATCTGTTTTTGCCAACATTGTTTAAATTTATATTTTTGCTCATGCCTCATGTTGCGGGCTGAATTGTGCGCCTCCTGCCACCAAAATGCATATATTGAAGTCCTAACTTCCCAGTATCTCACACCGTGACCCTATTTGGAGGTAGGTCTTTAAAGAGGTGATTAAAGTTAAGTGAAGTAATTAGGGTGGATCCCAATCCAAAAACAAACTTGTGTCCTTAGAAGAAGAGATGAGGACACAGACACCCACACAGGAAAGACCCTGTGAGGACGCAGGGAGATGACAGCCACCTACATGCCCGGAGAGAGGCCTGAGGAGGATGCAAACCCACTGACAGCCTGATCTCAGACTTCTAGCCTCCAGAACTGTGAGAAAATAAACCTCTGTTGTTCAAGCCACCCAGGCCATGCTGCTCCGTTACAGCAACCCTGGTAAACCAATCCACATCAACACCCTTCTAAGACATAACTTCTGATTTTTCCTTTTCTTTTTTTTTTCTCCTATTTCAACTATGCTTAAGGGAAAACTCCTCCACAATGCCTTCATCCCTTGGGACCAGGGGCAATATTCAGAATATTTTAAAACATTTACCGTATGGGCACTCTTCACCCAGAATAGATTGCAGTTACAGTGATGGAGTCATCATTACCCATCTTCTAATAAAAGGTAAGTCAAGGAGTTCCTATCCATGCAACCGGGCAGCTGTGGCCACCCCCATACCTATCTTCCTCTAGTGGGAAAGAGGCATCCTCATTCACTCACTTCAGTAGACGCTGGAAACCTCCACATCACCCTTGATTCCTCCGTCTCCCTTGCGTTATTTGTGATCACTTCTTACTGACCCTATTTTGAATGTTCCCGCATTACTCCTATTTAACTTCAGTTTATTCTGTCTCACCTGCACCCTGCAATGGCTTACTAACTGGCTCTCTCTTCCATCCCATTCAACCTTAGCACTCATTCTAGAGCTATCATGCCAAAGGACAGTCCCAATAAATTATCTCCCACCTCAAAAACACAATAAGCAGTTTCCGGTTGCACACTCCCAAAAAAGGTAAGAGTCTGCCAATCTATCTTTCAGGATCATCCACAAGCTGAGCCCAGCTCACCTCTTAGTCAATTTATTCATTCCATAAGTATTTATGCAACTCCACTAAGTAACATGTACTAGGATGAATGACACATGGCCCTTGGTTCCTCATATGCTAATGGAATAGGAAGGAAATTATAACAGAGCATGAGAAGTGCTGTGATGGGGATAAGTGCAGAATGCTCTGGGGACAGATAAGAGGGGCATCTACCTGAATTCAGTGATGACACCTGAGCTTGTTCCCAAGGGACATGAAAAATGGGGCACTTGAGCAGAGGGAAGGAGGACAGCTCAAGGCAGAGAGCACAGCTTAAACAAAGGCCAAGCACATTGTCACTTTTGGTAACTGCAGAAGATTTAATAAGGTTGTAGGGTCAACTTCAAGGGGAAGAACGATAAGACCTAGACCTGGAGAGGCAAGCTGGAGCCCCTCCCGAAGGGCCCTTTCCTGCTGAAATACTGTGAGCAGTTGTAATGCAATGGTAATATTTGTTTATCTAAACATAGAAAAGGGACAGTAAAAATATGATATTATAATTTTATGGGACCGCCATCATTTATGCAGTCCCTCATTGACCAAAACGTCCTTATGCAGCACATGACTTTATTTGTGCTTCCTGGCATGCTTTACTGAGAAAGTGGTTCCAGCTCCTGTGGTTTAGTCAAAGCTTTTACATGGGATCACCAGTTACCTTAACAGATGTCTCCTTTTCAGCCCGATGGCTCTACTGAGTAGACCACCAGGTAGGACAGGCCCCAAAGCCCTCGACTGTCTCCATGAAAGTGCCTGAGGCAGAAGGAGATGGTCAGCGGGGTGTTCCCATTTCCCTCCTTAGGGGAAAAGAAGAGTGACCCTTGTTTTTCGATATCAAGCAGTGGAGACAAAAGATTTTCTTGTAAATGCTTGGGAATGATGGTTTCTAATCCCCTGGAAGCTTTGAAACTTGCAAAAGCCCTACGTCCACACCCAGAAAACTTCCTAGGTCTAACAGACAGAAGAAAACAATGCAGCTCTTATGGGAAATTTAGCAAAGCCTTAGCCAGATGCTTAACACTCTTGGGACTGGAGAGAGTTGGACCTTCCAGCACACGGGGGTGCCCTGTTGTTTTGACTGGAAGTTCTTCTCTTAAGATCTGGGGTGCTGTCTGATTGGGCCCTTTCCCTGGGCCAAAGAGGCAGTCATGGGGACCATGCAATCCCTGTGGCTCCTCTGCACGGTGGGAAGCAGAGCTTCTTCTTTGTATTTAGTGGCAGGGTGGCACTGAAGGATTTGGGGTAAGAAAGTGCTTTGTAATATCCTAGAAGAATCAGTGAGATCTAAATGGAGGCTGCCTGCTTGCATTCAAGACAGCACTCCGAAACAGTTCCTCCTGGTGTTTTGTGTGTTGTTCCAGACTTTCACAAGGGATAAGCCTCCTTGGGCAAGATGACATCTCCCTTCTCACCAAGCCAACCCCAACCCCACCCTGCTGGGGTGGCAGTGAGTTCACCCATTGAATCATAGGCACTTGCCTTAGAGGGTGAAGCGCTACCACCATCTCAGCCTGCAAAAGCCATTTCCCAGCCATCGCCTAGGATCCCTGTGGCACTAATGACTGATGACTAACATCATATATTATTGCTGTGTTCCACCTGCCACCTTCTGGACTATTTTGTATATTTAGTCCTCATTTCCTCTATTAATCCTCAGGACTTAGCATTTTCATAAATTTCTTACCATCCAAGATGAGAGGAACATCAGAACTCCTGCTCGCTAACGACCAGCAGGCTGTGTAGAGGTGAGCAACGGCCAGCCTCCACTAATTCCACATCAGAGATCACTGAGGCATCCCCAGAGCTTGAGAAGTCAGCTTGCAAAGGAAAACAAAGGTCAGCAGCCTTTTGTGGTTGTTGTTTCACTAATTCTCTTCCACCCACTGAGAAACAGGACTTTGAATGTTCCAAGACATCATGAGGGTCCTAGCTTCCTGCCACCTAGTTGGTCCTGAAGAGACAATATGAAATCCGCTTTGGAAATGGCATGTGTTTTGGATACAGCCAGATCTTATATTTTTAACAGGTAGGAGGGTCAACCAATGTGGAAGCATAGTCTTGACCTCAATATCAAAGAACTTAAAGAAAGAAACAATACTGTAATCCCAGCACTTTGGGAGGCCGAGGCAGGCGGATCACGAGGTCAGGAGATCGAGACCATCTTGGCTAACACGGTGAAACTCTGTCTCTACTAAAAATACTAAAAATTAGTCAGGCATGGTGGCGGGCGTCTGTATTCCCAGCTACTCGGGAGGCTGAGGCAGGAGAATGGCATGAACCCGGTAGGCGGAGCTTGCAGTGAGCTGAGATCACGCCACTGCACTCCAGCCTGGGGAACAGAGCGAGACTCCGTCTCAAAAAAAACAAAAAACAAGAAAGAAACAATACAACATTAACATCCTTTCTTCTTCAGAAAAGAGCATAGAGAAAATTACAGAAGCTCTGTTCTTGTTGTTTGATTTGAATCTTCTCTGGGAAACACACAGCTGTTATTGTTCAATTACATGATTGCTTCCTTGTTAGATTCATTATTATGACTAAATATTAATACATTCCTTTTGGAGGGTGATGCAGTGGTTCTCCAGTGAAACTCGCAAGCAGAGTTAATGTCATTCCAAAATATCTTTATGAATTTAGATGTGCATACAGCCCCAACGTTCCTGATTTTTCTCTCTGGTTCTCAGAGAGATTCTTTGCCATATACACATTGTCTGAAGGTTTTGTCAGCATAACCACATTTTGAATGCAGGTAACAGAAATTATTTTGGTATATTCTGCACCTGAAGCTCTTGAATTTCTGGGTAATGATATTTCTAGTACTTTATTCCTGTGCAAGAGCTGCAGTTCCTTGCTTCCCTCAGCAGATAGACAGCTGCAGTTTTATTAGGCATGGACCTTAAAAAACATATTTCTATATATTTTTGAAGGGATGCTCACTCCAGACATAATATTTCAGAGACAACAAACATCACTACATGTGAAATGCCAGCAGAAGAATTCAGGACTTCAAGTCAAGAGACTACAGAGCAGAGAAGCAGTTGAAAAAGCAATTCCAAAACTTAACACTGTGAAAAAAAAAAATCTGCCAGATGACAATTCTGTATAAAAGTAGCCACACACACATAGAGTTGTACATCATGTTGAGACATAGGACAAATTTAAATTAAGCAAAAAGAAAAGCCAAGGCACATTTGGGAAATATATAGACCTCAGGGTTTGGGGGGATTTCGGGGGGTGTTGTTGCTAGTGGTGGTTTGTTTTTTGCTTTTTTGTGTTTTTTAATAAATTGGAAAGTCAACTGTGGAAAAAGACACAGATGCAAAGAGAAGTGTGATCAAGATAAGAATTTTAAGAAGGTAAAAGAAACTTCAGACACAATAGGACTTTAAAAGAATCAAACAGTTGAATATTTCTTTGGCCTGATCAAACTAGAGGCCGCAGATTTTAGAGAAGACTTGCTGAATAGAATCAACTTTGGGTTTGGGTTTAGTTTGGGAGGTGTTTGTGGGGAAGGGTGGAGTTTGTGATTGATATATATATGATATATATATCATATATATAAATGGTATATATATCATATATATATAAATGGATATATATATCATATATAAATGGATATATATCATATATATAAATGGTATATATATAATATATAAATGGTGTATACATATCTCATATATATATAAATGGTGTATACATATCTCATATATATATAAATGGTATATATATATCTCATATATAAATGATATATATATATCTCATATATAAATGGTATATATATAAATGGTATATATCTCATATATATAAATGGTATATATATATCTCATATATATAAATGGTATATATATCTCATATATATATAAATGGTATATATATCTCATATATATAAATGGTATATATATCTCTCATATATAAATGGTATATATATATCTCATATATATAAATGGTATATATATATATGTCATATATATATAAATGGTATATATATATATCATATATATATAAATGGTATATATATACACCAAGTCCAAGATCGATGTCACACCAAATTTTACACCCTATGTTGATGTCTGCTCCAGCAGACAAACATTATTAAATTCAATATATGCCACTCACTAGAGATATGGCTCCTCAATTCTGTTGAGAAATGAGTATCTCCCTCTTTCTTACTTCCCCTGCTCCTTCGCAAGCTTCTCTTTTTGGCCTTTCTGTTATAGTAATTTATGCCCAGATTCTGTCCAGGTGAGCCAGTTTCCTGAGATCACTGAAGAATCGCCTTGATGAGAAAAGCTGCAGATCATTTTATCGTATCATGTTTAGCTCAGCTTAACTTAAAGCAGGGCTAAAATGCCATAACTCCACACTGGGGCTTCCCGAACTCCTCTCACTCTATGATGAAGCACCACACACCCACCTCTCGGCCTCCCTTCCTGAGAGACAACCCCCAAAATGGCCAATATTTCTCATTTCAAATTCTATGCACAGCCCATATTTGTCATTTCAAATTCTATGTAAGCTTCCTGCAGCCCCTTGATATATAGTAGCTATGAAGATATACGTCTTTAATGCTTTAGAAACATACATTTATATTTATTATCCTTAATAAAAAGCAACAAGTTATCAACTGTTTTGTTCTCTGAGTTGATCTACCAGCCTATAACTGGTTTCTAAATGCTCCTAGATGTCCTGTACCTCCGCAAGTCACACTGTGGGAAGCAAATGAAATGCATGACCACAGTTTTACATAACATTCATATGTAAAAAGATGAATGCATCTCTTCCAAACACATAATTTAATAGGCTGTTCTAATAAAACACTGGGGAATTTAAATGTATTACACAATAACAATTCCAAATCCAATAAAAAAGAAAAGTGGATACATTGTCTTGAACTAATAAGGAAAATAGAATTTAAAATTTTTAATGCTATTTTTGTACAAAACAATAGTTGGGTTTTTTTTTCTTCATCTCCCACAACAGAGTGCAAAGAATGACAAATTGTCTGATTCTGCATAAAGCTTGGAAATAGAGTATTAATCTTAGGTTGATGTAAAATGTAACATATAATGTGAAAGAGCATATTGTAGAGAAGAAATGGGACTGTATATCGTGATGAAATCTGAATACTTACAGTCATGTTATTTTTCAAAAGGAGGTGATAGGTTCCTTTCCCAGCCATATGGGAAATTAGTTTTGGAGGGAGTGTTAATACATACCCCAAAATTGCCTCCAGACATAGCCAATCACCCAATCTTTGCTCTTTGTTGGGTTTTATTTTAGCTTTGTTTTTGTTGTGTTATATTTCCTGAGCATCATTCTATACATTCTCTGTTTTCATTATTGTTACTATCTATCTTCTGTTATCAGGCAAGCAAATTATGCTATATACTGGATCAAATGGAAGAAAACATCAATTTTGACCCCGTCTCACTGTATAAGTAAAAATCAATTCCTGTTAGATTGTAGATCCAAATGTGAGAGGTAAAATTTAAAGTTCTAGAAGACATCATAAGAGAATATGTATATGATGTTGAAGTAGACCAGATTTCTTAAATAGGTGCTAAAACCACTAACTGTAAAGAAAAATATTCATACTTAACTATATTAAAATTAGATACTTCTGTATATGAAAAATTCAACATGAAGTAAATTTAAAAATATAAGTAGGAGAAGATATTTTCAATACATATAACTGCCAAAGGATTTAAATCCTGCCTATTTAAAGTATCAATAAAAAGGGAAAAAAATAAGTTGTAGAAAGTTGGACCAAAGGCTTAAATAGACACCTCACAAAAGAGGGTATCCAAATCACCAAGAAACCTGAAAAGGTGTTCAACCTCATTAGTCATCAGGAAAATGAAAATTAAAACTTCAGTGAGATGCCACTCCACACTTGTTAGAATGAGTAAAATTCCAAAAGACCGAGAATACCAAAAGTTGACAAGAACATTGAGTAACTGCAACTATCGTGTAATGTTGGTGGGAGTCTATAATACAGCTTCTTTCAAAAACTCTTAGATAGCAAATGACCATGTATAGCTCTAGGATCTAGCAATTCCTCCTCTGGGAATGTATATACATGTGCAATAAATGACATGTCCATCAACATTAGAATAAATTATAAAATTGTTGTATATTCATACAGTAGAATACAACAATGAAAACATGCTACATTCAACTGTGTTGATGATCTCAAAAACAAAAGTAGATGTACACACAAAATTACATACTAATCAATTGCAAAGACAAGCAAAGTTACCCGTGGCATTAGAAGTCAGGTTACCTTTGGGAGAACGGTAACTAAAAGAGAGTATGAGGTGGGGCATGGTGGCTCACACCTATAATCCCAACACTTTGGGAGGCCAAGATGGGAGAATCACTTGAGCCCAGGAGTTCAAGACCAGCCTAGGCAACATAGTGGGACCTCGTCTCTACAAATAATAATAATAATAATAATAATAACTAAAAATAAAATAAAAAGGAGTATGAGGAAGGGGGTCTGGTTGCCAACATTCTGCTTTTTTACATGAGTTGTAGGCACATGGATGTATTCACTTTATGAAAATTCATCAAACTGGGCTCTTAAAGCCTGGATACTTTTCTATATATACACTATACTTCAAAAAAATCTTTTATTAAAAAAATTAAGAATGGCATGGCAACTATGAGCCCTCCTGGGTTGTCAATCCTCCCACCTCAGCTTCCTGAGTAGCCAGGACTACAGGAATACATCATCATGCTCATATTTAAAACGAAGAAGGTTGATTCCCACAATTGCAGACTAATTATATTGATATTTGATTTCAGGGGAAAAATAGTAAATCGGGTGAAAATCGCTTCTATATCATAAAATGCCTTTAAGCCCAGCTATTTTCTAATACAGCTTGTATATGTTTCTATAGACCATCCCATTTTGAATGGCATTATGATGCAAAAACCAGCCAATTTTAAGAAAACAAATTAAATTAGTTAAGCTATTTTTCTGATACAGCTTATGTTTCTATATACTGCCCCATTTTAATAGAATTATGAAGCCAAAAGCTAGTAAGATTAAGAAAAAGAATTAAATGAGAATTAACTTATACAACAGGGTGCAATTAATTCTAAACTGCTGTAATATATTAACTCACCAGAAGTGAACATCAGGAGTAAATCAGACCTGCTGAGAGAGTGAGGGTGTCAGAATGGCACAGTCAGTTTTATGCCTGCCAAGTCTGTATCATTGCTAACCAAAGTCAAATACAGTTACTTTGAATATCTGCTCCATTTTCTCCATGTTTCTTTCTTCTATTAGTTGCAGGATAACTAGTAAAAAAAAAAAAAAAAAAAAAAAAATGCAGTTGTCAAATGAGACATCTCATACCTTTTGTGATGTAAAATTTTCAGGAAGGAAAATGTAAGACACATTACTCAGGATAGTTGATTGTCTTAGATTGGAGATAAGGGAACACCATAGCCTCACCCGTCTCTTTCTTACTAAGAAAAAGACAGATAACCAATAGAATATTGGATGGGAGACTTAAATAAGACTTCACAAAAGACATAGTAGAGGTGTAATGGCTGCAGTATTCAAGCGTTCCCAGAAGAGGGACATTAAGAAGCAGTGGGACTTGACAAGGGGTTAGACCAGGGCCAATGAAGGAAACTGCACATAGGAATGTAGCCTATGGACTTTAGATGATGTATAATGTTGACACCTTTCTTTTTAGCATTTCTAATTTCCTTATACCTTCCTCAAGTCTCCACTGGGAAAGTAAGGTAATGAGAAAGCTGCTAGAGAGTGGAGACAACCAGAAGAAGCAGTTTGACAGGAATTGAGCCAGTTAGACATTTGCAGCTGCAGAATGCAAGCCAGTCCTGAGGCCCTTCAGCAGACTGTAGGGGGAGAGAGGGTGGCTTCCCCAATGTGATGGTTAATACTGAGTGTCAACTTGATTGGACTGAAGGATGCAAAGTATTAATCCTGGGTCTGTCTATGAGGGTGTTGCCAAAGGAGCTTAACATTTGAATCAGTGGGCTGGGGAAAGCAGACCCACCCTTAATCTGGGTGGGCAACATCTAATCAGCTGTCAGCGAATATAAAGCAGGCAGAAAAACATGAAAAGGCAAGACTGGCCTAGCCTCCCAGCCTACATCTTTGTCCCATGCTAGATGCTTCCTGTTCTGGAACATCGGACTTTTAAGTTCTTCAGTTTTGGAACTCGGACTGGGTCTCCTTGCTCCTCAGCCTGCAGGTGGCCTATTGTGGGAACCTGTGATTGTGTAAGTTAATACTTAATAAACTCCCCTTTGTATATCTATATCTATCTTATTAGTTCTGTCCCTCTAGAGAACCCTGACTAATCTACCCACCATATGAGACAGAGCTCACATTTGACTCTCCACATAGTAAACAGAAGCATTTAGAGAGGTGGGGTCTACATGTGGAAAGAATCTTGCACACAGTAGTTACCCCAAAATAGGTAGCTATTATTATAATCATCTAGTTCATGCTACAAAAACATCAGGAAAGCCTCTACAATATTATTGAAAATCGAACAGCCTATGGCCAGTTAGGAACTGGTCCGTACAGCAGGTGAGTGGTGGGTGAGCAAATGTTACCATCCAAGCTCCACCTCCTGTGAGATCAGTGGCAGCATTTGATTCTCATAGGAGTGCCAGCCCTATCATGAACTGCGCATGTGAAGGATCTATTCTGTGCCCTCCTTATGAGAATCTAATCCATCTCCCCACCACCCCTGTCTGTGGAAAAATTGTCTTCCAGGAAATCAGTCTCTGGTGCCAAAAAGGTTGAGGACCACTGGTCTACAGTAACATACACAATCTCTATCAGAAAAATAACTTGAATTTGAGGTACCCTGCAATATGGAAATTATGATATCACAACTAAGGAAAGTCACTGTTTGAAAAATAAGATATTAGTGCAAAAGTAATGATTTCTAAGAAAAGTTTGGAAGATTTTGTCAATAAAGAAAATGCAGATAGAAACTGGGAAGAATTTCAGAAGATTCACCTACAAATAGTCAGGGTTGTGGAAAATTGCATGTCATTATAGATTCTGCTCATTGAATTTTCTTTCATGTTCATTTTCCCTACATAGGAGGGATGCAAGTGTCAAATGAAATATGTGATATCTTTTGCAATGTGAAACTGTCAGGAAAAAAAATTTAAGATGTGTTACCAAAGGGCATAAAATTCAAGCTTTTAGGCCGGGCACAGTGGCTCACGCCTATAATCCCAGCAGTTTGGGAGGCTGAGGTGGGCAGATCACCTTAGTTCGGGAGTTTGAGACCAGCCTGACCAACATGGAGAAATCCTGTTTCTACTAAAAATACAAAATTAGCCAGGTATGTTGGTGCATGCCTGTAATCCTAGCTACTTGGGAGGCTGAGGCAGGAGAATTGCTTGAACCCACGAGGTGGCGTTTGCGGTGAGCCAAGATCATGCCACTGCACTCCAGCCTGGGCAACAAGAGCAAAACTTCATCTCAACAAAAAAAAAAAAAAAAAAAAAAACCAAGCTTTTAATAGATTTACTAAAGTATAAAATTTCATCTGTGCAGACATAAATACCATATTTTGCATATGGCATATTATTCAGTGTTATGGAGTAAAATAGGTACATTAAGCAACAGAAGGCCATGGGCACAAGATGAGTAAAAATACATACAATATACTACATAGTGCTTAAGAGGTAAGCTCTATATAGGATGCACAAAATGAGTGGAGAGTGCTTGAGGAACAATTCTGGTGAGCTACACTCAGCTGTACTTAGATGAGCTCTACAGGACAGCTGAGACAATGAGAGGTGTCTTAGTCCATTTTGTGCTGCTATAATGGAATACCTGAGACTGGGTAATTTATAATAAACAAAAATTTATTGGCTCATGTTTCTGGAGGCTGGGAAGTCCAAGATCAAGGGGTGAGCATCTGGTGAGGGTCTTCCTGCTGCATCATTCATGGCAGAAGGCAACAGAATGAGAGAATGAAAAGGGGGCCAAACTCATCCTTGTATAAGGAACCCACTCCTATGATAACAGCATTAATTCACTCAGGAGGTCACAGCCTTCAGGGTTAATCACTTCTCATTAGGACACACCTCCCAACATTGTTGCATTAGGAATAAAGTTTCCAACACATGCTTTTTGGGGGATATATTCAAATTATAGCAAGAGATTACTGTCCAACTTGATGGAAGGGCAAAGCTAGTAAATGTGGCTAGATGAGGCTGACACACTTATAACTGGGAAGCATATAATGAATGCTTAAAACGTTGAGGATGGGGCAAATGAGTAAGTCTAGGGGAGCTGACTGGAGGTACCATCCAAGTGAGAAATATCAACATTAAGCGTGAGCTCAGTTTCCATCTTTTTTTACCCGATCCATGAGAGCAATGTGGATTTGTAAAACCAACCCAAGCAAAAAATGTATTGATGTGACTTGAGTTTGTGTCTTTTCAAGAGTTTCCTGTGCCATCTGGCACCACCAAAAGCCTCGTGTTGGAGTGGGGTGCACCACTCCATTAGTGGCACAGGTGATGAGCATGCAGTGAGGTCTGCTCTGCTGCAAAGGTCAGTGACATGCTGAGCTACACAAGATGCCCATGTCTGTAGTGCAGGCTCCAACATGTATCCTTAGGCACATGCGGGGCCCTTCTTTCCATACATGGAGGTGGTACAGTGCCTGCCTACTGAGATGCTTCATGTCAAATCAACATCTCCTTCATTAAACTTCTTGGAAGCCCTGTTTTCCACACTCATGATTTATGTCACTGCTTCCTTAATGAAAGGTCTACTATAGCTCATGGAATCCTGCATCGTGCTTTCTGTGAACAAATTACTTGGGGTAGGCCAGTCTCTTGAAATTTTTACTTAGCAGTGATTTGTCCAAGTGCCTTTTAAAATACTTCTAAAAGATTCATTGGTAACATGTTTTTTAATAATCAGCCTATATAAATCCCTCACTGACTTGTTATTACAATAGTACTTATTATTGCAATTTCTAATTTGCCTCCTGAGATAATTTTAGTTTCCATATTTCTATTATAAATATTGTGAATAGTACCTATTATCATCATCATTCTGTACTGTGGCCTTTATTACACACAAGAAATTACACACAGACCTTCAAGCAAATCCAGAGTTTAGAAAGGCAAACTAAAAACATTCCTTTTATTTGCTAGAACAGTCTAGATCTGAGAGAGAGAGAGAGAGGGAAACTTCTGACAAGTTCTCACCCATAGGAATTTGTTCTGGGATTGCACCAAGTTGGCCTACATCCCTGAAGATACAGAAGTCAAAGGAAGAATTTGACTCTAAGTACTAAGAGTGCATTTTTGTTTGAATGGTTCCAAGTTTGGGATAGAAACAATGACAGCACAAGCAGTAATCTGTAATAGTAAAGATTAAAATAAAGAGGTATTGGACTCTTACTTAGATTTTGCTCTGGTTCATTCAACAAGTATTCCCTAGAAATCTTTGTGTCTGGGGTAAGCATAAGGACTTCAAAATGAATGAGGTGTAATCTCCATCCTTCAGAGATTAACAAGACAGTGGGGGTAAGAAGGGAGAGCAGACACATAGACTTTACTGTTGCACAGGAAGCCTAAGTGCACGTGTATCATACACAGTGTAAATTAATTGCAATGCAATGAGAATAGAGTGAAGAGAAGCAAGCTTCTATGGCACCACCTTTATACTGTTTTTATCAAATAGCCATAATCCATACTTAATTACAGCCGGATAAACTACAGAATTTACAACCAGCCCATATGATCCTGTTCAAGATGGCAGACTGAGTGCAAACATGTATGACCACTTCTTCCCAAGACTTCCTTAAGGTGTTAATAAAGCAATGTGGTTATTAACTATATACTCACAAATTAATTAAATATGGGAGAGGGAGGCTGCCTAAAACAAGAGATAAAACAAATTTCTAGAAGACAGAAATAGGTGCAGAGAAGGCTGCAGCTAAGGAGGAAGCCAGACTCTGGTGGGATCTCAGTACAGCTCTGTCATCAGGATGGCAGAGGTGGCAGAGGGCAGGGTGGGAGGGATGTTAATTAATAGTCTACATCTGAAATGCCTGAAGCCCGCAACTCCATGTACAGATTGTCCTGCAAGACAGATGTTTAATCATGAAGAAAGCTGCAACTTTTTTTCTCTAAAGAAATAGACAAACTACCAAGTGATAATTATAACCCTTAATGTAGGGTTTTGACATCCTGGAGCAAAGCCCCCCACATTCCAGCATTAGGGTAATCCTCAGTTTAATCACCAGGTCCTCTAAAAAAAAAAATCCTGCTGCTTTACAAATGCCACCAGGGAAGCCTCAGTCTGAATATGACTGGGAAAGCAAGAACCACCAGAAATCTGAAGAAAGCCTGCAGCATGACAATGACCATGACGAATTATGCAGAAAAGCTAATCCCAGAGGGAAAGGAGGGGGACTTGCAAAAATGGCTAATTAATATGAGAATTAATATTAATATGAGCGTTGATATAATGATGTATTACATCCAGAGAAGCAAGAGAAGTAAAAGGAGCAAAAGAGGAAGGAGAAGGATAGGAAGAGAGAAGGACGTCTCGTGAAAAAAGAACAATTACTTCAAAATCATGCCACTTTTTAATTCTTATATTAATCGCTTTCTATCTGGACCATGCCTACTTCTGTTTTGTTTGCTTTAGTGGAGAACAAGAATGCTGAATCAATTTGAACGTTTTTCCTTAAGTTGCATGGGGCTCGTGACACTGGAACCACAGAGAAGGAAGTATAATCAAAAGAAGCTACTCCATTCTCAATTTTCAGTAAGCAATGTTTGTATAATCATTTTAACAGGAATTCTGCATGTTCATTCAACACGTGTTTATTGACTCCCTACTATGTGCCAGGCTTGTGTAGGCACATGGACTACATCAGTGAACAAGACAGTAAACAAACAAGCCTCCCCATTGTAAGCTACATTCTAGAGGAAATCCATAATATATTATAGATAATCATTAGGTAAGTTTTGTAGGGTTAAGTGCGCTGGGGAAATGCTAGAACAGGCAAAGAGGGATAGGGTGTGAGTTGTGAAGCAAGTTGCATAGGGGCCAATGAAATTAGGTGAAAAGATGTTATCCAAGGGAGATTTGAATGTGGCGAGGAGGTAGCCATCTGAAGGCCATGAACAGCCTTTTGACGAGAAGGCTATTTGCCAACCAAAAAGGTAAAGGTGGCTGTCCCAGAGCAAAAGAGTGAGAGAGAGAGTGGGAAGGTGGGATGGAAGTTGAGTGGGAGGAGGTAGGTGGGTTGTGTGGGACTTTATAGGTCCTTAGAAGGACTTCAGCTTCCACTTTGAGTGAATGGTGGACATTGCAGGGAATGGGGCCAGATGAGCGATGTGATCTCAAACAACATCATTCAGGCTGCTGCAGTGAGAACAAGTTAGAAGGGGCAAAGGCGGAAGCAGAGAGACCTATCAGGAGGCTATTGCAGTTTATTGTTTTTTAATCATTTGATAGCCAAAGCACAGGAGGCTTAATCCATGTTAAAACTCAGATCGTCAACGTTAGCAGCCTGGCAATATTAAAGTCAATGCAGAACTCATAAAGGTGGGAGCTCACGATGGGGAGGAGAAGACTGGGATCAGTCTGTGCCTTTAAAAGACACTGCCTTTCATTATAAGCTCTTTTATGCTCTCCACTTTTTAAACTACATATATGGATAACCAATTTTTAAATTGTAGGTTAAATATGCCAATTTCAGTCTAGAAAGTAGTCAAGATAAATACAGTATCGCTTATATTCAAATTGCTGCTTGTTGGCATTTGGGGCAGAACTTATTCCCTCATACTGGCTTTCTAAATTATTTTAAAACATCTATGTTATCATCTCTTTCAGTCATATGAACATTTTCTGCCATCTTCATTTACACATCTGCAGCACCCAGTATTAAACAGCCAAAATTATGGTGCAAGACAAGGAGGTTGCTGGACTTAAATATTCAGCATGGGGAATGGTAGGAAAAAATGCAGAAGATTCCAGGCTCTGCCACTTAAGAAGGATGTGTCTCGGAATAGATATTCCTGAGCAACTTCCTGAATATCCCTGAGAACTGGTAAAACTGGCCCAAGATAAGTGTTGAAACTGAGGGTCGTTTTGAGTGCTTAATAAGCTAATAGATGTGGAATACTTTGTAAAATTAAAGGTGCTAAAATTTTTAGGCTTATATAGTTGATATTTCATAATCATTAATCATTAATGCTTTGCACGGTGCTCCATAAATTCTATACATTTTACTTTGTCTTCATTCCTTATAATTGTTAGTGGTGTGCTATTAAGTATAACAGCAACTACCCTGAACTTTGATTCAGATGTGACAGGTGGCTGGTCCCATAAATCACTTTGTGATACTTCAAATCTAATTTCTTCATCTTCCAGTTTTAGGTCAACATAATTTCTATAATGAATTCTTCTGAGTCAAAGAAAACATTTTAAAGAACTTTACTCTTATCCTATGCAAAACTGGTCTTATGAAAATGACTTTACTTTGATCATATAACTTGCATGCTGGATTTTATCACATGGTGTTTTGACATCTATTTGAAATTTAAAGGAAATTATTTCACTCACCATGAAGTATCTCTGCATACATCTCATATAAGAGGCTCCCTAGAATTAAAATACATGTGTGAAAAGAATAATTGCTCCTTCCAACACCCTAATTGTTCATAATATCAGGTCACTGAATGTTTAGAAACCAAGTTGTAACTAGCTTGCAATCATATCATCTTTGGCATGGCTGACAACAAGCCTTTTAACTACACGTCCTACAATAAACAAGAAAGCAGGCCTCATATGTTCCCTAAAACTTTATTACGGTGCTAACCTTTCTACAAGAAATGGCATTTTGGAAATGCCACATGCATTTTAACTCTTGTTCCAGTTACTGATGGCAAGAATGACCTATCAACAAAGACAGAGGATAAAGAGTCTCATCATTACCCATATACTAACAACAGTCATTCGGGGTTATTACAACCCCATTTTTCACTCAGGGCAATGCCATTTTATTTGTCAAATTGCTTTAATAAATATTACTTTCTATCACTACCAGAGAACAGAAGTGTCCTGGGATACTTTAAGTTACAAAGTCCTATAGGGACTTTACTTCCAGTATCTTCCTGTATCTCTTTTCTTAAATTTTCTCTTTTCAGGTTGATCAGCAGGAATTGCTCTAAATGTCCAAGTCCAGATTCACATACAAGTAAAGGAAGAATGGAGAATTTTTTTTCTCCTCAAATATCTCTTCAAAACATTTGCAGAGATTCTAAAAAGAGGGGAAATCTTCTTGTCTATTCTAGTCTGAAGAACAATCTACAGGTAAAAAAATCTCCCCTGGACCAGGCAGATTGGGAAGGATGTAATTAGCATAATGAATAGGTTCAAAAGACTCTTGCTGAATCATTCAAATTAGCCAAATCAACTCTGACCACTAAACCAGATGATAGTTGAAGCTTCTAATGTGGTCAGCATTTGGAACTGCCAAGGGTTCAAGTCCAAGAGCCCCATTTTAATAAATACTCTAGCAAATACATTTATGTTTTATTCATCAAACACCAATTGAGATGTAAATATTTATGTCAACCACGACCATAGGTTGTAGGAACAACGATGAACAAGACAC
Source organism: Homo sapiens (assembly GCF_000001405.40). Taxonomy (NCBI): domain Eukaryota; kingdom Metazoa; phylum Chordata; class Mammalia; order Primates; family Hominidae; genus Homo; species Homo sapiens. The sequence goes on along the minus strand of NC_000013.11, from coordinate 100,999,369 downwards.
CGACACCAAGTAATTGCCAAGTCAGTTCCCATTCCTGATGGGGCACAGAGATCAATAAAGGAGAGCAAGGGGCTTTGGGGTGTTTCATGTTAGGGGATGTTGTCATTTTACACATGGTGGTCAGAGATGTCTTCTGGGATAAAATGACATTTCAGTAAAGACCCAAAGGACGGGAGAAAGTTAGCCATGTGAATGATGAATTCAGAGCAGACATCTACCTTGCCTCCTTACTTGTCTTTAAAAGCAAAGTTTCTGTCACTTATGTTTATCTTATTTTGATATGGAAAATAGAGGATAAGCAAAAATATTATTTTTCTTCTACTGCATCAATTTTTAACTTTCAGAAGCTAATTGCCTATTTGCATCTTCTCACTTCTGCCAAGTCACTTCACGATTCATCACACACAGAAAAAGTCACCAACAATCTTGGTCCTTGAGAGGACATGCCGTCAGGATCAACTCAGCGACTGCGTACTGCACTCCAGCTGGAAGGCTGGATAAGAAATGCATGAGTGGGACATGAGAACTTACTGGATTTTCTTCATGCTTTCCTTGAAGCCTCTTGCCATAGATGCTCCATTTAGCTGAATCTCAGCCTACACATGCATCATAGAACCAGGGATGACAGCCAGCAATACTTTTAGGGGCCAGAACAAGTTTTCATTTCTTTTAAAATGAGAAGAAAAAAATGAAGTTTGAGTTTTTTCAAGAGTCTTCATTTGGACACTTAGTTCTGATTCTGTGGTCCTCTTCCTTTCTAATGGAGGTATTTAGGATACAGCCATCTTTCCAGTTTTAACTGCATCCCATGAGTTGTGTTCCGTAACACTGGTGCTATCATTCACTTCCAGATATTTTTGGATTTTCATAATGGACTCTTCTTTGACCCATGGGATACTTAAAATTGTGTTTTAAAATTTTAAATTATGGATAAGGATTAATATTTTATATGGCTTTCTAATTTGATTGCACTGTGGTATGATTGCACCGAGGGAACATGGCATGTTTGATATCAGTTTTTGGCATTTATTAAAATTTGCTCTAGTGTCACTATTTAGGAAATTGTTTCATGTGTCATGAAAGTTCAAGAATTCTTTACATGTTGGGAGCAAGGATGTGTATCCATTATATTAAGCTTTCAAATTTTAATCTCCCATATCCTGCCTAGTATTTTTGTTTATACTATGAATTACTGAGCACGGCATGCCAAATCCCTCATCATGACTGTAGATCTGTCCACTTCCAAATGTCATTTAAAATGTTTGCATCATACAGAGCCAAGTGGTAACATGGGTGGAAACAGGTTTAGAATTCTAGTATCTTACTAGAGATTTTTCTTTTTTTCTCTTCGTATAGTGATTGTCTCTCTCCTAAATTTTGTTTTCTCATTAAAGTCTGTGTGGCCTGGCATTAACACTGCCAGCCACTCCGGTTAATATTTTCCTGGAATAATGTTTTCAGTTTCAACTCAACCTTTTCCTATTCCATATTTTAGGATTAATTCTCACAAATAGCATTCACAGTTAACTCAAAACAAAACTATTATTCACTGATTATTCTGTGCCAGGTACAGTTCTAGGCAAAGGGAGAACAGAAGTGAACTAAACAAAGTCCCTGCAATCAAGGAGTTTACAGTCTACAAGGGGCAGTCAGAGGGCAGGAGAGGAAGAAAGACAACAACTAACAAGGTAATACAAGAGGTATGAAGAAAAACAAATTAGAGTAAGAGGGTATGGGGGAGTGGGAGGGCGTACTGTTTTGTGGAGGGTAGTCAGTGAAGAACTTGCAGATACAGTGGTATTTGAGAAGCCAGGGAAACCAGGGAGCAAGCCAGGGAAATACCTAGGAAAACAGACCCCAGGCTTAAGGAAGAGCTGGGGAACAAGCCCACAGTCAAAAGTAGGCTTGGGTACACTTGGAGATAGCAGGTGGCCAATCCCACTTCTGTAAGTAGAGTGAAGGGTCACAGGGAGAGCACAGGAGAGGAGGTCTGGGGTGGGCCAGCGAGATGGAGGGACAGCTCCCAAAAGGTCTTGAGGTGACGATAAGGATGCTGGACTTTCCTCTGAGTGAAATGGAGTGGACGAGTGACCAGATCTGATTTGCATTGAAGAACACATTATTACAATATTCCAGGTGAGAAACTTCCATGGATGGCTGAGCGGGGTGGGGGGCAGCACTGAAAGTAGGGAGCCACGGTCAGATTCTAAATGTATCTTGAAGGCAGAACCAAGATGATTTGCTGTTGGGTTGGATGTAAGATGTGATGGAAAGGGCACATCAAGGATGACTCCAGGGTGATTAGAAGAATTGAATAGCCATTTTATGAGATGCAAGACTGCAGGAGGAGCAAGTTTAAGAAGAAGACCCGGAGTACGGTTTGGAAATCTTGTTGGGTTGGGAGGAGGCTTAAAAACCAACACCTCAATTCCAATTTCTGGTTTGAAACCAAAGGTTTCTAGGGCCAAGCAAAGAGATCTACCATCACCTTTCTTACTAAAGATGTTTGGAGAATATGGCTTCGTTGTGAAAGCCAGTTGGGCTGGTTCTTTCTCTCTCTCTCTCTCTCTCTCTCTCTCTCTCTCTCTCTCTCTCTGTGTGTGTGTGTGTGTGTGTGTGTGTGTGTGTGTCTGTCTGTCTGTCTGTCTCTCTGCCTCTACCTTCTAGTCCAGACCTTAGAAGAGCACACCCAAGGAAAAGTCTAAATCTAAGGGAAGACACACTTCCCCAGTATTGCTGCCTTGTACAGATCCAAGGCAGAGAGGGAAGAAAAGAAGTGGATTTCCAGGCTTTGCAACATTTTATTAGATTCGTTTGACTCACTCTAGGAAATCCGGGGCCATTGGTTATGGGAAGAAGCCATAAGCACTAGGGCCAGAGGCCAGGAACATGACTGCAGTAGGCCTCTTGACATGGACAGATGAAGAACTGGGAAATAAGTTTTGTTTCCTAAGTTTGAAATGACCATCACACACCTAAGTGCAACATATTTACAGATTTTGTTTAGCCAATCTGATTCTGTCTTTTAAAAATAGTGAGTTTGTTTACAGAGATCATAAGTATTGAAATTTTAATTTCTATATTTTGTTATTTCTGTTTATTATGCTTTTATCTGCCCCTTTCATTTTCTCTTCTCTATATTACATTGGCCAAGTTTTATTTCTTTTTTTAACCTCCAATGATCTGGAAGTTTTATTTTTTAGTGTTACATTTGACAACCCACACACCTCACTAACAAATATCTCTGATCATCAGAGAAATGCAAATGAAAACCACAATGAGATGTCATCTCATACCAGTCAGAATGGCTATTATTAAAAAGTCAAAAAATAACAGATGCTGGCAAGCTTGAGGAGAAAAAGGAATGCTTTTACACTGTTGGTGGGAGTGTAAATTAGTTCAACCATTGTGGAAGACAGTGTGGCAGTTTCTCAAAGATCTAGAAGCAGAAATACTATTTGACCCAGCAATCTCATTACTGGGCATATACCCAAAGAAATATAAATCATTCTATTATAAAGATACATGCATGCATATGTTCGTTGCAGCACTATTCACAATAGCTATCAACCTAAATGTGCATCAGTGATAGACTGAATAAAGAAAATGTGGTACATATACGACATGGAATACTAGGCAGCCGTAAAACAGAACAAGATAATGTCCTTTGCAGGGACATGGATGGAGTTAGAAGCCATTATCCTCAGCAAACTATTACCTGAACAGAAAACCAAACACCATGTGTTCTCACTTATAAGTGGGAGCCGAATGATGAGAACACATGGACACATAGTGGGGAAAAACACACACTGGGACCTTTTGGTGGGGGTTGGGAGAGAGAGAGCATCAGAAAGAATAGCTAATGGATGCTAGGCTTAATACCTAGGTGATGGGATGATCTATGCAGCAAAACACCATGGCACACATTTACCTATGTAACAAACCTGCACATCCTGCACATATACCCCTGAACTTAAAATAAAATTTGAAGAAGAAAAAAGAAAACAAAATCTAATCAGTAGCTCAATTCTAGTCACAATCACTGCAAGAAACTTTTAACTTTGATTATCTGTCTCTGATCTTATATATTATTACTGCCAGCAATTTACCTCTGTCTTTTCCCCATAATCTGGATCTGTTATTCTTATTTTTGTTGTTCTGTATATTTATTATTTGGTTAGATTTCCCATACACTTGTCTTTTCCCCGCACCTCACTATTGGTTTTTGCAGCTCACTTAACTTCCTTCTTCCTGAAATATATTCTTCAGAAGATTTTTTTAAGTCTGCCTGAAAATATCTTTATTTTTCCTTTGTTCTTGAATGATAGGTTAGCTATGCAGCATGACAGTTATTTTCTCTCAATACTTTGGCAGTTCTAGTGCTTTTGGTTTTTATTTTTGCTATTGAGAAGTGAACCATCAATCTAGTTGACAATTAGATGAATCTGATTTTTTTTTTTTTTTTTTTTTTTTTCCTGAGACAAGGTCTCTCTCTATCGCCCAGGTTTTGAGTGCAGTTGTATGATCTCGGCTCACTGCAGCCTCCACCTCCTGGGTTCCAGTGATACTCTCGCCTCAGCCTCTCAGGTAGCTGGGATTACAGACACATGCCACCATGCCTGGCTAATTTTTGTATTTTTAGTAGAGACCGGGTTTCACCATTTTGGCCAGGCTGGTCTCGAACTCCTGACCTCAGGTGATCTACTCACCTCAGCCTCACAAAGTGTTAGGATTACAGTCATGAGCCACTGTGCCCAGCCTCATCTGTTCTTTTCTATGCTTTTTAAGATTTGGGGGGTTTATTTGTTCTAATCTTCAATTTCACTCTGGTATATCAAAGTTTACTTTCACTTTTATTCACTCTGCTTGATATTCTCCGGATTTTCTAATGTACACATTCATATCTCTCATCAATTCTGGAAAACTATTAGCCATATTTTTTCCAAGTATCATTTCTTCTCCCACTGTTACTATCTTCTCTTTCTGCTCTCTCCTCTTGACATATGTTGGAGCATCCTGTTCCTTTCCTCCAGGCCTATTCGTCTGTTTCTTATTTCCTATCGTTTTATCACTCTTTGCCACATTTTTCATTCCTTCAAACCAATCTTCCAGTTCACGAATTGTCTCCCTAATTGGCCTTAAATACTAATGAGTCCTAAAATTATGTATCAGACAATTGCCACTGAAGTCAGACATTGCCTCTGAACTTGAATCTCCCATAACCAGCAGTTAACCCGACATCTCTACTTGGACATGTAATTAGCATATCAAACTTTTATGTCCAGAAATAAACTCTTGAACTTCCCTATACACCCTGGCTCCTCCCACAGTCTTTCTTCTCTCATTAAATGGCAACTCCAACTTTCTAATTGCTCAGGCCAAAAACACGGAGTAGTTGTACATTTAAGTCTTAATTCATCTTGAGTTAATTTTTGTATATAGTGAGAAATAGGAGTCCAGTTTCATTCTTCCGCATATGGCCAGCCAGTTATCCCAGCACCTAGAAAACCCCATAGGCAACTTTGTCAAAGATCAGATGGCTGTAGATGTGCAGCTTTATTTCTGGGTTCTCCATCCTGTTCCATTGGTCTATGTGCCTGTTTTGTACTAGTGCAGTGCTGTTTTGATTACAGTAGCCTTGTAGCATAGTTTAAACTTGGGTAGTGTGATACCTCCAGCTTTGTTCTTTTCACTTGGAATTGCTTTGTCTATTTGGGCTCTTTCTTGGTGACATATGAATTATAGAATAGTTTTTTTCTAATTCTGTGAAAAATGACACTACTAGTTCGATAGGAATAGTGTTGAATCTTTAGATTGCTTTGGGCAGTATGGCCATTTAATGATGATTCTTCCAATCCATGAGCATGGGACATTTTCTATTTGTTTGTATCATCTATGATTTCTTTCAGTAGCATTTTGTAGTTCTCCTTGTGGAGATCTCTTATATCTTTGGTTAGATATATTTCCAGGTTTGTGTGTGTGTGTCTGTGGCTATTATAAATGGGATTGCATTCTTAATTTGGGTCTCAGGTTGAACGTTATTGGGGTGTAGAAATGCTACTGATTTTTGTACATTTATTTTTATATCCTGGATCTTTACTGAAGTTGGGTCTGTTCCGGGTTTTATCTTCTGACTCAGACTAGGGAGGTTGTATGTTTTCAGGAATTTGCCCATTTCCTCTAGATTTTCTAGTTTGTTAGAGGTGTTCATAATAATCTGAGAATCTTTTATATTTCTGTAGGATCAGTTCTAATTTAACCTTTGTTGCTTCTGATTGTGCTTATTTGGATCTCCTCCCATTTTTTCTTTGTAAATCTAGATAGCAATCTATCAATCTTATTTATCCTTTCAAAAAAGCCAGCTTTTGTTTTTGTTGATTCTTTGTATTACTTTTTGTGTCTCAATTTTGGTCAGTTCTACCCTGATTTTAGTTTTTCTTTTCTTCTGCTAGCTTTGCAGTTAGTTTGTTCTTGTTTTTCTAGTTCCTTCAGGTGCAACGTTACATTGTTAATTTGAGATCTTTCTAACTTCTTCATGTAGGTGTTTATCGCTATAAACTTTCCCCTTAACACTGCTTTAGCTGCATCCCAGAGATTTTGATATGTTGTGTCTCTGTTTTCATTTATTTCAGAGTTCTTAAATTTCTGTCTTAATTTTACTGTTTACCCAAAAGTCATTCAAGAGCAGGTTGTTTAATTTCTATGTAATTGTGTGGTTTTGAGAGATCTTCTTGTTATTCATTTACTTATTTATTTGAGATGGAGTCTCGCTCTGTTGCCCAGGCTGGAGTGCAGTGGTGCGATCTCGGCTCACTGCAAGCTCTGCCTCCCAGGTTCACGCCATTCTCCTGCCTCAGCCTCCCGAGTAGCTGGGACTACAGGTGTCCGCCATCACACCTGGCTAATTTTTTTGTATTTTTAGTAGAGACGTGGTTTCACCATGTTAGCCAGGATGGTCTCAATCTCCTGACCTCGTGATCCACCTGCCTTGGCCTCCCAAAGTGCTGGGATTACAGGCGTGAGCCACCGTGCCCGATCTTATTTGTATTTTTATTCCACCATGGTCTGAATGTATGGTTGATATGATTTCAATTTTTTGAATTTACTGAGACTTGTTTTACGACTGAGCATGTGGTCAATCAGATTATGTTCCCTGTGCAGATAAGGATAATATGTATTCTGTGGTTGATGGATAGAGTGTTCTGTAGATGTCTATTAGGTTCAATTGGTCAAGTGTCAAATTTAAGTCCAGAATTTCTTTGTTAGTTGTTTGCCTCAATGATCTAACACTGTCAGAGGGTGTTCAAGTCCCTCACTATTATTGTGTGGCTAAGTCTTCTTATAGATCTAGAAGTACTTGTTTTATGAACTTGGGTGCTCCAATGTTGGATGTGTATATATTTACAATACTTATGTCATCTTGTTGGATTGAACCCTTTATCATGCTGTAGTGCCATTATTTGTCCTCCTTCTAACTGTTGTTAAAGTCTATTTTACCTGATATAAGAATAACAACCCCTGCTCTTTTGTGTTTTCTGTTTGCATGATCTTTCTCCAGCCTTGAGTCTATGAGTGTTGTTATGTGTGAGATGGGTTTCTTAAATACAGCAGATGAATGGGTGGTGGTGGTGGTGTTTTTTTAACACAACTTGCCACTCTGTACATTTTAAATGGGCATTAAGACCATTTACATTCAAGGTTAATATTGATATGTGAGGCTTTGATCTTATCATGAAGTTGCTAGTTAGCTGTTTTATAGTTTCTTTTGTGTGTTGCTTCAAAGGGTCTGTGGATTATGTTGTTCCTTCATCTCCATGTTTAGAATTGCCTTAAGGATCTCTTGCAAGGCTGGTCTAATGGTAGTAAATTCCCTTAGTGATTGTTTTTCTGAGAAAGATTTTATTTCTCTTTTGCTTATGAAACTTAGTTTGGTTGGGTATGAAATTCTTGTTTGGAGTTTCTTTTTTTTTTTTCCTTAAAGATGCTGAAAATAGGTCCTCAATCTCTTCTGGCTTATAGGGTTTCTGCTGAGAAGTCTGCTGTTAGCCCGATGGGGTTCCCTTTGTACATAATCTGACCTTTTTCTCTAGCTGCCTTTAAGACTTTTTCTTTAGCATTGACTTTAGACAATCTGGTGACTACATTCCTTGGTGATGTTCAGATTTTTATAGTATCCGGCAGGTGTATTTGGAGGTATATTTCTAGCCAAAAAAATTCAAGAATACTCTTCTGGGCTTATACCTCCACCTCCACCCTGTCTTTTCCATTTGTTGCTAATTCTTTCACATAATGCCAGTTCTTTAGGCTTTAAGAAAAGCCAGTCAGCATCTGCACTGTCTTCTCTCTTCCTTAGTACTGTCACAACCCACAGAGGCCACCTCCCAGAGATGTTGGTATTTCACTGAATTGGCACATTAACATTCCTTTTCAACTTCACCATGCATTCACAGAAATTTGCTTTCTCTGGATCAAAGTGGGGAGAGATTCTGGGTTTTTTTATTATTATATTACATTTATGTTTTAAACAGTATTCATTCCACAACTAACTTCTTTAAAAAACCAAGTAATTAATTCTTAGCCAAGAATAACCAAGTAGTTAATTCTTAGATTCTTTCCTTACTCCTAAAGTTATTACAGAATGGCATACAAGACCTGAGGAAACCTGGAAAAGTATCAGTTTGTCTTTAAATTATCTTTGTCGGATGTGTAGAAAATATATGGGAACTGAATAAAGAAAGAGCTGAGAGCTGGATAAAGAAATAGTTGAGAATAGCAGAGTGACTAAGAAACGTTCTTCAAGCTTGGCTCTTATTTTTTTTTTTTTTTTTTAGACAGAGTCTCCTGTGTTGTCCAAAGCTCAGCACTATTGACTTTTGTGCTGGTTAATTCTGTATTGCAGATGTTTAGCAGTATCCCTGGCATCTACCCATGAGATGCCAGTAGCACCCACACACACCAGTTGTGATGACCAAACATATCTCCAGATGTGGCCAAATGCCCCCTGGGAAGGGTAAGGGTTGATCATCCCATTGAGAATCACTGGTCTAGAGGTTCAAATTCCATTTTCACCACTTACAATCTGAATGATGTTATCCAATATCCATTCTTTCTATTCTTACTAATAGAACCCCAAATTTGATCAGGTTTGCTATAAGCCCAGCTAAAAACGTTAACATAGTTCTGCCTATTGAGACATAAGCTGAAGTTTTCTGGAAGGCTTTTGTTGATCTGATCTAGGCGACACTCCTTTTTCTTTCACCCTCCCCTTTCTCTTTGCCTGAAATGCCAACACAGTGAATGGAGCAGCAGCAGTCACAATGTGCCCATGAAGACCAAGCCATGCACTGAAAATGAGAATGTAGGAAGGTGGAAGGAAGCTAATACAAAGGCCAGCAAATCCAGCTTGCCTGTTTTTATACAGCCTACAAAAGGAATAGCTTTTACATGTTTTAATGGTTACAGGAAATTTTTAAAATGTATAATATTTTATGACATAAAAATAACATGAAATTTGTATTTCATTGTCCATAAATAAAGTTTTATTGGTACGCAGTCATTTGTTTACATATGATCTGTGCTGCTTTTGTGCCCTAAAGGCAGAATTTAGTAATTGCAGCAGAGATGGTACAGCCCACAAAGCCTAAAATACTCTCTGACCTTTAACAAAGTTTATCAACTCAGACAGAATAACATCCTTGACAACTCAACTCCAGACTTTTTGTTGTGTGAGAAAAATAAGCTATTGGCTTATATAATCCACTATTTTTCAGCTTTATGTCACTTCCAGCCAAAGGCAGTCTAATTGGTGCACAGCTAAATGAGATTTGATGAACTGGAAGAACCAAGGGCAGCATAATGAGGACACTGTCTAGAGGACATTCTGCAGACGTCAGGACATCTAATTTATTTCCCTATAATTTCCCAGGAAGTTTAAAGCTTTTCTTGGAATAGACTGTGTCTATAAAACCGGAAAGGAGGGAAGAAATGAAAACTTTGAAGAATAAATCTTTATAGGACTCAGCAGACAAATAGGTGCACAAAGCAGAGAAGGTACAGTAAAATAATAATACCTTAGTGTATTAGTTATTTATTGCTGTGGAACAAATACTCCTAAGCAACAACACTTTCATCTCACATATCCTGAAATTCAGGAAGCTGGGCATGGTTTAGGACTTGCATTTACTGAATCACAGTGACAGTAGATTGTAGCCATCTCAAGGCTCAATAGGAGCCACTTCCACACTCACTCACAAGGTTGTTGCCAGAATTCAGTTCTTTGCAAGCTGTTGGGCTGAGACCCTCTGTTCCTTACAGCTATCAGCCAGAAGCTGCCCTCAGCATCTTGCCACGTGGCCTCTCTGTAGGGCAGCTGGCGATGTGGCAGTGGCTTCACCAGAGTGGGCAAGTGAGGATTTGAAAAGGAGTGTGTCCCAGATAGAAGTCACAGTCTTGCACAACATCATCCAGAAATGACATCCCAGCACTTCTGCTGTATTCTGTTCATTAAAAGTGAGTCACATTAAAAGTGAATCCCCACTTGAAGGGAGGAGATTAAGCAAAGGTGTGGGTACCAGGACATAGGGTCATCAGGCACCTGTCAGAATCTCCCTACTACACCCAACAAAGTGTTCAAATTCATGGATTATTTTCACCTGGATTACTTTTGCTGCTAATCTTGGGACCTTTTCTGAAAAGCAAAGGAAGTGGACCCAGGTCCATGACCAAATCTTTCAAATGTCATCCCTGTGTAAAGATTTGTGCCCTAAATAGGAGGTTCCTGCTCCCACCTCGCTCCAACTGACACATAACCATCTCCACCCTCTCTGCTCGTGTCTTGGGAGTCCCTTATGTTAGCCAAACGACAAGAGAACAATTCTAACCCTGCCACCTAGAATCTAGGTATTTTTGGAAAAGTGTTTCCCATAAGTAGTTTACCCTTTATCTTTTGTCTTAAAAGTGTTTGTTGCTTTTGCCACGATGTGAGTTCAGAAATGCAGGCTGGCTTGTTCGTGAGTACCTACCTGCCAGTAAAGGCAAACAAGGCTCCCTTGGCTTAGATCTTCTTGTCCTGTGGTCTTTCCCACTCTCCCTCACTTTCCTCCTTAGCCTTCCTCCTCCAAAAGAGGGCTCCCTCACTTCACATTCTCTTCTCCCAGTGGCAAGTGCTTTCTGAAACAAAGAAGCCCTTGCCTAGCCCTAAGACGGCTCGAGTGGCCACTTCTGACCAAATAGGCTTCAAGTTGGTGCTACAACTAAGCACCGAGGGTCTGTGAATTAGACTCTTTAGCATGTGCAGCGCTGCTTTGATCTTGGCAGACAACAGCCCTCATCTGAATGCCCCCTACCTCTTCTTCTAAGCGGACACTTCAGCCTCCCTTTGCTGAGACAAACCAAAGAGTTAATCAAACTCCTGAAATGAGTCCCAGGGAGTTAGAAACATGGAATCTTGCCCTGTCTATTTTGCAAATTTAAAGACACTGGGCTTCCAAAGAGCTGATACTTGAGGGTCTTTTAAATGCCTAGAATACTAAACGGGCTGGGGGTTTTCTGTCCTTAGGCTAAACCAGCTGAAATAAGAAAGAAATATAAAATACTTTATTTTCACCTTTTGGACAGATCCATTTTTTATTTAAAAAGCAATAAATCAACAGATTCAAATAAAAAATGGTGAGTTCATGTCCTTTGTAGGGACATGGATGAAGCTGGAAACCATCATTCTCAGCAAACTATCGCAAGGACAAAAAACCAAACACCGCATGTTCTCACTCATAGGTGGGAATTGAACAATGAGAACACATGGACACAGGAAGGGGAACATCACATACCAGGGCCTGTTGTGGGGTGGGGGGAGGGGGGAGGGATAGCATTAGGAGATATACCGAATGTTAAATGACGAGTTAATGGGTGCAGCACACCAACATGGCACATGTATACATATGTAACTAACCTGCACGTTGTGCACATGTGCCCTAGAACTTAAAGTATAATTAAAAAAAGGAAAATATGCATAAGTTTATACATATCCAATAATTACACTCAGTTGTTTGCAGAGCTTTTTACTTAATTCATCTTTTTCTTTTCTTTAAATGCAACACAGTGGGAGACTTTTCCTGCCTGGCCATTCAGAAGCAGGTCACAGGGGCAGCCACCAGTAGACCAGCTTGCATGAGGATGCCACTGCCCCTGGGAAAAACAGAAACAGTGAAAAAGATTTTGAGGACTGATGGGATTAAGACTTTCCGCAGGGCAATAATGCAGACACAAGTTTTACCCCCAAATCTCTGAAAGAGGCAACCCAGGAGGGAAGAAGGCATTGCATTTCCTGGCACTCATCCTCAGGTGCGGGTTTATGATCAGCAAGGATTGAGGCTTATTAATATGAAAGTGAAGGAAGCCAGCCAGCTGTCCTCTGTAAGGAAGGAAGGAAAGGGTCTATTTAAAATAAAATCATCATAAAAATGAAGAAACAAATGAAAGACTGAATGTACAAATGCACAGTGCCTGGACCATATAATAAGAATAGAACTATCACCCTAAATCTGTAGCAGCCTGCTTAGGAAACCAAGCCCATTATGTATGACAAACAGCCCAGGAAGACAGCCTGCTAAAGCCAGACTCGCAGGAAGCCAGTCTGCTATCTCTAGTGGTAACCCAGGAAGCTAAACAATAACTTCTGTAACAAAAGACCCAAAATGTTCAGGACTTAATTAATAATTGTATTAGTCAGGATTCTCCAAAGAAACAAGACCAATAAGATGTGTGTTTATACATATATATACACATATATATTACATATATGTATACACATATATAACATATATGTATACACATATATTACATATATTACCTATATATTACACATATATTACATATATATTACACATATATTACATATATATTACATATATATTACCTATATATCACATATATATGTATACATATATATCACATATATATGTATACATATATATCACATATATATGTATACATATATATCACATATATATGTATACATATATATCACATATACATGTATACATATATATTACATATATATTACATATACATGTATGCCTGTACATACATACATATATATGTGGAAATTTATTATGGAAATTGACTCATGCCATTATGCAGATTATGCAGGCTGAGTAGTCCCAAGATATGCCATCTGCAACCTGGGGAACCAGGAAAGCTGGTTGTAGTGGTTGTATAATTCAGTCCAAAGCTGAAGGCCTAAGAACCACGGGAGCCTGCCCCACCTGCCAACTGCTGGAGTAAGTCCTGGAGTCCAAAGGCCTGAGAACCAGAAGCTCTGATGTTTAAGGGCAGGAAAAGATGGATGTCCCAGAAGAGAGAACTTCCTGTGCCCTTTTGTTCTATTTGGGCTGTCAAGGAATCAGATGATGCCCACGTGGGTGAGGGTAATCTTCTTTACTCAGTCATCTCATTCAAATGCTAATCTCTTCCAGAAAAACCCTCACAGACACACCCAGAAATAATTGATTACAAGCTATCTGGGCACCTCTTAGCCCAGTCAAGTTGACATATAAAATTAACCATCACAGTAACTGACAGCCTCCCTAATTTTTGTGACTGCTTCTAATTTAGGACTAACCAGAGAAAGCCAACTATGGCCCCAACCAATCAGACAGGCTTCCGTGCTCCAAATTGGCCACCCTGGGCTTCCCCTGGCCAACAGCTTCCAATAAGGGGCACACGTGAAGCCATCCCTTTTGCCCACTGTAAAGCTCTCTCCCTCCTCTGCCTACCTTTGAGTCTCTGCCAAATGAAAGTGATGGTGGCCAACTCCTTTGCTATGGCAAGCGCTGAATAAATCACCTTTGCTTTTCTCATATGAGTGGCATTCAATTTTTTCTACATGGGCAACCTAAAAGGACTAAAGTATATTTCAGGAGTCTAGTTTTTAAAATCTCCAGGAAGACAACCTCCAGGGTGAGACCTTAGGTAGAAAACAATAACACTCTCACTGTCACTGTAATCCATCCTTTTCTGTGTCCCCCAATCCTGAGTCAGCCTCAGAAGGAAACCGAAATCAATTTAGCTCCATGAGTTCAAGTGCTGATTCCTCAGCTCGAGTTAGCTTCAAGCTTTTCAGGCATCTTTGGCAAGTCTCAAAACTCCTTAGCCCCTCTTGTAACAATTCTTTTTGAGCTCTGAACATTAATTTACATGGTGTATGTACTTTATTCATTTATCCTTGTTTTCATGTGTTTCTTTAGTATATTCTTGTAGGTTTATTTTTCCTCTCCAGTTAGAGACCTCATCAACCTTTATCTATGCCTATTATCCGCACCCAATACCCTTAAAAGTGCTTCACACATGGAAGCCTTCTGGTCACTAAAGTTAACTGACTTTTAGAAATCACATGTCTTAAAAAGATTTGAAATAAATGACTCTTGCAAATATTAATACATAGACCTTTGTTTAACAAAGGTGAATCTAAAATTGCTTGCCACTATGAATCAAATATAATTTCAGTACACATTAAATATAGGCATATACTTGTTCTATGTTTTAGGTAAGGAAGAACTAGCTAAAGATATAACAGATAAAATGCTAAATCTTAGTGGCTTCAGAGACTAGATGTGTATTGTGTTCACAAACAGGTTATTCCCTAACAGAGGGCAGATCTCCAGTGACTCAGGGACCCAGGCTTCTTCTGGCTCACAGCTTCATCATCTCCAATGCCAGGTTCCTCAGGTTACTACGCTTGTCTGCATCAAGTCAGAGGGGAAAAACCATGGGGGGCCATATTGTGCAGTTTTTATGAGCCAAGCCAAGAGGTGTGAACACGACTCTTAGCACATTGCATCAGTCAGATCTCAGTCACGTGGCCACACCTCACCACAATAGGGCTGGAAAATGATCTAACTCTGGGCTCAGAGGGAAGAGAAAATGGCTTTGGTTAAGAGCTAACCAGTTTCTTTCACACCTATCAAGGAAAAAAAAAAAAAATATCTGCTGTAAAGACCTCCTTACAAATACCACTCCCCTAACCCAAATGACTGGCTTAGTCACTGGAAAATGTGCACAGACTAAGCTCTAAATTGGATTCTTCATACATCAAAGGGTACAGTAAAGCTCTTGACAGCCCCTGCTTCTCAAACATGAAGGACAGCTCACAAGGACAACAGCAACAACAGAATGCCCTGCCACTTCTCCCTGCCTTTTTAAGAGAGCACTGTTCTTTAATTTTATTGCTTCTAGAAGCATTGCAGCTTCTCATGAGCCAGTGAACTAGCTAATTGGCTACAGCAAGGACTGTATCTTGGAAGGTGGCACTTAATAAAACAAATATTAAGAAACTATGATTCTCTGGAGTATGAGCTTTCAAGGGTGAAGGGTATATCATGGGTCAACATGATACAACACCTGACAGTTAAGGATGGGGAGGAAATGACATCTTAGAAAGGGAGAAACTGAGTGGGAATGCTTAGGTTTGTCTCATATTGAGAGTATTAAAACCATAAGCTCCTATATAGCTGGTTTTTTTTTTGGCTGCAATTAAAACATAAAGAGCTGGTTTCTTTGACGTTCTGTGTCTGCCCTTTTTTCCCATTTTTATATATACAGCCTAAGCAAAACTGACAAAAAAAGTAATCGAGATTTCGGTTCTAATGCAGATCTTGATTTATTTTGACTTATTCACAGGGTCTAGTAAAATGATCCATGCCTTCCTACAGAAATGAGATGTCAAGATGCAAACAATGCTGCCTCCCTCCAACAAGCAGCCACAGCCTGCCCCACAGCCATCTCATACTGGCATCCCTCAAGGGCAGTCAAGATCTCAGCCCTTTCATCAGACTGACACCTGCCAACCTTTTTGTCCATTTCTGTAGGAGTCAAAGTTCTTGAAGGCCATGCTGAACTTGAATTTTCCCTGAAGTTCAGCAGAAAATTAAGATCTACTTGCAGGTGATTCTTGCCGAAAAATGAGTCATAGACTAAAAATAGTGCAGCAATTTTTTTAATGAGAAAATGAACAAGATACGTGAACATGGCTCAGATATACCCATCTGTTTTCAATTGTAGTTGGCGGCAAGTCAGCTCTCAATTTTCCGCTTGCTGGGCTTTCTAACACAGGTCCCCGTGCGTCTGCCAATGACCAAAATGCACAGCAACCCTAGGTAATCTTGCTCTACCTCTTTCCCCTTCCCAGACCACAGAATATCCAGTTGAATTGCAACATTATTAGGGCAGATATTTACATATTTATAATCTTTTTTAAAGTATGCATATGTTATCTTTTTCTTGCATTCATCTCTTATTATTTGCTATCTTGTATTGCCAATGCCTCGTCTCTCCCCCATTAACACTGATAAATTGCAGTTGATTATAGTTTAGTTCCTTTTCTCGTGAGTTAAATGCAGTAAAATGAGCAGAAAAGTAGCAAACAAGGCCTCAGGGTGACATCAACACCCTATAATAGCTTATTTTTACCTCTAATATTTTCACAGATGATTCTGCCTGAAATTCTCCAATTTGGGGTAATGATGCTGAAAGTGTGTAATATAAGAATTTGGAGTATAAGCAAACAGCTGATGATGATGATGATGTTGACAGAAGGGTTATGTTTGGATAAAAAACCAGCTCTGCATGAAAGGATGGTCAGGGCAAATAACCCAAGAGCTAAGCTGAATCTTGATTCAGTGCTTCCATTAGTAAAAAGAATATGTTTGAAGCTTACCTTTTACAAAATAAAAAGAGCATCTCTGACAGTGTATTTAGAAATGAGGGACCTGGCATCTAGTTTAAGAAAACCATTCTATTCACAGGTCTCTGGTGGCACAGGGATCTTGTACTTGGAGTAATCAACCTTTGTAGAACCTCTTTTTTGATGCTGGAATATTAGGCCTGCTGTCTTGAACCTCTTGGAGCTAATGGGATGTCCAGATGTAACTCCATATCTATATAACCCTGAGGACTGCTATGCAGCTGCTATGGAACATGAGGGGCTCATCTCTGTACTGAAAAAAAATTGCCCCAAGCTTTTGTTTCCTAAGGCACTTTTTGTAGAGAAATTATGGCCACGATGACATGCTTACTCTAGGACAGAGGGAGTGAGACAATTAAAATTTAGAAAAGACCTGAAGTCTACACCAAGTGGCATCTCTCCCCTCCCCTGCAGAGACAGAACATGGTACCCACTGACCTCAACCCTTAATCCCTTGGGCCCTCTCTAAGTCTCCAATTTTACACGTCCCACTGTACTTCAGTGAATTCCTGCCAAACAGTTTTGGAGACTGTGCGGGGTTATCATGTACAGGTCCTTCACAACACCCTGATGCCTCACCCCTTAGAGCTTTACTTATGCCCAGCATTGTCTGGGCACCCCTCCTGATTACTTTCCTTCAGTTTCACCCTGAACTCCAAAGCACTGCACCATAAAACCACAATGGCATTCATAATGGAGCCCCCTAGCCATTCAGGCAAAACTTTCATTCCTATCTTATCACACAGATAAGTCCTCTGAGAACATTTCTGTTAATCCCTCTTGCTTCTCAACTCCCACTTCCACACTCACCTCCTACACTTTAATATCCCAAATGGACTTAGACACATATGAGAGCCTCAGTATCTTTCTTCCCATCCCTGCCATTTCTAAGGAGAGAATTTGATCCTCTTCTAATGCCCCACACTTTCTACCTTTGCGCTGATCCCATCCTCACACCTTCTCTGGGACTTGGCTACACCATTCCTCCTCACCCATACTTTGAACTTCTCCCGCCGTGATCCCTTTCTGCTCTTGAGTAATTCCTTGCATTAAATCAAAAGGAACAAAGTGAAATGAGCTAAAACCTCTTTCCCTGGCCCACCTATGCTTAAGTTCCTTTTTAAAAAATTCCTCCTACTGAGCTAGACACAAACTCTCATATGTCCTCCCCCATCCCACCAAAAAAATTTATAGTTTTCTTCTCTGCAGAAATTATCTGTCAAACACCAACAATTTTTAAAACTTTTCCAAGGTCAGATTATCAGAATATTATATCTTACTGAATATCATGACTTACTGAATTTTGATTGCTTTTTAAAATTTGTACTGAAAAGCAATATGCATAAGTAAAACCTGCAATGAATGTGCACAAACTGAACACGTCTTTGAACCAGCACCCAGACCCAGAAACAGAAAATTACCAGAATTCTGGGCTTCCTGCTCATCATATACGGTGAAACTAAGTAGTTTAGAATGGATGAGGCTAGGCTGTGAGAGAGAATAGAATCATGAGGCTAGAAACATGTATTGAAGGGCTTCTATATCTTGCTAAGAAGCAACTGAAACAATAAATCAAGAAATCCATGAACGTATTGGGGTAGTGCTGTCTAATTTACTAAAGAGATGGTGTCTGAATATAGGATTCTATTTTAGTACCCAAACTAAGACAGCCATATGTCCTGGCTTTTCCTTGAGTCCACTGATTTAAAATATTTTGCCTTATCAAACCATGTGTCAGAACACAGCCCAACTTAGGGTCAGGAAAATTTTGTTACCATAACCTCATTCCATCCCACACACCATATTGTTTTTCCAAAAAACAGTACCATTTTTTCTGGTTGGTATCCTATACAGAAAATAATTTGATTTGTAGGCTTGCAAATCACACTTATAAATATTCAAATGCACAGCTCCAATTAAAACAAGAGCCAAAAGCCTGTGCTACAGGCAATGAAAATATTCTTCCCATAGCTACATTTACTTTATTAACAGGCTGTAGCCTAAATGCCTAAGGAAAAAATTGTTATAGGCTTGTTATCTTGCTTCTAATTGAGTGATTTTCTTTCTTCTTTTCATTTACTGAAGTATTATGGACTTGGCTACTATAATGTATGAAACTGTAGTTACTTTGACCAATTCAGACCTAGCTCTCAAACATTTAAGGGCTTCACATGACTCAGTCCCTGCTGGGAGTCAAATGCCAGGAAACCCAATTCAATCAAAAGGAATTTAAGAGGAATTCCAAATTTTAGGTTTACCTATGAAGAATTAGCAGTTCCAATTCACAACCCCCAACAGCAACACTTCTTAAAGTTCCTGCCCCCATTTGCAGCTCCCTCTCCTGCAGTGGCCCCAGCACCTCTCTCTTGCCAATCCCTTGACATTCTTCTTCTCTCCCCAGCCCTACATCTTTATCAAGATAGTTGCTGTTCTTGGCTTTATTTATTCTTGTCTAGAAGCATTTGGCAAGGAGCCATTCTAAATAAGTTTAGCCTAATAAGGTTTTCTTTTTAAAAACAATTTTTAAATAATTCTTTATAAAATACATTACATACTTATATATTAAATCTTGTACACAAGTACAGGAGAAAGAGACCTGGGGAAAGGCAAACAGGTTTAGGGAATATATGATAATACCTATGAGAGCAGATTTTCAGAATGAGAAGAGAGATTTTTAAAGATTCTGAAACAAATGGGAAATAGGAAATAAAGGAAAGTTAGTCATGCCTAAACTTAAGATTAAGTAAGCTTCAAGTGGTTCCAGGTTTAAACATTAGCAGGAAGATAAAAAGAAGTCACTCACTGAGACATAAGACAGAGAAAATTCCTTTTTCATGGAATGAAAATTCATAGGATAATTGTAGAACAAGAGGAAGCAGCAAGATAGGAGAAAGGCATAAACGATATTCAAAGCAGCTATGAGTAGGTTAGACTTTTACATTCTCATAGCAGCATGTCTCATAGCAACAGACATACAACCTGTATGTCCATTCCGTTAAGTTCCCCTTCAACCCTCTGCCATTTCTATTAGCAAATTCTATCAATTCTACTGACTTTCCCATTTTTGTCAATGTTTCTACCACTTCCTCAATCACGGTTGTTAAAAACTTTATGGTTTACTTTTTCAACAAGTCCTGCCAACACGTCTTTCAAAGTGGTTCTCAAATGTAGCTCTTTTCTTATTCCCAAGTATCACTCCCAATTTTGATCTCTTCATACATTACTTCTGGTTACTCCAATAGCTACTTTTTTTTCTTTACTACTTTGTTGCAAATTTTTTACTAAGTTTTTACTTTCTTTTACTAATTTATGAAGACATACGTTACATAACAAGAACTGAACATATTTTAAATGTATCATTTGATAAATTTTGACATATCCACCCAAGAGATAAATCAATCAAGACATTGAACAGTTCCATCACCCTGCCCTGGAAATTTTCATAATGTGTCCTTTGCAATCAGTTCTTCCCTTTCTGACCCCATGATCTCCAGGCAACCAATGACCTGCTTTCTGCCACTATACATAAGTTTTCACCTTCTGCAATTTTATCTAAATGGGACCCCATTCTATGTACTCAGCATAATGATTTTAAGATGTATCCATGTTGCTGCATGTACTGATTTTTACATCATTTTGTTGCTCGGTGATATCCCCTTATATGGATAGACGTATTTTGTTTTCCAATTTACTGTCCATGAACACACAGATTGCATGTCCATTGCAATGAGCCATGCTGCTATGAGAATGTAAGAGTCTTTGTATGAACATGGCTTTCATTTCTCCTGGGTAAATACCAAGGAGTGGAAGAGGCTTGAATTATGTATTGGTGTAGGTTTAACTTTTTAAGAAACCGCTAACATCTTTTCAGCTTGGCTGTTCCCTTGTACATTCCCACAACACTGTAGGAACATTCCAGTTTCTACATCCTCACCAACACTGGGTCTTTTTCCTAACAGCCATCTTATTGAGTATACAGGGGTACTTCATCACGGTTTCCACTGAGATGTCCCTGATGGTTAACAATGTTGAGCATCGTCTTTCCTGCTTACCAGTCATTCCTACATCTTCTCCTGTGAAGTGTCTCTTCAAATCTTTTTCCCATTTTGCTTGTTGTTGTTTTATTTTCCAGTTTAAGGGGTTTTTGTTTTGTTTTTTGTATTCTACATGCAAGTCTTTTGTTTGATGTATGTGTTGCAAATATTTTATCCCAGGCCATAGCTTCATCATTGCCACTGGGCTCAGTAAATCTTTGCCCTTCTATCTTGAGTTATTCAAGTAGGTGAATATTTAGTCACAATAATTACTGGAATAATGCAAAGAAAGCATAGAGCCTTTTACCAAACTTGCAGGGAGCCCTGAATGGTTTTAAATCTAAACAGCATTTCCAGTACTTTTACGGATCAACATACACTTTCTGGAGCTTTGGTAGAAGCGCTGTTGGAAAGAACATCGTTTTCCATTAGGCTATGATAATACCACTTTTTATCAGATAGCAGAGGTAATACTATGCTATTGAACGTGTGGGTAGACATGAAAGATCTAGCAGATGGTTTTGACTCAGCTGTTGTCACTGTGTGGGTTCCCCTGTGAGGAGGTAACTGTGATGGGTGGAAGGTGAAGGTGTGTTGATGGCTTATGCGAGACTCTTCAAAAGGCAAATAGGCTAGAAATTCACCTGCACCCAGAAAGAAAGGAAACAAAATAACAACCACCAAAAAAGCCACAACTGGGTAAGGCAGTCTAGCCTCCGAACACACACACACACACACACACACACACGAAGATGGGGAGTAAAGATACAAAGAGAAATAAACTGCAATCTGCTGCTTTCTTTTTTTCTACTGAAATAATGCATGTCCTACTGAGAATTTCTGTATTCTGCATATTAAGATACATATGCTTCCTTTGAATTCTCAAAAAGCTAGGGAAAAAATATCCAAGATGAAAATCTCAGGGAGATGAGAGACAAAACCAGTAGTCAATGAGAAAACAGCCCAGAAGAGCTCCCCACGAAGGCAAAGTGAATGAAGTCAAACACACTTTTTTAAATAGTGACTTAGACTTGCTTAGACATTTTTTGGTCTATCTGATCACTTGTTTACTTGGTGCGCTGGGGTAGGCAAGGTAGGTGGATGTTGGAATGGAAAAACCATGGGCTTTGGCATCAGACGGACCTGGATTCCAATCCTGGACATAAATATTTGAATGACTGTGAATTTGGTTACGTTTCTTATTTTAGTCATTCAGAAATGGAAGATAAATAATATCTATTTTATAGAATTATTAAGAATATTAAATGAAATCACATGTGCTCATTTTTAAAAACAGGTATCAGAACAAAGTACACACTCATTAAATTCCAGACATTCTTTCTACTCCGACTTCTACTTACCCTTAATAAGAATGTTGTTTGGAAATTCCAGGCCTTTTTTGAATATATTAATTCTTGAAGTTGCACTGTGGTAAGCGAGAGAGGCTTGGCCAGCAAAAGCCACATTCCATAAGACTGTAGGGATTATCTAATTTTATGCATCCATACTTTTGCCTGGGCATCCAAGAAATGCTGAGCTAAAAGTAATGTCTTAGTGAGTCTGGAATTGGTGGGTTCTTGGTCTCACTGACTTCAAGAATGAAGCCGCGGACCCTCGCGGTGAGTGTTACAGCTCTTAAGGTGGCGCATCTGGAGTTTGTTCCTTCTGATGTTCGGATGTGTTCGGAGTTTCTTCCTTCTGGTGGGTTCGTGGTCTCGCTGGCTCAGGAGTGAAGCTGCGGACCTTCACAGTGAGTGTTACAGCTCTTAAGGCAGCACGTCTGGAGTTGTTCTTCCTCACGGTGGACTCATGGTCTCGCTGGCTTCAGGAGTGAAGCTGCGGACCTTCACAGTGAGTGTTACAGCTCTTAAGGCGGCACGTCTGGAGTTGTTCTTCCTCCCGGTGGACTCGTGGTCTCGCTGGCTTCAGGAGTGAAGCTGCAGACCTTCGCGGTAAGTGTTACAGCTCATAAAAGCAGTGTAGACCCAGAGTGAGCAGCAGTTAAGATTTACTGCAAAGAGCAAAAGAACAAAGCTACCACAGTGTGGAACGGGACCCCAGCGGGTTCCCACTGCTGGCTCGGGCAGCCTGCTTTTATTCTCTTATCCGGCCCCACCCACATCCTGCTGATTGGTAGAGCCAAGTGGTCTGTTTTTGATAGGGCGCTGATTGGTGCGTTTACAGTCCCTGAGCTAGACACAAAGGTTCTCCACTTCCCCACCAGATTAGATAGATACACAGTGTGGACACAAAGGTTCTCCAAGGCCCCACCAAAGTAGCTAGATACAGAGTGTCGATTGGTGCATTCACAAACCCTGAGCTAGACACAGGGTGTTGATTGGTGTGTTTACAAACCTTGAGCTAGATACAGAGTGCTGATTGGTATATTTACAATCCCTGGGCTAGACATAAAGGTTCTCCACGTCCCCACCAGATTCAGGAGCCCAGCTGGCTTCACCCAGTGGATCCCGCACCGGGGCTGCAGGTGGAGCTGCGTGCCAGTCCCGCGCCGCACGCCCACACTCCTCGGCCCTTGGGTGGTTGATGGGACTGGGCTCCGTGGAGCAGGGGGTGGCGCTCGTCGGGGAGGCTCGGGCCGCACAGGAGCCCATGGAGGGGGTGGGAGGCTCAGGCATGGCGGGCTGCAGGTCCGGAGCCCTGCCCCGCGGGAAGGCAGCTAAGGCCCGGTGAGAAATTGAGCGCAGCGCCGGTGGGCTGGCACTGCTGGGGGACCCAGTACATCCTCCGCAGCCGCTGGCCTGGGCGATAAG
The DNA here is from genome assembly GCF_000001405.40 of Homo sapiens. Classification (NCBI taxonomy): domain Eukaryota; kingdom Metazoa; phylum Chordata; class Mammalia; order Primates; family Hominidae; genus Homo; species Homo sapiens. The sequence continues at coordinate 100,975,826 of NC_000013.11, read as the reverse complement.
TCCCTCATTGCCCGGGCCGGCAGGGCCGGCCCGCTGCTCCGAGTGCGGGGCCCGCCAAGCCCACGCCCACCCGGAACTCCAGCTGGCCAGCAAGCGTCGCAGGCAGCCCAGGTTCCCGCTCGCGCCTCTCCCTCCACACCTCTCTGCAAGCTGAGGGAGCCGGCTCCGGCCTTGGCCAGCCGAGAAAGGGGCTCCCACAGTGCAGCGGTGGGCTGAAGGGCTCCTCAAGTGCCGCCAAAGTGGGAGCCCAGGCAGAGGAGGCGCCGAGAGCGAGCGAAGGCTGTGAGGACCGCCAGCACGCTGTCACCTCTCAATAGGAAATAAAGAAGCTTGGGGTTTTGGTCCATCCTTTCAGTTTTTAAAAGTTTTGCTAATATGCCAGCATCAAACTAAATACTTTAATTTTCACAACAACCCGAGGATATAGGTACAATTGTTTACATGTTTTAGTTTACATGTAAGAGACAGGGACTAAGAGAGGTTAATTTTCCTAGAGGTCCCTGACTTCAAATCCTGTTGTTTATAATATTACCTCTACTACATAGCTTTTAATTTCTGACTTCTATTTTTAAAGAGTTATTATTTCATCTTTTACTCTGTGCTGCTCAATTCCTTTTAGGAAGTGAAAATGGTATCAATTATAAATAAATGTTTCCAAGACAAATCAAAGATAGAAAACACAGGTAGGCAATTGATGAAGTAGGCCTGGACATCAAATGCACTTACATGAAAATACAACCTATGGAAACAATTGTCAGTCAAATGCCTAATATGTACTGCCACAAGCTATGTTATTTATGGAAAACGATATGGCACCTATTTTCTATCCAAAATAGCATGTAGGGCTCCTATGAGATACCTAAGGGTGAGATTTTTAAAAAGGAGAAACTTGATAAGTGAAATATATATACAAAGTCTGAAAAGACTGGAAATAGCTCTCAGATTCTGTCCCCTGAATATGACAGTATCTAGAAGGGCCATCTGCCTTATCCATCTTCTTACTTGGCTGGTGACAAAAATGATATCATCTCATTTTTTCTGCTTAAGACCCTGATCCCTTCTAAAATAAAAATAGTCCTGGGAGGGCTAACAAAGTTCTATCTGTCATTGAGAACGTGATGATGATGACATTCCACCTCTCAGAACACAGCAGGCAGAAATAGGCATGAGACACCAAGTGACTCAATTTAGAGACAGGAAAGAGCCAGTTCTCAATTTTGCCTGGAGTAAGCTCAGAGATACCTTTGCCCTGTTTGAGCTGACATTCTTCAATCCTTAGGCCTTCTATGAAAATAAGTCAATGTTTTTAGAAAGCTAAAGTCCTCTTATTCGCACAGCAAACTGCTGCCAATAACCTTAGTTGTGAGGAAGATGAACACAGTCATTTGCCTTTTTTCTATTGTGACATATTATTAGATGTTTTGCAGATTGACTGGAAAGGGCAATTCTACAGTAGTGGCCACAGATGTTATTGCATCCAGTTATTCTGCTACATCTGGCTCAAAAAAAAAAGGTCACTAAATGGCAACATAAATGCACTTCAGCAGATTTGTTTAGAGTAAGTTTTAGGTGGATTTCCCACAAATCCACCTATGATTGAAAAAGGAGAAACAATTGAAAGATAACACATTGAAGTACATTACAGGAATAAAATAATTGGAGCATAGCTTCAAGAACTTTCACAACTGACAAGTAGACCCATAAGTAAGAAAAATCACTGTTTGTTGTTTTAAGTCACTGAGAAATAGTGCAGTTGTTACACAGTGTTACTGGAAAACAATAGAAAGAATCAAGAAAACCAAAAATTGGTTATTTGAAAAGATCAACAAAATTGACAAACTTTTAACTAGACTGACTAAGGAGAGAAGATGAAACTAACTAAAACCATAAATTAAGGCAAGAATATTACTACCAACTTTATAGAAATTAAAATAAGAGAATAATATGAACAATTATATGCTGTGATAAGTATGTGTATATATGTGTGCATGTATATGTTTGTATATACATATACGTGTGTTTATGTGTGTATGTGTATATGTGTGTATATATGTGTGGACGTATGTGTATATTTGTATATACACACATATGTGTATGTATGTACGTTTTTGCATATATGTGTGTATATATACACATACACATGTCTGCATATACATACATATGTGTATGTGAATATGCACACACATATACACACATACATGCACACATATATACACACATACACATGCACATATATACACACATACACACACATACACACACATATGCACACACGCACATATATATGTATTATATATATAATATATATGTGCGTGTGTGTATATATATGTTTCACCCATGGTTCCTGGCTCATAACTCTCATAGCCCTTGTTATAATAAATAGAATCTCTTTCTCTTACCTTCTAGCAGAAAGGGTCTTGCCTCATACCCCRAMGGAAGGAATGCTACACAGAGAGGCCAAAACGAATCTGGACAGGTCTTGCTAGGTTTAGAGCATGGCTTTTTTGTCCGATCACATTTTGACATGGTTGCCCATGCTTCAGTCATGCCTACATAATGAAGCTTCTATAAAAACTCAAAAGGACTGGGTTCAGAGAGTTTCTGAATAGCTGAACACATGGAGGTTCCTAGAGGGTGATGCACCCAGAGAGGGCATATAAGCTCCCCACCTATTCTCTCTTTCCTCACTCTATGCATCTCTTTATCTGCATCCTTTGTAACAGCCTTTATAATAAAAGGGTAAACATAAGTGTTTCCCTGAGTTCTGTGAGCTGCCCCAGCAAATTCATCTACTCCAAAAAGGAGATCATAGGAATCCAAACTTGAATTCAGTCAGTCAGAAGTTCTGGAGACTTAGACTTGCAATTGGGGTCTGATGGGGCCTGAGGTTTTGGGGACTGAGCCCTCAATCTGTGAGAGACCTGACAATATCTCCAGGTAGATAGTGATGAAATTGAACTGGAGGACACCCAGTTGATGTCTGCTGCAGAATCAATTGCTCACTTGGTGGTGGGGAGAACCCCACCCCCTACATTTGATCACAGAAGTATTATTCTGTGTTGATGATTATTGTGGTATGAGAGCAGACGAAAAGCAGTTTGAGTTTTTTCCAAATATATGCCAACAAATTAAATCTAGATGAAGTGGGCAAATTCTTAGAAACACAAATTACCAAAATAGACTCAAAAAGAAATAGGAACCCTCAATAGACCTATAACAAAGAACAGATTGAATCAGTAATCAAAAACCTTCAGARAAAGGCAAATCCAGGACCAGACAATTTCACTAGTGAAGACTATCAAATATTTAAAAAGGAATGAACACCAGTACTAGTCAAGCTCTTCCAAAAAAATGACAAGGAAGGAATACTTCTTAAAACATTTTATGAGGCCAACATTCCCTGATACCAAAGCCATACAGAGAAACCACTAGAAAACTATAGACCACTGTCTCTTATTAATATAGATGCAAAATCCTCAAAAAAATACTAGCAAACAAAATCCAACATAACATTAAAAGAATTACACACCATGACCAAGTGGGATTTATCTCAGGAATGCAAAGATGGTTCAACATTTAAAAAATCAATACACTATATTAATAGAACTTCAAACAAAGTGAAAAAACCACATGGTGATCTTAACAGATACAGAATATGCACTTTACAAAATGCTGCACCCTTTTATGATAAAAGCACTCACCAAATTAGGACTAGAAGAGAGCTTCCTTAACGTGATAAATGGTATATGTGAAAAACCCATGCTACCATTATACTCAAAGGTGAAAAAATGAAAGATTAGGATTAGGAAAAAGAAAAGAATACCCACTTTTGCCACTGCTATTAAACATTGTACTGGAAATCTTAGCCAAGCATTTAGGCAAGAAAAAGAAATAAAAGTCATCCAAGTTGGAAATAAAGAAATAAAGCTATCTATATTTTCAAATGACATATTCTATATATAGAAAATTACAAATACACACACACAACACACAAACTACTAATGCTAATAAATGGGCTGGGCAGGGTGGCTCACGCCTGTAATCCCAGCACTTTGGGAGGCTGATGCAGTTGGATCACCTGAGGTCAGGAGTTTGAGACCAGCCTGGCCAACATGTTGAAACCCTATCTCTACTAAAAATATAAAAACTAGCTGGGTGTGGTGGTGGGCACCTGCAATCCCAGCTACTCGGGAGGCTGAGGCAGGAGAATCACTTGAACCCAGGAGACGGAGGTTACAGTGAGCTGACACAATGCCACCGCACTCCAGCCTCAATGACAGAGTAAGACTCCACCTCAGAAAATAGATAGATAGATTGATAGATAGATAAAAATAAGCAAAGTTGCAGGGTACAAGAACAACATATAAAATCAGCTATCTTTTTGTACACCAGTAATAAACAATCTGACAAAAATATTAAGTGAACAATTCCATTTACATTAACATCCAAAGAATAAAACACCTGGAAATAAATTTAACCAAGGAAGTGAAAGGCTTGACCACTGAGACCTATAGGATATTGTTGAAAGAAATCAGAGACAATATTAAGAGAAGACAGCCCATGTTAATGGATTGAAAGCTTTAATATTGTTAAGATGGAAATACTCCCCAAAAGGATCGACAGATTCAATATAATCCCATTCAAAATTCTAATGGCTTTTTATTGCAGAAATAGAAAATATGATCCTCAAATTCACATGAAATTGTAAGGCACCCTGAATAGCCAAAATAATCCTCAAAAAGAAGAATAAAGATGAAGGACTCATACATCTCAATTTCAAAATTTACTGCAAAATTTACAGTAATCAAAATAGTGTGGTACTTTCATGAGGATAGACATATAAACCAACAGAACTGCAGTCCAGAAATAAAACCAATATCTATGGCCAATTGATTTTTGACAATGCTTCCAAGACCATTCAATGGGGAAAGAATAGTCTCTTCAATAAATGGTGCTTTGGCAACTGGATAACCACTTGCAAAAGAATAAAGTTGAACCCCTACCTCATACATAAAAAGTAATTCCAAATGGATCAGAAACCCAAATATAAGAGCTAAAACTATAAAACTCTCAGGAGAAAATGTAGAGTAAATCTTCACAATTTGGCAATAGATTCTTGGATATGACACCAAAAACAACAAAAAGAAAAAAATAGATAAATGGGACTTTATCTACATTAAAAAAAAATAAAATTGACACTTTCAAGAAAATGATAGACAACCTACAAAATGAGGTAAAACATCTGCGAATCATACACCTGATTAGGGCCTAGTATCCAAAATATTGAAAGAACACTTTCAACAAAAGACAAAAATTCCAGTTAAAAAATGGGCAATGCATTACTGGGTATATATGCAAAGGATTATAAATCATTCTACTATAAAGACACATGCACACATATGTTTACTGCCACACTATTTACAATAGCAAAGACTTGCAAGCAACCCAAATGCCCATCAATGATAGAATGAATAAAGAAAATGTGGGTTCCAAGATGGCCGAATAGGAACAGCTCCAGTCTACAGCTCCCAGCGTGAGCGACACAGAAGTTGGGTGATTTCTGCGTTTCCAACTGAGATACCGGGTTCATCTCACTGGGACTTCTCAGACAGTGGGTGCAGGACAGTCAGTGCAGCCCACCGAGCGTGAGCCGAAGCATGGCGAGGCATCACCTCACCCGGGAATCGCAAGTGGTCAGGGAATTCCCATTCCTAGCCAAGGGAAGCTGTGACAGATGGCAACTGGAAAATCGGGTCACTCCCACCCTAATACTGTGCTTGTTCAACGGTCTTAGCAAACAGCACACCAGGAGATTATATTCCGCACATGGCTCGGAGGGTCCCACGCCCATGGAGACTCACTCATTGCTAGCACAGCAGTCTGAGATCAAACTGCAAGGCAGCAGTGAGGCTGGGGGAGGGGCACCCACCATTGCTGAGGCTTGAGTAGGTAAACAAAGCAGCTGGGAAGCTCGAATTGCGTGGAGCCCACTGCAGCTCAAGGAGGCCTGCCTGCCTCTGTAGACTCCACCTCTGGGGGGCAGGGCATAGCCGAACAAAAGGCAGCAGAAACCTCTGCAGACTTAAATGTCCCTGTCTGACAGCTTGGAAGACAGTAGTGGTTCTCCCAGCACGGAGTTTGAGATCTGAGAACAGTCAGATTGCCTCCTCAAGTGGGTCCATGACCCCCAAGTAGCCTAACTGGGAGGCACCACCCAGTAGGGGCAGACTGACACCTCACATGGCAGGTACTCCTCTGAGATGAAGCTTCCAGAGGAACGATCAGGCAGCAATATTTGCTGCTCAGCAGTATTCGCTGTTCTGCAACCTCCACTGCTGATACCCAGGCAAACAGGGTCTGGAGTGGACCTCCAGCAAACTCCAACAGACCTGCAGCTGAGGGTCCTGTCTGTTAGAAGGAAAACTAACAAACAGAAAGGACATCCACACCAAAACCCCATCTGTACGTCACCATCATCAAAGACCAAAGGTAGATAAAACCACCAAGATAGGGAAAAAACAGCAGAAAAGCTGAAAATTCTAAAAATCAGAGCGCCTCTCCCCCTCCAAAGGAACACAGCTCCTCACCAGCAACGAAACAAAGCTGGACAGAGAATGACTTTAACAAGTTGAGGGAAGGCTTCAGATGATCAAACTTCTCCGAGCTAAAGGAGGAATTTCGAACCCATCACAAAGAAGCTAAAAACCTTGAAAAAAGATTAGATGAATGGCTAACTGGAATAACCAATGAAGAGAAGGCCTTAAATGACTTCATGGAACTGAAAACCATGGCATGAGAACTACGTGACAAAGGCACAAGCTTCAGTAGCCGATTCGATCAAGTGGAAGAAAGGGTATCAGTGATTGAAGATCAAATTAATGAAATGAAGTGAGAAGAGAAGTTTAGAGAAAAAGAGTAAAAAGAAACAAACAAATCCTCCAAGAAATATGGGACTATGTGAAAAGACCAAATCTACGTCTGATTGGTGTACCTGAAAGTGACGGGGAGAATGGAACCAAGTTGGAAAACACTCTGCAGGATATTATCCAGGAGAACTTCCCCAACCTAGCAAAGCAGGCCAACATTCAAATTCAGGAAATACAGAGAACACCACAAAGATACTCCCTGAGAAGAGCAACTGCAAGACACATAATTGTCAAATTCACCAAAGTTGAAATGAAGGAAAAAATGCTAAGGACAGCCAGAGAGAAAGGTCAGGTTACCCATCAGAAACTTCCAAAGGGAAGCCCACCAGACTGACAGTGGCTCTCTCAGCAGAAACTCTACAAGCCAGAAGAGAGTGGGGGCCAATATTCAACATTCTTAAAGAAAAGAATTTTCAACCCAGAATTTCATATCCAGCCAAACTAAGCTTCATAAGTGAAGGACAAATAAAATCCTTTACAGACAAGCAAATGCTGAGAGATTTTGTCACCACCAGGCCTGACCTCAAGAGCTCCTGAAGGAAGCACTAAACATGGAAAGGAACAACCGGTACCAACCACTGCAAAAACATGCCACATTGTAAAGACCATCAAGGCTAGGAAGAAACTGCATCAACTAACGAGCAAAATAACCAGCTAATATCATAATGACAGGATCAAATTCACACATAACAATATTAACCTTAAATGTAAATGGGCTAAATGCTCCAATTAAAAGACACAGACTGGCAAATTGGATAAAGAGTCAAGAACCATCAGTGTGCTGTATTCAGGAGACCCATCTCACGTGCAGAGACACACATAGGCTCAAAATAAAGGGATGGAGGAAGATCTACCAAGCAAATGGAAAACAAAAAAAGGCAGGGGTTGCAATCCTAGTCTCTGATAAAACAGACTTTAAACCAACAAAGATCAAAAGAGACAAAGAAGGCCATTACATAATGGTGAAGGGATCAATTCAACAAGAAGAGCTAACTATCCTAAATATATATGCACCCAATACAGGAGCACCCAGATTCATAAAGGAAGTCTTTAGAGACCTACAAAGAGACTTAGACTCCCGCACAATAATAATGGGAGACTTTAACACCCCACGTCAACATTAGACAGATCAACGAGACAGAAAGTTAACAAGGATATCCAGGAATTGAATTCAGCTCTGCACCAAGCAGACCTAATAGACATCTACAGAACTCTCCACCCCAAATTAACAGAATATACATTCTCTCAGCACCACATCACACTTATTCGAAAATTGACCACATAGTTGGAAGTAAAGCACTGCTCAGCAAATATCAAAGACTAGAAATTATAATAAACTGTCTCTCAGACCACAGTGCAATCAAACTAGAACTCAGGATTAAGAAATTCACTCAAAACCGCTCAACTACATGGAAACTGAGCAACCTGATCATGAACGACTACTGGGTGCATAACGAAATGAGGGCAGAAATAAAGATGTTCTTTGAAACCAATGAGAACAAAGACACAACATACCAGAATCTCTGGGACACATTTAAAGCACTGTGCAGAGGGAAATTTGTAGCACTAAATGCCCACAAGAGAAAGTGGGAAAGATCCAAAATTGAAACCCTAACATCACAATTAAAAGAACTAGAGAAGCAAGAGCAAACACATTCAAAAGCCAGTAGAAGGCAAGAAATAACTAAGATCAGAGCAGAACTGAAGGAGATAGAGACTCAAAAACCTTTCAAAAAATCAATGAATCCAGGAGCTGGATTTTTGAAAAGATCAACAAAATTGATAGACCGCTAGCAAGAATAATAAAGAAGAAAAGAGAGAAGAATCAAATAGACACAATAAAAAATGATAAAGGGGATATCACCACTGATCCCACAGAAATACAAACTACCATCAGATAATACTATAAACATCTCTACACAAATAAACTAGAAAATCTAGAAGAAAGGGATAAATTCCTGGACACATACACCCTCCCAAGACTAAACCAGGAAGAAGTTGAATCCCTGAATAGACCAATAACAGGCTCTGAAATTGAGGCAATAATTAATAGCCTGCCAACCAAAAAAAGTCCAGGACCAGATGGGTTCACAGCCGAATTCTACCAGAGGTACAAGGAGGAGCTGGTACCATTCCTTCTGAAACTATTCCAATCAATAGAAAAAGAGGGAATCCTCCCTAACTCATTTTATGAGGCCAGCATCATCCTGACACCAAAGCCGGGCAGAGACACAACAAAAAAAGAGAATTTTAGACCAATATCCTTGATGAACATCAATGCAAAAATCCTCAATAAAATACTGGCAAACCAAATCCAGCAGCACATCAAAAAGCTTATCCACCATGATCAAGTGGGCTTCATCCCTGGGATGCAAGGCTGGTTCAATATACGCAAATCAATAAACGTAATCCAGCATATAAACAGAACCAAAGACAAAAACCACGTGATTATCTCAATAGATGCAGAAAAGGCCTTTGACAAAATTCAACCGCCCTTCATGCTAAAAACTCTCAATAAATTAGGTATTGATGAGACGTATCTCAAAATAATAAGAGCTATTTATGACAAACCTACAGCCAATATCATACTGAATGGGCAAAACCTGGAAGCATTCACTTTGAAAACTGGCACAAGACAGGGATGCCCTCTCTCACCACTCCTATTCAACATAGTGTTGGAAGTTCTGGCCAGGGCAATCAGGCAGGAGAAAGAAATAAAGGGTATTCAATTAGGACAAGAGGACATCAAATTGTCCCTGTTTGCAGATGACATGATTGTATATTTAGAAAACCCCATTGTCTCAGCCCAAAATCTCCTTAAGCTGATAAGCCACTTAGCAAAGTCTCAGGATACAAAATCAATGTGCAAAAATCACAAGCATTCTTATACACCAATAACAGACAAACAGAGAGCCAAATCATGAGTGAACTCCCATTCACAATCGCTTCAAAGAGAATAAAATACCTAGGAATCCAACTTACAAGGGATGTGAAGGGCCTCTTCAAGGAGAACTACAAACCACTGCTCAAGGAAATAAAAGAGGACAGAAACAAATGGAAGAACATTCCATGCCCATGGATAGGAAGAAACAACATCGTGAAAATGGCCATAGTGCCCGAGGTAATTTAGAGATTCAATGCCATCCCCGTCAAGCTACCAATGACTTTTTTCACAGAATTGGAAAAAAACTACCTTAAAGTTCATATGGAACCAAAAAAGAGCCCGCATCGCCAAGACAATCCTAAGCCAAAAGAACAAAGCTGGAGGCATCACGCTACCCGACTTCAAACTCTACTACAAGGCTACAGTAACCAAAACAGCATGGTACTGGTACCAAAACAGAGATACAGACCAATGGAACAGAACAGAGCCCTCAGAAATAATACCACACATCTAAAACCATCTGATCTTTGACAAACCTGACAAAAACAAGAAATGGGGAATATTTAACAAATGGTGCTGGGAAAACCGGCTAGCCGTATGTAGAAAGCTGAAACTGGATCCCTTCCTTACACCTTATACAAAAATTAATTCAAGATGGATTAAAGACTTACATGTTAGACCTAAAACCATAAAAACCCTAGAAGAAAACCGAGGCAATACCATTCAGGACATAGGCATGGGCAAGGACTTCATGTCTAAAACACCAAAAGCAATGGCAACAAAAGCCAAAATTGACAAATGGGGCCTAATTAAACTAAAGAGCTTCTGCAAAGCAAAAGAAACTACCATCAGAGTCAATAGGCAACCTACGGAATGGGAGAAAATTTTTGCAATCTACTCATCTGACAAAGGGCTAATATCCAGAATCTACAAAGAACTCAAACAAATTTACAAGAAAAAAATAAACAACCCCATCAACAAGTGGGCAAGGGATATGAACAGACACTTCTCAAAAGAAGACATTTATGCAGCCAACAGACACATGAAAAAATGCTCATCATCACTGGCCATCAGACAAATGCAAATCAAAACCACAGTGAGATACCATCTCACACCAGTTAGAATGGCGATCATTAAAAAGTCAGGAAACAACAGGTGCTGGAGAGGATGTGGAGAAATAGGAACACTTTTACACTGCTGGTGGGACTGTAAACTAGTTCAACCATTGTGGAAGACAGTGTGGCTATTCCTCAAGGATCTAGAACTAGAAATACCATTTGACCCAGCCATCCCATTACTGGGTATATACCCAAAGGATTATAAATCATGCTGCTATAAAGACATGCACACGTATGTTCATTGAGGCACTATTCACAATAGCAAAGACTTGGAACCAACCCAAATGTCCATCAGTGATAGACTGGATTAAGAAAATGTGGCACATATACACCATGGAATACTATGCAGCCATAAAAAATGATGAGTTCATGTCCTTTTTAGGGACATGGATGAAGCTGGAAACCATCTTTCTCAGCAAACTATCGCAAGGACAAAAAACCGAACACCGCATGTTCTCACTCATAGGTGGGAATTGAACAATGAGAACACTTGGACACAGGAAGGGGAACATCACACACCGGGGCCTGTCGTGGGGTGCGGGGAGGCGGGAGGGATAGCATTAGGAGATATACCTAATGTAAATGACGAGTTAATGGGCGCAGCACACCAACATGGCACATGTATACATATGTAACAAACCTGCATGTTGTGCACATGTACCCTAGAACTTAAAGTATAATTTAAAAAAAAAAAAGAAAATGTGGCACATATACACCATGGAATACTACGCAGCCATAAAAAAGAATGAGTTCATGTCCTTTGCAGGGACATGGATGAAGCTGGAAACCATCATTCTCAGCAAACTAACACAGGAACAGAAAACCAAACATCACATGTTCTCACTCATAAGTGGGAGCTGAACAATGAGAACACATGGACACCGGGGAGGGGAATATCACACACCAGGGCCTGTCAGGGGGTGGGGGGCAAGGGTAAGGATAGCATTAGGAGAAATACCTATTGTAGATGACGGGTTCATGGGTGCAGCAAACCACCATGGCACATGTATACCTATATAACAAATCTGCACACTCTGTACATGTATCCCAGAACTTAAAGTATAATACTTTAAAAAATGGGCAATGGACATGAACATATATTTCATGTACAAATAACCAAAAAGCCCACAAAAGGTTAATCAACTTAATTGGTCATTAAGGAAATGCAAATCAAAACATAATGAGATACCACTTCACCCACATTGGAATAGCTATAATAGACAAAAAAATAAATAAATAAATAAAGGAAATAACAAGTGCTGCCGAAGATGTAGAGAAACAGGCACCTTCATGCATTGCTGGTGGTAATGTGAAACGGTGCAGCCACTGGAAAACAGCCTGGCAACTCCTCAAAATGTTAAACATAGAATTATCTTATGATCCAGCAGTTCTACTTCTAGGTATATATCTAAAAGAAATGAAAACATATGAACACCAAACATGAATGTTTATAGCAGCATTTTTCGTAACAGCCGAAAGGTAGGAACTACCCAAATGTTCATCATTGGATGAATGGATAAACAAATTGTGCCATATACATACAATGGAATATTATTCAGCCATAAAAAGGAACAAAATACTGCTACATGCTACAAGTTGGATGAATCTGGAAACGATTATGAATTGCTCACTTTAAAATGGTAAACTGTATGTTGTGTGAATTTCACCTCAATAAATATGGTCATATCATTACAGAGATGAAGATAGCTGGTAAACAGTGGTTGCTTCTAGAGACTAGGAGTTGGAGCGGGGGAGAGATTCCCAGTAGGGAACTATCACTTCCTATTTTAAGTCTTTGCATATATTTATTGATTGATTTCCATATTTCCATATTTTTATTTTAACTCTGTGCATGTATTACTTCAGTGAAAAAAGTTTTAATTATTTTTAAAAGACAAGTGTTCCAGGATGCTGGAAGTACTGGCAGTTCTCTGTGGATCCTCAGGAAACACCTGAGAATGAGCCCTTCTTTTACACACATAGAATAACCACTCTCCAGAAATCTCTGCAGAAGTGAAATCCAAGGTTGGCATTTGGCAGGCAGGGGAATGTAAATGCCAGATTGTGAGCTGGAATTCAAGAGGTTGCTGAAATGAGATCCCCGAAGCTTTTGTCCCATGGTGACCACCCAGCTCCAGCTGCTGAATTCATCATGTCATCATCCTCACTGTGAGTCTGGATTCCTTCCTGATGTTCCATTAGGTGTCCTCTTGTAGCGTCTTTTGAGCCTGTTCCAAAACTCATCTCAACACTTTCTGGATAATAAACTACACATCCAATCCATCAGCAAGACTTGCCAGTTTTACTTCCAGAATGTGTGTCCAGCGGGCTCTGTTTTCACCATCTTCACTATCAATTCTTACCACCACTGCCACCACAAAACCAAATTGTTTATATTGGGACAAGTGCAGAAGCCCCTAAGCGCTGCCCCTCCATCCACACTTACCTCCAGCTCAGTCTCCGTTCACCAACCACAGTGATGCTTTAATAAAATCGTTATGTCACACTCTTGCTTGAAACCTTTCAATGGATCCCTCTTACTCTTCAAATATTCCCAAATTCTACCCGTAGCTGACAAGGCCCCACATTATTTGGCCCTCTCCAGTTTATTGTCTCTCTCTTTCTTGGCCTTCTCTTTTTTTCCTACTCACCCCAGGACCATCACACACGCTCTTCAACCCTCCGGGATGCAGGGCATCCCACAAACACCGACCCTGTTCTCTCCTGGCTGACTCCTTCATGTCCTAGGTGGAAAGGCACACGGTATGGAGACGCTAGCCCCAACCCCAACCAGCTCAGGTTTACCTGCTGCTCAATCTACTGCTTTTCCTTAGTAACAGCCTGATATTAATTAGATCGTATTTAATTATTAGTCTGATTTCTCTCTCTTTCACTAGACTATACACTCCATGAATAAGGGTAAGGACTGAGGCCATTTGTGAACTACTGTTCTTCACCCCTTAACACAGGGTTTGACACATAGTAGATGCATCAGAGATGCAACTGAATTAATGAATGCATGAGTAAATGAGTAAAGATTATTTCTCTCTCTTAAGGAAAAAGACATTTGTGGTTGAATGTCTACTACATTTACAAGTTAAATTAAAATTTTTATTTATAAGCTGCTTATAAATCTTAACCAGGATGAATAAAGGCATATATCGCAATGCCTAAAGGTAGGAAACTCATTAAAAATGAGGAAGAACACTTTAAAATAGGACTCTCACAATTGTGTGCACCAGTGCATCTGTTCCAATTACAAATCACCAGTTTGAGAAAGTGGCAAGTAATTCTGATGCAAGTATTTTTAATAAAGAACTTATTCAAAAATGTTAAAACCCAAGGTAACAATACTTCCGGACTTCAGAGCACAGTGACATCATTAACGCAAGGTTAGGTCACAAAGCCCTCAGTGAGTTTCGGTGTGATTTTAAGTAATTCAAGGAGCTGCTTTATTATTCTGGTTGGTCACTCAGAATGCTACACATGTAAAGCAAAGTGGCAAGTTCCCATAGCAATGCCTTTTTACCAGAAGCGTTTACCGTTATGGCTCCCTCATCTTTTCGTGGTCTGAATTCTTCCTGATTCAGTCAGACTGCAGCTACGTATTAGCCTTAAATTAGAATTTGACAAGAATTTGTGATGCTAACTTTCCAGAGGAGAAATACTGAGCCCTGGGTGTGCAGCCAGGGCAGCTCTAGGATGGGGCACAAGCCCACTGTGTCACTCACACCTTCTGCCACGTGTGCCCCTGAACCATGTTATATTTGCATCATGTACATTTTGGAATGTTTTTATGTCTCCCCAAAGTCAGGAATTAGGAGTTGCAGACCCTCACCTCTCCATATGTGGAGAAACCAATTTTCAGAAGGTTGAAGTGTCTTGTCCACAATATCAAATCCAGTTCTGGAGCTAGGACCTTCAGCTTATTCATTTATTAAGCCAATATGTAATGGGTGCCTACTGTTTCCAGGCACTATTCTAAGTTCTCAGGAACACATCAGTTTTTTTTGTTTGTTTGTTTTAAAGACAACTATTTTTGCTTTCATGGAGTTTATGTTCTAGCAGAAAAATATGCAGGTTGTAATTTTTTTTTTTTGACATCAAATTATTTTGAATTTTATTTGAATACAGAATTCCATGGTTAATAAATAAAATTATCTTAATAAATTTTCAATTTTTAGATTCTAGAAATCCTAGATTTTCAATTTATGATGGAGAAGTGCAATAGAATACTTTTTAAATTTTAAATAGGGAGGTCAAGATAGGCCTCCATGAGAAGAAGACATTTGAGTAAAGAGGTGCGAGAATTGCCCTGAGAAGGTCTCTGGAGGCCCACCCAAGCAGAGCCGTAAGGCCCTAGTTCAGACATAATAACTGAGGGCTGGGAATGAGGATTACTGACAGTGAAGTTGGCGGAAAAAGAACCTGCTAGACACATATTTTGGAAGTAGAGCTGACTTGTCTCGCCGATTAACTGGACTGGTGGTTTGCGCTTTCTCCAGAAGGTGTAGAGATGATTTTTGAAACAGGTTCAAGGCACTAGATGGAGACACCTGATGAAACATCACTAATGAATCTGTCTCAGGCCAACATTGAGCTGTTTGATGGCTGAGAAAAAGAAGGAAGACTTTGCTGAGTAGAAAGAGAGAGGGAGAGAGTCTTAATAGGGGAGGCCAAAGAAGGAAGAGGAGCTAAGACTGCAGAGCCTTGTAAGCCACTAGAAACCCTGTGGCTTTTATTCTAAGGGAAATGAGGGGCCAGTAGAGAGTTCTGACAGAGAGATGCATGGTCTGCCATTGGTGTTCACCAGGCTGCTAGGTTGATGTCAGTCTGTCAAGGACAAGCATGGAATAGGAAATCCAGTGGGAGGCTGCTACAGCAATCCAAGCTTGAGATGATGGCGACTTGGACCAACATGTTGGCAATGGAGGTGATGAGAAGTGGTCAGAATTCAGACGTATTGTGTATTATGGAGACAAAGGCAACAGAATGTGCTGATGGGTTGGATGTGAGAGAAAGAGAGGAATCAGGGATAGCCATAACGTTTTTGGCCTGAGCAACTAGAAGCATGGCACTGCCAAGCACCGAGGGGGATAAACTGAGTGGGCAGGTTAGGGAAGGAGGAACAGGAGGTCAGTTTTAGATCAGTTAAGGTTAAGATGCCTGCCTGAGAGATGTCCAGGATACTGTTGGATGTACAAGTCTGGGCTTCTGCAGGCACTTTCCGGCTGAAATGCTAATTCCTGGTACAGTGCTCATCTAAGCTTGCTGTACTTCTCCATAGCCATAGCTTGGATTTCTCCAGATTGAGAAGCACAGTGGTGAAGCTAAATTGTGCTGCTCTCAAATCTGCACTGGCCTTATTTCCGAGAAAAATAACCAGTCATCCTGCATTTCACCTAAGAAGACCTTCAATCAAGGAGACTCCCGCCCGTCTTAGTATGGCAGAAACCCAACTGCAGAACTTCAGACACAGTGAGAAATGGAACTTCATACGCTTGCACTGTAATTGAATATGGTTCCATTTCTCCAATATCTATAGTATATTTAATCATTTTCCTACTCTATCAGGAGGATGAAATTTTGTTTTTTATATCCTTGTAAGACAAAATTGTAAAAGTCTGGGTAAGATCAAAAGTAGCTGAGTTGATCCAAAAGAGCCACACTCAATGCATCTAAATAACCTCGTCTTTGGTTAACAAGGAATCGATGCCAGTGGAATGATCATATTTTAAAACCTCCCCTATAAAATGTGACATATGCATCCCCATGTGTCAGTGTAATCTCTGCTGAAAATATTTCAGTGAATGACGAGTTGATTGGCCCCAATTTGAAAAGCATAGTGTATAAAAACATAATTTCAGGGGGCCAACATTATGACAGATTCTATATTCTGCTCATACACAGAACTGGTTTGAACTGTTTTGAGAATTTTGATAGTCTGTAAATGCCTGCAGCCAAGAAACTTGGCCAGATCGGAGAAGGAGGAAACGGAAGGAAGGAAATTCACAACTGTTGGGCAACTATTCTCAGCCAGGCAATGCTTGAGAGAAAATGGCAGGGCAAGGGGACTGATAGATAATCATTGTTTTCACCACCAAAGGAACAGCAGCATAGAGATGAAAAGAACACTGGTTTTGTAAATGCAGACCCCTCGTGCAAATCCCAGCTCTTTCTCTTACTGTGAGATGTCAAATTATGTCACTTATCTGACCCTTGACTTTTACATCTGTGAAAGGAGGGTAACAATAGATGCTTTCTAGGTAGCTATGAAAATTGAACTAGGTTTTATTTGCATACTCTCTCTCTCACACACGCACACAATGTGCTTGACTTATTTCTAATGTCAATGTATTACACATGGCATGTTAATAAGGCTCCAATATGATATGGAAGATATCTGAACCACACAGAAGGTATACACCACGCTTTAGAGGACCAAAGAAAAAATGAAAAATGCAGGTCATTTCTGCTAAGATGCCATACAGGGTATTGTCATTCAACAGCTTAGAGACTTGAAAGAATAAACAAAGCCCAACGCAGGTCTCTGTTTTCTGTCCACTATACATGTCAGCCACGTTGGAGCTCTCTCCTGTGGTCTCCTCATTCATTTTAGTTGAGCATATCTCAAAACCTATGGCCTCGTCAGTTAAAAGCCACCAAAAGAAATTCTGATTTAAAATGTATAAGGTATATCAGTGAAAAGGTTTCCTGATTATTTGGGGGAGTCGAAGACATAAAAAAAAAACTTTGTAAAAATTCCTCTGCAGTTTTCTATCAATAAACACCTTGCCTGGTATTAATGAGAAGCATCCGTAAGAGAAGTCTGCTCTGCAAACTGCTGATTCATAAGGGATTTTAATTCCTTTGTTACTTTTTTTTTGGCCTGCTGTGAAAACAGGAAGGATGAGGACCAATTCCAAATCCTGGATCACAGCAGAAAGTCCAGAAAAATGGATGGCATATGGAGGCTGGGGATTAAGCAGGAAGGTGAGAGGGTAGTGAGAATCAAAACCCTGGAGAGAGAGAGAGGAGGAAAGCCAAAAACGAAGGAAGTTGGCTTGCCGATCCCATCCCAAGGGGACCTTAACTTTCAAATGAGAATGGTGCCTCCGATTTGCTCTTTAAGCAAATATTGATTGGGTTTTTCAGAGTGACTCTAATGTGAGAAATTCTGTGACTCTGCTAGAAGCAAGAGTGGATAGATTGGCACCTTCTCCATTGAATTTGCCATCAAGCCAGATGAAGAAATAAACAATAACAAGTGAGGGGAGGAAAGTCATTGCTCAACTCTTCCTCAATTTTTTTTTTGCACCAGTCTTCTCTTGCATAACAAAATCATCTCAAGAAACAGCATCTGTTTTGGGGGAATTGAAGAAAGAAACCCAAAATTTGAGACTGCAGCATACTTGCTGAGTATGAAGTGCTTTCATTTGAAAACTCTGATCTACCTACATACTGGGAACCTCCTTGGGAAAGATGGGACACATCTTGTATGGCAAGGAGACCTCCACTGTGACCCATGCAATGGCATGCACTGAGCAGAGGGACAGCTCAAAGCCACAAGCAGGGACACCACAGAGAGGTGCGCTGCAATAGGATCAAGGTCAAGGATACAGGTCTGTGGTGCTAGGGGCTCCAGCTTAATCCATGACCAGAGAAGGTGTTCAAAACCTGGGCTCTATGCAGTAAGGTCTCTGCCATGTAGCGTGGCCTCAAGCTGCCTCCTGCCTGGAAGAGGGAAGGAAGCACTTAGGCCAACTTTGCTGTGGGCCTTAATGGACAATACTCTTTGTCACTGGTACACTTTTCCTTGGTTTCATCTTTTCCTGACTCTTTTGTCATCAGAGAGTTAAGATTCAAGAGTAAGATCAGGTGTAAACTGAAGGAAAAGAAGTCACATATAGCCTGAGTCCCATGCCAGAGAGACAAGGGTAATCCCTGTGACTCATGTGTCCCAGCCCAGCCACACAGGACTCCCTACACACATGGAGCAATGCCCCATAAGGGGCATGGGAGAGAATCAGGGGGACTTCTCTTGGCAAGGAGGGGAATGTACACTTTTCACTTAGCAAACGAGCTGCATGCACACACACACACACAAGTGTGTATGTGTTTTCGTACTTTCCATATTTTCTACTACAAACATATTTTGACATCACAGAACCACAAGTGTTATAAAATGAAGATGAGCACCTAAAACACTTAGACCCTAAGGTATACTGACTTACTCAGCTAACCACACTCAACAATTTTTTGAATTATCACCTCTCCCACTGTTTCTGAGATTTGAACTGTTCAACAAACAAATGCTGCTCACTGTTCACTGTGAAATATTCATTTATTACCACTGGGTTCTGAAGCAGGTACAACCCATCTTCACATTAGCACATCCCTTACTATGGATCCATTGAAAAGCACTACATAGTTGCTTTTGTTTCATCCTACTTAAACCCTCTTAAAGCAAACGTCAAAAATTATTTCGTGAGTTTAAAAATGCACTGATGAGTATATACCCAAAACAATTGAAAACAGTGTTCCCAAGGGAGACAGTTGTACACCCATGTTCACAGAAGCATTGTTCACAATAGCCAAAGGTGGAAGCAACACAAGTGCCTGCTGACAGATGACCCAATAAACAAAATGTGATATATGCACACAATGAGAATTTTTCAACTTTTGAAAGGAAAAAGAATCTGACACATGCTACAACATGGATGAACCGTGCGGACATTATGCTAAGTGAAAAAATCCAGTCACAAAAAAAGACAGACACCGTATGAGTCCACTTGGATGAGGTACCTAGAGTAATCCCATTCACACAGACAGCAAGCAGAATGGTGGTTTCCAGGGCCCAGGCGTAAGGGCGAATCAGAAGTTTTGTATAATGGGTGCAGAGTTTCAGTTTTGCGAGATGAGAAGAGTGCCGGAGATTCATCGCACAACAATGTGAAGGTACTTAACACTACGAAACTGTATGCTCAAAAATGGTTACGATGGTAAATTTTATGTTATGTGTGTTTTGCCACAATTGAATTTTTTTTAATTTAAAATGTATCATACAGGGCCAGGTGCAGTGGCTTACACCTGTAGTCCCAGCTACTTGGGAGGCTGAGGTGGGAGAATTGCTTGAGCCCGGGTAGTCGAGGCTGCAGTGAGCCGTGACTGTGTTACCACACTCCAGCCTGGGTGACACAGCAAGACGTCGTCTCAAAAAATAAATAAAAGTAAAAATAAAATGTATTGGGCCGGGCTTGGTGGCTCATGCCTGTAATCCTAGCACTTTGGGAGGCCGAGGCGGGTGGATCACAAGATCAGGAGTTCGAGACCATCCTGGCCAACATGGTGAAACCTCGTCTCTACTAAAAATACAAAAATTAGCCGGGCGTGGTGGCACATGCCTGTAATCCCAGCTACTTGGGAGGCTGAGGCAGGAGAATCACTTGAACCCGGGAGGCGGAGGTTGCAGTGAGCCAAGATCACACCATTGCACTCCAGCCTGGACAACAAGAACAAGACTCTGTCTTAAAAAAATAATAAATAAATAAAATATATCATACAATCTATCATTCTGTTAAATGAAAAAGACTATAGGAAAGAGGTGAAATTTCAGCAGGTACGCTTGGCAAAGAGTGTGGCTGGGAGAACAGAAGTATTGGGAAGGGATTCAGAGGCAAAGGGAGCAACACTGAGAAATCCATCTGGAATCCACTGGCATGCTGCCAATCAATTCTTGATAGAGTGAGCGTCTCTAAGGGCTAGGGACGTCCTTGTGTGAAAGTACTGTCAGCAGAATGCTAGCTAGGACTGGAGGGGAAAAGGCTCTTGAGGTAGTGAAGGTCTTGAAGCTAAGGGGATAGCTTTGGGTGTGGATGGACATGAGGGGTAATAGCGACTGTAGGAGTTGGATGAGAGAGGTGATGCTGTCAGAGCAGCGGGTGAGAAAAATGAAGTTGGCAGCTGCATGAAGGATTGACTGCAGGGAGCCATGCCAGAAGCGGGAAAGCCAGTGAGGAATGGATTGTAATTATTGGTCTTGGAACATAAGCATTTCCTTGCCATTAAATTGATCTGGCCACAATAAGTCACAGTATTTACCCAGTCCTACAATAAAATGGCTCAGTATTTTCCAGTAACAAGTTTCCAAGGAAACCCCAATATTAAAGTCCCAACAGATGCAAAAGGAAAATATTGAAGAAAGGGAACCTTAGACGAGGGGGGAAAATGAGGAGAAATACAAAGACTAACATATAGGGAAATATATTGCGAAACCAATTTGTATCGGCAAACTAGAAATCCTCTTTTTTTTCCAAAAATAGCTGAACCATGTAGCACTAGCCAAGGCAATATATTAACATATCACACATTGATGAGTATTTCTTCTTAAGAGTGTTGAATAAGCAAAAACTGTAATAAGAGAGAATCATGTGCACTAAAAAGAAGCAGAGAAGAAAGAAAGCATCAAATATTTTATGGAAGAGTAAGGGTCCCATTCCTAGTGGAGCATGGGGTATGAGTAAGGCAGAGGCAGGGAAAAGTGTGTGTATGTACGTGCGTGTCACACACATGCTAGAGTGCTATAGGGCTGGTGGCTGCATATGGCGGAAAGTACGGGGCAGAGCCCCAGACCAAAGGATGGCGTGATGGTGCTGACTCACATATAGACCTGATTGTCAAAGATATTTGCTGGTGAGAATGAGCTCATGAAAGAGCATGGATATTGCTAAAAATAACTTATATTTAAACCTCAGTTCAGGATACTTCTGATGTGCCTTGGAAAGGCAACTTAACCTCATGAAGTCTCAATAAATATATGTCAAAAACAAAATGAATGCACTTAGTTGAGATGATTAGAAATAATGTGCATAGAATGCCTGGAATAGTGCCTGACATAGTAGGTGCTGAAACAAACAAACAAACAAAAAACAGTAGCTATGATGAAAATAGTGTGGTATTACTTATATATGTATATATAAACTACTATTGATCATTTCAAGGAAATTTACCTAGTCACATACCTTTTCAACAACACACATTTACTGAGCATCTGTTATATGGCAAGTATTAGGTGTTGAAGGGATATACCACATCTCTGCCTTTAACAAGCTTAGAATGTACGCTGATGTACCAGTATATGTGCTCTTCAGAGCCTCCTATGTGGATACCAAGATGGTCAGGTGCACAGGTGAGAACCTCAGCTGATGGAAGATGGGAGGACTCTGGTCACTGTCCGCCAAAGGCCCAGGCCAAGGTCACAGTCACCCTGTGATGTGCAGTGCTTTCCCTATCGGAAGGAGGGCTTGAAGACCCTGGGGCCTAAATTCCCATAGAATCAGAAATGGACCCGCTCAGATTGCTCAGCTACCATGCTTCAGGAAGTGGAAGAAGAGGAGCAATGTGAAGAAGGGAGTCCTCAGATGCAGGAGGGGCAGCCAGCTGACCCAGAGAGGAAGGCCGTCAGCTGGGTCTCTCTTGGCAGCACCACCACATCCCAAACCCACAGGGAGTTCCTGGCCACAGCAAAGAGCCAGAGGCCTGAGGGTGCTGCTACCAAAAGAGAAGATAGTTGTGAAGAATGAGTGAGTCTCTCCATCCCCATGGCCCACAACACAGTCATTTTGATCTCCTTTTTCAAACAGATATTCAGCAACCTCCAGGGACCTCTCTCATGGACCGTGTTGCATTCAGCCAGCCATTTTCATGTTCTGCAGCTGCGCGAGCTCACCCCTGACGAGCTAACTCCCATCATGTTGGATGCCCCCACCTCTGTGAGGGAGAGCAGAACATCAGGGAAGGCAGACATCGAGCAACACAGAATGCCACGTGGTGCTGCTCGGGGAACAGTGATTTTCAATGAGATGGCACGGAAAATCATATGAGGATGGAGAGGCTCGAAAGAGGTGTCAAAGGAAAGATACTCACAGATGAGGGGGATGAATAGAGAGGGCAGCAGGAAGACTGCTGGGGGTTCATGTGGAGGAGGAGGTGGAGAGGGAACAGAAGAGCAGATCAGGAGACAGTTCTCAAAGATACAGAACATCAGGCCCACTCTGTAGACAATGGGATTGTTCATGCCACACAGAAAATGAACGCAGGATTATTCACTTGGCAACTGCAACTCAAGATGCTGCAGTGGAATTCTTCTTGTCCCTCCCCCATTCCATATGCACTTCTGCTTCCTGAATCCCTGTCTCCGCTTATGATACCACCACCCACCCATTTCCCTACATAGAAACTCTGGAGTCATCCTTCACTGCTCTTTGTCCTGGGTCCCCTACATCCATGCAGACATTCATCCTTATCTACACCAGTTTCTCTAAATAGCTCTCAGCATCCTCTCCTCTTCTCCATCCCTGCTGCTACTACGACCATTCAGGCCCTCACCCCTTTCTTGATCAATTTGCCTCTAACTTCAATGTCACTCAGTGTATTCTCTGCACTGTCCATCTCCTGCCACCGAGCTGGTTGCTCTCAAATTCAAAAACAGCCAAGCTGCCGCCATCTATTCCCACTATTTCACCAGCTCCCTATGGTTTTCATAAGAAAGTCCCCACAAGAAAGTCCTGGCTTGTCATGGGAGACCCTTCATGATCTAGTGCTCACCTATCTCTCCTGTCTCATCAACCATTCTCCCTGTCCCCCAGACACCTTGTCCTCTGGCTTTATCAAACTCCCTGCTGTCCCTTGTACCAAGAATGGTCCAGGTTGCTCCCACCTCAGGACCTTTTGCATGTGCTGTTGTTTTCAGACCAATGTCCTATTCCCTCCATTGTCTTGATTCACCCAATGAGTATTTCCT
This sequence comes from Homo sapiens, assembly GCF_000001405.40. NCBI lineage: Eukaryota > Metazoa > Chordata > Mammalia > Primates > Hominidae > Homo > Homo sapiens. The sequence goes on along the minus strand of NC_000013.11, from coordinate 100,952,096 downwards.
TCCTCCTGAAGAAAGGAATCCAGGCACACACACTGCCTGTTACATGAAGTGCCTCTGACGGCTCAGGCTGATTTAAGTTCCCCTCTTCTCTCTCTCCGTGGTGCACCCTGTGATCTTCATAACAGCACGTATCACACTAGGCAAATCTGTAGACTAGACTGGGAGCTTCTTGAGAGCAAGGACGGTTTTATCCAGCCCTGTGTCCTCAGCATCTATCAGGGTACTTGATTCATGGTGGATGTTTAATAACTGCTTTGCATTTAATGTATGAATAATGTAAACAAATGATAAATACTTGTGCCAGGCAGAAAGAAAGCTTGGAATGCTTGGGTTTTATCATCTGAGCTTCCCTCTAAATGGTAATTTCTAGAAGTAAAATAGAACACAACATGAAAAGAAGTTTCACTGAGGCCCAGGTGATTTGGCATATTGTATATCACCACTTTTAGGGTCAGATTATAAAGGTGGAAATACTTATGTGCCCACATATATTTGAGTTCAATTTGGTCTCACTATTCTCTGTATTATTGAGGTTAGTGTGCCCTGCAAGTATTTCATTTGGCATGTGTGGGGAAATTGAAGTTATCGTGGAAGTAACCCAATATGTCTGCTCAACGTCTTTCCTCTGTTCACACTGGTGCCCCATTGAGCCCTCTCTCCCACCATTGCCACCAAATGCCCTTCCCATCCTTGGATGTAGAAATACACCAGAATGTCAGGACAGATCTTCTCCTACCATGCCAGGCTCTGAGCCATCCTGCAGTTTTTACAGAGCCAAAGGGCTCCCTGGATTGCCTCAAGTGCTTCAAAATGAGCCCAGAAAGACAAGTGGAGGACAAACATAACAAAAATATGCACCTGTAAAAATAGCCTTGTAATAACAGCCGCCCATGAGCGAGGTGGAAGCGGTAACAGATGGCTACGTCTGTCTAATTTTCCAATCCCTGAGGTTGTACCTCTCTGCTTCCTTTCCATCTCTTCTCCTGGAACACAGTTTTGGCAGGCAGTGGGTCCCTTGGAATCAACAGCATTATTCAAAGTCATTCCAGAATCTTACAGCAAACAAGGCCAACCTACATGCGATGCAGAATCAGGAACTCCAAGTTACAAACGTGAGCCATGCCCAAAAGAAGTCAGTGACCTTATTAGGACGTCCCTTGCAATTTAACAAAGGACATTCATTGAAGATCAAGGTGCCTTTTGAGTGAAAACAGGAGAAATTGGGCTCCGTTGAAAGTCAAGAAGTATTTAGGCAATATTACCTGCTGATTACCTGCCAGGTGACTGGGCTCAGATCGGCCGTGCTGTACTAACTCCTGCTGCTGCATTGACCCACTTCTGACCCCCACCAGGGCATCACTTGTAGGCCAGTCCGCTTCCTCACTTCAAAAACAGTCTGCAACTTTACACAAACGTTGACTAAAGCTCTTCCTCCTCATCAGTGTTCCCTAGGACAGACTCCCAGTGTCCTGAGAGTTATCGATATTTATAAATATTTCATAGTGAATACAAAATGCAAAACGGAATGTTTTCAGAATCACTTGAACTTATATTGGAATTCTATTCTTATAACTTCCTTGGGCCACTAATTTAAAGAGGTCGTGCTTTAAAGTATTGTACAAATAAAATATTTAATATATTTCTTAATACCTTATTTTCTTTACCATAATTATATAGGATAAAGAAAATGGATCTGCTCTTCTCACCAAGCACCACACCGATGCCCTCACAGCCCCGCCAGGTTATCCATACAAATATTTTCACTTTCTAGGAGCACCAGGAGGTGAACAAATTTGGGAATTAACAGTCTAAGGAAATTGGAATTCATATGTCAAACATTTGATGTGCACTTACTAAGCATGGTGCTAGGCCCTCTAGGAACATGTCATACTGATAACGGTATTAACCCTGCACTCACAGAACTTTCTGTCTAATGAGGATGAGGAAGCCAGTAGCCCTAGTGCCCAGCAGATGCAATGGATCAGGGTGAACTTAGAGAACACGGAGCTCATGCAGAGAGCTTCATATTCCTCCTCCCCATCCTCACCAAAGTCGTCTGATTTGGGTATTATTGCACCTCCAAAGGTGGGAGAACAGAGGCCTAGAGAAGTTAAGCGACTTGGCCAAGGTCACACAGACTAAATCATCAATTGTGCATGAGCCTGAGTCTGTCTGACTCTATAGAGTCCATAGTCTTTCTCTTAACTGAACCAGTTACTTCTCAGAAAAAGTATTAAAGTAACACAAAATGCTGAGGCGACTAAGCAAGAAGGAGAAATCCATTTCATTGAGGTTGCCAGTATAGGTATCAGAGAGGGCTTCGTGGAGGAGTTGGCGTTGGAGCTGGTCCTTGAAGGAATAAGAGTTCAATCGAAAATTCATGAGAAAGAGAATTTCAGGCCAAGGAACCCAGAAGGGTGTGAGGTTAGTGAGCTACCAGTTAATATGGTATGGTCTTGAAATGCAGGGAATCTGGAGGGATGGAGCAGGAAACGAGCAAAACGACACTGCCTGCAAAAGGCACAGTGTACCAGTGATGGTGTTTTCTGCATAGCAACCAGGCAAGCACGTCCATCCTCCAGCCCTCCTTCACCGTGGACTCTCCTCTAGCTGTTTACCACTAGTTCCCACCTTCCTCTTGCCAAAATGTTTACCTCTCATCCTTTCTCCCTATTCCAAGCGATTTAATGAGTGTGTGAAAATCAGAAGTCTTTAAAAAAAGAATTCAGGGCAGGCGCAGTGGATTACGCCTGTAATCCCAGGACTTTTGGAGGCTGAGTGGGGCAGATCACTTGAGGTCAGGAGTTTGAGACCAGCCTGGCCAACCTGGTGAAACCCTGTCTCTACTAAAATAACAAAAACTAGCCGGGCATGGTGGCAGGCACCTGTAGTCCCAGCTACTTGAGAGGCTGAGGCAAGATAATTGCTTGAACCTGGGAGGCGGAGGTTGCAGTGAGCCAAGATCACGTGACTGCACTCCAGCCTGGGTGACAGAGAGAGACTCCACCTCAAAAAATAAATAAATAAAGTAAAAAAATAAAAAAGAATTCAGTTGAACTTGCACAGCATTTTTTTTGTTGTCAAGCCACTCAAAACCATCTGTCTCTAGCCATCTGCAGCAGATACTTCCAAACTCCTGGAGGAGCCTTGGGACATTGTGACCTTCCGCTCTTTCCATGAGACACACATGGGGCCCAGACAACCTGTGAAGTCTACCCCAGAGATAAGACTGGGCATCAGCTTTACAGTTACATAGAACATATGGATCCAGGCACAAGAGAAAACTTCCATCCTCAGGTCACGACTTAGGGGGGATCTTGTGGGAGGAAGGCACCCAACTGCACTCTTTTCTAGACCTTTGCCAAGGTCGAGATCATTCCCACAGAAGAAGCAGGGATTGTCGTAGTGAGGCAAACCACACCATGTGCTCCAGATGAAAACAGCAAACAGAGGTAGGTGGGGCAGGTGGGAAGAAATAGAAAGGCACCACCTCCTGAGAATGATACTGGTCATGAAGGTATAGGGAAGGTAAGAGCAAATGCGCGGCTACTGGGCTGGTTTCCCTGATAATTCTGGGTCTTTGTACCACTTGGTTCTTTAGGAGAATCCTAATAAATAGATGAAAAGCCTTTGCTTCTTTAATTCCCTAGAGTGGAGCTGAGACAATGGCCTGCATGCACTGCAGCCTAAAATTATTCATCAGCCTAAGTGTATAAGGTTCCAGAAAAGCAGGGGTCTTTAGTGTGGTGGGGGCGGAATGAGATTGTAGAGGATTTCAGTATGAACAGGAGTGAAGGCATTCAATAAAAAACTTGTAAAAAAGGAAATGAATGAGAGAATAAAGAATCTAAATGAAACATGGGTGAGAGGGTGGGCTTGGGGGTTTGTTTTCCTTTTTTTTTTTTTTTTTTTCCGCAACTGGAGAGATTTGATCATGTTTAAATACTGACGGCAAAGAATCAGTAAGAAAGAAGCTGTGGAAGCCCCAGGAGCAAGGCTGCTGGGTGAAGGGAACCCATGAGCAGGTGGGAGAGCACAGTGGAAGGTGTGTGCTTATGGAGGAGAAGGGAAGGGAAGTCCACGCCACATTGCAATGACTGAAGCATGTGAGGATGGATGAAGACAAGTGTCAGGGAGACTGGACAGTTGAGCCAATTCCCATCTGATATCTTCCACTTTCCCAGTTGGGTCGGGGGGCACAGGGAAACTGAGGAAGCCTTGAAGTAAATATGGTGGCAAGTGGAAGAGAGATGACTGAGACTCACAGAAGAATGGTCGCCCTCAGCTGAGGTTGGAGATCATGGACTGGTAGCAGCTGCAACCCAAACATCGCGTGATTTCCTCCAGCCATGCTCAGCAGGCCAGGGTAGGGGCAGGAAAAGGAGATGCAAGTTGACCAAGATTGGCTTTTAGGTGGACGGGTGGGGAAGGCATTAGAGGGCAAGAGCACTGAAGACATTGGCAAGGGAATTGTTGAAATGTCTTCACTCATTCAACACGTTTACTGAGTGCCTGATACATGCCAAGCTTTAGCATTAGCATTGGAGACACAGTGGTGAGCAACACAGGCAAGGATTGTTCCAGTGCTGTGCAGTGGAGGCAAACAAGAAACAAGAGGATAAACACGGAAATCAGAATTTCAGATGGTGGGTAGGGGCCATGACAGACATGGTGTGACAAGGAAGAGCCTGCTGTGTTTGGGGTCATCCAGGAAGACCTCTCTAAGGAGGCTGAAGTGATCACCCCTAAGTTATAGGCAGGGTGGGGAACAAGCGGAAGTCCCTCGAGGCTGGTAGGTAAGGAGGCTGACAGTCTTGCAGGGGCCCAAGAGAGTGGGGACACTGGAAAGCCAGGAAGCTGAGGCCAGAGCGGTGCATTCATTGCACAGTCTCAGCAGCTGAGCTGTTCCTGGACCTTTGGTTGAAAGGATGACACTGGGGCTTGGTATGTTTTCTCTGCTTTTCTCAGAATTGCAACTAAGGCCCAAAGCTGAGCCCAGAAGTCCTAAGAACTCGACATTTTAAGTTCAGAAAAACTTTCAGTTATTGCACAGGCTTGCTGAGACATGTCCTTGCCAAGAGGACGATAACAGCACAGAGAGCCCAACAAAGCTGACAGCTGCTGGCTATGAGGCAGAAGATATCTGCCTTGTGACCTTCATTTAGTTCCACTCGTCCCTGCCCCATAGAGGGGAGAGAAGACTCAGGAGAAAGAACCACAACTCTCTTCCATTCTAAATGGGGACCAGCCTCATGGGCTGGCCTGTGCCAGGTACCAAGGAGTCCTTTAGATGGTAGACAAAAGTTTAGAAGAGATAGGACTGGAATGAGCCCATCCTGAGACCCGAGAGTGACTGCACAGTTATGAGAGTCATGCCGAGAAGGCGCAGAGGAGGTCCACTCTTCAGTGGTAGCACTTTGGGAGAAGAACTGCTATTTTAGGTCTCTAGCCCAACACATCTGGATGCCACAAGAACTTGTTTTATGGCTTTAAGACAAAGTGGCTGGAGAAGAGTGAATTGGCTACCTTGTTCCTTCATCATCCAACAAGGGTTTATTTGGCACATAGGATGTACTCAGCTCACAGCAGGCGCTGAGGAGACAGTGGTGGGCACAGCGCACAGATCCTCACCTTCCAGGCACTTAATGGAGGAGAGAGACGCTAACACACCCAAGGACACAATAATTCTGCTTCTGATGTGTGCCCAGCATCAGGGTTGAGAGTGGTATTGGGGACAGGGAGAGGAAGGAACTCTTGTAGTTAAAGTGACCAGGGAGAGTTGGCATTTGAGTGGGGAACTGGATGGAGCAAGGGGTGAGCTCTGTGGATGACTGAAAGAGGAGCTCTCTCTGGAAGAGGATGCTGTGGGGAAGGAATGAGCTTGGTAGATTTGGGGGTGGCTGGAGTAGCCTGAGCAAGGTGGATGTGGTAGGAGATAAGGACAGAGAGGGGCCTACCCTGGAGGCTTTTCCAGACAATGGTAAGGCTTTGGAGTTCAGTCTTGGTATGAAGAAAAGTTCCTGGAGGGTTTTAAGTGGGGGTGTGACACAAAGTGACAATTTTTTTTTTTTTTGAGAAGGAGTCTCGCTCTGTCGCCCAGGCTGGAGTGCAGTGGCATGATCTCGGCTCACTGCAAGCTCTGCCTCCCGGGTTCATGCCATTCTCCTGCCTCAGTCTCCCAAGTAGCTGGGACTACAGGTGCCTGCCACCACGCCCGGCTAATTTTTTGTATTTTTAGTAGAGATGGGGTTTTACTGTGTTAGTTAGGATCGTCTCGATCTCCTGGCTTCGTGATCCGCCCACCTCGGCCTCCCAAAGTGCTGGGATTACAGGCGTGAGCCACCGTGCCTGGCCAATGTGACACATTTTTAAGACATTCTTCTGGGTGTCATGGAAGATGGAAGATGCCATATAGGGCAAAAGCAGAAACAGGAGGCTGATTCCCAAGGCTGCAGCAGCCCAGGTTGAGGACTGTCGGGCCTGGAAGCAGGAAGGCAGAAGAAACGGTCAGATGGGGGATAGATTGGGATGGTGGGTCCTGCCATGTCCTGGTCTGTTGAGGTAGAAAAGAAGGTAAGATCCCAGGGTGGAGGGTGAGTCACACCCGCTTGAGACAAAGAGAATGGCAGCAGGTCCAGGGGCTCCCTGAAAGAAGGGAAGTGACCAGGAGACATGGTGAATGAGCGAAGATCTGCAAGGGACTCTGAGAGCAAGGAGGACCCCAATCCAAATGAGAGCATACACTTGAGAGCAAAGGTTTCAGTGAGAGCAAAGAAATGGTGAAACTTTCTGTAACTAGGTGAAGAGCATGCATGAAATTGTTTGCAACTAATAGAGGTTCCACAGAGCACAGCGGAAAAGTTTAGAAGAAGAGCAATTACATCAGGTCCAGGGAGAAGGAAGCACATGGCCACGTGAAGAGGACAGTGACCAGAGGACCTTGTTCAGTTTGTGTGAAAGACATGGATGAGTCATGGGGGAAAGAAACGACCTAGAAATGTCCACAGACCTGGACTCTGAAGTCTCTGATGGATTGGAGGACTCAGGCCTCTCTGGAAGAAGCCGGCTGCTCTTGGAAATCCTACACCAGGTGGGCTGGCAACAGGATTAGTTGGTTCTCAGGAGCTACCCTGAGTGCTGGAAATAATATTAGCTCCAGATGGATGGGAGGCCTTTCTGGATGGAAACCTTCACAGCTTGTCTTAACTGTGACTCTAGGGGAATACATGGAAAAATGGCATCATGGATTCTAAAATAACTGCAAGTGAGATCGTTGTATGTACTTTCTGTTTACTTTACACAACCCTCACTCACTTCTCAACCCACAGAGATATGATTTCTGCTCACTCCATTTCACTAAAACAGCCCTTGCCAAGTTCTCTAGTGGTCTCCATATTACTTGAGCCAACTGACCTTTTTCAGCCCTCATCTTCCCCGACAACTCAGCCCTGTTGGCCACGCCCTTCTTTGTGAAACACTTTCTTCCTTGGATTTCTATAGTGATGTCACCCTCTCCTAATTGTCTTCCTGTCCCCAGCTACTCATTGGCTCTACCTCTCAAATCCTCACTTACACAGCCTATAAGTGTTGGGGTGCCTTAATGCTTGATGTTAGACCATCTACTCTTCTCACTTAATAACCTTTCTCTGAGGCATCTCAATCAGAGCTGTGGCCTCAACTGCTTAACAGAGGCATGTGAAAAGTGCTGCAGGAGTGTTCAGCCGAGTGCGTGACTATGTCATGTGAAAAGTAGCTTGATTTGGGGTCACTGCTATTCAGTGGAAAATTTAACCTTGGGATGGATAATGCAGCCCAAATTTGAACTCTGAAAGACTATTCACTGGATTGGAAGACCAATAGATACCAATAAATTAAAAGTAATTGCTGTTTATCCTTCATCAAAATTACCATTATTCTACAAGGTAAGTGCTTGTCTATACATTACAAGCCCTGTGTCTATTGCCTATGCATTAACTATGTATTAGCATTTCCTACATTCTGTACATTCCCTTTATCCAAAATATTCACATCTACCTCTTACTCAGCAGTCCACCAGGCTTTCCCATCCTTAGTAGCGTTTATTGATTGCCTTCAGGATCTATAGTGATGTTTAAAGCACTATAATCCATCTCTATCCTCAAAGATCTTGATGGAGTATTACAATAACCCTATCACTTATTGTTGTCAGCTTTTCCATCAGCATCAATTAGAAAAGGCATGAAGGGACCATAGGTTGATCAATTACTTTATCAAGGGAACAAGTATGGAAGCATCACTTGCAAATGATCAACAATCATTATTGCATGCAACTAAAAGGAGTATGTTTTATTTATTTATTTTTTTGAGGCAGAGTCTCACTCTGTTGTCCAGGATGGAGTATAGTGGCGTGATCTCGGCTCACTTCAACCTTCACCTCCTGGGTTCACGAGATTCTCCTGCCTCAGCCTCCCAAGTAGCTGGGATTACAGGTGTACACCACAACATCCGGCTAATTTTTTTATTGTAGAGACAGGGTTTCGCCATGTTGGCCAGGCTGGTCTCAAACTCCTGACTTCAAGTGATCCACCTGCCCTGGCCTCCCAAGTTGCTGGGATTATAGGTGCGAGGCACTGCACTCAGCCTGTTTTACTTTTTTTTAAATCCACAATATAGCCAAATCTCTTGTATACACAAAATAGTGATCTGCGGTCCATCTCATGGCAACCATGCTGTTCAGCCTATTGATCTTCTTTAATGAATTACCTGCTTTGTTGACATCTGCACTCTGCAATTCCAGAATTGATCACACATTTCCCTCATAGCCCATCTCCTCATTTCCATTAATTTTACATACTGTCTGCAGAGATAATCCGCTGTAAAGGAGGTAACACTCACCTTGGAATCAGAAGTCCTGGGTCCAAGGTCTGACTTGTAATTCATTGGGTCATGCACAATCTAATTTTCTTCATCTATATATCTGCCTGAATAACCCTACACTCTCTCCACACCTCTCAAAATAGGCAGGTGGTAAGAGTTATTACTTATTAGAAGAAGCTTTAGAAATCCAAATATTTCACCATCGTCCTTGATCAATGGAAAGTTTAAGAGAGACAGAATCATCTATTCTCAGTAGCATGGACTGCAGGGAACTGCCTCACTGAAGCCCCTGTTGATTTATTACATTAATTCATTACAGTTTGTGTGCAGAATATTAGACATGCCTAGCTTCAGGTCTCAACCTGAAGACATGTGTCATCCAACTAGATCTTCAGAATTACTCTGTGAGATAGGCAGGGCAGGTGCTATTGTTTTGATTTTGCAAATGAGGAGAGTCTCAAAGTTTAGCAAACTGAACAAGATCACACAGCTAGAAAATGGACAAACCAGGGCTCCGTTTTTCAAGCTTTCTAATCCCTAGTTCTTCACCTTCCAACACCTCTAACCGGAAGGGAGAAAGCAGTGCTTAAGTCCCTTTTCAGTGCAAAGAATGACAATAACCTGAGAGAGTTAATGCACCTTCCAAAAGATTCATTTCTCCCCTATTCACAAAGAGTCAGGCAGAAATTGATTTAGAACAATCAGGAGAAGACTCAGTAAGCTTCATCTACACAATAAAAATAATACACTTAGCATTCTCATGTGACTTCACATTTTGTAGTTATTGACAATAAACAATTAAAAATTTATCTCATAGATAACCAGATGGCTAGTATAATTATTTTACAACACAAAACACCTAGACAGGCTTCCTTTTTATTAGGTAGAGATAATTTAAAAATCAATTTAACAAAACCACTTTAAATGTACAGAGTTCCAAGCCTCATTGTGGTGGAATAAATCCTGGAAATCTGGGGCATTTAATTTACAATAAGCCTCAATAAACTGCCCTCATGAGATGGCTCTCATGACTAGAGGTCATTCATACAGGCTGAAGCTTAGTTGTAAACAGACTACACAGTGCGTTCTAGCCATTTCCAGCTTGAGACACAGGAAACTCCTCTTATCGTAATCAAATGCTGACAAGTCCCTTTGACTTAGAAAGTGACATACGGTGAAATGGACCCCAGTTTAAATTCTTCTCAAGTTTTCAGGGTGAGAAAGCAATTCCAAAGCAGCCCATTAGAGGTATTTGTCTGCATGCATAAGACATTAGGCAGCCTGACATGACCTGATGTTTGCAAAGGGAAGGATGGGTTTGAGGCAAAAGGATTTTGTACGTGCAAAGTGGTACAGGCCAAAAGAGCCACACATGTAACTTCTTTACATATAGCTTGCCAGATCTTTGCTTGCCTGCAACTAGCTGATTTTTCTATGAATGTTAAGTTCATGAGCAAATGAATAGAGGATCCAAACCTACCTTTTTAATTACAAAATGCTTTTTCCTCCCCTACAATCAGACTTCTACTCATTTCAGCACTGAAAAAAAAAATGTAATCATCATAATTCCTAGTAGCTTGCTTCTGTTTCCGCTTCAATAGATACCCTGTAGATGGGAAGTCACATAACAGCTCCACGTCCTATCAAGTTGCTTCCACCCGAAAACAGCTGCAATGCTTATCTAATTAAACCCCAGCCCCAAACTGTGAGCTTCCGCATCAATCATTAATATTGTATTATGGATCATTTTAAATTCTGACTGGGGTAGGTGGCTCCCCGCACACTGGTCTCTGAAGGAGATTTTTCAAATAATCTTTAAGCTGCATTGAAAAAATAAAACAAGCTGCCTGCTGTTCGAGGAAAGCTCTACTATCCTGCTGCACCCTGATTAGCTGTTAACACTAATTGAGAGATGAATATTGCTTATTCCAAAAATGCTAAAGATGGGTTTTTTTACATTATGAAAAGGAAAACGCAGTTCTCCTCACCTCAAAAATGTGTCTGTGGCTCTTTGTCCAAATTCTAAACAGCACCAAAAGAATGGTGGTTTCTGGGTCTCTTGTCTACAGTTTGCAGAGTGATTATCCTGAAACACTTCTTTTCTCTAGGTGGCCCTCCAGAGTTAGTGAACTGTGACCTCCACATGGGATTTGGACATGCGTGCCCTACATCTGGAATGCAGAAACACTCTTCACAGAACTCTGATAGCCCAGGAATATTTATGTAAATCTCTGTCCTGGTAAGGCACATGTTGATGTACTTGGGCTTAAGCTCATAAACCAAGAGGAACAGTTTCCTACATCCCCCTTCTAATGACTAAAGCCAACGGGCTGAGCCAAATGGGACAATTTAGACAAAGAGAGACTGGCGAAAAGCAAATGAATGTCTGCTTCCTTCTAGCATTCTAGGAAAAATACCAAGCGGCTGTGCCAATGTGCACTGCTTGCCTTTGTTAGGAGAATACACTCAAAATCAGGGGAATCAGTCAGTACCAGGTTCAGGAAAGATGTATGCAAGAGAGACTCCCTGATGAGGAAAAATCGACTACAGAAACACAGCATGCACCCAGCTCAGCACAAACACAGCTTAAAAATCCAAGGAATTAGGATGAAGTGTAGAATCCCGAGGTTCTCATTCTTGTTCCCATAAGCCAGGATTGGCTGAGCCTTAGCCAGGATACCACCTGGCATTCAGCCACATCGGCTAAAGAGATGAGGAACCTGAGAGGAAACAAATGTGAGGAAGAGGATGATTCAAGAGGACCAGAAATACAAGGAAAGGACAGAGGCCCTCGGATGGTTCACTGCAGAGAAGACAGGCTGAAAGATTTAGGAACCGGCTGAAAGCCAACATGCCAGAGCCTCCCAAAGGGTGGAATCAGAGATCTCTCCTGCTATTATTGTATCAGCAGCCTCACGTCTACCCTCGGGCCTGAATTTTGTTATAGATTTATACACATTTGATATAGAGTCCTTCCCATGCTACTTTCCTACTATCTCTGTGTTTCCTAGAACCAAGGTACACCCCTCCCCATGGCCTCTCCCACTGCCATCACATTCTAAGCATATGTCCAGCCCTAGGGAGCTATAAGACCTTGAGTGTATTGGTGAAACTCTCCAAGTCTCATTTTCCTCATCTGTAATATGAAAATAGTGGAATATATTTAGGTACAATTGACGTTTTTTAGTACTTCCTACATATCAAGTTAAATGTGGGTTTTTTGTTTGGTTTTCGGGTTTGTGTGTGTGTGTGTGTGTGTGTGTGTGTGTGTGTGTTTTGAGACAGATCTCACTCTGTCACCTAGGCTGGAGTGCAGTGGTGCGATCTCAGCTCACTTCAACCTCCACCTCCTGGGTTTAAGCAATTCTCCTGCCTTAGTCTCCCAAATAGCTGAGATTACAGTCACGCACCACCACACCCAGCTAATTTTTGTATTTTAGTAGAGACGAGGTTTCACCATGTTGGCCAGCCCGGTCTTGACCTCCTGACCTCAAGTGACCCACCCGCCTCGGCCCCCCAAATTGCTGGGATTACAGGCATGAGCCACCGCGCCCGGCCAAATGTGTTTTGATATATTATTATTATCCTTCTCCTAAAGCACAATGTGGAAAATGTTATTTCCATTACACAGATGAGAAAATGTAGGCCACAAAACTTTCCTGACGCTCCCAAAGTCATCCAGCAAGAAGTACCAGAATCAAAATCTTCTTATCCTTGCAAAAAAAAAGAAAGAAAACATAAATAAAAGTGGAACAGTAAGAATCACAAAAAAGAGTGAGGGAGACAGAGAGAATCGGGAGGTACTACAAGAGGAAGAAACCTAAATCTAATTTATCTCACTTGGAATTAAGGACAATTTGTAAAATTTAGCAGTAAAGACTGTAATATGTTTGAAATTTGATAGACTTGGGAGATGTAATAAGAACAGTCTTTTTTTGCAAGTGTTTATTTTCTAATAAACAGGAATCAGGAAATTTGCCTCTGGGCAGTTTTTCCCCACAACTAATAATTGAAAATGTGAAGTTAGCAAACAATTCCTTTACAGCAAACATTGCTCTTTTATTCAATTGTTCATGAAAGAGAAACATCTATTGATTCCCATCTAGGTGCCAGGCATTGTGCACTCCATATGCCAGGCATGCAGTTTAGAGCCAGACAGTCTGGTATCTGAGCTTTAAAGGCCAAGAATCAAGTGTTTATGTCTGGCATGTTGTAATTAATTAAACCATTTTTATGCAATAATTGCAGGGTGTCAGAATACAATGCATTTGGTGACAAGCTGACTGGACTCAAAGAGAAGTTGCTGTGGGATTTCTGCAAGACCAGAGTCTTAGAGGAGACGGTGCCCAAGTCTAACTTGTTCACTCTTGGAATGCCAGGCACCAAACATGGTGCCTGGTCCATTGCTGGCAGTGGGTTCTTCCTATGTGCCATGCATTTGACTCTCCTAGGGAACTCCTTTAAAATAGAGATATCAAGCACCCCCTCCTTCCCAGAAGATGCTCATCCTGTTGGTGGAGACAGGACCATGATGAGATTTGTTTGTATTTCTCCGTGGGTGATTTGGGTGATTCTCTTCTTTTTTTTTTTTTTTTTTTTTTTTTTTTGAGATAGAGTCTTACTCTGTCGCCAGGCTGGAATGCAGTGGCATGATCTTGCCTCACTGAAACCTCTGCCTCCCAGGTTCAAGTGATTCTCCTCCCTCAGCCTCCTGAGTAGCTGGGACTACAGGCGCACGCCACCATGCCCAGCTAATTTTTGTATTTTTAGGAGTGATGGGGTTTCACCATGTTGGCCAGGATGGTCTCGATCTCTTGACCTCATGATCCGCCCACCTCAGCCTCCCAAAGTGCTGGGATTACAGGTGTGAGCCACCACCCCTGGCCAGGTGATTCTTATACATACCCAGTGACAAGAACCACTCAGTGTGAGCTTTATGCATATTTTTCAATGTATGGTGGTTCACACCTGTAATCTGAGAACTTTGGAGGGCCAAGGCAAGAAGCTTGCTTGAGCCCAGGAGTTCTAGGCTGCAGTGAGCTATGATCTTGCCACTGCACTCCAGCTTGGGTGATGGAGTGAGATCCTAGCTCTAAAAACAAACAAAAAAGAGTGAACTAGTATTATTAAAGTAAGTGCACACTATACTTTTTAAAACCATGTGGCACCCTTATGGGTATAAATTCTAAAGCAAGAAAGGGATAGGAGGAAGCGTTGGATTAACATTATGGGTAGGGGCAATACATACTATAATAGGATAAAAATCTTACTAGAAGATGGAAGGAACGTGGAATCCCTTAGGGTGAACATGAGGACCTTTTTTAACACCTAAAATAAAAGTTTAAAATAACATTTTTTGGCTATTATTAAACAGTCAAAAAAAAAACACAGATGCTAGCAAGGTCTTGGAGAAAAAGTAATGCTTATATGCTGTTGGAGGCAGGGGTGTAAATTAGTTCAACCACTGTGGAAGACAGTGTGGTGATTCCTCAAAGACCTAAAGACAGAAATATCATTCGACCCAGAAATCCCATTACCAGCTATATACCGAAAGGAATATAAATGATTCTGTTATAAAGACACATGCCTGTGTATGTTCATTGCAGCACCATTCACAATAGCAAAGACATGGAATCAACCTAAATGCCCATCAATGGTAGACTGGATAAAGAAAACATGGTACATACACATCATGGAATACTATGCAGCCACAAAAAAGAATGAGGTCATGTCATTTGCAGGGACATGGACAGAGCTAGAGGCAACTATTCTTAAAAAACTAATGCAGTAACAGAAAACCAAACACTGCATGTTCTCACTTTTAAGTGGGAATTAAATGATGAGAACACATGGACACATAGAGGGGAACAACACACACTGGGGCCTATTAGAGGGTGGAGGGTGGGAAGAGGGAGAGGATCAGGAAAAATAATCAATGGGTACTAGCCTTAATACCTGGTCGATGAAATACTCTGTACAACAAACCCCCATCACACAAGTTGACCTGTGTAACAAACCTGCACATGCACCTCTGAACTTAAAGTTAAACAAAACATTTCTTAGACCCCTATAATATAGGTAGCATTTATATTTATTTTCTTTGTATTAATAAAAACATACCTCTATGAATTCGATGATGCCTTTAATTAATTTGAATTATTTTAATCTTAAGTGTCTACTTACATTTTTAAAATACTAACCCATACATGTGCAAGAGATTATTTAGTCAACCTACAGATACTGCTTACTGGGCACATGGACTCAAGAAGAAACTCATGACGCACATGGTCTGCATGTCAGGAACCACAGACGTAGACCATCTAACTAGTAGTAAGACTAGAATGAAATTTTTCAACATGAGGGAAGAGGCAAAATTAGACTCTTTAGTGGTAAAGGGCATTTTAAATTTCTTTGTAGTGGCAAAATAAGTCACCAGGACCAAATGCAAAAATGTGTGGTGTTTTCTTATAAGTTACCATTTTATAGAATAAGTAATTTTAGCATGCCTAAGGAAAAGAAATAAATTAGACAAGATTTGGAGCAATACAAACAGGATGCAGAGAATAGCTGAGGTAGAACAACTCTGCAATATTTGTAAGATTTTCTCTGAATAGGATTCAACTTAACATGATAATATCTGAAGAGACAAGACCAGGTAAAGAAAATTCATTTGATTATTCCATTTGGGGAAATGGTTAGGGAAGTACGATCAAATGCATAGCTGAAAAAAGTAAAAAACACAAATCCCATAAGTCAAAAGACCTTTCTTTTAAACTTATTGATAAATGTACACCCAAAATCAAGATCAAAAAGAGGTTCTTAATTAGAAATCATTTGTTATTAACAGGCAAAGTAAAAGAGGCTGTTATCGAAAAAAAAAAAAAAGCATCTTTTATCACTGGATGGATAAGCTGCTGAAACCTGAAGGTCACATAAGACCAAAATGTAAAAACAGCAACAAATGTTGCTGGACTTCCTTCTTCTCCAGGTTTTGCAACTTAGCCCTGAGTTGCTCTCAGGAAATTACATTTCTCTAAAATAAACATAGTGATAAGATTAGGATTCAACAACACCCGAGGCTCTCATATTACCACTAAACCTTTCTTCTATGCACACCTCAAAATATTATTTGCCATTTAAAATGGATTATCTCTTTTAAGGGGGCATATTTAACATTCTGCAATATCTGCCTGTTTATATGGACTCCAAATCACCAAAAATCCCAAGCAATCAGAATCATCCTCATTTGCTATTCAGCAACATTTCCCCAAGTCTTTTTCTCTGAATATTGGTGAAGATGTTCCTCAAAAAAGAGGGGAGGAGGGACTATGACTGGATAATTCGTATCTTGAAGATTCTCAGAAATCTTACATTGAAAACATCTGTTTAGCCTTGTTCATCCCATTATTTCTCACATTTATTTGACTTCAGAGCCCCTTTATCATGTAACATTGGTTAAAATTCCACAGAAATAGCCTTCCAGGCACACAGTTTGGACAGTCTAACTCTTTATGACCCTGAGACACTCCGAAATTGACTGCTCTGGTCCACCAATAGATGTTGAGCTTCAACATCGCCCAGGAACTGGTCTAGCTGCCGGGGATACTGTGGTGGACAAGATGAGCACAGTCCCAGGTCCCTGTGGAGTGTATTTTCTAGCATATGACGGAGTAAATGCACCTGTTGGCTTCAGGGGAGTCTGAGAATAGTGACTGGAATGGGAGCAGGATGTGCCTTTAGACAGGATGGGTACGGAAAGCTTCTTCCCAAGGTGATGTTTGAGACCAGATCCTGATTCTGTTCACTCTCGTTTTAATACTTAACAGACTTTTCCAATTGTTTGAAAATCATTGATTGAAAAGTAGTAATGCAAGATTTGTGTTTTAGTAATGTTCTGTTAATAAGAAAGCCAATTAAACAATGCTCATTCCCCATCCATCCCATTTAAATAGGCATGCATTGCATGTGCGTTAAAAACGTTTGTCTACTGGGATCTTACACTCAGTTCTCAGAGCAAGTGCACAGGGAACATCTCCGAGTCACAGCACTAAGTGGTAAAACAGTGTTTCTGACACAGCCCAGAAGTCCCTCCACACCGAAGGCACTGAAACGATTCCCCCTTTTTACTCTTCTCTAAACAGGATACACACATGTAATTGGGCACCAGGAAATTCCTGTATAGCACATTGGCAATGAATAGTTGTCTTAGTGGCTTATAATTAAGGAGAGTGATAATGTTGGGAATTTAACTTTGGTGGTACTTAACTCTGAAATACTTTTCACTAGCTCAATCCCTGTTGATTGCTTATTAAAATGACTCCTGAAACTCCCAGGAAAACAACATGGAAGGCTGAGTAAATGCTTTTGTATTGTGAAGATACTCTTTAATGAAATACTTCTTTCCCACAGCAACAGACCTACTCTACAATCCAGGAAAATGGTTTTAATAAATGCTTCTGATAATAATCTTTATAATGATCATTGTGTTATTGGTTATGGTGATGAATAATAAAACCTCCTTCAAAAAGGCTCTAAAAGATAAGGTACTAATTCAAAAGAAGGTGGTGGTGGTTGTTTTTAATTCCAACATGCTTCTGAGAGATCCACTTAAACATTTGCAATAACAGTGGAAAATCTTTAAGCAGACCAATGAAAATTTTCTTCTTATTGTGTTTTGAGTAGTCAAATTGCACCCAGTATTGTAAAATCAAAGTGCTTTGTTGCTAGGCAATTCCATGAATCATCCCAAATCAGGTTTTAACCAGATTGATAAAAGTGTTACCCCCCCCCTTGTTTTTTTTTACTAGAACACAGTTTTTGGTTGAGCAACAAAATATGTGAACTGATCACATGGGAATAGAATTTTTATAGCAATAAATAAATCTTGCCCCAATGATAATATTTAATGATATGCATAATTATTGTTATAACACACGGGAATCAGATATAAGTGATATAAAGCCCAAGTGATGATTGCATTTAGCATTATGTTGACATTGCAGATAAAAGCAGCTTTGAGATCAGCATGGAGGAAGAAGGAATAGGAAGAAGCTGCTCTGAACTCCCTCCAGAAACACCTACATTTACATCCAAGGCACCAGCTGTTGAGTTTCCCTGACTTGAGAAATGGCATCGCTCTTGGCCAACATCTCCCAAGGAGACTAAATAGAATATTAATGTATTAGTAGAATATTAATATTAATATATTAGTAGAATATTACTAACAGATTAGAATATTAATATTAATATATTAGTAGAATATTACTAAGTAATAGATTAGTAGAATATTAATATATATTAGTAGAAATAATATATTAGTAGCATATTCATATATTAGTAGAATTAAGCAAATTGACTGGTTTTAAATTCTAATATATTTGTTAAAGTTTAATCATTTAATTGATAGTTATATCTGATAATAAGAAACTCATCTCTTCATTTTATTTAATAACAGAATAAACAGATCATTAAGCATATGAATTTAGAATAGAGGTGAATCTAACTGAAATATTATTGGCATATGAGTATTTATGGAGTCTTCATGTTCTTCACTACCTACCTGCAAAGTTAAAGTGTTTATTTGAGGATGTAGACATGGAGATCCACACAAATACGTGAAGAGCTATATATTGAAGACAACAGCCTTCAATCTTTAAACCAAGTACAAAGCTCTTATATATTTATAGTATAATATAGCTCCTACTATTTCAATGTTTATGTCGTATCTCTTCCGTAAGCGATTGGTGGGTCTGAAATCCACTTTCACTGAGATACTTGGTTGACGTCAATACAAATGAGAACAGTGCGGACCGTTCTGCCCTTCCCCTGAAAACACAAAGTGGAGCTTTAAAACAGGCTCTCACACTGGATTTTAGGTGGATTTGGATTTTAACTCCAGTTGTCTATGAGCAATTAAAAAAAAACCCACAGCAGGACGATTTCCAAGGATATTAGAGGATTTAATGAACAAGGATCGCATTTAAGGGAAGAGGGGTAACGAGGAGTAAAACGAAATTTTCCTGCTTTTTCCTGTGAGAAGTATCATTGTAATTACCCATGTATCTAAATTAAAATTGCATATTCATGTTTTGCATTTTCAATTGGCCTTGTATAATTAAAACTGCATCACATTTGATGAATTTATAATTATGGCTAAATGTTTATGTTAACGTTCACCTCTTCCATGCTGAAAAACAACAAAAAACGAGAACATTTCTTTAACTTGTTTCTGACCAGAAATTCAATCTCCAGATACAAAATTCAATGACCATGTGTCCTGAAAATAAAATATCTTTGAGATCAATAGGCACAGCTTCAAGTGTGAGATCCAAAAATCCTGATGCTTGCAAAGCACAAACCCAAACTGCTTTAAAGAATAATCTATAGAGGAAAGAAATAGAATGAATGGTAGAAGATCTGATTAAGGTCTTATAGAAGATACCTTACTAACTTCAATGAATTAGCAGGAGACAATCATATCTCCTCAGGCTATAATCATTGTACTTTAAATCCCCAACTATTTCCATTAAAAAAAAAAGAAGGAAAAAAAAACTGTGTGCTGCAAGATCAGAGCTTTCACTTCTGAATGTAAAAATGGTGACTAAATCAAACACCCATTATTCATTCTTTACTGAGAAACTCTTTCCTAACTTTTCCCAATGAGGGAATCATAAAAACAAAAGCACAGTAGATTATAAAAGTTTATGTTGGAAATAGAAACACATGACTCTGGGTCTCTGTCTTGGCTGTTGGGAACGTTTCAGGTTCAAGACCTCCTGGACAAACATTTAGTGCTTAGATATTGCTATGAGTTGAATTGTGTTCCCCCACAGTGTTGAGCCCTAGCCCATGGGAATCTCAGAATGTGACCTTATTTGGAAATAGGGTCATTGTAAGCCGATAGGAAACACCAAACTGTTTGTACTATTCTCACACTCCACACAACACAGAACCTGCTGTGACCAAAATGTATGGGGGATTTTCTCTGCACTCCAAGCAATTCTCCAAGCAGATACCAACTGGGTGTCCTACAATTCAATTCAATTCTGATGCTATCTACCTAGAGATGATATCAGGACCTAAGGTGAAGGGCTCAGTCTCGCGTGGCTGCCCCCGACTTCAGATACCAGTCACAAGCCCCAGTTGTGATCTGTGCTTCTGACCAACTGGCTATAAACTAGAGTTCCCAAGACCCGCTCTTTGGGTTTGATTTATTTGCTAGGACACTCAGGGAAATGCTTTACTTACACTTACTCATTTATTATTAAGAATATCACCGGCGATACAAATGAACAGCCAGATGGAAGAGACGCATAGGCAAGGAATGAGGGAAGGGTGTGGAGCTTCCGGCACCTACTGGCACCTCCTCAAATTCAACAACCTGAAAGCACTCCGAATGCTGTCTTTGTAGGTTGTTACACAGGCGTGATTGATTAAGTATTGGCCATTGCTGATCAACTCAAACTTCAAGCCCTCACCACTCCCCAGAGATCAGGTGGGACTGAGAGTTCCAACCCTCTAATCACATAGTTGTTTCCTCTGGCAACCAGCGCCCCCAACCCTGGAGGCTATCCAGGAGCCCCCAGCCATCAGTCATATGCCTAGCATACACAGACACATATCATCACACTTTGGAGATCCCAAAGATTTTAGGTGCTGTGTTTCAGGAAATGGGAACAAGACCAAATATGTACACAGTCCCTCACGATGGGTTGACTTACAATTTTTTGACATTTTGACAGTGTGAAATGACATGATGCAGTGGAAACTGCACTCTGAGTACCCATGCAATCATTCTGTTTTTCACTTTCAGTACAATAGTCAATAAATTACATGAGATATGAGAAAGAAAAGACACACTATAGCGGAAGAATGCAAGCCCCCCTTAAATGATCAGGCCCAGAGAAGCACTGGAATGGAACAGCAGTCACGTCCCACTCCATTCTGACTTGATCTCTTCAAGGTGCTTGCCACGTTGACTCTAGACTGACTGATGCCAAGTAACTACAAATTACCCTGACAATGCCGCACACTGGACACCACAGCTCATAACCTACAGTTCAACCACGTATAGCCAATCACTAATCAATGTTATTTCTGTAAATCAATATGAATTGTATCAGCCCACTCCTTGTCCACCTTTGCCCTTAAAAACCTCCTTGTAGCAAAGGCCGAAAGGTGCACTTCTCAAGGCAACTTAGAAGTATTTCCCGGGCAGTTGTACTCACCTTGGCTCAAGTAAACACTTTAAAATTATATTTTGTGTCTCAATTTCTTCCTTCAGGTCAACATAAATTCAATACCTTATTTTAAAATGGGCTTTGTGTTAGATGTTTCTGCCCAATCACAGGCTAATGTAAGCGTTCTGAGCACGTTAAGGTAGGCTTGGCTAAGCTGTCGTGTTCAATAGATGCAGTGTATTGAATGCATTTTTAATTTATAATATTTTCAACTTACAATGGGTTTGTCAATTGATGTAACCCCATAGTAAGTCAGGGAGCTTCTGTGTATTTCTTGTTATAAATCACAGTATCACAGTCATTAAAAATGTAATTAGTTAGATTAAATGGAAGCCATACTGCAGTACGTGGATACTGAATCCAATGTAACCAGTCTCCTGATAAGAAGAGGGAAATTTGGACACAGAGACAAAGAGGGAGAATACCACGTGAGGATGGATGCGGAGACTGGAATGACGAGCCTACAGGACAAGGAGCGCTAAGGATCACTGGTGTGAAATAAGAATGAAGTCCTATGCCTGGGCAACATAGCAAGACTACATCTCTACAAAAAAAATAAAAATAAAAATAAAAAATAAAAAAGTTGTAAGTAGCCAGGTGTGGTGGTGCATGCCTGTAGTTCCAGCTACTGAGGAGGGTGAGGTGGGAGGATCACTTGAGCCTAGGAGTTCAAGGCTGCAGTGAGCCATGATCAGCCACTGCACTCCAGCCTCTGTGACAGAGAGAAATCCTGTCTCAAAAGAAAAAAGAATGTTCTAACCCCCTACAAGCAACTTAAAAGACCTCTCTTGGCCAAGGGGACCCCAGAGAAACCTTGAAAACTGAGTTCCTGGCCACAATGAGATGGGAGGTCAGATGCGCCTCTTTATACCCTCTCCCCCCAAATTGCCTTTCTCTCCCTTTCAAAAGACTTGCTCCACCACTGATTTTAACCAATCACTAGACGCCATACCCAGACTCTCTGCTTTCCTGTGGTCTCAACACAGCAGGTGACAAGGACCACATCACATTCCTCCACAGACCATGGACCGGTTCTAGCCAGTCTACAGAAGCTGCACATGGATGCCCTGTGTCCTCCATTTCATCTTCTGACATATAAAGCCTGCTTTTAATGCATTTAAATGTTGTCTCCACCCCTAAGTGAACATGGGATGTATGCAACATACATTTTTGCTTATTAAGCATGCATGCCCCCTCTTTGTGAATATTCATAGTTCCTCCTATAACCTGTTGAATACGTCTACTTAGCTAAACCATTCAGCATCAGTTCCTGTCTCATCCTTCCTCCTTCAAAGTGCCTGCTTTCAGTCTCTGCCAGGGGCTATGCCTCTCAGCCTGCAGCATGGCCAGCCTGCAGGTTGCAACCTTTATTAAAAAACAAAGCTCTCTTCTCCAAATTTATGGATCTCATGATTTTAAGTCAACATCAGTAAAATCAGAAGCTAGAATAAGAGGCAAGGGGCCGGGCACAGTGTCTCATGCCTGTAATCCCGGTACTTTGGGAGGCCGAGGTGGGCGGATCATAGGTGAAGAGATTGAGACCATCCTGGCCAACATGGTGAAACCCCATCTCTACTAAAAATACAAAAAAATAACTAAGTGTGGTGGCACACGCCTGTAGTCCCATCTACTCAGGAGGCTGAGGCAGGAGAAACACTTGAACCCGGGAGGCGGAGTCCGCAGTGAGCCAAGATTACAGCACTGCACTCCAGCCTGGTGACAGATCGAGACTCCATCTCAAAAAAAAAAAAAAAAAAAAAAAGAAATAAGGAAGGACCCCTTCCTAGAGCTTTTAGAGGGAGTGTGGCAGCCCCGCCAGTACCTTAATTTCACATGCCTAGCCTTCAAAACTGTAAGAGAACAAATTTCTGTTGTTTTGATGTACCCAATTTGCTGTACTCTGTTATGACAGCTCTCAGAAAATAATACAGATGTCTGCGGAACTTGGAAGATTATCTTCCCAGAATTTCAACTTGTATCCACATACTACAAGCTGTGTGAACCAATGTCTTGATGTTTTATGAAACTGAAGCTTCTTGCTTAGAATTCAAGCTTAGAAGTCTTTTCTTTCCTTTGTTCTCAAAGAAACAGGTGAGAGAAAAATGTTCTTCTTGCAGAATTTATTCTCCAGTGCTAAGATCACTAACAGTACCTGCCTGCAAGGTCTCTAGGTCTGAGCCACGGGAGCCAGGATGTGGTATTGGAGGCAGCAGTGAAACCTGTGTTCACTGCCCCGTCTCCCTTACAACAAGGTCCAGAAGGTGCAGCCCCTCAACAGCAACGTAAGTACGTGACGCTGTACAGACATACATACCTAGGTGTCTGGCTACCTTTTCAGGCTCCCACATCAAGTCTGAGGGAAATTGTCTTGTGAGTTGGCAAAGAGAACAAAGAAAATAAAATCTTTAACATGAGTATCCATTCACAGACATTAATGCAGACTAGACTGTGATCTGGAACACGAATCCAAAAGAACCACACAAGTTGTTTTTGATTACTATGTGCAGATCGATCAACATGCTGATTACTCGACCGGTCATCAGCACCTCTTACCTTCCAATATTTTGTTAATAAATGTTGTACAGCAGGTACAAAGAGAGGCTGAATGCACAGGTCTATATTCTAACACAACCAGGATGCAGATCAACAGAGGCTTTGGGCAGAACATGGTATGAATCACAGTTTAGGTTCTCTAGCACTTTTCATTCTACAGTGCACTTTAACAAACATTTCTACATCTAGTTCTCATGTGGTCCTGTTAATTTTAGAGAGGTAAATAGTCAGAAAAGTTAAGTGACTTCCCCTGGTCACAAAGAAAGTACAACTCAAGCCATTTCTTCTGACTTCATATCTCCTGTTACAAATTCCCTGGAGAGAAATTCTCATTGGCTCAGTGGATCAAGTGTCCACCCCTGGTCCATTGCCTGGAGCATGGTCTAGCCTGGAGCATACTCACTGCCAGCTCACTTGCTGCTATGAACTGGAGATCTGTCCCCCCAAAATTTATATGTTGAAACATAATCCCCAATGCAATCATATTAGGAGGTGGGGCTTTTAGGTGATTACACCATGAGGACAGAGACCTCATAAGCGATATCAGTGTCCTTATAAAAGTGGCCTGAGAGAGCTTGTTTGCCCCTTCTACCATGTGAGGAACCAGGAAGAAGGTGCCATCTAGGAAGCAGACAGCCCTCACCAGGCACTGAATCAGCACGTGCCTTAATCTTGGACTTCCCAGCCTTCAGATCGGTGAGCAATAAATTTCTATTGTTTATAAATTACCCAGTCTCAGGTATTTTGTTATAGATGCACAAACAGACTGAGATACCTGTCCTCCTCGGAATTGTTACCTAGCACTGTTACTGCAACACCACTTCTGGTAACATCCTTTGCGGGAAATTTTTTTCAACATCAAGATCATCAACAAACAGTATTTTTTCCTGCCCCAATGACTACATTTTCTACTGAACTGTTTTCGTCTCAAAGTAATGTTCTAGGCACCACCGTTGTCTTCGTTTGTTCAGCTGCCTTAATAAAAGGCCACAGACTGGGTGGCTCATGAACAACAGAATTTATTTCTCACAGCCCTGGAGGCCGAGAAGTCCAAGATGAAGGCACCAGCAGATTCCCTGTCTGGGGAAGGCCCTCTTCCTTGTTTATACTCAGCTGTCTTCTCCCCAGATCTTCACATGGCAAAAGGGATGAGGGATTTCTCTGTGGTCTTTTTTATAAGGGCACTAATCCTATTCATAAGGAATCCACTCACATAACGTAATCACCTCCCAAAAGCCCCACCTCCTAATACCATCACTTTGAAGGTTAGGATTTTGACATATAAATTTTGGGTGCACATAAACATTCAGTCCATTGCAACTGTATTTCTCAGGGTTCTCCAGAGAAACAGAACCAATAACCAATAGAATGGAGACATATATGGGGGACCAGCACAAATATGAAGCATATATATACATACACATACACACACCCACATATGGAGGGAGAGAGAGAAATTATTATAAAATATTGGCTCATGCAATTATGAAGGCTGAAACGTTCCACGATTTGCCATATACGAGCTAGAGAGCCAGGAAAGCTGGTGGTATAGTTTGAAGTCCTGAGAGCCAGACAGCTGATGGTGTAGATTCTAGCCCGAGTCAGACAGCCTGAAAACCAGGAACACCAGCGCCAGAAGATTGATGTTCCAGCTCAAGCAGTCAGGCCAAGAATGACTTCAACATTCCTCACCTTTTTGTTCTATTTCAGGCCCTCAACAGGAAGGGTGATACCCACCCATATTCCATGACCCTGTCAAATTGACACATAAAATTAACCATCACAGTCACTCTCACAGAACTGTTTCTAGAAGAGGGAAATTGGAGTTCTAGCAGCCTCCAGCCCTACAGTAATGTTAGATGTCACAAAACGGCACCAGAAAAAACACAAAGGTCCACATGCTTATATTTGACCATCCTATAAAACCATCCTAAAACCACGACCATCCTATAAACCAAAAGCCTTCAAACTTCATTGCTCACATACCTCTTTAATTATTTTGAAAAATTATGTACCCCTGTGAACACTTTTAAATTGACATCTAAACATTTGCTTTATAAGCTTAAATAGTTGTAAAGAATGTGATATTTAGCATATTGTAAATGCTGAAATTTAAAAATGAAAGTTACAACATCCTTCTAAATATATGCAATGGAATCTAAATTTCATAATGGTTTGAAAGCCATCTGTTGGAAAACAGTTGCCTTTTCTGTTGCTTCTGCCTCTGATGATGACAGTATCCTGCAGAAGCCAGAGTCCTTCATCCCTGAGGTGAACACACACATCTGGCCCTGGAGTCAAAGAAGCTAAAAGAGGATCTAGAGGGAGATGGGATACAATACCTACAGGCCCAGTTACTACCTCACATCAACAAGGTGAATCAGTAGATGAGGAACAGTGAGGGTCATCTACAAATGGCTGCAACTTCCCTTCAGCCCTGCACATCTTCCACATCAACCAGAAATACACAGTAAAGGGAATTCTGGAACAGTTTAGCCTAGGCAAACAGACACAAAGCCATGGCACCATGGACCTTGCCAGGCATGGGGGACATCAGCCCAAACATGAAGCTCATGCTGTCTTCTGTAACCTGAGTAATGAAGTCTTATGTCTCTGATCCAGGAGTCACACGTCTTCTACCAGCATCCATGAACCTGTTACAGGCTAACCTAGTAGGTTGCAATGAGGGTAAAATCTCAGCCTCTTCACAGTTTTTAGTAATACTATTATCAGTTTAACAGTACATGAACTAGCTCTTTCTTGACCTTAGAAATGTTTACATTTCCTTTCCTGTCTTTTATTTGTATTTTCATTACTCTTCATTCCGACTTGTAGCTTAATATATTTTAATGCTTGGAAGTCTTCTACTGATCCCACTACCACAGTTTATTCAATAAAAGCCTGTTTACAGCAATCAAACTTTTTTATGTTTTATTTTCTATGATCATGTTTCAAGCATTAAAACTTCTTTCCATATTGTGTAATCATTAAAATTATTAGTAAAAAAAAGATCAAAAATGTAAATATATTAAAAATGTGAATAAATATTAAAAGAAATTTAATTATTGGAAATTAGTTATCTCTTAAAGCAAAACTGCTAAAAAGCAAATCCATTCAGAAGCTAGCATATATATTTTATGTTAACAAGAAGTTGAAAATATTAAACATTTTATAACATGAAGTAAGATTAATTATACTTAAATACTATATACATATAATGTGACAAAATAATTTTTAACTACCTAACTGGATAACATATCCTAAATCTGAAAAAAAAATCACATAAAGATTTAGCCAAGGGTTTTATATAATGTATCCTAAAATTTTTTGTAGTTTTAGATGCCTTCCAGTGACATTTAAAAGATTCTGCAATACTAACCTACTGTTAGCTTCTTCAACAAGCAGTCTCTGCTTTCCAGCTAATAAAGCAGACTAAAAATGAGTCCTAAGAATAGCTGAAAAGAATTGCTTATGGTTAAATAAATGAAAAAGGTCATTTTTAGCACTCAATATTTCTTAAAGTGCACTTTGCTTTGCTCTCACAGAATTTTACATTTTTTGGCAAAAGGAGGGGGATGGAAGAGATAAAGCCATTATTAAAAATGTCTTAACTCCCACTATTCCTATATCTGAACCAGATCATCTAACCCAGAGCTGGAACAGCAATTTTCACCCTTAATTGCATAGTGATTAAGACAGAGAAATACAGGGAATCTCTATGTGTTCAATGTGTCTCTACTAACGTTTAAAGGAGGCTGAAGAGATTTTCAGACTTCTAATCTGTGGATAAGATTTGAGATGGGTTAGAGGTCACCTTTTTGTTTACCAGTTGGAAGAAGAACTATTGTGAATTCAGGCAAGCGCTCCAGGAATGAGCTTTAGGAAAGAGGACCTATAGAATTTAGGGACCTAGACACTGATTTCTTTAAAACTCTCCATGTTCTTATACCCCCTACGAAGCATATTCCAGTGGAGACCATTGCCATAAGCCACCTTGAGCTTCCCCCAAGGTGAATGAAGCTCCTTCTCATTTTCATATGGCCTCCATCCTCTTGGGGTGCAGTTTCAACTGTTTCCCAGAGCTACGTATATGTTATAAATGCAAAGAAGAGCCTAGAAGGATGCATGCCAAAGAAAGATCACTGTGGTAGAAAGTAGAATTGGGAGGAGGGGATTCATATTATTGTTTTTGCCACAAAAGTAAATTTATGCATTGTTTGATTTAAAATAAATAAATAGCACAACAGGGTGACTGTAGTCAATAATATAATAATTGTACCTTTTGAAGTAACTAAAAGATTACAATTGAACTGTTTGTAACACAAAGGATAAATCTTTGAGGGGATGGAGATATATATATATATAAAATATATATAATAATTATTCTGTTAATTATATATGTAAAATATACGTATTATTTATGTAAAATAGATGTAAAATTTACATATACGTAAAATAAAGTGAATAAATAATTTTAAAGGAAACATAAAGCAAGAAATTTACAATTGGAAAAAATGTTGGGAATGAGGAATTGGGGTAGGGTCAAATGTGGTGTATAAGGAAATAAGACAATGGCCAGGCACAGTGGCTCACGCCTGCAATCGCAGCACCTTGGGAGGCCAAGGTGGGCGGATCACTTGAGGCCAGGAGTTTGAGACCAGCCTGGCCAACATGGGGAAGCCCTGTCTCTACTAAAAGTACAAAAATTAGCTGGGCGTGGTGGCACCTGTAACCTCAGCTACTCCAGAGGGTGAGGCATGAGAATCACTTAAACTCGGAGGCGTAGGTTGCAGTGAGCCAAGATCGCGCCACTGCACTCCAGCCTGCGTGACGGAGTGAGACTCCATCTGAAAAAAGAAAAGAAAAGAAAAGAAAAAAACAAGAAAAGGAAAGAAAAGAACAATGAAATCATACAGGGGATTTGCAGAGCTCCAGAGTTTAGACTAAACAAGCCACACACCAGAGAATGACCTCCTCAGAGTATTTTTCAACATTTTTCTCAAAATTCTATTTATTATGTACAGTTTCTAATCTCATCATAGTTAAAAATTGAGTGCTTGCATTTTAAGTGCAGCATCTGGGTATGATTTTACGGTAACCCTAACCCTAGGTCCCCCACAAAAAATAAAAAGCCAATATAACCAGGATGACTTAAACAATCAGAAATGGTAGCTATTGAGCAGATTGAGGCAAAGACAGCAGCCCTGCTGATATTTGCATCCTATCCATGCCATAATGAAGAAGAGATACAAATTCTGTTTTCACAAAAGCCTTTGGTTTGGTCTTTATTTAAAATATTGATACTTTGGGAGGCCAAGGCAGGAGGGTTGCTTGAGTCCAGGAGTTTGAGACCAGTCTGGGCAACATAGTGAAACTAGGTCTCTACAAAAAAAAAAAAAAAAAAAAAAAATTCTAAAAAACATTAGCCAGGCATGGTGTCACATGTAGTTTCAACTACTAAGAAGCTGAGGCAGGACGATTGGAGGATTGTGGGAGCCCAGGAGCCTGCTTTATACAAACAATTCAGAAGGGTCATGCACCTTCAAATCACCAGCATGAATGCCAGATGTATAGTATGATGTTAAATTTTTTGATTTTGAAAACCATTTATCATTTGTGATTTCGTTGTTACGTCATTCATTTGTATAAAGCTGCAGTGAGATATGATTACACAACTGCACTCCAGCTTGGGCAACAGAGAGAGCTGGTCTTTGAAAAAAAAAAAACTGTGGAAAGCCAAGTGTGCAATGGTGTTTTCAGTGATATTTGTTAATGTTGATGAATGTCAGTTTACAAAGATTGAGACTCTGAAACACTAGATGAAGTTGAAACTCTGAGCCCTCTAGCACAGCGTCAGAAAGAACTTCATTAAAGGACACCCCCCGAACAAAAGAAATGTCCAGCCCAGAACGCCCCCTTCTTTCGTGAGAACTATCTGCAACACAAGAGGTGAGGGGCAGAAGTATCGGTCCTGCTTTGAAGATACTCAGGGGAGTTGCGAAGAAAATGCAAAGGAGACCGTAACTCTGCACACTGTGATGCCAGTTGCATCACGTCAGCTGCAGAGGACAATAAATTGGGTGCTTTGAATGACGTAACAACTAAATCACAAGTGATAAATGGTTTTTAACAATCAAAAAAATTTAACATCATATTATACATCTGGCATTCATGCTAGTGATTTGAAGGTGCATGACCCTTCTGAATTGTTTGTATAAAGTAGCAACTACAAAACAGAATGCAGTGTAAGACATGCAATGATTGGAGGGATAAGTGTTCCTGTATCTCCTGGACCACAAAATTGTCTCAAAACCATTTGTTCCCAAAAACCTTATCTTATTGCATGATAAGGGAAGTGGAAGAAATAACAATATTTTGAGAGGCTGGGAGTGATGTGGATTTGTGCTATATCTTCAAGTTTAGGAGTGAAACCAAGAAAAAAAAAATGCCCTAATTTTTTCTTCCCTGCCCACATTCTCTCAACCCCTACTGCCCTCAGATTCTGTGCTTGATCATCCCACTCTTATAACCCCTGGATTTTGCACCAACTTGGGGCCCTGGATGCAGTGATTTCCGTCAGAGATGACCAAAGGAGTGCTCATTCATTCATTCAGTATGTAGGGAACGCCTTTTAAACGCTGTCGTTGGTCAGCTCTCCTAGAAGCAAAGTCTCAGAAGAGGACTCACTGGAGTGATTTATCGGGTGACAGGTCACAGGAGGAGCAGGAGAATTGTGGGATAGGACTGAAAAATAAAGAAAGCAAGGATGCAGCCATCTGAAGCTGGTAAACAGTGGCTCTTGTCTGGCCAAGGGTAACTGTGAGCTGTGGACACCAAGGCTCCCAGAAGCTGGGGCAGGTGAACTGGCTCAGTGACTGGATCTGGGTGGGGCCCTGACAGCCCCCACTGCACACCCATGACCTGGGCTCAGATGCACTCAAACAAATGATGGATACATGCAAATAAATAATCCCCCTTAGATTTTTTTGGAAAACAATGTTCTTTCTGCCCTGCTCTTCAAGAGCAGGGAGCATATCTTTTATTTTATTCAATAAACATCTGTCCGCCCACTGTTAGCCGGGGACTCTACTCAGAGCTAGGAAAGGATCATAAGAGAAAGCAGCTATAAAAAGGAATGACTCGTAGAAGGGAGAATGCCTGCTGAGAAGGGTAGAGAGAAGGGGAAAATCAGGAGAGAGTTTTAAAGGATATAGTTACAGCTGTATAGGGAGAATAAGTTCTAGTGTTCTATAGCACGGATGTAGGATGACTGTAGTTAAAATAATATGTTAATTATAGTTCCAAATAGCTAGAAGGGGGACATTGAATGTTTCCAACACAAAGAAATGATAAATGTATTAGATAATGGGTAGCTAATAACCTTGATCTAATTATTACACATTATATGTATCATAACATCACTATGTACCCATAAATATGTACAATTATTATATGTTGGTTTAATTTTTTTAAGGAATAGAGACAGCATTGCTATCCCAAGCAATCTTTACCATCCCCCACCCAGTACCTGGCATAGTGTTCCGTGCCTAACTAACATGTGTGAACTAACCTTGTTCACTTGCTTACTGATTTTTTTTTATCCATTTGTACCATGGTAAACACATTGTGATGAAACATACATCACATAAAAATTTATTATTTTAACCATTTTAGGGGACAGTTCTTGCTTATTCCTTCTAAAAGCAGTGTTCTATCAACGGTTGGACATGTAACGTAGTAAGGGAGTCAGATGACCCTACCTTTGGCCTTTACAGGGAGAAAAAAAATCCCTTAAGCTCTGAGTTCTTACTACAAAACAAGTTGTCTGCAATGCTACTAGCTATGATATTTAGCACAACCATATCAGGCATTCAGCATTTCCATGTTCATAGGGGGAAAAAATTAAATTGCCCCTCCCTGGGCTAAACAACCTTGGCACTGCATTTTGATCCTTAAATGTATGCACATGCTATCATCAACAACAGACAGGGGTTCTGTTTGCTGAAAGAATATAAATAATTAAAATCCTGCAGGGAGCAGATTTTTATTTACAGGGCTCCATTGTCATTCTTGTACCTGGTGGTGGTATGGTCAAATTACACGAGTTTATTAAAAAACAAAAATTGATGGTTCCGGCTCCGTTCCTCTACCCCATGGAATGAGATCAAATAGAGGCTGCACAGAAGCAAACACTGTCAGTATTTAAAGAGCTATCGTTGGAATGGGGAGGGGCGCTAACTAACATTCGGGGGAATGAGCTCTCAGATGCGTGGGCTCCCTATCGCGCCCAGGGCTTCCTGGACATCACCACATCTTGGAGTTCAGATGTTCATGCTATGAAACGTTTCCAAGCCCGCCCTTCGCCCTTGTTGGATGTTCTGTTTCATCATTCCCTTTTTATTTATGATTCCCCACATTTCTTAAGATAAAAGCTTACACTGCAGAAATAGTCTAAAGCATACACCCTACATACAAACTGATCTCCAGATTTCCAGTGAAATTGCTGCCTTTGTATACTTATGGACTGACGTGATAACTGAAAATAACTTCCATTAGCACTATAAAAACTCCAGCTGATACCAAATGAATTTCATTTGATACCAGCAGAGAAAAATATTGGCTACTGAGATATTCTTTGTTCATGGTTATTTACGGTTAGCTAGAATCCATGTACAATTCAGCCAGCCAGAAGGCCCCAGATGATTCCCTTCCCTGGAGGACCTTGTGTGGAAGGTCTTCCATGAAAACTGGCTCACCTTCATTTGGCAAAATACGAGGACCGCTCTTCTCACACCTGGTCCACCATAATACAAGGAAATGTCTGGTGATTAAATTTCTTGGGGTAAGAAAGATGTCAACAGATGTTTGAGAGATGTGCAGTACCTCCCTCTCCACCTCCAACCCATCACCAGGCGATCCTGTAAATGTTGGAAATGGTCGACTAAATTATCAGGAAATTTCCCCAAACCATGGTCCTGGTGATTTCTTTAATGTAAATATTTCAAAGGTGCATGTACCACCGCTAAGAATTATGTATCGATATTTTGTTATGTTTCCTTCAGATCTTTGACTTTTTAAGAAATATCACACGCAGTTGAGGCTTCCCACTTGGCTCTTTCCCTCTCCGGTAAAACCACTGTCTTGCAACTGTGTACACCCTGGCCATTCATGAGTTATACTTTCAATACATATGCATGTATCATAAACAATCTTAGTTATCTTAAAATATATATACCTTTCTACAAATTTCTTTCTCCACTCCACGTTATGGATTTTTAATGTTTTTATTGTAAATATACATAAGATGCCTATTTTAACTATTTTTATGCATCCAATTTAGTAACATCAAGTATATCCACAATGTTCTGTAGCCATCACATCCATTTCTAGAACTTTTTCATCATTCTAAATAGAAACTCTGCACCCATCAAACAATACTCCCCTATTTCTTCCCTCTCCATAGCCCCTGGCAATCGCCATTCCACTTTCTGTCTCTATGAATTTGACTATTCTAGGTACCTCACATAAATGTAATAATCACACAATTTCTGTCCTTCTGTCTCTGGCTTATTTCATTTAGCATATCAACATTGTTTTTAACATCAGCCCAGGTTGGTACATACTGATATAGGTCATTCATCTTAAATATTGTATAACATTCAGGAGATTCCAGATAATAATTTATCCTTAACTCTGTTGGTGGACATCTAAGTTCCAATTTTTTGCTATAACAAAATCCATCTTGCAGCGAGCATCAGAGGCACTCAGCTGAAGTAGAAATGCTGGGTGTGTACCTCCTCTGCTTTACCAGGAAGCTGCCCAATTGCTCTCTTAAGTCACGATAGTAATCAACATTCCTGTCAGCAGCAGAAGTGAGTTCCTGCTTCCCCATGTCCTTATTTGTACTGACAAATTTTCCTTTTTAATGTTTGATAATTTGATGGGTGTGAAATGGTATCTCAATGTTTTCTTACTTGACATTTTTTCAATGAGCAGAGTGAGGCTGAGCATATTTTCATGCTCATTAACCATTAAAGTTTCTGTTCATGTGAAATGCTTGCTCATAAATTTTACTCTCTTTTATATAATTTTTTGCTTTTTTATTGATTTCCAAAGGGGAGAGATACATAGATACATACATGCGTAGATACCTAGATATGCTGCATAATAATCATTTGACCAGCATAGTTCATTAATTTCTGACTTTATCCTTATTGTATTTTCCCTTCTGCTTGGGTTTACTCTGTTTGGTTTTAGTTTGATTTTTTGTCCATTTTCTTGATTTGGATACTTATTTGTTTATTTTATTTTTTGTTTTGTTTTCTAACTCATGCATGTAAGGCTACACATTTCTCTCTAAATAAATGGTTCATCTCATCTCACAAGCATTAACATGTAATACTTGAATTTAATTTAAAAAATTGTACAATGTCTGTTCTACAAACATACAGCCTTTGTTAGTTCCTTTAGAGGAGACCAGACATTTTCTTTCTCTTTGTAGATATGAAAGTGTCTAATTTTGCCTTAACTCTTGAATTACAAGAACAATGTGTGTTTTTCCCCGACCTCTTAAAGACCACTTTTACCCCCTCTTGCTGCTGGGGACAGCAGCTGTCCCCACGGGCATCTTTCTAAGTCATTGTCTTCTTTCTCAGGCAGAGTGGAGGATCTTCTCTTTGTTTTTGATTTTTTACAGTTTAACTTTAATTCATCTGGGATCTTTCAGGACAGTGTGTTCCTTCAATCTGAGAATTTGCATCTTTCCTTGATACGGAATATTCCCCCATTGCATCTCTCCTCCATCCTCTCTGTTCTGTCATCCAGGAATGTCTATTAGGCATATCTTGGAACTGGCTTACTCTGTCCCAAGCCCTATAAATGCTCTCAAATTTTCCGTCTTTTGGTCTCGCTAATTTACTTTGCAGAGTTTTTATTTTTATTCAGTTCTCTTTCAAATCTTGTCACAGTGTCATGTTCCTACTCTGGTTCCTATTCCTTCATTTAAATCTTTGAATGCTTAAAACACACTTACTTTTAAGTTATCTTTTATACTGTCCTGTTTTCTTTTGCTTTGGCCCTACCCTCCCTCCCTTCCTCATACGATTTGTCATGTTGGCTGCAAACTCATATTCAGAGAGCTTTCAAATCCATGGGAATTCCCAGAAGCTAGTTATACAGGAAGCTCAGGTCACCCCCAACCCAATTAAATCAGAATTTCTGGGGTTGAGGTCCAGACACCAGGGCTTTTGGAAGCTCTCCAGTTGATTTTAATGTGCAGCTGAGGCTGAAATCACTTCCTACAGCACAGAGCAGCCTCCACCTGCCTCACAGCCTTATAAGGCTTTTCACCCACCCTCTTCGTGCTGCTCCTAATTCTGTCTTTAATTTTGACACTTACGGATTTCCCTTTCTTGCTTTCAGTTTAGATATACTGGGGGGAGTTCCCATGATAAAATACACCTAACATAAAATTTACTGTTTTAATCATTTTTAAGTATACAATTCTGTAGCGTTAAGTCCATTCAAAATGTTGTACAACCCTCATCATTGCCCATTCCCAGACATTTTCATCATCCAAAACGGAAACTCTGTACCCATTAAACAATACTTCCCCATTCTCCCACCCTTAGGGCCCTGGTAACCTCTAATCTACTTTTTATCTCTGTACATTTGACTATAAGAGGTTCCTCATAGGAGTGGAATCATACAATATTTGTCTTTTCGTGACTAGCTTATTTCATTTAGCATAATGTCTTCAAGGATCATTCATGTTACAGCACTATCAGAATTTCATTTATTTTAAAAACCAAATAATATTCCATGTCAAGGATATACCGTTCATCTGTTGCTAAACACTTGGGTTGTTTCAACCATCTGACTATTATGAATACTACTATAAACATTGTTCTACAAGTATATATACCTATATAGTACTATATGTATATACATTTATGGGGTACATGAGATGTTTTGATAAAGGCAGGGAATGTAAAAAAGCACATCATGAGGGCCTGTCATGGATGGGGTGAGGGGTAGGGGGAGGGATAGCATTAGGAGAAATACCTAATGTTAATGTCGAGTTAACGGGTGCAGCACACCAACATGGCACATGTATACATATATAACAAACCTGCACGTTGTACACATGTACCCTAGAACTTAAAGTATAATAATAATAAAAAAAGCACATCATGGAGAATGGGGTGTCCATCCCCTCAAGCATTTATCCTTTGAATTACAAACAATCCAATTACACTCTTTATTTTAAAATACAATTTAGTTATTATTAAGTTATTATTGATTACAGTCACCCTATTGTGCTATCACGCAGTAGGTCTTATTCATTCTTTCTATTTTTTAACCCATTAATCATCCCCATCTCCTTCTCAACCCCTCACTACCCTTCCCAGTCTCTGGTAACCATTCTTCTACCCTCTATGTCCATGAGTTCAATTGTTTTGATGTTTAGATCCCACAGATAAGTGAGAACATACAATGTTTATCTTTCTGTGCCTAGTTTATTTTGTGATACTTTTTAAAGAAATGTAATGCAGACTTTATTCAGGACCATCATGATAGGTATAAGGATCCCTGAAATGGGATTTTGTGGTGGGAGAAAGATTGAGCTCAACTCTGAATACAAGAAAAAGTAGAAATTTATAGCCCAGGAGAAGAGTGGGGGTCAGTGGACGGAAATTACTAAGAGGAAACATCACGGGGAAGGGAAGATTCTGGCTAAACTCACCCAGCATGATTCTTACTGAAGACAGACCAGGGCGATCACACACAACCTGAGGGATGGTGGTGGATGAAGAACCCTATCAGGTATCAGGGTGCTCAGATATCGAGGATGGAGGATTCTTGCTAAACTGACTTAGCAAAATTCTCGACAAAATTGGACACTGACCGCAGAATACAGGGATTAATGGAGGAAAGGGGCTCAGGGGAGCCTGGGTAGAGTGTAATGAAGAAAACAGTCTTTGTCAGGAGTCAGAAAAGAACACAGCACTTCAGGAAGCTGATGAGGAAACCAACTTGCTGGGAGCAAGAGATGCTGCAGGGTGGGGGCAACGATACAGCCAGCCCGAGGACTGAGAGTTGATACTTCTGTCCACAGACTCCGGGGCATGGCAGAAATTATTTGAGCGGGGCAATAAGCAAACCACTATTTCCTTACCTACAGCAGATAAAAGACTTCCATCCCAAACATATAATGAACTCCTATAGCTCAATCACAAAAAGAAAAACAATCCAATTAATTTTGATGGGCAAAAGACTAACTAGCACGTCACACCAAAAATATACATACACACACACAGCCAATGGTCACATGAAAAAGTGCTCAACATCATTAGGGAATTGCAAATATAAAGGACAATGTATGCCACTAGGCACCCACACCATGGCTAAAATGAATCAACTGACAATACCAAGTGTTGACGACTTTTGCGAAGCAATTGGAATTCTCATACATTGCTGATGGGAATGAAAAATAGAAAAATCACTTTGGAAAAAAAGTTTAGCTATTTCTTTTATAAAAATTAAACATACACTTATTTTGCAACCCAGATATTCTACCCCTGGAAATTTTCTCCCAATAAAGGAAGAGAACATGTCCAGAAAAATCTTGTACATGAATGTTTATTATTAGTCTTGTATATGAATGTTTATTACTTACTAATAATCCCCCAGAACTGGAACAACTCAAATTTCCGTCAATAGGAGATTGGATAGTGGTGATATATCTGCCTAATAGAATGCACAGGATAGAAAGGAACAAATCCCTGTACAATATAGAAGAATATCAAAGATATTATGCTTAGAAAAAGAAATCTAGAGTAGGCAGTTACTGATACTGTTTAACAGTTCAATGATGCTCATAGCTGGTCTCTTTCTTTTTTGTTTCACCACCCTTATCATCCTGACTTTCAGCCTCATGGTCACAAAAACACAGCCCCACACAACATATCCATGTAAAAGGCAGGAGAAAGAGGGCAAGGGAAGTACCAGTTCCATCTGCCTACTCCTTGTCAGACTTGCACTTCAATATTTTTTGCCAGAACTAGGTCACATAGCAATCTCAATGAAAGCCAGAATCAAGGATTTCAATCTTGATTTAGACCAATTTTGATTTCTTGTGTTAGGGCTGGGATATATTGCTGCCCAGAGCAAAATCGGGTTTTTTTTGTTTTGTTTTGTTTTTCAGCAAGACGGGGGGATGGTTATCACATAGACAACTAACAGTGTCAACCACACAACTTAAAGTCTAAACAAGTCATTCTAAATCCCTTGGGCCTGAACACACAGAAACAATGAGCACAAATGGCTTAAGCCATGTTACAGGAACCCACAAGAAGTCAAGGTACTTTCTCTCAAGCAGAGACTAAGAACTTCACTTAATACCAAAGGAAGAAAACAAATGGCATGGCCCAATAAGATGTGTTGAAATAGCTGCCGAGAAATGAGAAGCAAAGATTAAGACGTTGGAAGTCCCAATGCTACTGGCATTAAGAAAAAGTTAGACCCAGGAATTTAGAGAAGGAAAATAAGGATTATTAGCTTTGGTTGCCATAATAAGATACCACAGATTGGGTGGCTTAAACATCAGAAATTTATTTCTCACAGTTCTGGAGGCTGGGAAGTCCAAGATCAAGGTGCCAGCCAATCTGGTTCTTGGTGAGAGTTCTCTTCCTCGCTTGCAGGTGACCACCCTCACCACGTCCTCACATGGCAGAAAGAGCAAGCTCTGGGGTCTCTTCCTCTTCTCATATGGACAATGGGCCATCACATTAGGGCCCCACTCCTGTGATTCAGGTAACCTTCATCACCTTCTCACAGGCCCTGCCTCCAAATATAGTCACAGTGCAGGTGAGGGCTTCAACATATGAATTTGAAAGGGTGGTAAATAGTCCATAACAACGCGAAAGCAACTATTTGGGAGGCTATGTCTCATTTCAAATGAACCCATGACTGTGGACATCAGGACATCTCTCCAAATTAAGCATCTAAGTCTGTTGAGAGAAAAACCACAAAAGCAGCACCTGGGAGGAAATAAACCCTAAATTGTTCCCCACTAGAGTCAGCAGGTTTGGTCTGAGGCATGGCGCCCATGTGTTTCAGACACTCAAGATGCACATCCCAGCATTAACCAGGCTGCTACGCACGACCACAGCCGAGCTCCCAATTCCTGCCTGTAGCAGATGTGTTGTTTACAAACAAAGTACACTGGCTGGCATATAGCAGCTGTGATTAAGTTAATGACTAAGTGCTGTTTTAAGATGACAAATATCTGAAACCTACATATCTTGCATGCTATTATTTTGTTCTGTAAATGTTTAGACAGCTGGTAGAAGTTTGCCCTGACACTGGCATTAAAACGCATGTTCGTGAAGTCGAGTGCACCATGCATTCCTAACAACTAAGATTCTATTTCTTATGTATGAGGGACTCAGATCTGCTGTTCTGTGGCAAAGCCATCCAGGGCTCAACCCCCTGTGCCTCATGAGTGATCATTTATGTTCCGTACAATGAAAAGACGATAACAATGTCCCCCTCATTATTGCTTCATAAGAAAGAACATGGGCATATCTTAGCTGAAAAAGGCTTTAATGATCTTCTAGGCCTCAAACTCCCATTAGCAGTAGAACCCTGCTTCCAAGTGAAATATTCCATAAAGTCCCAGTAATTAAGAGATAAAAGGAGCACGGCTTGGCTAAAGCACAGATGTGGGTGATGTCCACAGCACCCCGGGGAGACCCTAAGTGCCTTTTCAATACCCTAGATCTCAAAAGAGCCTGCTTTAAAAACTCTTTATCTGGTCTGTTTCTGAGATTTCTAGAGCCTCTTTTGACACCTTATACATCTTGGGAAATAGAATCAGGCCCCTCCTGCCAATCTTCAGAACCAGGAGCCTAGTGGGAAAGACTGTGCAAGGGGAGTCGGGACTAAACATTTCCCATTGTAGCTGGAATGAGTTGTGAACTCCATGTGCTAAAATAGTTGAAGGGAAAAACAGAACCTGTCATTCCCAGGGAGGATGGGAACATTAAAAACAAATAAAAATCAAGTAGGTATCCATAGATTACCAGCTAAGATGGGGCAGGTGTGTTCCAGGTTTGAATCCAGTGAGGCACCCTGGCTGAATGGGGCCAATGGTGAGAGGCCTGGGACCCTATTCCCTGGGTACCACCCCCACTCACCAGGGGTAGAAGTCTCAGAAGCACCCTCAGTGAAGGCTAAGGCTCCACAGAACACAGTTTGAAATCCGCCATTCAATGCTAATGCCTGTAGTAATAGTAATGGGTGTCGTGAATTACCAGTAAAAAATAATGCTTCTAAAAGGACCACCTACAGAGATTCAAATCCAGTTTGTTTTTAGCATTCTCCACTCCCTCCTTCTGCCTGTTTGCCCACTCCCCAAACACAAAATACTCCCTCCTGCCAACGAGAAAAGCTACCAGATCGACTCCTTGACACTCACAGGTCTGGGGCTATTGTGGCTCCCCTCTCAAATGTCACTTCTAGAGAGGCAAGAGGAAAGAGAGAAAATCTTAAAAGAAGTAAAGGAAGGGTTTATGGAGAGATTGAAAATATCACAGAGTGTGGAAATTCACAATTCCTCTCAAATCACAATAGGAGAGAGAGTTCCTTACTTACGGGTAAAGTGGAGCTGAAGAAGCTGGTATAAAACAACCTCAAGGAGATCTCTATGCACCTAGAGTTTAATCAAAAGTTCAACAAAGATTTATTGAGCACCTACTAGTTGCAAGCCACTCTGTTCGCACTGAGGAGACAAAAGTTAAGGACGCTGGACCTTCCTTAAAGGGACTCAAAATCCAATGAAAGAAATTACAAAGGAACAAAAATTATTAAAGGAAATAAAAGGTAAAGATAAATTTCTAAAGAGGAACAGTAACTCATTTAGGGAGGGGCCAGGGTGAGATATGTCTTAAAACCTGTATTTATCATTCCAAACTCTCCTTAAGTTTAAGGAGACTAAGGAATAAAGTCTATTGGAGGCCCACACACATGTGCAACTGGGAAGATTTGAAAGCATGAGTGGCATGCTGTAATCCATCTAGATATGTTATCCCAGCAGACTGTGGAAGATGCGTGTGGGATTGTGAGAACACACCTGGGTGCAAAGAGCCTGGTTAGAAAGTGAATTTAATAGTGCAGGCAACAGAGGATGGAAGTGTGAACTAAGGCAGGAGCAGAGCAGTTGGCTTCAAGACACATTTAAGAGATAAGACGGAAATAATGTGGTGACCAAGAGGGTATGAGTAGACGAGAAACTGACAGTATCTATGG
Source organism: Homo sapiens (assembly GCF_000001405.40). Taxonomy (NCBI): domain Eukaryota; kingdom Metazoa; phylum Chordata; class Mammalia; order Primates; family Hominidae; genus Homo; species Homo sapiens. The sequence goes on along the minus strand of NC_000013.11, from coordinate 100,911,138 downwards.
GTATCTCCTCCATTTTGCCATCATACCAAATTACTTTTTATTTCTATGTCACTGTCTTCATTTGCACACTGTCACTCACTCAGTCCCTAAGTCAGAGACTTCGAGACATCCTTAATGCTTCTCTTTTCTTCATTCTGACATTCAATCTATCAGCACAACCTGTGAACCTACCTACTGCTGATTATTTCTTAAGTAAGTTTACTCCCTCCAACCCACTTTACAATGTTGACTTTTACTTGAGTCCCATGCTTCTAGAGAACAGTGGTGATTAAGAGATTTCCTACTCTTTTGTGCTCTGGAAAATGACTTATTGCAAAGAATCCTCTTCTATAACTTAGATAAGACCCTCAGATACCCCCCACCCACCTTTGTTTACTATGGCAAAGTCAGGCTCAGACCCTCCAATTCCACTCTTTGCTTCATAAACCATTACATGAACTGTGTGTCCCCACTGATCAATCAAAATAAGATGCCCATTAATCTTATTTGACCAAACTTTAGTTAGGTTTCTTTCTTTTCTTCAGTCCCTAACATTGACCCACCCTCAGCCTGAGGACCCTCCTGAGAACAGGCTGACCCCAGGATAAAGCATTCTCAGATTTAATGTCTGATCCCTCCACCTGCCCCAGTTCATCCCACTTCCCCACACCCAGTTCTTTCCAGCTTTATTCACTCCTCCCTACAAAAGAAAAGCCTTTTTCCTGGGATCCACTTACAAATGTCACGGTCAGAGATTCTCTCTCTTGCAATAGTTCTCCTTACCCCCCACTGCAATCATCCTTTTCAATAAAGTCCCCCCTTACCTAACTTGGATTTGTTTTTATTTGGCACACTGCACCACCCTTGGCCAAATCATCCTTATCTCCCTTCTGAGGTTCTACAACGGGCTCCAAACTACTCTCGCCACTTTCCTTCTGGCCAGCCTTCAATTCATTCTCCATACCTGCACACAAGACTATGAACGTGACTCCTGCCTACCTCTCCAGCTTCATCTCTCACCACTCCTCCCTTTGCTCTGTCCATGCCAGGCTGCTTTCAAGCCCTCAAACACACATTCTCTCTTGCCTTTGGGTCTTTGAATGTGCTGCTTCCCATACCTGACTACTCACAATGGCCAACTGGCTATGACTTATCTTTTAGATATGAGTTTTGAGGTCAACCTCCCAGAACTGACTAGGGTCCCTGGTGATGTATTCCCATAACTCACTTTAATATTTGTTTATACCACACTAGATTGCAAACACTTTAAAGCAGGGACCATGCCTATCTTATTCACTTGTCAATTCTGTCTCAAACACAGAGCTTGTTAAGTATTTGTTAAAAAGATGGAGATGGAAGAATGGGAGGATGCCTAGAGAATAAGAAAAATGTTATTTGGTGGGTTGGGTGCAGTGGCTTATGCCTCTAATCCTCTAATCCCAACACTTTGTAAGGCTAAGGCAGGAGGATCGCTTGAGGCCAGGAATTAAAGACCAGCCAAGGCAACATAGCAAGACCCTGGGTCAACAAAACATTTAAAAATTACCCAGGCATTGTGGCACAAGCCTGTAATCCCAGCTACTTGGGAGGCTGAGGCAGGAGGCTCCCTTGAGCCCACATGTTCAGGGTTACAGTGAGCTGTGATCACACCACTGCACTCCAGCCCAAGCGACAGAGTGAGACCCTGTCCTTGGAAAATAAATAAATAAAGGAAAGAAAGGAAGATATATGTCATTTAGAGAGAAAGAAACTATTTCCCTGAGAGGAAATGGCTATAGAGATAGGAGGAAAACCAGGAAGCTAAGGCATGTAAGAATTTCAGGAAGGAGGAGGTGTTCAGCAGCATCCAGTGACGAGAGGCCAAGTGAGATGAGAATGGGAAGTAAATTTTGAATAAACTAAAAGATAATTAATGAACATGGTGAAAGGTGTTTCTCTGGAGTGGAATGGGATAGAAGCCAGGTGGAATTGGATTGGAAACTGAACGGGTGATGAGGAGGCTTTCAAATAGAGACTGATCTACCAAATAATGCAGATGGCAAGAGCAGCGGAGAGAGATAATGTGTCTGGAAGAAAAAACTTCCCACCTACCTGCTGCCCAACCCCATGTACTACTGTCCTGGTATGGACATCCTCTGGATAGAGAGACAATGATTTGGAGTTAAACAGGTCAAAGTGCTTATTTCAGACCTTTCTACCCATGGGAAAGAAGACTGCACAGCTTTCAGGTGAAGCCTTTGTTGCGTGGCCCCGAGTTCAACAGCAGCCCATCACCAGAGCACGGCAAAGGCCAGAGTTTGTCCAGGATCACTGAGCATGTGCCTTGCATTCTTCTTCCCCATCCCTCAGCCTAGGCTGATGACACTGGCTAAGTAGAAGGCAAGAAGCACCTGAGTATTGTGTCGGTGCTTCTGACCCACGTATGCAGTTGACTTGTAGGAAACCAACAACAGGGACCCTCTTCTAACCAATAACAAGGTCAAAATATGAACCTCTACTTTTATTTTTGGTGAAATGGTTAAGGAGTTAGATTGAACAACTCTCCCACTGAAACCACTAAAATAAAGGTTAAGACTTGCTAAATGTCCTTTTCAATGAGTTGGCAGAAGGGAAACAATCCACAATGACCAAAAATAAAATAAAAGCAGGAACCCTGAAGACAAGAAAACACCAAAGCTAGCTCTTTCTTTGTGAAGGTTTCTGCTGAACCCTGAATATATTGAGTTTACACTCTGATGATGGCAAGATTGGAGAGAAGAAGAGATGAAGCCTAGGACTCACCAAACATCAGGAGGCTAAAAGAAGAATCACCACGTGAGATATGGAAGAACTGTGCCTGATGGTAAAGATGGAGAGAAATAAACTGGTCATTGAGAAGAAGACATCAAGGAAACTTATCTTGACTTTGGCACTAGGTAAAAGAGAGAAGGAATTTCCCTTGAGAATGCATAACCAAAAAATAAGCTCTCGTGGGCCTGTGATCTAATCCACAATAACTGAGAGTACAAAAACAAACTCAAACTTATTTTCAATTCGTCCCAGGTTTTCAGTATCTGCAAGAAATAAATGCGAAATTACTCTGAAAAAAACACAATTTCAATCAAATTTTCAAATTAATTCCACAAACGACACTCCAAGGAAAAAGACCAGCTTGCAGTCAAAACTTAGAAAATACACATGAAAATAACATCATGAGTGAAGCAAAGACAAAAATAGCAGAATCAGATCAACAAAGACTTCAGAATTTTGAATTAACAGATGCAGAATATAAAATAACTATTATGAATGTTTTTAAAAAATTGTTTTTGAGATAAAATTCACATCACAAAATTCACCGTTTTAACCATATTAAAGGGTTGAACACTATTAAACATTTCAATAGTTTTTGGCATGTTTACAGTATTATGGAACCATCAGTGCTGTCTAATTCCAAAATATTTTCATCACCCCAAAAAGAAAACTCATATATCCCAATGCTCCCCTCCCCATTTACTGACAGCCACTAGTCTTTTTGTCTCAGTGGATTTGCCCGTTTGAACATTTTATCTACATTGAATCAATATGTGATTTTTTTCTTACTAGCTTCTTTCACTGAACATAATGTTTTCAAGTTGTAATTTGTATCCATATTTCATTCCTCTTTATGGTTGAATGATGCTCTATTGTAGGGATATATACCTTTTGTTTCTCTCTTCATTGGTTGATGAACATTTGAGTTGTTTCCACTTTTTGGACATTATTAATAATGCTGCTATGAACATTTGTGTACAGATTTTTGTTGGAAGATGTTTTCAGTTGTGGGGGGCATACACTTAGTAGTGGAAATGCTGAGTCATATGGTAATTCTATGTTTAACTTTCTGAAGAACTACCAAACTGTTTTCCATAGAGGCTGCACCATTTAATGTTCCCACCATCAACAAATGAGGGTTCCAATTTCTCTGGACGCTCATCAATACTTGTTTTCTGGGTTTTGGTTTTGTTTATTATTTAGCCATCCTAGTTGGTGTGAGGTGGTGTCTCCTGGATGTTTTGATTTGCATTTCCCAGATGACTAATGATGCTGAGCATCTCCTCATGTGCTTCTTGGCCACCTGCATATCATCTTTGGAGACATGTTTATTGAAATTCTTTGCCCATTTTTAATACATGAATTTTTTTACAAAAATCAATTATATTTGATTGTCTTTTTGTTGTTGAGTTGTAAGAGTTCTCTATATATTCTGGATAGTAGACTCCTATCAGCTAAACTATTTGCAGATATTTTCTCCAAGTCTACAAGTTGTCTTTTCACTTTCTTGATGGCATCATTTGATAAGTGAAAGTTTAAATTTTTGACAAAGTATAACATCTCTTTTTCTTTTGCTGTTTGTGCTTTTGGTGCTATATTTAAGAAACCATTGCCTAATCAAAGGTCGTAAAAATTTACACCTCATTTATTTCTAAGAGTTTTATAGTTTTATCTCTTACATTTCAGTCTTTGATTTATTTTGAGTTAATTTTTGTATATAGAGTGAGACAGAAGTTCAATTTCATTCTTTTACATGTGGTTTTCCAGTTATCCCAGCATCATTTATTAAAGAGACTATTTTTTCACCCACTGAATGTTCTTGGCACTCTTACCAAAAACCAACTGATTATAAATGTATGGGCTTATTTCTAAATTCTTAAACCATTAATCTATATGTCTATCCTTATACTAGTACAACACTATTTTGATTACTGTAGATTTGTAATAAGTCTTGAAATCAGGATATGTAAGTCTTCCAGTTTGTACTTTTTCAAGATTGTTTTGGCTATTCAATGGTCTGTTGTATTTCCAATGAACTGAACATTAGTTTTGTCAAGATTATTTTGGCTATTCAATGGTCTGTTGTATTTCCAATGAACTGAAAATTAGTTTATCCATTTCTGCAAAAAAAAAAAAGATTGGGATTTTGATAGAGATTGCACTGAATATGGAGATCAATTTGGAGAATATTGCCATTTTAACAATATGAAGTCTTCCAATACATGAACACATATAGTCTTTGTTACTTTTGGTCTTCTTTAATTTCTTTCAACCCTATTTTGTAGTTTTCAGTGTACAAATCTTGCACTTACTTGGTTATATTTGTTCCTAAGTATTTTGTTCTTTGGTGCTTTTATAAGTGGAATTATTTTCTTAATTTCATTTTCAGATTGCTTATTGCTAATGTGTAGTGATACAATTGATTTTTGTAAAAAAATGTGTTTTGAAAAAAGAAAAAAGTTTGAAAATATAAGAATCTGTTGACAAAAAGAGTCAAACTGTAAAATATTTTAAGAGATTTATTCTGACCCAAATATGAGTGACACATAGAGATTTTAAATATTTTAAGAGATTTATTCTGACCCAAATATGAGGTACATGAGGAGGTCCTGAGAACATGTACCCAAGGTGGTTGGGGTACAGCTTGGCTTGTTATGTTTTAGGGAGGCATGAGACATCAATCAAATACATTTAAGAAGTACATTGGTTTGGTTCAAAAAGGCGGGACAACTCAAAGGGGAGTGGTGGAGGGGGTGCGGGCTGGGGGTGGCTGTCACTTCCAGGATATAGGTAAATGTAAATATTTTCTGGTTGACAATTGGTGGGAAGACCTGGGATCTATAGAAAGGAAATGTTCAGGTTAAGATAAAAGATTGTAGAGACCAAAGTTCTTTTGAAGTCTTATAGTGGCTGCTCTGAGAGACAATAAATGACAAATTTTCCTATTCAGATCTTTAAAAGGTGCTAGACTTTTAGTTAATCTCTTCAGGATTGGGAGAGCCTGGAAAAAAAAATCTAGCTATGTTAATAGAGATTCTTTACAGATGCAGATTTTCCCCCACAAAGGATGGCTTTGCAGGGCCATTTCAAGATATGGCAGAGAAACATGATTTGGGGTAAAATATTTTTATTTTCTTCCTTGTTATGCCAGAGTCAGAGTCAGATTGGAAAGTAAGTCATAATATACAGGATTTAAAAAAAAAAAAAAATCTGATGAGAACTTATGGTTTGTAGGGCATGACTCCCCAGACCCCTTAGATAGAAATGTGGGCAAGATAAAACAAATCAGAGCCTAGTCCTCAAAACAAAAGACTAAAAATTTAAACCAGAGACTTCCAGTTTCAGCTCTCACATGAAAAGATCTTAGAAGTTGCCACTCCCATCCTTACAGCGAGAAGCTGGGCAAACTGGAAACCAATATTGCTTTTTGGCCTAACAGAACTGAGCTCATTGGCCAAATCAACATCTCCAAATTAGGAGAGATAGGCACATCCAGGGGAAAGTAACAGAGATCTTCTGAGCTGGAGGAGAAGCAACTAGAGCCATGGATTGCTAGGAATACTTAAATGGCAGTCGTGACAAACTTCTGGAGGTTGGGTGTGAACTAGCACAAGGGTGAGAAACTCCTGGATACCCTGCAGCTCTAGGAGGACCTGCAGGCATTTGTGGGCTTTACCTCCAAGAACCCTACAAGGTTCTTCTCATAGTGAGGACCCAACAAAGATCTTTTCAAGGCTCTGTCAAGGGGAGGGGAAGAGTAATCATTGTGAAATATGCCCAGAGCCTTCTCCATAACAAATTGAGACAGCCAGGTAAAAAGGGCTCCCTGGCAGAACTTCCCACAGGCCTGTGCACTGGGAGGAGTGCACACCAGGGTGGAGCCTTGGGAAGTTCAAGTCGTCTTTTGCAGGGGGGAGGAGACTGGCCTCTCCTGGTCTGGGTGGTAATCTGGAATTCAATCTGTGAGGCGAGAAACTGGTTAGCAGGATTCTTGCTTTGCTGAGAGTCCCTGTTTCCCTTTTTTTTTTTTTCCTTTTCACCCAATAAATTCCATTTTTCTCACCCTTCAAAGTCTCTGCGAGCCTAAGCTTTCATGACCGTATGACAAGAACCTGAGTTTTAGCTGAACTAAGGAGAAAGTCCTACAACAAAATGCCTACACTCCAGGTGAAAGGACTTGGCCAGAGCCCAACTCCCATACCTTATCCCAGATGGAGGAGGGAGATACTCCCCATATCAGCCCACAGTAGCCTTCCTGTCTCACCTAATGAAGGTTAAGGCAGAAAGCAGTCAACAAGGGTCAAGGCTTCAGAGAAATTGTTCAGGGTGCTGCAGCCATGAGATGGAGTAGGGGAAGGGGAAAGAGGGCAAAAAGCTACACCTACACCATGGGAGGAATACTTATGAAGGTCGCAGCTCCAAGACAAAGGCCCATCAAAACACTGATGAGTAATTGGAAAATTATGAAACAATCTCCCTCTCCCACCTTCTACCACCACACCAACAAGGCTCCAGTATAATAACAGTGGATTATAACCAAAAGAGCTATAAGACACAGACTGTTTGAGGAGAAGCACATAGGGAAACCCAAAGTCAAGAGGAGAGACACAACAAGGACTTGGAGGTACTTGATGCCTATGGTGCACACAGCTGCAGCAGACATTAAGCACAGCCCACTCACAGCCAGTTCAACGTATTCATCCTCAGATAGCTTATTTACCTCAATTTCTACCCAATACAACACATATGGCTTTCAACAACGTATTGCAAGGCATGCCACAAGGCAGGCAAAACAGTCTCCAGAGAGAACGCAGTTATGAGAAACATACTCAGGTTTTATTCAGATCTTGTAATGGTTAGACAGGGAATTTTTAAAAATGATTATTAATATGTTAAGCATTGAAATTTAAAAAGTAGATCACTTGGAAGAGATGGGGAGGTAAGCAGAGAGATGGAAACTCTAAGGAAGGATGCTACAAATCAAACACCCAGTCACAAAAAGGAAAAATGCCTCCAGTGAGCTCATTGGTAGACTGACAAGGCCAAGGTAAGATTCGGTGAACTTGAAGATAGGTCAATATAAACTTCCTAAACTGAAATGTAAAGACAAAAAAAAAAAGAAAGAAAAAACAGAGCAGAACATTCAAAACTGTGTGACAATATCAAAAGGAAATGATACATAGATATGTACATAGATACATAGATAGATCTGCAATATATACATAATTGGAATGCCAGAAGGACAAGCAAGAGAAAACAAAGCAAAAGAAATATTTGAAGTAAAAATGGCTGAGGACTTTCCAAAATTCATGAGACCCAAAGCATGGATTCAGGAAGCTCCAAGAACACCAAACAGAATAAATACAAAAAAAAAAAAAAATAGCAATGCCTATGCCTAGGCTTATATTCAAACTGCAGAAAGTCAAAACAAATAATACTGAAAGAAGGCAGAAGGAAAAAAAAGTTACCTATAGATAAACAAGGATAAGAATTACATGCAAGCAAGAAAAGGGTAGAATGAAATATTTAAATTGTTTAGAAAAAGAAAACACTAACCTAGAATGCTCTATACCATGAAATTAACCTATAAAAGTGAAGAAAAATGCATTAATAGTGGAAATTTAAAATGGTGTAGCACCTGTGGAAAATGGTTTGGCAGTTTCCCAAAGAGTTAAACATAGAATTACCATATATCCCAGCAGTTCTACTTTTAGGTACATACCCAAAGGAATTGAAAGCAAGGTCTCAAAAAATACTTGTATACAGTGATTACAGTAGCATTATTCACAATAGCCAAAAGGTAGAAATAACCCAAGTGGCCATCAGGAGATGAAAGGATAAACAAAATATAATCTGTCCATACAATAAAATATTATTCAGTCTTAAAAGGGAATAAAATCCTGATGCATATTGCAACATGGATGAACTTTGAAAACACTGAGCTCAATGGAATAAGCCAGACACAAAAGGACACATAACATGAATAACACTACTACACACCTACTATAGTAGTTAATATCCAAAAAACTGACAATGATAATTGCTGCCAAGAATTCAAAGCAGCAGGAACTGTCATTCATTGGTGTTGGGAATACAAAATGATATAACCACTTCAGAAGACAATTTCATCAAGTGCATAGTATTTGACAGTACAAAGAAGGAACCTTAAGTCATGCAAATTTAAAAAATATTATTTCGAAGGTCAAGGTATGTCAGGGTGGGATGGAGACAAAAGAATCTAACTGCGTTACAAATGTTTGAGAAAACCTCACAGAAAAAGGTTGTGGGAAGGGGGAGTGGATGATCTAAATAACTTTGGAAGTGAGTGTAGATTACAAGACTGAAGACCAAAGAAACTGTATATAAGCATGGTACTCTCCTAGATAAAGTTTTTCCACAAGTCACAGGTTAACAATCCTGAAACCATGATATATGTATAATGGAATTAGGTGAGTGGATGCCTAATGGTGGGAAACAGGTTTCTTTCTGTTGGAGTGGGAGGTTACAGATAAGCAAAAGAAGAAGGCTAGAATGATCCACGTAGTAATCCACATGACTCATGTTTAGCTTAATGTACACACAGATGGATACATATAGAAATATTTATAGATACGTGTATACTGTATACATGAGTTGGCATACCCACATATATTTTCTTGCTGTCTCAGCTCAGAGGGCCTAGAAGCGTTAATATCCCAGTAGCAATGAGCACATCTAGTTCCAGGTCTTGGTTTCTAATTCCGTTCTCCAATAAAAAGGAGCCATGGTTCCTTAGAGAAACAACTGATTCTAGGACTGGGGCAGGACAATATACAGGAGGAGCCTGGAGCATCTCATGGTGCCAGAAGGTAAGAAAGGGCTCAAGAAACCAAAATGATGTAGGGGGGGACGGTGCAGAGGCATGTCAAAGGGACATCAGAGCCAGCCTGAAAGAACTATCAACAGCTACAGCTGAACAACGTAAGTAACAAAATAATGTAGTATTGGATTCTAAAACCAAAGTATCAAATAAATCTCCATGAGTCCAGACTTATATAGATGGGGTAAAAGAGACAAATCTTCCATAGAGATTAATTTCAAATAATTTATGTACATATCCTCATTTCTAGGAGGTGCAGTATAACTCCTCACTCTGGCACAATATGGAAAGGAAGAAAAAGAGTTACTTTATAGCAGAGAAACCTGACAAATACTACTTAAGCTAGGTGATCAAGATTAACATCGATAGTGGTAATATATGCTGATAAAATGCACTAATATGCACTTTATCTCTGTGGTCTTCCATCCAAAATCCCAGTTTAATCATAAGAAAAATATCAGACAAATTCCCACTGAAGGATATTTTATAAAATATCTGACCAAAATTCCTGAAACGTCTCAAGGTCTTAAAGCACAAGGAAAGTATAAGAAACTGTCAGTCCAGAGGAGTCTACAAAGATATGACAGCTGAATGTAATATTGCATTCTAGATGAAATCTGTGAACAGAAAAAGGCCATTAAAGGTAAACTAAAGAAATTTGAAGGATGTATGAACTTTAGTTAATAATAATGTATTGATAGTGACTCATTAATTGTTACAAATGTACCATAGTAATATAAGATGTTAAAAACGAGGACACCATGTAGTGTATATGGGAATTCTCTGTACTCTCTGTAACTGTTTTACAAATCTACAACTATTTTGAAATTTGTTAAAATTGAAAGAAATAACAAAATGACTTGGGATATATTTAGAATATAAAGAATATACTTTAGGCAGAGAAGAAATAACACTAGATTAAATATCTGAGATGGAAGAAATAATCATGAAGAAAATATAGATAAATATAAACAAACATCAATTGTATTCAATAAAATATCTAATATATATGAGAATAGAATAGACGATAAAAATGTAGACGGTCATAACATGTGACTTAAAAGAGTTTAAAAGAAGTTAAAGTATTCTAACATCTTTAATTACTACAGAATACAGTGAGCATGTGATAAACTTTAGACTTTGATAAGTTGAGTAAGCACATTAAAATAGTTACTGTGAGCACTAAGAGAATAGACATAGAGCATCATAATCCTATCAGTTCTTCAACATTTATTCAGAATCTGACCATTTGTCTTCACCTCTTCTGCCACCTACTCAGGTCCAAGACATTGGATTCTCTCACCTGGGTGAGTGTTGCAACCTCCTAACTGGTCTCCCTGCTTTTTTTACTCTACCCTTATTGAGTCTACTGTCAACACAGAAACTAGAGTGGTCCTGTCAGAACGGAAGCTAGATCTTGGTGTTTCTCTGCTCCAAGTCCTGCAATGACTTCACTTTTCATTCAAAGTAAAAGCCAAAATTATCACAATGATTTGCAAGATCCTGCATTAACTGGCTTCTACTTACTGCGATAACCTTGTATCCTACCGCGTTTTCTCACCTACCCTCCATTCCACACCCTCAGGCCTCTAACGTCTAACATTGAAGACCCACTCTCACCTCAGCCTTCACACTTCTGTCTGCCCAGAATGCTCTTCTCCATGGCATCTGCATGAGTCATTCCTTGGTTTACTTATATATGAAACATTCCCTGACTACCCTATTTAAAATGAAACCCCTTCATCAGAATTCACTATCCCTCTTCCTTGGTTGATTTTTCTTTGTCACCAATGAACTTACCACATAGTTTAGAGAAACTTTGTTCTCTAAGATCATAGACTATCAAAAGCTTTGCCGTTTGAAATTAAATCAATATGAGACATTCTGCTCTTGACTGAGGATCTAAGTCACTTTGACGCAGAGCAGCATTCTTGATTCACAACTCAGCTACAGAGCACCAGATAAAGGATTTCTGGACTCAGCCTTCCATGTCTATCTTAACTTTGTAGATTCCAAGGAAATAGGACCTTGGGTTACCTGATGCTGCTTTGAGCCTAAACTCCATCCTTCCCCCAAATCCTATAATACTTCTATCTTTTCCTTTGTTTGGTGAGACATCTTATGATTCTCAGCATGTGGTTTTCCTCATTGCAATGGGCCAGTAAATCTGATTTTGTCAGACTAGAGGTCACACAGAGAAAATTCTAAAGTACTGGTTCACAGGGGTTCATTTTATTGTTATTCTTTATACATAGATATTTTATTGCACTCTGACATTGAGGTATATTGGTTATATCAGTAAACTATGTTATCTTTAATTACTAAGACAAGTCAAAATTAAAACGAGCATCTCTCTAAATTAGGTTTTCAATTACATTACGACATATCAAGATTTCCTAATGATTTCCTATTTCATTCTTAATTCATGGAATGTCTGACACTCCCAAAGAGCAGTGCCTTCTTCCTTTGCTGACATAATCTGACTGCGAGTGGCCAAATCACACTGTTCGGTTCAGCTGCAAGGATGACAATATCCTCAAGTGGGTGGTTTCTCTCCTCCTGAAGCAGGTGATGAGGCTGTGGGAACTTGGCCCCATCACCTCATTCCTTCCATCATATCCTTGCCAGATGTTTCTGCCAGATTGATAAGGCTTCCATGCCTCTTTGTGTCTCATATTTCTTTAGTAGTGATTATACCAACCTGTCTACTTTCTGGAAAAAAAAATTCCTATAATTAAGAGCCCAGACATTGTGTACTTATTAGACACGATGGTGTCTCAAAGACAAATTAGGCACATTAAGTGTTTTTCCTGTGACTAGTTTATTGAGCCTGTGTGAGCACTAGTGACAACACAACAGGGCCATCTTTTAAATGAATCACTGATTTGCTGAACATCTGTTGAGTTTAGTCAGAATTAATCATTTGATGTCCTAGTATATGTCCTATATTTTGTAATCTTTCTTCATGTTCTCCTCAGAACTTGATGACATGTTTCAATAAGTAAATTTCAAGGGTTTTTTCTCCCATAAAATAAAAAAGCTATTTTCCTTCCAGGAAGAATTATAAATTTGACTAAGTTTTTTAACATTTGGATTCTTTATGAAAATCTTCCATGGTTTCCTGCTCTCTAGCTGGAGTTATTTAGAAACCCTACTAAAAATCCTATTTAGAAAGTGATATTATATATCTTTGTTCTTTTCAGTAGTAATTATTGGTATGGCAATAATAATAATGATGTGTAAATACACTTGCTATGAATTTCCTATGTGCCAGCTAGCTTGCATACCTTCATTGTCTCATTTAATCTTTTAAAAATCCTGCAGATTTAGTATCCTTATCCACATCTAAGGGTAAGGAAATGGTAGCTAAGAGAGGCTGGGTGACTTGCTAAGGGCACAAAGCTGGGTCAGTATTTAGACCCAAGTCTGTCTGATCCAAAGTTTACCTACATTCCAATATACTCAGCCTCCTGCACTGATGGTGCAGTTAATTAAGAGGGTAATTAACTGATAGCTAAGACTTGGCCTCCCTATGTAGAAACAAGACTCCATTTTCATTTTTTATTTTTACCAGTCATTAGGACATTCCCAAACATGAGCATGCTAGGACTTCTGAATTATGAGTTAGAAAGGCAAGGAAACCAGGATTGAGCTGATGGAGAGTGAACAACCACCACCCTGGTACAAGGAAGACAATTCTTTTCCAGTGTTCAGTATCTAATACAGAGGATAAAGGGGGAAGATAAACAGATAGGCTTCAGTCAAGGAAATCCAAAAGGACCACTGTGATGGCTAATTTTATGTCCACCTGGCTGGGCCTGGCTGCCCAAAGATGTGGTCAAACATTATTCTGGATGTTTCTGTGAGGGTGATTTTTGGGGAGACTAACATTTTAATCAGTGGACTAAGCAAAGCAGATTGCCCTCCATAATGTGAGTAGGCCTCATCCTGAAGGCTTAAAAAGAGCAAAAAGCTGACCTACTCCAAGTAAAAGAGAATTCTCCCGCCCAATAGCCTTCAGACTTGAAGTGCAACATCAGCTCTTCCCAGGTCTTCAGCCTGGCAGTCCACTGGACAAGCTTTTGACTTGCCAGACTCCAGGATCACATGAGCCAACTCATCATAAATCTCTCTCTCTCTCTTTCTCTCTCCCTTATTGGTTCTGTTTTCCTGGAGAATCTTAACAAAAACAGCCACTTTGGGTTTAGTTAGCATCTCCAGGGCAGCAGCACACAATGCTTCAAGTCAGATGGCAGCACAGGGGCTCTCAGGGCCTCACAGCAGCTGAAGGGCATGGGAGGTAAGAAGCAACCCTGTAGGGGCACCAATAAGAAGCTGAGGAATTAACAGGGTAAGTGAAGGATCCTGGTGTTGTGAATGGATCTGGCCAGCAAGAAGCTCTCAAGGGGCTATGACTCCAGCTGGTGCACTGAGGCTGCTGCTCACTTCCTCTGGTCAGAACTGGTTCAGGAAGTAGGCAGGACTAAAGCCACAGGTAAAAGACACACACAACTTGAGCCTGAAAGGTGAGGAAGGCCAGCAATTGACCTTTGGTGGGGGTGGATGGGGCAATTCTTTTGTTGTTTAACATCTTGGAGGAGAAAAGTTTTTGAAACCTAGTGCATCAAGAAAACACCTCAAACCTCAAAAGGGAATGGGCTAAGACTTGAGAAGACTTTCACCTCCTCTCTCCCAAGCATAGGAAGTAACAAAGACCTCTTCCAACCCAATCCCAAGCCTCTGCATTCTACAGAGCTGGTTTCAGGAGACTATTACATCAATTCCAAAGCAAGCAATCACTTTCAGAATTATTTTTCATCCGCAGAAATGTCCATGAAGTAAAAGTCTCCGTCAACTCCCACAATCTTTCCCAACTCCACCTGCCACCCTCCAAACACTTCAGATCTATTAATGAAAATAATTTTTCTAATTTTGATGTGATATAAATTCTAAGTCTGGGAACAAAAATACAAATATTATCATGTTGTAAATATTAATACTTCAAAAGACCATCTGGAGGATGCTCCCTTGAATGCTCTGAAAATCACAATTACTGATAACTGCATTGTGCATAATTACCACATTTTATGAATAATCTTTTATTTATCCATCACATCATGGGGGTCAGTTTAATTATTGTTTCCTCTTAACAGAAAAGAAAAACTGTCTCCAGAGGTAATGACTGACTTGCCCAAGTTCATGCAACCAGGAAGGTCAAGGCTGGGTGTATAAGTCCCAGTTCTCTGACTCTACAGCTTATACTGTGTCCCTTCCCACCACACTACACTACCTCTACACTTCAAGAATCTCTCTTCCAAAGAAATAGAGGTCAGGTTACCATGTCCACTGCAAGCCTACTCTTCAAGATATGGCTCTTTGCTTGGCATTAAGCCACCGCCACCACCCTCCAACTTTGGTACAACTGAACAAACTTGTTTTTGAAGGTCCTTCAAGAAAAGACTAATAAAGCCCTATGGCTTAGTTAAGACCTAAACATGATGTGTAAGCTATCAGAATTTCTGTTCAGGCTCAAAAAGAAGCATACTTTATTTCAATAGTGGCACATTCACTCATAGATCACACTCCTCTGGTCTGGTGTGTCATTCCTTTTTAATTTCCATGTAAATCACAATGTCACAAACCACAAAAGCTGTGAAATTCTGAGCCTGCCATGGAAATATGACTCCTAACGTATGTCAAGGGAAATTGGCCAAATCCAGCAGGACTTCTTCAGGGGAAGCTTTGCATTTTTCAGCCCACTGTTTTCACCTCCATATCTGCAATGAACACAACGGTGTGGGGTAATGGTTACTTTTACTTGTGTTCATTAGAGATGCAACATTTATCTATCTGCATAATTTGGGTGTAAAAGAAATTATTCTATTCAAGATTCTCTCTTCAAGAGTTTCTTTCCATCACGTGTGACAAATTGCAAAATTTGTCATTTTTGCCTCGATGACACCATAAAATCTATTGTCTTTTTTCATGGTTTCCATCTTTCCTTCCTACTTTATAAATAAGATAGACTTTTTAAAGGAATATTAACAATCATATCAGTAGCATAATTTGTAATTTAATACCTTTGGATAAGGAAAATGGCTAAGATAGGGACATGAAGATATTTCCCTTCCCATTAAGGTGGTTGGGCCCAGGGTGAGAGAAAGAGATCACTGGTTTATAAAATATACAGTCAGATTCAACCTCAGAAGTCCCAGGAAATTTTAGGACCTACTCACCAATGAAAATCAAATGGTTCAAAGACCTACTCTTGATGGCAGCTGAAAGTAGTTTGTCCTCAATGCACATTCAAGATTACAGCTACCCATATTTCAGTTATGAAGGATTAAGTACATGATGCTTTTGCCTTATCAAGGGTAGTTCTGGCACCAGACATGGACCTTAGCCTGAAAAGCAACCCCACAGCTTTCAGTGATCGATTGCCAAAAGGTATTCATTACAAGATAAGGACTTAGATCTCTTCCATGAATGCTCAGGGTAAATTGTCATTTCTTCAATAAGGTAATTTGAGAGATCAGATTACAAAAAGATCTGTTTCCATCTTGAGTGCCCTCTCTTGCTCTCATTTGCTTATTCTGAGGGAAGCCAGCTGCCATATGGAGAAGTCTATGTGGCAGGAAACTGAGGGAGCTCTTCAGTCAAGAACAAGCAAGAAACAGGCCTCCATTCACCAGCTAAAAGAAATTGAGTCGACCAACAATCCCATGAATGAGCTTGGAAGCAAGTTTAACCTTCAGTCAGGCCCACAGATGAGAACACACTCCCAGCTGCCACCCAGACTGCAGCTCTTGGGGAGAAGCAGAGACACCCAGCTAAGCTGCATCCAAATTCCTGACCCACAGATATTGTGAGACAATAAATGTTTGTTGTTTTAAAGCACTAAATCTTAGGGTAACTTTCTATGCAACAATAGATTACTGATACACACATCCTTGTCTTGTCCCATACCAGACACAGGCATCTCACATACCAGCCCTGACCTAATTCCAGCTCTCGGGCTAGAATGGGGGCTAGTAAACCTTGACAAGCAGTCCCAGTACTACACAGTCCTTCAAAAAGACTGAAGATGGGCCAGGCACAGTGGCTCACACCTGTAATCCCAGCACTTTGGGAGGCCAAGACAGGTGGATCACTTGAGCCCAAGAGTTCAAGACCAGCCTGGGAAACATGGTGAAACCTCATCTCTACACACACACACACACACACACACACACACACACAAATAAAAAATAAAAAGACTGAAGATGACCAAGGAAGCGTCCATTGCACAGAAGACTACTGACTGCATCCCACATCCTACCCCCATTTCTTATAGACTCAAGCCTCCAGGGCCAGTGGAACCTTATAGCAAGTATCTGAACCTCTTAGGGTTCTCTTCATCCCTATGTTACTCTTATAAAGAATCAGATCTCAAAGCCACCTTCTCTGTTCTTCTTAGCATTTCTAAGGCAGATGGATAGGTAATTATCTTGCAAGATGAATCCACAGAGTTTCAGAGTCAATTCCCAGCAGTTTTTTTTTTTTAATGTATTTTCATGAAGTTGAGAAGCTTGTACATTTCTAAGATACTGTGGTAAATATAAAACCAAGTAAAGATACCATTGTTTCCATTCAGGAATTCATGCTCTTTAAAAAATAAACCCAAAGTTATACATGACAAGGAGCAAAGCATGAACTGCAAAGACAACTCCCCAGGAAGAGCGTAAGTCAGAAGGTGTAGGTGTTTACACGACGTGGAACTTTAGTGTTGGTGGGTTTCATGCTGCAGACCAGACTGACTTCTATGAACATTACATCTTATCCTCCTACAAGAACAATTCGCCAATCGTATAAAAGTGTTCGTGCATCCATTAATGCATTATTCTGTCTGAAAAGCCCGACTACAACAAAGGGAAAAGCTGAAATCTCATCTCACCCTGAACTCAGCCTACTTAGTTAGAGATGAGAAAACAGAACTTTCTTTATGCCAGTGCAAGGGGGAGAGCTTTTTATACTCGTATGTAAGAGCAGAATTACAAAGAAGCAGAATAAGAGTTTCTTTTTGGGAAATGATGTCTTTTACCTAATGATCACAATTCTAAATACTAGCTCAGGTTCCATATCCCAAGCAAGGCCCAGACACAAAGTCATTGAGAGTCATTGAGAGTCATTGAGAGTCAACAAGAGTGAGAAGATAGCTACTCTAAAAATGCTATAAAACAAGAGTTTTCCTCCATTTGCACTGCATTCTCCTGGGATAACTAAGGCAGCTTTGTCCTCAGCAAAGAATGGTGACAACTATGTGACCTTTATCAGACACAACGTGCTTGTGTTTTATGAGAACACAAAGGGTGACTAAGCAAGTTGGGTGACCCTCAGCCCTAACTCCTTCTAGAACTCATGTCCAGTTGGCAGAGCAAGGCTGAGACACCGCCATGAAGTTGCTTGTCCATTTCTAAAGCATATACAGGTAAACTACCTATCTCAACCAACATTTTGCAGGATCTGAGATTGAACAAAGGCAGTGGTAGAACAAAATCCAAGGCTCAGATATTCCAAAGTTCCAACCTTAAGAAAATGAAAGGAAAGAAGCCAACTTGAAACCTTAGTCCCCTGAGAGCCTGACACTGCAATATCCCACTCAATTTCTATGTCTGGAAAGGTTGGCAGGGCCAACAAAGAGGGTCTTTGGTGTTCCATAATGTGTAGCCCTCTCCCCCAACTAAAGCTTGCTGTTCCTCTTGGTCTATTCATTACCTCTGTATTCTCTACTTGCCCATCTCAAACACATTCACCCACCACACACACACACACACACACACACACACACACACACACACACTCTCACACACAAGCCCCAAAGCCTGTTACAGACCCTTGGCTCTCTCAACTCTAACCCAACCAAAAGTAAATGTGCCCTCACCATAGCTAACTACACAAAAGCGTCAGTGTGTCAGCCTTCATGTCTTACTTACACAAGGCATCTTGAAGCATAGGGATCACTGCCTTCAATTCCCAACCACCCAATCATTTTACAATTTTCATTCAATTAATCTGTAATATTTCTTCAAGCCAGGAGAAAGCAGTGACCTAAATAGTCAATAAAATGAAAATATCATCTTTTTAGTATTTACTTATCCATAATACACATATTTGCAATTACATATTTTTTGCAGTTATGCATTTATTTATTTGCACACTGAATGCACAGGCAGCCATGTTCCTCACTGTGTGAACTTCACCTTTCCAAGATCAGTGTCTTCATCTGTGAAGCTCTTATGAGGACTAAATGAAACAATGCACATGAAATGCTGGCCACTTCCTGGCACATGCAAAGTGCTTAGAAAGTGACAAAGCACTGATGACTTCAGAAGTCCTTGACTTTGATAGAACATGGATATAAACAGCAATGACACTAAGATAATAATCTCTCGGGATGCTGGAAATATCAATCTTTGTAGTTTACAAGCAGCTCGATATCAAGAGAATCACCAGTCATCATGGATTGAAGGAAACTTGAATAAATTATGAATGGTTCTGTTAACAGACTCATATGTTAAATATGATACTTTTGAGAATGAATTGATGCTACAGAGTAAATGAATCTTTACAATTTTTCCAAAGAGTGTGGAAAATTGAGAGATAACCTTTAATTGCAAAACTATTTAGGTCCTACACCTCTAGCATCTAAACCAGCCACTGTGCCTTATTGGATCATGGCTCATGGTTTATTGGATGAAGCCAGATTTCCAGATTTCTTTTTAGCTTCCTCAATCAAAACTGGAGGATTCTTTCACCTATCAAAGGAGAAGTTCTGGCTGAAGGCTTTTTCCTTACTTTATGGATTTTCTGACACTGCTCTCTTTTTACCACTCCACACAGTGCAATCCAGCAAACCAGAAAATCAAAAAACATGAGTAAATGTGACAGGAAAAGGAAATGTCAGGGCACAAATATTCTTCTGGTAAAAGCACCAATGGTCAGGGGACAGTGTTCTGGTGTTCTTCACATTTTTTTTTGTTTGTTTGTTTTTGGTTGTTGTTTCGTTTTGTCTTTGAGAGAGAGAGAGTTTCGCTCTTGTTGCCCAGGCTGGAGTGCAGTGGCGTGATCTTGGCTCACTGCAACCTCTGCCTCCTGGGTTCAGGCGATTCTCCTGCCTCCGGCTCCTGAGCCGCTGGGACTACAGGGATGCACCACCATGCCTGGCTAATATTTTATTTTTAGTAGAGACAGGGTTTTGCCATGTTGGTCAGGCTGGTCTCAAACTTCTGACCTCAGGTGATCCTCCTGCTTCAGCCTCCCAAAGTGCTGGGATTACAGGCGTGGACCACCATGCCCGGACTTCACCTTGTCTTGAATGTGCTCACTTACATCCGCCAAAGAGGGAAGTACCTTAATGCAGTCTGTAATCACACCAATATTTCTGGGTTAAGGTTGTTCAAGCTAATTGACCCAAGCTCTTCCCAATCTTCTGGTCCCTGGAGAAGTATGGATAACGGGGAAGTCAGACAGACAGTTTCCAGTGAAAATTTAGACTCGAAGAAATTACCTATTTGACCTTCCCCTTAATACTCCCTTTTTGTCCGCTGTAAAGCTCTCCCACTCCCCTGCCTACCTTTGAGTCTCTGCCAAATGCAAGTGATGGTGGCTGACTCCTTAATCCAGGGAGATTGGGTATCAGGTTACAGAGCAGGGTGGATGGAAGTGACTTTGTAGTACAATGCACTTGAATGAATTATTGCAGGATGCTCAAATGGGAAAGACTGAAGCAAAAAGAACCCTCAAAACTCACCAGGGATGTGCTGTGATAAACCCTACCCTGAGTCCCCTCAAAGCCTTTTATATCCTTGGATGATGAGGAAAAGAAAAGACAGGGAAAGCCTGCTATCCCCTAAGGAGGAGGCAGGGATGTGAAAGACAAGGGGGCACTGTTCCAAAGGGTTAATCTGGCCTGGCCACTGCTTGGCCAACAGTGCAGCAATAATAGGCATTGATGCCATGAGGAGCTAAAGTGAAAAACTTCCACAAAGGGTGTGAGGTGGGGCAGGAGTATTGAACACAGCCCTTCTGTAACTGTGAGTACAGGATTGGGCATGCTGTCTACAGCCTGAGAGATAGTGGGCCATGTGGGATGGAACTTAGCAGAGAGCATAGGACTAGAAATCCATCAGTTTCAATGCCTGAGCTCTGAGGGGTGCCTTCTGTTTTGCAACCACACTTCCAGGCTGGTGAACCCTAGAGAAACAAAGGTTCAGTTATTATTCCTTCCAAGAGCACACACCCAGATGTGGCCTTGTATGGGAGGAGCTAAGCATGGCATGTGGACGCTTTAATTTGACCTCTATGTACATGCAATGCCACATCTCAGATGTGATTCTGATTTCATTCCTCTAGGGCTGTGAGTCTCAATCAGAGGTCAGCACCAGAATCAACCAAGGAGCTTTTCCAGTCTGCAGGTATCCACTTCCCACCCCAGACCTATAGGAGCAGAAACTCTGGGGGTTAAGCCCAGTAATCTGGGTTTAACAAGCCCTCCAGTGATTCTGGAGTTCATTAAAGTTTGAGAACCACTGCCTTAAAGAAATAGTTTAAACCTGAGAGACATTCAATAGGACCAATGTCCGGGTCTCACCCCGCAAGAGTACAGCCTACCTAATAGGAGTTTTATAAACTATCCAGATGTTTTTAATATGCAATCCAGGTTGAGAACCTCTGCCTTTAAAAGTCTACATAAATGGATTCCTCATTTATGAACCCCTTGAAACAGTGTGCAAAATTGGGTGTATATGTATATGTGTATTTTTCTGGGAGAGAATCCATAACTTTTATCAAATTCTCAAATGGGTCCGTTATTCCAAAAATGGTTAATAATATGAACACTTAAGAGAGAGCATGCATTTTCTCTTATTTATTTTGTAACTGGGACACTTCATGAAGAAAGTGGTTCAAATATTAATGTGTGCCAAAGATGCTAAATAAATATGAATTAACCTTTTTCAATCAAGTACAAGATGGTTTCATATGTCTTAGAGTAGATAGGGGTAAAGGAAGGATAGCTGTTATTCCATACTGGTCTCTGTCATTGTCATCATTAAAATTTATTCCCTATCCTAGAGACAAGCTACCATATTGCATACAATTTTTCTCATTTGATATACATACAACCCTGTGAGCTATGCTAGGCAGGTAATACAATCCTATTCTTAGATGAAAGGTGAAGTGACTTTCTCAGGGTCACACAAGTCTTAGTAAAATAATAATTTAAATGAAGATCTCCATTAATGTTTGGTCTTAACTACGGGAGACTAATACAACATGGAGAATGGCTAGACCATCTAAAAAACAGAACTCTGACTTGCAAATGCAGCAGCCTGCCCAGTAAACCAACCCTTTATCTATAATAAACAACAAAGGAAGCCAGCCTACTCAAGCTAGACTTGCGGGAAGCCAGACTGCTATCTCTAGTAACAATCCAGCAGGCTAAACAATCACTTCTTCAACAACAACAAAAAAAACAAAATGTTGAGGATTTGATTAATGAATGGCAGTTTCTCTAATTTTTGTCACCACTTCCAGCTTAGGACCAGAAAGAAAGCCAAATATGCCCCCAACCCCTTACATAGACTTTTCCGGTCTGCAGGTATCCACTTCCCACCTCAGACCTATAGGAGCAGAAACTCTAGGGGTTGACCCCAGTAATCTGGGTTGTTGGCTGTAATCTGGGAAGTTGGCTGCAGCCAGCTTCCCTATGTCAACAGCCTTCAATCAGGACACACTTGAAGCTGTCCCTTTTTGCCCACTGTAAAGCTCTCCCACTCCCCTGCCTACCTTTGAGTCTCTGCCAAATGCAAGTGATGGTGGCTGACTCTCTTGCTACATCAAACTCTGAATAAATCACCTCTGCTTTTCTTATTTGAGTTGTCTGTTTATTTCCACAACTAACTTTATGGGCTCACCCTTCCTGGTTTCAAAAGCAAGGAACACCACTACTTATTGCTAAATACTACATATACCTTCATACAGATACACTGATGGGATGATGCCTTTTCAAGTTAGCCCAGGGTAGAGTTTTTCCCAGAGAAATATCTATAGACTCTACCAATATGTGAGTCAAAGCAAAAGATAGATCCATGGAATAGATTCTCATCCCAACATGGCTTCCAGACTGAGGATTCAACTGGATCTGGGATGAATATCTTAAGTGACACCTTCTTCCCCCAGCCCAGGTCATATTTAATTCTGATCTTCACCTTTGGATCTAGCTCTAAAGCATGTATTGGTGATTTCTTAACTACGTATAGGGCTTTTTTTCTCTTTTTTATCTTTTCAAAGTATTATTGATGATCATATCCTCTTACGGAGTATGAGCTAGGTGGGGAAACTGATCTGCAGAGAGATTGCATGACTTGCTTGAGGTCACGTGACCATGGCCTCAGTCTCCCAACATGGCTCTGTGTTATCCCAAAACAGGATATACAGGACATTGCTGTCATCCCATTCAGGAATGCAGGACACTACTGTCATCACATTGCCAGCCCATATCTTGCTCATGGGGCCCTCCTGACCCCAAGGAAAGGCATTCTCTGCCTTCACTGCATGCTCACTTTGTCCCAAGGGAATCTGGAATGAGTTTCCTTCACAGCCTCTTAATGACACAGTGGGGTTGAGAAAGGACATTGCTGAGTCATTTCCAGCCAAAGGAAAGTATTATTTATAGCAATCTGCACAGACCAACCTTGGTAGTAACTGAAATGACTTCCTTCTGGCACAGGGTAAGTACCAGGCTAATTGTCACCTGTACCCTTTAAAACAGCTCATTAAGTATATATGGGCTGCTAATTGCCTCCCCTAAGTTTTCCTATCTCTCTACTCTGGACGTGATCAGGTTCTTTAGCCCCATGGGCTGCATTTATACAGCCTGAGAGGTTTGTTCTTCCAACGTAATTTAAATCTATATTATGCATTTTTGGCAAAGTTTGACTATGGGCGGAAAACTGAAAATTTTGCAGGACTTCCATCACACCAGTGCAGTCTCTATCTCTTTACCTTTTATTATTGGAACCTCCCTCTCTTTTTTCCTACCACTCAGCTTTTTGTGTTGCTTTCTTTCCCTTGTACATTACCCTCCACTGTATTCACCAAGTCTTTCATCTTTCCCATAAACCAGACTGATGTTGACAACTCATTTCTTGTCCTTGCGCTTCACACCAAAGTGTCTAGTTGAAATATATGGGCCATAGCACAGTGAAAATTGAGCATTGGCAAGAGATATTCCCTGATATTTACTATATTACTCAGGTGATTCCTAATTATGTATTGTCTTGCATTTTACCTTTTTATCCTCATATGATTTGTATGCCCGGAGAGACCATAAACCAAGACACTACCATATCTTCCATTTATATTAGCCCTGTTAGCCCTCACCGTATCAGTGCCCAAAGAATTTGGTTGAATCAATGTCTTTCTTATACAGCATGCCCAGATCCCAGTATTTAGAAAATAAACCTGCATTTATTGTTTTGAGGATTCAAATAAAATCTCTTGTCCCACATGTCAAGTTTCTCACTTTGCTTGTTCTCAGATAGAAGAGTAAATAGTAAGTTTAAATGTTCTCTCAGTTTAACTCTAATAATACATATCATTACAATTGCATCTTTGAAATTTGGAGTATACATAGATACATATACACACATATACTATGTGTGTATACTATACGTATACATATATTTGGAGTACACATATAAATACATACATGTTTATATACATATGTAAATATGTGGATATGTGTACTCCAAATTTAAATTAAACCTTCGCTTGAGATTTCAAGCATAGCTAAACGTTTGAAACTCCTGTTTCTACGTTTGTAGCACAAATGCTACAAAAATTACTCAGCAAGTAAGACTGCTCTTCTAAAAGAAGGAAATGATCATTGAAATGAGATTTTACCTTGGATGGATTAACGTTTGAGTTATTTAAAATATTCAAATAAAGTGTTAAATGGGAGCAACATGGAATATGTAGGACATCACATATGGAATAATATAATTTGTTCTATAACAAATACAAAAACACACATATGTATGCATATAGTATATAGATGTGTGGAAATTTACTTTTACTTTTCACTTGTTTTTCCTGAAATTTTACCATAATCATTAACCACATTTTACAGAAAAAAATACTGGCTAAGGCCAGTCATAGTAGCTCACGCCTGTAATCCCAGTACTTTGGGAGGCCGAGGCAGGTGGATCACAAGGTCAGGAGTTCAAGACCAGCCTGGCCAAGATGGTGAAACGCTGTCTCTACTAAAAATACAAAAATTAGCCAGGTGCAGTGGCAGGCGCCTGTAATCCCAGCTACTCGGGAGGCTGAGGCAGGAGAATCGCTTGAACTCGGAGGGCAGAGGTTGCAGTGAGCCGAGATTGCGCCACTGCACTCCAGCCTGGGCAACAGAGTGAGACTTCGTCTTAAAAAAAAAAAAAAAAAAAACTAGCTAAAAAATTACCAATCTCTTAACATAATTTTCAAGATGAACATTTTCCATATGTGCCCAATATGAAGTATCTCTAGATTGGCCTGACTACTTTTGCCTATTCTCCATGGGTCCTACTCCATTGAACATTGATCTAGACCAGGGTTGACAAGCTTTTTCTGGAAAGGCCTAGATGATAAATATTTTAAGCTTTGCAGACTAGTCTCTGTTGTAACTATACAACTCTGCTGTCGCAGTTTAGAAGCAGCTGCAGCCACATGTGGCTATTTAAATTTAAATGCAGTAAAACTAAATACAATTTAAAATTCAGTTCCTCGGTGGCACTAACTACATTCCAAGTGTCCAGTGACCACATGTGTCCAGCAGCCACCATTTCAGACAGCACAAAGAACATTTCCATCATCACAGAACAGCAAAACCTAACTCTCAAGATCTTCAGACTACGTTACAATTCTTCGGAAAAGAATGGGAAAAAAACATTTCATTCCCTAAGCTCCTAAATCCTAGTCATTTTTGACACTTATTCAATACGAATGATTTATAATAGCATCAAGGAGTGTGAAAGTTTCATATTTTGCACAAAATTTCCATGGCGTGATTTTAAACAACATTTTAATTTTCACCAGAGATGAGGTGTTAAAAAGCATGGTGGAAATTTTATTTGGAAGAGTTAAGAATGGAAAGCCAAAACTATCTATACAATAAAAATTATGGGGCTGGCCTCCAATTATTTTTTTAAACATCTTATAAAACTGAAATCCAAAATACAATCATTTTAAATACATCCAAAAATGATAAGGAAGGAAAAAAACAGGTAAGAGAGAAAGACATCAAGCAAAACTGTGTCTAGGGAATGTATCATTTAAAACTACCACCTGCTTTCAGCGGTATTTGAAAGGGACTTTGTCCAATTACTACTTCCCATGATATGGCCACACTTCTATCCTGAAGCTTGTTCTGGTTTCCTTAGAGCATAGGAGTCAAATATGGACACAAGATGGGACAGAGACACTTTCTTTTTAAAATCAAGCACTAGAAAGGTTGCCGAATGATGCAAAACTAAGCAGGATATGAAGAATAAAAGGAAGAACTTTAAGAGAAAAATCACACCATAGCATTTCTAACTTGTTATCGGATTTTCATAAGCTTTCATTTTCCCCATGCATTTCTTGGTGGTTTAGGTAGACACACTATTTATTGCCTACCTGCAATTCCCTCTGTATAGCGGGAGAATTCACATTCCAAGAAAACTAGTGGAAGAAAAAAAAAAAAAAAACCAATGGCCTAAGAGAAGCGGCTCACATTCATCTACTCACCAGCAGCCAGATGAGCTTTGTCTCTTCCACAGCCCATTTGAAAGTGGGTACAAGAGCAGCTGCCCCCAGCAGCAGCAATAAACATGTGTCCTCAAAAAGTTATGACTGTTGACTGCAGAAGAGAGGATGGAGAGTCTGAGAACAAGGCAGTTTGCTTATTGATTTTGAAGCCCACAGTGTGACAAGAGACCAGACAGAAATGTGTTCAGTTAAACTTGGCACAGACGGGGGCCGACAGCCACGTTTTAAACTGTATAATTTTATAATTAAAGATCGGGGTGGTCAAAATAAATAGAACAACATTAATCAAGTCTTTAAGATGCCACTGTACAAATCAGCCACTCTCATGTCAAAGAAACTTCGACAACTTTCAAAGGGCGTCATTTTGTGCAAACAACACACTATATTCTAATGTTTAATTAGCTCAGGTATCAAAAGGCAGATGTGGCTGCAATGGGAATCCCAACATTACCTATGGCAACGGCTGCCTGAGCACGATTGTGGTCACATTCTCTATGCGACAGTTCTCCCCAGTCCTCAGCAAGCCCTTTTTATTCTCCAACTCGGTTTTTCTTTATAAAAATGGTCAAAATGTGAGCCTCCTCACAAGAATTTGATGAAATTTTATGTGGCTTCTGGAGACACACTTTGAAGCTGAAGGCAGCGAATTTTATATGAACAAAGAAGAGTTGTGGTTTTTCAAGCAGTGTTTCTCAAACTTTAATGAGACATCCATCACCTCGGGATCCTGTGAAAATTCTTATTCAGGAGACCTGGGTAAAGTCTAAAATTCTGTGCTTCTAATCAGCTCCCAAATGATGGTGATCTGCTGGTCTACAGACCACACTTTGGATAGCAAAGCTAAGTAACACATTAATTCACCATGATCAAAGACTCCTCCTTAGACTTGGAATTGATAGAGGGTATTATTCTTTAAATGCAGAGTTCTAAAATATTAGAGTGACATAGGACCTAAGAGATTATCAAGAATAAACTCTTCCATTGTTATGAGCACTGAAGGGACACACTCACAGTTACACCACAGTGTGGCAGCAGCTTCTGGGTCTGGCTTCCTTTTGACAGCCATAATAACACATATGTCAAGCCCTACGCAGTAGAAAAGCATGTTCACTATGACAGAGAAGAAGGAATAGAGGGAAGGAAGAGAAGAGAGAGGGAGATGGCTTATTTCTCACATATCTGTATAACTGAATTCCGCAAAAAGCATGGTGCACGACATCAAGAATCATTCGGAAGAGTTGTAGGGCTAATGAGGTTCCAATAGAATTAATCAGTTCACAAAGACTTCACCATTCCTATCCAAACTTTTCCTTGTAATCAATACTATTACCTTCTGAAAAACCAGTTGAGATGGTACGGCTCCCATCCTGTCTTACTTCTCTCCACCAAAGCTTTTATATAGCACCTATTCTGTACCTAACATACCTTCGTGTATGGTATCACATTCAACTATTGCACAAATCTGTAAAGTGGATAGAATTATCCCTTTTTTAGATGAGAAAACTGAATTTGATAGTGATTAAGTACCAAGTATGCGGTAATACAGCTAGTAAGAGGCTCAGCTAAGATTCAGAGTCATGGCCCCCTATTGCAACCCTGAACTATTTCTTTGTTTTCAAGCCTGAAATCACACCAGGCCTATAGCTTAAGTCAACTTGTAATGAGTTTACAAATTTATTATGTTCCATTTGAAAGCTAGCTAGTACAAGTTATTTCTAAAAGAAACTACCTCTCCCACATTGCATCAGTTTTTAGATTAGGAATAGCTCAACTCCACCTTTTTTTTTTTTTTTTTTTTTTTTTGCCTTTAGTACCTCAGGAACAGAGATTTGAATTAATCTTATGTATTAGTCAGGGTTCTCTTAGGGGGACAGAACTAATAGGATATATATATACACATATATATAAAGGGGAGTTTATTAGGTATTAATTTACACGATCACAACGTCCTACAATAGGCTGTCTGCTAGCTGAGGAGCAAGGAGAGCAAGTCTGAGTCCCAAAACTGAAGAACCTGGAGTCCAGTGTTCGAGGGCAGGAAGCATCCAGCACGGGAGAAAGATGTAGGCTGGGAGGCTAGGTCCATCTCGTCTCTCCACGCTTTTCCGCCTGCTTTATATTCACTGGTGGCTGATTAGATGGTGCCCACCAGATTAAGGATGGGTCTGCCTCTCCCAGTCCACTGACTCAAATGTTAATCTCCTTTGGCAACACCCTCACAGACACACCCAGGATCAATATTGCACCCTTCAATCCAATCAAGCTGACACTCAGTATTAACCATCACATCATACCTCTGGATTTAGAACATATTACAATAATCATTTTGTACAAGGACCTACTCCTGTTTTCTTTTGTTTTTCCCCACAACCCTCATCCCTAACTCTCTCCTCTCCACAGATTTCCACTGTGATGTGTTGGATATGCATCTTTGAATAGTTGTACGGATACACACAAATTTTAATTTGCATGTATGACGCTGTTCTGTTTTTTTAAACAAATGCTCTCCAAAGGTGTTTCACTTACTACTGCAAATGCTCCCAGGAAGCAGTTTTAGGCATTTCAACTGGGCAGCATGTCCCTGAAGGGAAGCAGAGAAAGGCTGGCACTCAGGCATGGAGAAGAGTCTCAAGAAAAGGGCATTAATTTCCCTCTCTACCCAGTTATGCCTGGTCCTCAGTGTCCTCCCTGGGGGAAGGCTCATCCGAAGACCTCCTAGAGATGCTGAAAGTGTAGATGCAACCAATGGAAACCCAGAGATGGATACAGGGGAAAATTTTGTCCATAATCCAGGCATATAATTCAGGCATAAGAAATCATAACTGATTTATTTTAATCCATCTATTTCAATTTTTTTACACTTTTAATATTTTCAGCATGAGGGCCACTGATTATTTTACCTCTTTTCTCTTAAAGAAAAGTTAATTATAAAGACTCAGGCCATAATTTCCCAGGAAAGTGTCAGGATGATCTAAGACGAGTCCCAGGCCTTTACCATGAAGCAGACTCTCAGGGATATTGTGAAATCGACATATGAACAGTGTGTGCACATTCATTTCTCTATTGCTTCAAGGACATTCAAACCCAGGAAGGCAGGTGGGCTTCTGAGTTTTGATCTGTGCCAGTAGCTCTCACTCTTGAGCTGGCGTGAGAGCCCCCAGAGGGCTAGTTAAAGCTGGGCCCATCCCCAGAGCTGCTGACTCAGTAGGGCTGGGGCTAGGGCCCATCAGTCTGCATTTCTAACAAATTGCCATGCGGCACTGACGCAACTGATCCAGGGCTTTCACTGCAAGAACCGCTGCTCTACGCAATGTTAGGACCAGATGTTTCAAAAGATCAGAAAATGGATTGGGATTCTTAATTGACTCTTTCTGTTCAGACAGTATCTATACAATGTGTGATAATTTTTATTTTCTCCACATATGTCTTCTTGTTTCTTAAATCCTCGTGATCCTCTAGATATATATTTGGAGCACAATTTTCACTCAATGCCCCCAAAAAACCTGTTATGGTTTTCAAATACTCTGTATCTTCATTTTCTGTCTACTTGATCTGTCGGTTTCTAAGAGTATTAAAATCTCTCACTATGAATGTAGATTTTCAATTGTTTGCTTTATTTATATGTCAAAACTATGATGGGCACTGTAAATTGCTTTATGATTCTTTTATCTTCATGGTGTGTTTTTGATTAATATAAAACATCTTTTCTTTTTCCTTCTTAATGCTTTTACCCTTGAGTTACATTTTGTCATTTTAGCATTATTACTTCTGTTTTCTTTTTATTAATGTTTGCCTGGTTTGTATTTTTCTTTCTTTTTATTTTCAACCTTTCTGCATCATTTGGTTTTATATTTGCCTCCTGTAAACAGCTCATAACTGGATTTTTTATTCAATCTGAGAAAGCCGTGTTATTCGCATAGATTGTGATTCCTGACATGTTTTTCCTTTTTGCAATTCTGTTTTGGTTTTCTGTTTATTGTGCACCCTTTTTATTTTTTTCCCTGTTTCTTGTTACAAAGTTTTCTTTATTCCATTTTTCTCCTCTGATTACTTGGCTATTACCTCTATTACTTCTATTCTCTAAATAATTACCTTAAAATTTTTAACATGCATATTTAAACATATTTTCCAACACTGAAAATTATTTGTTCATTCAACAAATATTCAATGCCTGCACACCCTGTGTGAAGCATTGTCCTGGGAACAGGGGTTCCACAGAGTAGGAACAATAAGCTCATGGAATTTACATGCTGGTAGGAGAAGCAAGGCACTAAGGAAAGTAAAGCTCACCTGCAGATATTTGCAGAAGAGCCAGGAGGCAAATGTCTGGAGCCACTGAGCAAGATGGAATGTCATGGGAGATGACATCAGGGAAGTAAAGTATGTTGCCAGGGCCGTGTGGGTCAAAGTGAGAAGCTTAGCGTGTTGTTGTTGTTGTTGTTTTATTTTGTTTTTGTTTTTGAGACAGAGTCTCACTCTGTCGCCAGGCTGGAGTGCAGTGGTGCAATCTCAGCTCACTGCAACCTCTGACTCCCTGGTTCAAGCGATTCTCCTGCCTCAGCCTCCTGAGTAGCTGGGATTACAGCCACGTGCCACCACACCCAACTAATTTTTGTATTTTTAGTAGAGACGGGGTTTCGCCATGTTGGCCAGGCTGGTCTCGATCTTTTGTCCTTCTGATCTGCCCACCTCGGCCGTGCTGGGACAACAGGTGTGAGCCACTGCACCCAGCCGAGAAGCTTAGTTTTGCACTAGGTTGGGAATCACTGGAGGATTTTGATCGGGGAAAGAAGCAACCTGACCTGGGTTTAAGCAGGTTCAGTCTGGCTGTGGAGGTGAGAATCCAATGATAGAAAGCACCGGCAGAAGCAAAGGCTGTTAGAAAAATCCAGTCAAATCCAATGGTGGCTTGGATCAGAGTGGCTGCAAGGAGTGGGGAAGTGGCCACATTCTGCATATATTTTGGAGGTAGAGCCAAAAGTAAGGTTTGCTAAAAACCAGATTATTGGTGTTAGCGTAAGAGAGGAGATGAAGTTAACAGCAGGTGTTTAATCTGCAACACGGAGGACCAGATGTGCCATTCACGAGAGCAGAAACTGGTTCCTGCAGGACAGGGTGGGAAATGTGGGGGCCACGTGCAGGTCATGTTCAAATTTGAGATATCTACTACACATCCCAGTGAGACAGAGTGTGCAGTTATAGAGAAAGGACTGCAATCGATGGGAGGCAGAGTCCTCGACATAGGGATAATATTTAGACAGGAACTTTGATGAACTCTCCTGGGCAAGCAGACTAGATGGCAAAGAGAAGAGTTCCAAGAATTGAGTCTTGGGGCAGAGACCATGTAAGAGGCCAAGAAGAGGAAGAGAAACCAGGAAAAAAATTAAAAGAATGAGAGAGAAAAAAAGTGAGAATGATTGCAGGAAAATCAGCTGAGATGTGTTCAGGAAGCCAGGGACAAACAGTGTTTCCAGGAAAGAATGTCAATTTCTGTTGATAGGTCAAGTACAATGAGCTCGGAGATTAACCACTAGATTTTTCTAGGAACAGTTTCAATGGAGGCAAAAACCTGTTTGGAGTATTTTCTAGAGAGAAGGAGAGGAGAGGAATTGGTAGCAATTATAGATGATACTTTGAAAGAGTTTTGTTGCAAAGAAGAGATGCCCTTGGTAGCCTCAGTCAAGTCAGGTGAAATATTTTTTTTAAGATAGGAAAAATAATAACATGCCCGTATGTTATGGCACAGATTCATTTGAGAGGAAATAACTGATTTCTGCAGAAGAGAGAGGAAAGCATTGATGGAGAGCAGGTAGAATACATGGGGACATCCCTTTTTCCCCTTGGAATATATCTGCCAAAGTGACCAGACCACTTATCCTGTAGGGTTTCCTGAAGTCTGGTTGTTGCTCACTGCATTTTCATGGTATAGTTTGGAATGTTCTCAATGGTTTCTAAACACAATTTTGTAATAACAAAGCTTTTTCTTTAAATCAAATTTTAGCTGGAAGCACAGTAGAAAAGGCCTCAGAAGGTGCAGCTTGCGTGTTGGAGTGGGGCCAATTGGACAGTCCCAAAAGTGAGCCAGGGGCTCCACCACGGCTGTCTTGGGGCCTTGTATCTGAACAACTATGGAATGGATAATTAGTAGAGAAACACAGATTTCTGTTAAAAGGGAGCTTTTGAACACCTCCACTTGTTTATAGTATTGAGCCCAAATGAGACCAAAATCTCACTTCCTGAAATAGCTAGAATGCAGATTTTCCATTTAAAGCTATTGTCATGACAAGAGATTATCTTCCATAAGGTGAAAACCATAGGCAACCATGCTGTCTGGGATTTGTACAGCCCTTCGCATTTTGAGAGTTTTTCACAGACAGACATGACATCCCTAAATTCTAACTGCTAACCACCTGAGAAGGAAGCTGAGGCTCTAAAGGTCAAGGGAGGCCATTATCACACAGATAAGTGGGGTTCTCTCCATAGACTGTTTTCTTTGGGTATGGAGATAACAGTATTGACCAAAGACATCAATAGGGTTTGCACTCTTAAGTGGATTGGCCAGAAGTAGCAATGCCCAAGTGTTCAGATATTTGGTTTCTTTAATGATGAAGAAGACATGTTCTCCAAATGACTTTGCAGAGCCAGAGACACAAGCAGTGATTACTGAACTCAGCCAAATTAACTGGCCCTTGGGAAAGTCAGAACATGGCCTCTTCAGGGGGCCCTCACTAACTCAGCTCACCAGCCTGGGAAGCCTTTTAATTCAAGTAATATTAGAAAGGGGTGTTTTTCTCACTGGTTGTCCATTCCATGTGGTACACAGAACTATTTATTTATTTACTATGCATTTTGTATCGTGTTGTATCATGTATCATGTCATTCCCAGTTAGAGCATATCTTGGTTCTGCTGCAGCACAGCTTTGGGGTTTATTAGAAAAGTAATGAAACAGAGGAATCAACCATGTCAAAAAAGGAGAGACAATTTAACAGGAACATTTCTGTGTAGAAACAAAGACCTGTTTTTTTAGAACCGTGAGTTTCTTGCTGTCTTCTCCAGGCTTATGTAACTGCTAATTTGCAATCAGGACTTAAGTTATTTTCACACCCTCATATTAAAAAGCAGAGAATTCATAAATATTTACCAGATAATTGCATATGATACATAATTTCTTCTCTCCCCATAAATTATGAACACATTTGATACATCATGAGGAGGAAAAAAGTTTAGGAAGACAACAAACAAAAATGGCCATTAAAATGGCCGGTCCCACTTTGGTGGCCTGTCCAATTCTTTTTCCTCATAAAACCCCACTACGGAAAAAGAAAGATTCTCAAAATTCCTAAGGCAGTGGCTTAAATTAAACATCCACAGTCCAAGATGAAGCTGATTGATCCAGGTCACTTCCTAACTCAGGGTTCTCACACTTACAAAGTTTCCAATAATCAACCATTAACTACTGTAGTTCCCTGAAGTAAGCTTTTAAAGGGCCATAAAGCCACATTTTCTAGCTTCTCCTCTAACACAGAAATCTTCACATTGATTTTCCTCTTCTCATCGGTTCTAACCCCAATATCCCAAACTCATTTTTATTATCTTAAATAATCAAAATAATGTCCAATAAGAAATAATAGCCAGATAATAACTAAACTCTTAAGCTATAGAGGATGCATTGCTTGAATGCTACGGCATAAGAGATTAAAAAACGTACAGATTAAAAACCAATAACTCACCATTCCAATCTAGTTACAAACAGGTATTGTCTATCCCACACAGTGTTTCATAATTTTTAGTTGATTACTAACATTGACAAATTGGGAGATTTCCCATAAATCTGCTTTTATGGCTCAACCTCAAAATTTGGAAAATCTGGCAAAACTGGGTTCACTGATTATCTTGGGGTCTCCAAATTGCCACAGTTCCTCCCATTCTCTCCTGCCCTTACACTCACTCTGTTTCCCTTTGTAAGCATTTAAGCTTGCAATCCCTTTCTAATTGTAATTCCTGTCCAAATGCAGCCTGCTTCAGTAACAGAGGAACCTCGAAGAATAAGTAGTAAAATACTCTTTTTTGTCCCATTTCATTATTCATTGATTTATTCCAACAATAGCATGCCCTATGCTAGACTAGAACTTTGAAGATATTAGTATACATCTAGTAGAAAGGCTCACATCCGAAAATCTGACAGCATCAAATGCTGGAGAGGATGTGGAGCAACAGGAACTCTCACTCATTGCTAGTGGAAATTTAAAATGGCACAGACATTTGGGAAGACAATTTGTCAGTTTCCTATGAAGGTAAACATAGACTTACCTAGCAGTGAATCTGGCCCACAGTTGAGGTACGATACATAGTTTTGGAAAGAAAGGAGGAAGGAAAGAATGAGGGAAGAAAGAAAGGAAAAAGGAGGAAGGGAGAGGGAAGGAGAGGAGGAAGGCAGGAGATGGAGAGATATGGGAGGAAAAGACGAGGAAAGGGAAGGATTTGCATTATGATAGAAAAACTCATGGGATGAGAAGGATTTGACTGTGCAAGTTTGGATTCTCAGTAGAGGTTACATATGAAATAAAATTTGAAAAATAAATAGGAATTAGCTAAGCAAAAAGGCAGATAAAGCAGTCTTATGAGGTACTTAGTAAACACATTTGCTCTTTTCCTGAGCACTCGACTAGTCATAAATTCAGTTGTGGTTGGATTCATGTGACCATATTTGGCTATCACAATATAAGTGGCTAGTAGAGTGAGTCACCACTTTGGTTTGCCCAGGAATTTCCCTTTTTAGTGCTGAAAGTCTGATTTCCAAAAAATCCCTCTTCATGACACAAAGAGTCCAGATTTTTGGCAATGAATGCAGAAGTTTGGGACGAGAAGTACAAACTCCCAATGGATAGGGTTTGAACTTCTTGGGCAAACCAGGGTGGTGACTATACATTGAGTTCTTCAAAAAATAGAAGCTGGAAGCAACGCTGTTTTTAGTGGCAAAAAGATATGGCAAAGATTATCAGCCTTCCATAGCTGTCATCACTGTTTTTTCCCCCAACCACTGATCTGACAACCTCATTTTTGGTTCACAGTAATGAGTCATTCATCTTTACATCATTTTGAGTGACATGACTCAAGTTTGCAATTTAAGTGCATTGTAATTGTGAACCTTCACAGACCTACTTTGCCTGTGAATTACCTATTGTGCCTTGAGTCAAGATGGTGCTATTTTACTATTTAACAGTGTGAATGTTGTGATTAGGACTAGAATTAACTAGTCCCATTGTTGTGCATGTTTTCTAAGAGTTCAGATAATGAAAATGAGAATGAATACAATATCAACACCAGCATGACCCAGACATCACTGAAAAGAAGGCTAAGAATGATGATTTCCAGTTTCATCCATGTCCCTACAAAGGACATGAAATCATCATTCTCAGCAAACTATCGCAAGGACAAAAAACCAAACACCGCGTGTTCTCACTCATAGGTGGGAATTGAACAACGAGAACACATGGACACAGGAAGGGGAACATCACACGCTGGGGACTGCTGTGGGGTGGGGGGAGGGGGGAGGGATAGCATTAGGAGATATACCTAATGCTAAATGACGAGTTAATGGGTGCAGTACACCAACATGGCACATGTATACATATGTAACAAACCTGCACATTATGCACATGTACCCTAGAACTTAAAGTATAATAATAATAATAAACAAAAAAAGAAGGCTAAATGACTGTTACTTTAATTCCAGCTGGAAGGACACATAGAACTGAATTAGCAGGTAAATAATCAAAAGAGATAACAATGCACAATCTGTAGAAAAGGATTTGGGATCGGACCTGGTGGAGAAGAGAACATGAAAGCGTATTTGGAGATGGAATCTCACAAGTTCAGAAGGACAGAGGCAGGTATATCTAAATCAATCAAAAGTTGTCTTTTCTCACCAAAAGACACCAATGCCCTATCAAAAACTGTAGCCGCTAAATTAGCTAGTGTGCTAATTAGTGCTAATGCTCTAAATTAGAGCATAACACAGGAATGAACACAAATCATTGCATGGTTCCCTTGATTGCTTTATAGAACTGAATAAAGCCAAACTTTCTGATTCAGAGTTGCAACTAGACTGTTTCACGGATGAACAAGGAGGAAAATTTTGATAACAGATGTGTTAGCCTCTCTGAGTATGGGGCTGATCCTGTCAGATCTTACTAGTGATCATATTTTCTACAGTAAACCAAGTGATGTATAGAATCACAGCAACATAAAAATGTCCTCTTGGATCTTAGATACTTTGATGTGAAAAAATGGAGTTTCAAATCCACTTCTTGATTTCTTTGAAGATGTTAAGGAAACCATGGGAAATACAAAACAGAAGATTGTTGATATATCGTGTCCAAATACAAACTAGGCTTTACTCATCTGTCTGCACATTCAGGAGACAATGCAAATGTAAATTTGGGAAAATTCCATCCAGTCTGTAAACTTCTTACCAAAGAAAATAAAAAGATCTGATTTCTAAATGTCCTACATCCTTTGTCCATGACACTGCTGGAAAGAGGTATGATTTGCTTACCTGGGATACTGAGGCTTTCCTAATCAAAGTTTTTGGCCACTTTACAATTTACTCAAAATGTGCAAAAACACTTCATGAGACTTTTTGCTTTGTGGAAAAGTGAAAAGAGATTGCTTCCTAAAACATGTCCTAAAAGATAACTGTAATTGTGGTCCACCATAAAAAAAGATGTTAAAATGTTGGCTTTCCGTAAAATCTTACTTTCAGAGAGTGGAACAAGAAGAATGCCCTTGTCTAATTTGGAAATACATCAAGGATAAGAATAGGGAAAAAGATTATAATAATACAGACATTTATGTGCTATTTCTCCAAAATTGTGTGATGACCTTTGAAGAGGCCATAAGAGCTTAGAAAGAGATGAACTAACCATACCTGAGTTGTTTGGTGCAATGTGTAGGTTGTAACAAAAACTCATACAGAAAAAAGACCACAGACTTTTCTAAAAGTTGGTCACCCTAGGTGGAAGGGATGTTTGCCACTTCTAGCCCAGCCAATAAAACCTCCCACAGAATCCTCCATACTCCCACTTTCCTCATCAGGTGAGTACAGTGATTGGCCAAAGGGGTCCAAGGGCCTAAGACATGGCAGAGCCACTACATCTAAGGAACCTAGATCCCTGAAGTTCTGTGTGGAGCAGAGTTTCACTGCCACCCTGCATTGGACCCTGTCATGCGCAAGGTGTTAAGATTCTGAGACTCTGGGGCTGTTCATTACAGCAGCTGGACTGCCCAGACGTCGAGGGTGGCATAACGCTGTCTCATTCAGGACGGAGAAGAGGAAGCCACAGCATGAACCCTGAGGATGTGAAAACCTCGGTGCCATCAGGGAGAGTGCTTCAGAGCAACTACTTCCCCAGGCGGCAGCAGCCAGAGCCAAGTCTGTAGAAGAGGCAGCAGAGGCCCATAATTCAGGGCCTGCACACCGGCCTTGGGGGACAGGAGCACCCAGGAGCTCTCCCAATCAGCCCTGGGGTGCTCTCCCACTCAGCAGCCTGGGAGGAGCAGCACATTCCCTTATTTACTGTAGCTTGAGCAACGGGAGCCATCGATGGAACCAAAACAATTTCTCTTTATTCTTGTCATTGTAGGAGAGCTGGCCAATCTCATCACCCTTCTTGGGATTTAAGGTTTTATGAGTAAATATCTGGCAGCTGGAACTTCAGGGGCCCAGGAAGATTTAGCAATAAGGCAAATCAAGCCAAGCCTGCTGTGTGGTGTTTACATCAAAAGAATGTTTACACATGGTGAGGACAGAAAACAGTGCGTGGTGAGACGGTCCCTCTGAAACTTCTTCACCCTCCCTCCCTACTTTCTAGCAGGCCACCTTGCCTGACTGACCAAATGATTGAATTAATAAACATCTTCCAGGTACAATTAGAAAGGGCTTTCATGGGGGTTGAGGAGGAGTAGCATGAGAGTAGAGAACAAAAATGGTGCAAACTAAAGGAAACGAGAGAGGAAAAGTAAACTTACAAATTATTTTTATGTTGAAGGCAAAGGAATAAGAAGGATAGAGGCACATAAAGACTGCCTCACAATTTTCTTCCATTTCTCGCTCTCTATTTTATTAAAATAAGTTTTCTCTTGGCAGGGCACAGCGGCTCATGCCTATTATCCCAGCACTTTGAGAGGCTGAGGCGGGAGAATCACTTGAGCACAGGATTTCAAGACCAGCATGGGCAACATGGTAAAGCCCCATTTCTACAAAAAATACAAATATTAGCTGGGCATGGTGGCACACACCAGTAGTCTCAGCTACTTGGGATGCTGTGGCGGGAGGATGGCTTGAGCCCAGGAGGTGGAGGTTGCAGTGAGCCGAGATCACACCATTGCACTCCAGCACGGGCAACAGAGTGAGACTCTGTCTTAAAAACAAAACCAAACAAAGTAAGTTTTCTCAAAAACTAAACAATGAATACATTCTGTTTTATTACTCATTAATTCTTTTAAAAATACAGCTATTATCAGCTTGCAGTGAGCTGACATCGCGCCACTGCACTCTAGCCTGGGCGATAAAGCGAGACTCTGACTCAAAAAAAAAAAAATACAGCTATTATCAAGCCATGAAAAAACATGGAAGAATCTTAAATGCATATTACTGAGTAAAAGAAGCCAATCTGTAAAAGCCACACACGTTGTGATTCCAACTATATCATGTCCTCAAAAAATATGGAGACAGAAAAAGATCAGTGGTCGTCAGAAGTGCGGGGATGGAGAGACGAACAGGTGAAGCACAGAGGACCTTAGGGCAGAGAAACTGTTCTATATGCTACCAGAAAGGTAGGTTAAGGTGGATTCATGCCATTACACATTTGTCAAAACCCAGAAAATGTACAATTCCAAGAGTGAGCCCTAATGTAAACTATGAATTTGGGTGATAATGATGTGTCAATGTAGGTTCATTGATTACAACAAATAGAATATGTGGTGGGGGGCGTTGGCAGTGGGAGATAATTTGCAGGGGGTACATGGGAAATCTCTGTATCTTCCTCTCAATTTTGCTGTGAACCTACAACTGCTCCAAAAAGTAAAGCCTGGATTTTTAAAAAATACATTCGGCTTTCCAAAATATAAAATATATTTTATAACATGAATACAAATTACAATATATACCACTTATACACATGTACATTTTCATATACACATAAAACACTTACACAAATGTAGCATGTATATAAAATGTGTACAAAAGCTCCTTTCCGAAAGATCACCATCAGACAGGATTGATTTTGCTTCTT
This sequence comes from Homo sapiens, assembly GCF_000001405.40. Classification (NCBI taxonomy): domain Eukaryota; kingdom Metazoa; phylum Chordata; class Mammalia; order Primates; family Hominidae; genus Homo; species Homo sapiens. The sequence continues at coordinate 100,871,387 of NC_000013.11, read as the reverse complement.
TTTGTTTTCTTTTGTTTACTTTTTTACCCTTTAAAAACAACACTGCTAAAAACAACACTCCAGACTCTAGGTCCAAAGGTTCATGGAATCCATACTTGACTGAAAGGCAACATTTTATTTCAAAGCATGCCCATTTTTTAGTGATGTTGCCAGTCACTTTATATATTTCCTATGTGTCTCTACATTGCGATTAAATCTTCAACAGATACAGTTCAACAACATCCTGGGGCAGGAAGGGACGCACTGACTCCTGGGCAATAAAAATTCACAGTAAAGCCACAGATGCAGCAGAGTGAGAATTACTGCACCAGCAGGAACTGAAGATAAAAGAGGATTACACAGGATGAAATGTAGTAATTGACTAGAAGTCACTGAAAAATACCAGATGGATGTCACTGCTGTATGTAACTCTAATGCGCCTGCAGACTTTATTGAGCATCACTGGAGATTCACTTTTAGTATTTTCTTGAGTGTAATTGAAGTTTATTGATATGCTACTATTGCCCAGTTTAGATGTGACTAGAAAAAATACAGTTTGATGTACTTATATCACCATAGAAATCTTGGGCTTTGCAGCTTAAAATAAAAGCTCATAGTAATAATTGCCATAATATTTATTCCTCTTTCTCCATCAGTCCTTTACATAGAATATGGACTGTAACTGCTCCAGATAGCATTGAAATTGCAGGGATATTTTCAGAAGTGATTCGTACATAAAAGATCAGACATGCGATTTTGGATACTACCAAGGGAGATTTACAAAGGATTTTTATGTTGAAGGTAAAAGAAAACAAATTTATGTGCTGAAATGAGTTGCCATAGGTGGCGCGGTCCCCTATTAGTCTTCATAGGTTTATTTCCCATTTGGTTTTCATCATAGGAATGGGATACAAATAACTGTCCATCCAAGCTAGAATATTCATTCTGTAAACACAGAAGTCTCAGATCTCAGCAAAAGACCTCCCAGCACAAGCATAGGCCATTTCCCTAAGCAACAAACATTTTAAATTAAGCTGGAAATAATGGGCGTGAAAACTATTGTTTCTCAGAAAAGCAAAGAAAAACTCTTCCTGGGAATTCCAAGTACAGCTCGAATCTTAACACTGACAAGATAGTCTAAACTGGTAAGTAGCTGCTGTAGGCCACAGTCAAAGGGCCAGGCCACTTGATTATATTTTCACAAGCTGAAAATCAAATTCCATTAAGAAAGGAAACCATTTAATTCTGAACTCTGGTGAGCTGCATCGAGCAAAGTAAAGCCAGGAAAGGAAGAACGTGAAGCCTGACCATTGGAACCCAGGACTCCTCAGGGAAAAGAGAGGCAGGGAAGGCAGATCCCAGCTGAAGGAGGTCCCTTTCATTTTCCCCACAGCCCCTTCTCTCCAACCCATGCACACATACTCCATTCCTATGGACATACCCTATAGGTCCTGCCCCAAACACACTTATTTTCTATGGGCTGCTCAACTTCAGTGTTAAGAGCAATGTGCTAATATGGCTAAGGTAAGGACCACTCCCTCACCTGTACTTCCAACCCCACAGTAGTATTCTCAAAGGGTATTTGTCCATGGACCACTTGTATGGGGATCTCCTGGAGTATTTGCTAAAAATTCAAATTCCTAGGCTCCACACAAGACCCACTGACTCAGACTCTCTAGGAATAAAGAACAAGCAATCTACATCTTTAATAAGCAACCTGGGGAAATCACATTCACAGAGAAGTTTGAGAAGCATTCACTTAGAGTTTACAAAGACCTGTAAAAACAAGTAAAGGGAAGAGTTGGTACTACATTATAAAAAGGAAAAACCCTCCAGATATATGGTGACTGACTGTGGATCTGGCACACAGTGGGGTCTCAACATGTTGAATACTAGATGCATGAATGAAAAACTTCAAAAGAATAAAGGATTCAGGACAGAATGTCACCAAGATAGCTGACTAGAAGCTCCTATTACTCTCCACCACCAGCCCCTCCAGCCAAAAAAAAAAAAAATCCAAAACAATAAATAAACAACTCCATTTCAACAAATAACTAAAGAAGAGCACAAGAGAAGAGCAAAGAAGCAGCAAAAATCCTGCAGAGCACAGAATCACATGGTGGCCACATAGCAAAAGAAAGGAGGCACCTCTCCTCCACCACCCCAGCCCACAAGTGGGGATCGGCCTGAAACCAAGAGGGACCCCTTCCTGCAGGGGAAAGGTCAGCAAGAGGACCCCAGCAGCCCCCATCACCAAAGCAGACACCTGCAATTTTCACTACTGGAGACTCCTGCAGTCCTCACAGGCTCAGAGCCCCATTGAGAAAGTCTCTGGAGTCCACACGCTGAGCTACCCACAGAAAAGGAGCTGACACTCTTCCCTGCCCTTCCACCATGGCCCAAGCTGCTACTGTACTGTGCCATCTTGGAACTGGAGACACACTACAGTGCGTCCTGCTCTGGGGGTGGGTAGCCACTGAATTCTTGCATCCCTCAGGCTCAGCCACCAGTGCACCATACCCACTTGGTGCCATCCCAAGCAAAACTGCTGCTACACTTTATTCCCTAAAATCAAGCTATTGAGCTGCTACATCCTCCACATCCTAGTCAGTGGTGCACCCTCCCCTTAGGGCTAAGTGGAAGTGGTGCTCCACCACTGGGGACCCGGAGCCTCGAACTACCAGAGCAGTCATACGCCCTGGCACCACAGTTGAGGCAGCACCCCACCCCCGAGGGACCTCAGGCCTTCCACACACTGGAGCTGTCTTGCACCACCACCCCATGCCACAGGTGAAGCGGCGTTCTACCTCCAGGGGCTCTAAGTCTCCAGTACACCAGAGCAGGTGCACCTCCCAGAACCACAGCTGATGCCGCACCTACCCACAGGGATCCAGAGGCTCCACTGACCCATGCAGCTGCACTTTTCAAGGCCAAGTAGACACAATGCCTCAGGTCCCAGGGAATCAGAGCCTTGGCTGAGTTGTGCCACCCTATCCTCCAAATACCCACAGAGCTCCACCTACCTAGAACAGGACTACCCCCCTGTAGTCCAAGTTGCTGAGGCTCTCTGCCTCTCTAAGGAGTGGAGCCATCACTGTGCTGCTCCCTGCCTCCTAGGACCCAAGCCATGGTGGCATCTTGCCATTCCTAGTTCATTCCTTCTGCTATACCTGGCCTCACAGAGCCTGGGATACTGCTGTATCAGGTTCCAGAGGTAACAGTGCATGATATCTTATACCCCAGAACACAAGTTGTCGTGTCTGATGGCTGCAGGTTGCGAATTGCAGCTGTGCTCTGTCTTCAGGGCCCAAGCCTTCAGAGTATCCCTTATTTCCTGGAGCCATGTCAGTACTATATATACCCTGCCCTTAAGGGTTAGAAGCACAATTCTATCCCCCTGGGCCTGAGATGCTGGGGTGTGCCTCAGAGCAACAGATCCTGGCTTAGTGAAAGAACTGCATTCACTTGTGCCTTGGAGAGTGAATCTGTGCCCCACATCCCAGGTGCTATAATAGGTTTTCAAGACCCTCAGCCCAAGAACCCAGCTCCACAGCCCCTCTGAGCACCTGCGTCTTGGATCCCAGGGCCACTGTGGCTGCCTGTGAGCTGTGTCAGACCCAATACTAAGAGAGATACCCTCAGCTAAGCCTCCCCACTTTGAGTAAGACAGTAACAGAGGATATTGATATTGTCTTTGAGAAAGGCAATAACAGAGGATTCCCTAAAGCCCTTGCCCTGATAACCTATGCAGCCACCATTATTGCCACAAACTCCTGCAGCCTAGGCCACCAAGGCACCTGCTGTCATGGCTAACATTGATCACAGCTGAAGAATCTGCATGGAGACTATAGCATTACACTCACAGTGAACTAGTGATCAGTGAACATTCTGTTCAACCAGTACTCTCAGGCCCATCTGCAGGTGAAAGTCTTCCCCTACAAAAGCCACTCTGTAAAGTTTGGAAGAGGTACACCACCAGGTGCACAGACATAAATGCGGAAATACAAGAAACATGAAAAAGCAAGAAAACATGACACTACAAAGGGGCATAATAATTATTTGGTAACTGACCCCAAAGAATTGGAAATTTATGAGTTACCTAAAAAATAATTAAAAATAATAATCTTAAGGAAACTCACTGAGATATAAGAGAATGCAAATAGACAACTGAATGAAATTAGGAAAACAATTAATAATCTGAATGAGAAATTCAAAAAAGAGATAGATATCAAAAAAGAACCAAACAGAAATTTTGGATCTGAAGAATTCAATCAATGAAATAAAAAATTCATTTGATAGCTTCAACAGCAGACTGGATCAAGTAGAAGAAAGAATTTGTGAACTGGAAGATAGGTCTTTTGAAATGACTCAGTCAGAGGAAAAACAAAAAAAAAAAGAATGAGAAAGAGTGGAGACAGACTACGGAACTTATGGGATACCATTAAGTGAACAAATATTCACATTATAGAATTTTCAGAAGGAGAGGAAACAGAGAAAGCAATAGGAAGCTTATGTAATGAAATAATTCCTGAAAAGCTCCCAAGTCTTGGAAGAGATATGGACACCCAGATCCTTGAAGCTCAAAGGTTCCTAAATAGATTCAACCCAAAGAGATGTTCTCTGAGACACATTATAATCAAACTGTCAATAGTCAAAGAAATGAGAAAATTTTTAAAGCAGCAAGAGAAAAGTGCCAAATCACGTATAAGGAAATATCTGTCAGACTATCAGTGGATTTCTCAGCAGACGCCTTGCAGGCCAAAGGAGAATAGGATAATATATTCAAAATTCTGAAAGAAAAAAAATACTCTTAGCCAAGAATACTATACCAAGCAAAGCTATCCTTCAGAAATGAAAGACAAATAAAGTCTTTCACAGGCAAGCAAAAGACAAAGGAATTCATTACCATAGGCCTGCTTTACAACAAATGCTTAATGAAGCTCTTCAAGCAAAAACAAAAAAAGGAGAATATTTACTATCATGAATACATATGAAAGTATAAAACTACTGGTAGAAGTAAGTACATAATCAAATCCAGAATACTCCAGTACTATAACGGTGGTATATAAATTACACATATCTCTAGTATGAAGCATAAAAGTCAAAATGGTCAAAAATAACTAAAACTACAATAAGTTGTTAAGGAATACACAATATAAAAGATGTAAATTGTGACATCAAAAACATAAATTGTGGGAGGGCAGGGTAAAATATAGAGTTTTTTACATGATCTAAGTTGTTATCAGCTTAAAATAGTAGATTACAACTCTAAGATGTTTTATGTAAGTCTAATGGTAACCACAAAACAAAAAGCTACAGTAGATATATAAATGATAAACAGAAAGAAATCAAAGCTTACAGAAAATTATCACATCACAAAAATAGAGAACAAGAGAGAAAGAAAGGAACAAAGGAGCTACAAAACAACCAGAAAACAAATGACAAAATGGCAGTAGTAAGTCCTTACATATCAATAATAACCTTGAATGTAAATAAATTAAAATCTTTAATCAAAAGACATAGAGTGGCTGAATGGATTTAAAAAATTAAAAACAAGGCCTAACTATATGTTACCTCCTTATAAGAGATACGCTTAAACTTTAAGGACATACATAGGCTGAAAGTGAAATAGTGGAAGAAGATATTCCATGCAAATGGTAATTAAAACACAGTAGGGGTAGCTATACTTATACCTGATAAAATAGACTTCAAGTGAAAAAATGTTGCAAGAGACAAAGAAAATCATTATTCAATGATAAAGGGGTCAATTCATTAGAGGACATAACCATTGGAAATATATGTATCCAAAACTGGAGCACCTAAAACCTAAAGCAAATGTTAATGGAGGCTGGGTGTAGTGCCTCATCCCTGTAATCCCAGCACTTTGGGAGGCCAAGGTGGGCAGATCACCTGAGGTCAGGAGTTTGAGACCAGCCTGGCCAACATGGCAAAACCCCATCTCTACTAAAAATACAAAAAAATTAGCCAGGCATGGTGGCGGGTGCCTGTAGTCCCAGCTACTCGGGAGGCTGAGGCAGGAGAATGGCGTGAACCCAGGAGGCAGAGCTTGCAGTGAGCCGAGATGGCGCCACTGCACTGCACTCCAGCCTGGGAGACAGAGGGAGACTCCATCTCAAAAAAAAAAAAAAAAAAAAAAAGAAGATTCCAAGTAAAAAGTCTAACATTTTATGCCTCAAGGAACTAGAAAAAGAAGAACGTGCTAAACCCAAAATTAGCAAAATAAAGAAAATAATAAAAATCAAAACAGAAATAAATCAAAGAATATAAAAACCATACAAATAATCAATAAAACCCCCTTTCAACAATGTATCAATCAATCAGACAGAAAACTAATAAGGAAATACTGGACTTAGAATTTCACTTTTGACCAACTGGTGTAACAGACACATATAGAACATTCCATCCAACGGCAGCAGAATACACATTTTTCTTCAGTGTGTGTGGGAACATTCTACAGGACAGACTATATGTTAAGCCACAAAACAAGTCTTAACAAATTGAAGAAGACTGAAATCATCTCAAGTATCATTTCAAACCATGGTGGTTTGAAACTAGAAATCAGTAACAGAAGGAATCTTGGAAAATTCACAAGTATGCAACGGGTCAATGAAAATATTAAAAGGGAAATTTACAAACATCTTGAGACAAATGAAAATGGAAATACAAAATACCAAAACCTATGGGATGCAACAAAAGCAGTTCCAAGAAGAAAGTTTATAGCAATAAATGTGTACATTAAAAAGGAAGAAAGAAAAAAAAGAAGAGAGATCCCAAGAAAAACATCTAATATTATGCCTCAAGGAACTAGAAAAAGAACACACTAAACCCAAAATTAGCAGGAGAAAGAAAATAATAAAAATCAGAACAAGCCACCTGAGAGGCTGAGGTGGGAGAATCACTTGAACCCAGGAGGTGAAGGTTGCAGTGACCCGGGATTGCACTACTGCACTCCAGCCTGGGGGACAAAGAAGGGAGGAGACACTGTTTCAAAAAAAAAAAAAAAAGAAGAACAGAAGTAAATCAGTAAATCAATAGAGAACATAAAAAAACTAAGAGATAGTTTTTGGAAAAAATAAACAAAATTGACAAAACCTTAGCTAGTCTAAGTAAAAAAGAGAAAAGACTCCAATAAGTGAATCAAAAATCAAAAATAAAACTGAAGAAATTTCAAGACACCCCAGAAATTTTAAAAAAGATAATAAGGGACTGTCATGAACAAATATATGCCAATGAATTAGATAACCGAGAGGAAACGGATAAATTCATAGAAAAATACAACCTACCAAGATTCAGTCAGGAAGAAATAAAAAGCCTGAATATGTCAATAACAAATAATAAGATTGAATAAGTAATAATAAAAAAAAACTCCTATCAAAAAATATCCCAGGCCCAGATGGCTTCACAGCTGAACTCTACTAAATATTCAAAAAAATAACAATAATTCTTATACTCCTCTACAAAATAGATATAAAGGGAATACTGCCAGCATCACCTGATATCTAAGCCAGACAAAGGTATCACAAGAAAAGAAAACTACAGGCCAGTTTCTCTGAGGGCCATTGATGCAAAAATCCTCAATAAAATACCAGCAAACCAATCCAACAACAAATCAAAAAGATTATACAGCATAAAAATGAGATTTATCCTTGGTATGCAAGACTTGTTTAACGTACACAAAGCAATCAACACATTACATTACATTAACAGAATGAAAGTTAAAACCACATGATCATCTCAACTGATTGTCAACTCAAATAAATAAAATCAAAGATAAAAGTGAAGAAATTTCAACAGACACCTCACAAATTAAAAAAGATAATAAGGGACCGTTATGAACAAATACATGGCAACAAATTGGTATGATGCTGAAAATACATTTGACAAAGCCCAGCAGTCTTTCTTGATAAAAGCTCTCAACACTTTAGGTATAGAAGAAAAGTTCCTCAACATAACAAAGGCCATTTATGAAAAACCCACAGCTAACATTTTAAGCTATGAGAGAAAACTGAAGACTTTTTCACTGCGATACAGTACAAGACAAGGATGCCCATTCTTGTCACTTCTATTCAACATAGTACTAGAAGTACTAGCAAGATCAATCAAACAGGAAGAAGAAATAAAAGTAAAAGATCTCTATTTGCAGATGACATGATCCTACCTGTAAGAAAAAAACGAAGTATCCACACACACAAAAAAGTTAGAAATAATAAATGAATTCAGTAAAGTTTCAGGTTACAAAGACGACATACAAAAATCAGTAGCATTTTTATATACAAATAACAATCTAACTGAAAAATAAATCAAGAAAACAATCCCATTTATGATAGCATTTTTAAAAATCTAGAAATAGATCTTACCAAGGAGGCGAAAAATCTGTACATTGAAAACTATAAAACCTTAATGAAAGAAATTGAAGAAGATACAAATAAATAGAAAGACAGCTCATGTTCGTGGATTGGAAGAGTTAATATTGTTAAAATGTCCATACCACCCAAAGCAATACACAGATTCAACACAATCCCTATCAATATACCAACGGCATTCTTCATTGAAATAGGAAAATATTTCCACCATAATGAGAACTTGTCTCTACAAAAATTAAAACAAAAAGGCCGGCCTCGGTGGCTCACACCTGTAATCCCAGCACTTTGGGAGGCCGAGGCAGGTGGATCACGAGGTCAGGAGATCGAGACCATCCTGGACAACATGGTGAAACCCCGTCTCTACTGAAAATACAAAAATTAGCTGGGTGTGGTGGCACGTGCCTGTAATTCCAGCAACTCGGAGGCTGAGGAAGGAGAATTGCTCGAACCAGGGAGTGGGAGGTTGCAGTGAGCCAAGATCACACCAGCCTGGTGACAGAACAAGACTCCATCTCAAAAAATAAAATAAAATAAAATAAAATAAATTAAAAATAAAATAAAAACTAGTTGGGCATGGTGGTGCATGTCTGTAGTCCCAACTACTCAGGAGACTGAGGTGGGAGGATCACTTGAGACCAGGAGGTCAAGGCTGTAATAAGCCAAGATTATGCCACTGCACTCCAGCCTGGGTGACAGTGTGAGACCCTGTCTCAAAAATAAAATAAAATAATATAGCAAAGCTATAGTTATCAAAATAGTATAGCACTGACACACAGTCTGGTAGAACAGAATACAGAGTGCAGAAATACATTGAAATATACATAGTCAATCAATTTATGGCAAAGACACCAAGAGGATACAATGAGGTATCTCTTTGATAAATGTTGCCAGGAAAACTGATTTCCAAATGCAAAAGAATGAAACTGAACCCTTATATCATACACAAAAATCAAGCTGAAATAGATAAAAGACCTAAATATAAAACCAGAAATTATGGAAGAGAACATAGGAGAAAGTTTTCTAGATATTGGCCTTGACAGTGATTTTTTGGATATCACACCAAAAGCTTAGGCCACACAAGCAAAAATAAATAAATAAATAAATAAATAAATAAATAAATAAATAAATGGGACTACATCAAACTAACAAGCTTCCACACAGCAAAGGAAATAATCAACAAAATTAAACAGCAGCCTACAAATTGGGGTAAAAATATTCGTAAAAGATATGTACAAGAAGTTAATATCCAAAATTCATAAAGAACTCATACAACTCAATAATGGGAAAACAAATAACTGAATTAAAAAATAGGCAACAGACCTGAATGGACATTTCTTCAAAGAAGACAGAAAAATTATCAATAGGTATATGAACTGGTCCTCATTATTATTTTATTTATGTATTTATTTATTTTGAGATGGAGTTTTGCTCTTGTTGCCCAGGCTACAGTGCAATGGCGTGATCTTGGCTCACTGCAACCTCCGCCTCCCAGGTTCAAGCGATTCTTCTGCCTCAGCCTCCTGAGTAGCTGGGATTACAGGCGCCTACCACCACGCCCAGCTAATTTTGTATTTTTAGTAGAAACGGTGTTTCACCATGTTGGCCAGGCTGGTCTTGAACTCCTGACCTCAGGTGATCCACCTGCCTCAGCCTCCCAAAGTGCTGGGATTACAGGCATGAGCCACCACACCCGGCCCTCACTATTAATAATCATCAAGAAAATGCAAATCAAAACCACTATGAGATACAACGCTGGATGGCTATTTTCAAAAAGTCAAAAAAAACAAATGTTGGCAAAGGTGTGGGCAAAAGGGAGCTCTTGTACACTATTGGTGGGAATGCAGGTTGGTATAGTCATTATGGAAAACAATATGAGAGTTTCTAAACAAATTAAAAATAGAACTACCATATGGCCCAGCGATTCCTCTTCTAGGGAATATACCCAAGGGAAATGAAATCACCACCTCATAAAGACATCATCTGCACTCCCACGTTCCCTGCAGCATTCTTCACAACAGCCAAGATACGGAAACAATGTAAGCATCCAGCAATGGAAAATGGATAAAGAACCTGTGCTACCTACATACGATGGAATATTATTCATCCCTAAAAAAGAACAAGGTCTTGCCATTTGCCACAACATGGATGAGGCTGAAGGACATTACTGTAAGAGAAATAAGCCAGACTGAGAAAGAAAATATTGTATGATATCACGTAGAGTAAAAAAAAAAAAAAAAATCAAATATTCAGAGATAGAGATAGAGGACAAAACAGTGGCTACTGGGGGCAGGGGAGGAAATGGGGAGATGTCACATCAGAGGATTCGAAACAGCAGATATGTCAGACGAGCAAGTCTGAGAATCCAATGTACAACACGAGTACTGTAGGTAACAAACTTGTGCTGGAGATGGGACTCATGCTAAATGAGTGGATTTTAGCTGTTTTTGCCACAAAAAAAAAAAATAGAGTAACTATGTAATAGGTTGGAATACTAATTTGCTTCATGATAGTAACTGTTTTACTATCTATATGTATTGTATAATATGCTGTAGACCTTAAATATACATGATGGAATTTATTTTTTAAAAAATAAAAGAAAAAGAATAAAAGATCCACTTCTTTCATGTCGGCACCAACATATTTTCACAGGTCAACTACATCTGCTCCTACTTATGTATTTTGGGGGAAATGAATTCATATTTGTAAGTAGTTGCTTACAAATTCTGAGAGTAAAATAGCCACAGGCTGGCCCAGCACCTCCGTGCATCTGGCTGGACTGGGACACCCAGCAACAGGGTGGGCAGAAGAAAGCTACAGAGATAAGCTGAAGCCCAGCTCTGCACAGCATGGGCAGCTGGGGCTGTTTGGAAACAGCAGAGAAAGACAGGAACTCCCAGGAGGAGGCCATGTCTTCTCCCTCTGCTTTCTATCACATCGTGGTCTTGATTACAAAACATGATACGTATGTGGACAAATTTCCATTACACAACTCTAATAGTTACGAGCATTACACAAACAACAACAAAAAGCCACATGTCATAACTATTATTGCTATGTGCCAGAGTACCTATTCCTATCCAGTGTGTCTGTCTCGTCCCCCCGCCATCCTCATCTTCCCATATGCACATTTTCACCATGGACCCTAGATTTCACTGTGGGACTGAGGGCCTATATAGAGTGAGCACAGAAGCAGAAATCAGATTTGTCCTATTTTTGTTTTTCCCTTAAGAATCAAAGGCTTTAAGCACTGACTTTTGTTCCACATGAGGTTCTGCAGGTACCCAGGTGCATGAAACACAGTTCATTCCCTCAACGAATACATACTAGTCAGGGGACTGCTAGGGCTGAAATGTGTCACCCCCAAAATTTGCATGTTGAAGTCCTTAATTACAGTAACTCAGAACATCACCATGTTTGGAGACAGGGTCTTTAGAGAGAGAATTGAGGTAAAATGAGGTCACTGGGTTAGATCCTAATCCAACAGGACTGACATCCTTCTAAGAAGAGATTACGACACAGAAACACACAGAGGGAGGACCACGTGAACACACAGGAGAAGATGGCCATCCACAAGCCAAGAAGAAAACAACCCTGCTGATACCTGGATCTTGGACTTCAGGCCTCCAGAATTATGAGAAAATAAATCTCTGTTGTTGAAGCCACCCAGTTTCAGGTACTTTGTTATAACACACTTAGCAAACTGATACAGATGCACTCAGTCCTGTGAAGTGACCTCTGCAGATCTCAAGGAAGAGGCTGCAGAGGTCACTTTATAGGACTGAACGCTTCTGCATTCCTTTGCTATGGCACTATAACAAAGCACCACAAATTAGGTGGCTTGCAGCAATGGAAACTCATTCTCTTACTCAGAGTGCTGGAAGTCAAAGATCCAGGTGTCGGCACGGCAATGCCTCCTCTGGGACTGAATAGGATGCATCCTTGACTCTCCCAGCTTCTGAGGGTGGCTGGCAACTCTTAGCAATCCTTGGCTGGCAGCTGCATCACTCCAATCCCTGCCTTCGCCATCCCCTTGCCTTCTCCCTGTGTGTCTCTGTCTTTATGGGGCTATCTTCTTGTAAGGACACTAGTCGTATTAAAGCAGGGTCCACCCTACGATGAGTATGACTTCATCATAACTCATTACATCTGGAACCACCCTATTTCCAGATGAAGTCACATTCTGAGGTACTAGGGGTTAGGGCTTTAGCATATCTTTTCGAGGGACACAATTCAACCCATATCAGCTTATTGTAAACATACCCTGTGAGCTGAGGTAGAAAGAGAAACTGCCCCATCAGCAGGACAGTCACCTTAGGCCCGAGTTTTCCTGACTCTCAAAGACACGACAGAAGTCACAGGCAAATGAGAAAATGTTTCAGCGTCCCCTGAGGCTTCACAGACTTGGAACCCATGTCGCATTGAGCTGCTCTCCATTTGCCTTCCATGATGAGACTATAACCAGGGTAATTTCACTTCACCCTGAATTTGGAGTGACTCTCTGGGGCAAAGGAAGTGGCTCCACTTCAGGAGTGACTGGGCCACATGGCCCAGTGTGGCCAGGAGAACAGTTGGCACTGCCCATCTAATGCAGAGTACCTGCGTTGAAACAAAAAGTTAACTAGACCCACTTCAAAAGGTGGTTTTATAAGTGATCTGCACTAAATAATTATAATTGCTAAATGTATGTCTCATTTAACTATCAGAAATTTTTGCCCAGAGGCTGAGGAAGGAAAATGGTGTGATCTGCCAAAATTTACACTCCTAGAAATACTGTTCCTGTATATATGCTTAAAGAGCTTTAAGAAATGAGGAAACCTAAACTCAAACACTGAAATGCACGAAAGGGAAGTCTTTTCTTTGCAATAAGCTGCATTAAAAACTAGAATGATATATAATCGCACCTTCAGTCACCAAATTAATGCCAATTATTTGTATCCAATCCCCCTCCTAGTCAAGATAACTACAGAATCCACTTTGGGTGCTTGGAGCCCAAACATCAGCAGCCATGGTATTGGCCATTGGATGGTGACTCTACATGTGGTTAATTAGGATTTAGGGAATAGAGAAAAGAACAGTTGCGTCCACCCCGTCGTTGAATGGTGACTGCCTCACGCACAACCCCGTTCCAGCAGCACTTGGCCCTTCTGATGTGGATGGGTCAGTCTCAGGACCTGCATAGACAACTTGCTGGTGCTTGCCTGCCACAGTCCCAAAAATCAGAATCTCAAGAGACCAAAATCCATGTCCCTGGTACTGAGGCAGGCTCTGTGGGTTGCCTTTCTTGAGAGTTCCAAAAGGACGTAGCATGTGGTCAGAATCAAATTATTACTATAATATTTTACAATTATCTCCAGGGTCAATTTGTTGCCTAGAGCATTTAAGCATTTATGGACTCAATGAGTGTTTATGGGGTGCCTATTATTTTTCAGGGACAGGCATTTGTAAGTTTCTCCATTCATCCTTTCTGAGTGCCAGGTACTGTGATCTGTGCCGGGCATAAAGTGGAGGATCAAAGCAGTGGCTGTTGTACTGTTTTCCTGCTACTGATTTTTGTGAGGAAAATACCCAAACACTCCTGGCCTCCACCCCACCACTAGCTCCTCCTCATGCAGGTAGAATGACTTACCTGGTTGGTTTGGTTCAAATTCTCCATTGTATGAAGCTAAACTATTAAAGATTCTCCTCAAGCCAGGCACGGTAGCTCACGCCTGTAATCCCAGCACTTTGGGAGCCTGAGGTGGGTGGATCACCTGAGGTCAGGAGTTCGAGACCAGCCTGGCCAATATGGCGAAACCCCATCTCTACTAAAAATACAAAAATTAGCCAGGCGTGGTGGTGCATGCCTGTAGTCCCAGTTACTTGGGAGGCTGAGGCAGGAGAATCACTTCAACTGGGGAGGCAGAGGCTACAGTGAGTCGAGATTGCGCCATTACACTCCAGCCTGGGTAACAAAAAAAGATTCTCATTAGAGGAGGGCGGAATCTGCCCCCTTTCTCTTCTTCACTGGACTCATGGAAACAGCCGTCTACCTAAGTATGGGCACCTGCAGACTCTGCTTGCTCCCAGAAGCCTCTTCCAAAGTGTACTGAGGAGGAAAAAGGCACCCTACCCATGTGGGCTCACACATGTCCAATACCTGCCAGTCCCCCTGCCCACGGGAAGTGAAAGAGTGACTGGGACAGAGACATACTGTGAGGCTGGATCAGCACTTGGGAGGTCTTGGTAGTCTCCACTCTGCCTGCCCTGAGGGCACAGCAGCAGGGAAAGCCATTCTGCCAAGAGAAAAGAATGAAGCACTCACGACAGAGGGAAAAAGAAGCCAAGAGATGGGCAGAACAGTCCTTGGGTTTTTATCAAATTCCCAGCTTTTTTTAATGATCACCAGTGACAAGGGTGATCCTTCCATTTTCTCACTGGTGCCTCTTTTTATCTTATTTTCCAGCCAATCAAAAACACATGGAGAAGAGGATGTTGGTGTCTCCCAACATGTGCACGCACGCACAGTCTATACAGAGGCAACCATCTGCCCTGCCCCCTCTCCCATTCCCCCATCCACCCATTGGGTGTGAGCTTCCCTGGCAAGGCCTCTGCACCTTCCATGATAATGTCACTCAGGATTTATAATGATGAAGGTGACAGAATAACTCCAAGTTCCTTGATGAATCCTGGCACCATTGTAGCTTCTTATTTATCTTGTGTCTTGGGTTAGATAGAAATGTATGTTTTGATTATTCCCTGATAATTCATTCCATAATAGCAATAATTAAAACTTCACAGTTACAGCTATTCCCTTCTTCAGCTTTTCACAGCTTAAAAAAAGTTTGCATCTTTTGAGGATTTCAGGCAAATATGGTACAAAAACCATAAAATATGTTCCTCATCTCACAACAACTTGGGATGCTGAAAAAGAGGGAGAGGAGAGGTTGAAACAGTAGGGCAAAGAAGAAACTAAAATTTAGGAGATTGCAGAATGACAGATAAAATCTGTGGCCCTCCTTTCAATGTTTTTACTATAGGTATAATCAGACTCTTTAGCGGACTGCTCAGTGTATGATGGGTAAAATTTCAGAGTGCTCTCTGACCAAATCTCTCTTTTACGTCGGGAGAAATGGTGTGTTGGTGTTGATCTAGCTCTCGGAAGCATCTTGGACTCAACCTGAGAGGTCACTACCCCTTTGTGTTCCCTCCTCACTTGTCAACTCTGGGTACCAGACTGTGGTCACATTAATGCTCTTCCAAGTGACTCATTTGAAGAACATATAATGTATTTAGCGCTTTCTTAGCTCTAAAAAGATATGAATTGCCAAGACCTCACCATGATGATCCTGGTTTTCATGATCATCTAAAGTATTAGGAAAATTCCTTGATGAAGTCAGTTGAATGTGTCAAATTAAAAAGCAGTAGAGACATGCAGACAAGGACACCTGGTGTGTCATTAACTGTCCTCACCTATTCACAGTCATATTTGCCAGCCCGCCCTGTTCCACATGCAGATGCATGCATGCATGCACGCACACGCACACACACAACACACATAGGCACATACACAACCACCCTGGCCCCCTAAGACTGAACCAGAGGCTAGGCAATAGATCGAGGCTGGGCCAGGGTCCCTTCTCTGGAACTTGGAATTGAGGAAGTGAAAGAGTGACTGGGACAGTGACACACTGTGAGGCTGGATCAGCACTTGGGAGGCCTTGGTCACCTCTGCTCTGCCTGCCCTGAGGGCAGAGCAGTGGGGAAAGCCATTCTGCCAATAGAAAAGAATGAAGCACTCACCACAGAGGGAAAGAGAAGCCAAGAGAGGAGCAGAATATTCTTTGGGTTTTTATCAAATTCCCAGTTTCTTTAGTGATCATTTCTGAATCCCAGTGCCATCCCTGCCCTTAAATTGCATGAAACACACCTACCTGTGTCCCTAATAATTAACTTGCTTTTGTTACTTATAACCAAAAGAGATGGATACGGTGCAGAGCCACTGTAAAAAGTTGCTGGGTGCCCAAGTTGTAGCAAAAGTCACAGTGAACAAAAACGCCTTGCATATATCTGATATCACTCTCCCTTGTTAATTCCCTTGGACATATGAATAGTGCCTGTACGCTACTCATTTTCTATCAACAAAGGCATTCTCCAACCCCTCATCTAGAGCCCTGAACCCCTTCTGGGAGACAGAGCTGGTTGACAATGCTTGGATGTGCCGAGTCTGTGCAATTGCCATGAAAATAATGGACCGGTACCATGCAACTCAGATTACAAAACAAGAGGTTAAGTGTGTCCAGCCCAGATCATCAAAACGCAATGGCAATTATTTATATCAGTCACAAGCGGCTCCACTTAACAGCTATTTGGAGAAAAAAAAATGGAGGGAAGTAGGGAGAGCATTCTTGCTACTGCATCGAAAAGCATGAAAATGATCATTTGGATAACGTAGCTGCTGTCTTAAACACTAATATGCCCACAATGAAAGTGGAGATCAAAATAACGGCACCGACAAACGGTGCAAACATGTCTCAAGAAGCACACCCAGGGTTTCATTTTCTGACTTACTTAAAAGGCTCACAGGTTGCAAGCATCGTTCTTTTCTCATTTCCAAAGCCTAGGTTTGTCATGCCTGTTCAGGGCCAGTTCGACCGAGCTGGGTCTCCACTGCCCTCCTTTAAAGTATGCATAAAACAGAGGTGCCCAGAGCTGTCCCTGAGCCCCAGACCCAGCTGCCACAGCCCTGGAATGCAAGCCACTTCGGCTGGGAGTGATGAAAGCCCAGGATCAGGCATCTCCACCGCTTTGATTTGCAAGAACAGCTTGACATCCATAGCAACATGGTTAACGTGAAAAACACAAGATAAAAACATTCCATTTAATTAAAAGCCCACAGTTCAATGGTAGTATAATTATTACAAGTGCATTTTATGGCTGTCTGCATTCATTTTGGGTACATAAATTAATATGCAAATTACCAGCCCCTCTCGTGTTCTTAAGAAGTCCCCCCATCAATCTTTTTTCCAACATGTCAATTGGATAAAGCATGGCTTTTTAAATGCAAAATAAAATTCACATTTATGGTCCTTCTGTAATCTCCCTGTGCTGGCATGCTTTGTTTTAGATGAAGAGTGTTTAATTAACAGAGTTCACCTCTCTCTGAGGGCCTTCAGGACAACAGAGAGGCCAAGACACTTCCATGGTCTTCGGGCTAGTCAGGATTAGAGACGATTTTCCATCTCAAGGACCACCTATCAAGGTATTTGTGATTCTCCACTCAGCCCATCAAGGACCTTGTTATGGGAAAATATTGTTCTGATTTACAAAAAAGCAAATTCCTAATTGTAGACAGATGAACTTAATATTATTCACCAGGGAAATGCTATAACGAATTACTTAACAGATGGTTTGTGGGTATTTAGAAAACATTTTGCACACAGGCAGCGGACTCTAAGAAACGGTATGGGAAAGAATGAGATAGGCTCATCAGACCTCATTTCCTTCTTTGACAGAGTTGCTAAACTGGTTCATAGGAGGATGCCATAAGTACAACGTCTCCTACTGTAAGTAAATCTTTTGGAAAAATCTTTCATAACTCCCTAGTAGATGTATACAGTACATGAATCCACTATTGGAGCAGACACACCTGCAGTGTATTCAAGCATCAGGACTTGAATGTGGGACTCTGAGGTCTTCTCTAGAGCCCCAAACTTGGTGCTATTCTGTCAACACCTCTAGTGTTAGCCTGAATAAAGCCAGAGAAAATATGCTTGAATAATTCACAAGGGTCTCAAAGCTAGAAAGGACAACTAGTATACTTTTTGTCAGAATTAAAACTCCTGAAATACAGACATCTCAAGACACTGAACCTATCTGATGAAAAAAAAAATCCACTTTCCAAGGACAGGATCAACTTAACAGTTTACTTTTAAAAGTAAGTTTTAGTTGCCTGTGAGTCCAATAGTGCCCATTAGCTTGACATGGATGCCGACATGATGATAACAGGTTTCATCAAAATAACAATTCTATAATATAAGCAAAATGAAGGCAAGGATTTTGTCTTATTTGCTGCTGGTGCCAAGCACAGTACCTAATACATCCTAGGTGCTCAAGGAATATTTATTGTATCAATAGCATAACGTATTTTCCATCCATCTTTTTTAGTTATAAATGAAATTTGCATGGATTGTAAAAAATTTGGGAAGTGCGGAAAAGCACAGTTACCCTTAATCCTGAAATGATCTACATTAATATCTTAGCATATTTCCAAGTCTTTTATCTATGCACTTTTCACATGGTGAATTTATTTATATTATAAAAAATTATTTTCTATACTATTAAAATCTTTATAAATGCAATTTATATAACTATGTAACAGTTGACTTTGTCTATGTAACTTGGTTCCTTTAGCTGACAATGTATTGTTGACTATTTATGCTGCTTCCAAATGTTTTAAATATTTAAACTGCTGTGATGAGTATCACTGTGCAAAGCTTTCTCTATATTTCAGAATGAGTAAGAACTTTCTGGCAGCTGGATATGTCCCAAGGTAAAGTGAGTTCTCAATGAAAATTGCCAAGGCAATTGCCCTTCCTAAAATACGGTGCCTGTCAGGCAAATGTCAGAGAAGACAGTTAATTTTGGTGAAACATGAACTTTGGAGCCACACATTTCTGCCTGATTTTTGGCTCTGCCTTGTACCTGCTCTGTAACAGATTGGGCAAGTTTTCTTGCAGTCAGAGCTATTTTCTGTTCTGCAAAATAGTAGTAACATGGACTTTGCTGGGTTGCTGTAAAGGAAAAAGGAAACTATTGCCTAGTAGCTCTTGATGTAATAATTTAGCACAAGGTGATGATTGTGACTGAGCACATACTGATGGTTGACATTGCTGCTTCTGCTACCAGCATTATATGATTTGCAGGTGGATTCATTCTATTTCAATTTGGAGAGGCTTGGCCCTACAGAGGCCACTAGCAGGGATGCTGAGTGAGATTGTGCAGGCAGGACCAGTTACAGAATTTGCAGGGCCCAGTGCAGAATGAAGATGCAGGTCTTCTTGTTCAAAGTTATTAAGATTTTCAAGACATCACCAGCAGAGCATGAAACCTAAGTACAGGGGCCCTGTGGGATTGCACAGGTCACACATGCATGAAGCTGGCCCTGTGTAGAAGCTGTATGCAGTCAGCTCTGGGGCATGCAGCAGCTCTGATGGGCTCCTTCCTCTGGGAGGCTGCTATCCACAGTGAAGGAGGAACTCAGTGACTCTACCCTATTATTATTATTATTATTATTATTATTATTATTATTACTACTACTACTATTAATTGAGACAGAATCTCACTCTGTCACCCAGGCTGGAATGCAGTGACATGACCTCGGCTCACTGCAACCTCCTTCTCCTGGGTTCAAGCAATTCTTCTGCCTCAGCCTCCCAAGCAGCTGGGATTACAAGCATGTGCCACCACACCTGGCTAATTTTTGTACTTTTAGTAGAGATGGGGTTTCACCATGTTGGCCACACTGGTCTTGAACTCCTGACCTCAGGTGATCCACCTGCCTTGGCCTCCCAAAGTGCTGAGATTACAGGCGTGAGCCACTGCGCCCATTGTGTTATTGTGAATGTGGACGTGACTATCCAAGCCTCAACTGGCTCTTGGCAGAATCCTGTAACTTGGCCTCCCAGAACACATACCCACTCACTGTTGGGCAGAAAGTTCTTCCAAGTCAGCTGAACAATCAGAAAGGCTAAGAACAAACTCATGGGGAGGTGAGGAGACGAGAACTACAAAAAAAGGCCACCTCTGACTTAATGGCATTTGAAAACTTCTAAAGTCATCCTGAACTATGCTTCTCCTGACAGTCTCCTACTACCTTCAATGGTACAGTGTTGTGAGTCCTAAAATTTTCCAGAAAGTTCCAAAATAGTTTTAGAAATCTATGTGTTTCAGTCTGTTCAGGCTGCTACAACAAACTCCCATAGACTGGGTAGTTTACAAACAACAAAAATTTATTTCTCACTGTTCTGAAGGCTGAAAAGTCTTAGATCAAAGCACTGGCAGATTCAGTGTCTGATGGGAGCCCATCTTCTCACTGTAACCTCACATAATGGCAGGGGACAACTCTTTCATCCCTTATGAGGGCACTAATGCCATTCATGGGGGCTCCACCTTCATGATCTAAGTACTCCACTTCCTACTCCATAACCGTGGGGATTAAGATTTCAGTATGAATTTTAATGGGACTCAAACATTCAGTCTATAGCAATTTTCCTATAATTGCTAATAACTTCCATTCAGTCAAGAAATCAGAGGGGACCAGTACCGTGGCACACACTTGTAGTCCCAGCTATTTGGGAGACTGAGGCAGAAGGAACCCTTGAGCCCAGGTACTTTGAGACCAGGCTGGGCAACATAGTGAGACCTCATCTCTAAAAACAACTGAAAAATAAAACATAAAAAGGAAAATAAATAAACCAGAGGAGCTTTCTCTAAAATATAAATCAATGTTGTTGGGATTATGTGAACAATAGGTGGTTACTAACATCCAGCAGTTGTTATAAGAAGAATGGCTAATTATCAACATTTATAGCTCTTTCTACATTTCAGAAAAATTACAATACCCTTATATTTTCTTATTCTAAGACTTTATTTTCCAAGTTTTTCCCCGTGTTCAATGTTTCTTTCTGAAGAGTCTACTTACAAGTATTGCTTCATCTATCAAGTGATTCAGACTCAAACTGGATCCATAATTCCATGCAGGGCCCCTGCCTTGCCACAATACTTTTTCTGATCCTTCTTCTAACCTGGGTCTTAATGTAACTCTGTCCCCTTGAGGTAAGCTGAAAAATAGTCCCCAAAGGTGCTCACATTCCAATCCCTGAAACCTTTGAATATTACCTTATATGACAAAAGAGACTTTGCAGGCATGATTAAGTTAAGGACCTTGGGTGGGGAGTTTATCCTGAATTAGCCAAGTGAGCCCTAAATGTAATCACAAAGGCCTTTTAAAAGTGAGGTAGGTCAAAGGAGAGGTCAGAGATATGACAGCAGAACATGAGGTCAGAGTGATTTGAGGAAGGGGCCACAAGCCAAGGAATGTACGTGGCCTCCAGAAGTGGGAAAAAGCAAGGAAACAGATGTTCTTCTAAACCCTCCAGAGGGAACCAGCTGACTGACCACCAGTGATCTGGGCTTAGACCCCTGGCCTCCAAAACTGTATGAGGATAAATCTGTGTTGTTTTACAACACTAGCTTTGTAGTGATTGTTACAGCAGCAATAGGAAACCCTTTGACTATGCATTACCTTTTTCCTAGAAAACCTTTTCTTCATCACCTATCTCCTCTCACCTCCTTCTTTCATCAACCTCATGAACAAATTACTTCTATAGGAAAAAGGAATTCTCAAACATCTTTTTAAATAAGTTTTTGTTGTAATTTTTAAAGCATGTACAAACATTGAACAAGTAAAAACTCCTGTGCATATAGCTCTTAGACAGCTCTACCACCAAAATAAGGTTATAAAATAAATGCAAATAAAACTACAACCCCAATACAATTTTTCAAAAATCATTGCTGTGATGGATGGTATTTACTGAGAGCAAATCACTAACACTGTGGTTCATAGAAGAAAGATATATATATACATCCCTTTTGATTTTGCTGATTATTGACTTGCTTCTTGTGACTTTAAGCAAGACAGATCATCACTGAAGCTCTCACTGTTATCTCTGTTATTTTTCATTTCTAACACTAAACTAAAATTGAGCCCTGAACCATTTTATCGATAGGCCATGCAATGTAATAGTATATCCCAGAACAAAATATTGTCATCTTCCACGTGTTCATTTAAAGAAAAAAATCATAATTTCATATTTAACACTACAATTGCTAATAATTACAAAAA
This sequence comes from Homo sapiens, assembly GCF_000001405.40. Classification (NCBI taxonomy): domain Eukaryota; kingdom Metazoa; phylum Chordata; class Mammalia; order Primates; family Hominidae; genus Homo; species Homo sapiens. Next base: position 100,849,142 of record NC_000013.11, on the reverse strand, counting down.
CTTATGTATGCATTCAGGTTCAGAATAATATCAATAAATACTTTCATGTGTTGGTTCTTTTGTGTTGAGCAGCCACATCCCATATGCTACTTCATTCGGCCTCCACTTTCTCCACAATCAAACTGCTATGAATAACTTTTTCATCCAGTGTCCTAGAATGTTTTTTTTCTGCTTCCAGTTATCACAAATATGAAAGTAAATAGAAGTGCAAATGCAGACCTGAAATTGCCCAGCAACACCCAGTTAAGAGATACTCATCTGTCACCCAGCATATTCTTCAGCAAATTTTTCTTTAGCTTGCCATCAAATGAAAATGGTGAAGTCTCATAAAACTCATGGGCCCTAGAGAGTTTAACCATAGCCCACAGAGACAAGAAAAGCCAATCTGGGAAATTTTAGTCTAGCCTTTGCTGATTTCTCTACCCTTTCTTTTCTCTACTTCAGTCGCTATAATTAATTTGTTTCCATAAATTTCCTTTTCTTCCCTAAGGTGGTCCAATCTGTTTTACTTCCCTCTCTCTTGTCTGACAGCAAATCCCACAGCTGCTAATCTGCCACCTAGGAATCCTTTCCTCCTTTTCTCTAGTGGAGCCCAGGCCACCGGGATGAGTGGATACGTTTAATAAGCCAAGAGCTGCCTCCGGGAGGCGCCATTCTCATTTTCTCGCTCAGGAAATGCACTGATGCTATTTCCTTTTTTCACAGTGCTCCCTCCACTCTACTTCCATTGCTTCCAGGGCCTTTGAATGATTTACACCACATTATTGCCTAATTGTGTTGACCTAAATATACTGACTCCTTGTCAGGGGACATCTACTTTGACATGTTCTCATGTCAGTCTCATGTCAGTGAACATCTGCTGGTCTTTCCTTACCTACTGCATGACCTGGAATATCTCCTGAGAGAATCTATAGCCGTAAAGCAGCAGCAACGGGTAGAGTGTACCTGGGGCCTCAGCCTCAGTGCAGTAAGCTCTGTCTCCCAATACTGGGTACAAGTCGTACTAGGTTGTGATCATTTGCACACAACGAATGTGACTGCTCATGCAGTTGTTTCAGAAAATAACTTTTTGGCCTCTTGGACAGGTATACTGTTGCGCATTTCAGCACCTGAACAAAACTACTCAATGCTAAACACTCAGAAGCAAAATAAATATTCAGTTCACTTCATGTCGAAGAAACTCCAGCCTGAATTCATGCACCCGACTCTTGGGATAGACGGCGTTACTGTTCCCAATTCTTCACGCCTCCCTGTGGCCACAAGCTTTGTCTTGTGACTCTGCACTTCCTTCTACTGGAGGGAGAGTTTATTCCCTGTCCCATGAAACACAAGTTTGACCACAGGATTCATGTTGGCCAATGGAATGTGGGTGACAGTGATGGTGTGTAAGTTCTGAGCCAAGGCCTTGAGAGACATTGCATGCTTCCACTAACTCTTCTGGAAGCTTCCAACTTCTGCCATGAAGGGAATATGCCCCAGCTAGCCCACTTCTCCAGGAGACTGAGAAATGTGAGACCTGCCAAGCCCACCAGAACCCAGTTTAAATCAACTAAACCCCATCTGTTATGGGATGAATTATTTCCCCCACCAAAATTTATATGTTGAAGCCTTAAGCCCCAGTACCTCAGAATGTGACTATTTGGAGACAGAACCTTTAAAGGGGCAATTAAAATAAAACAATGTCATATGTGTGGACCTTGGTGCAATAGGACTGGTATCCTCAGAAGAAGAGGAAATTAGGACACAGACATGTCTGTGCACAGAGACCATCTGAAGACACATCAAGGGGCCACCATCTGCAAGCCAAGGAGGAAGGCCTCAAAAGAAACCAAGCCTCCGACACCTTGATCTTGGGCTTCTAACTTCCAGAACGATGAGAAAATAATTTTTTTATTTAAGCTACCCAGTCTGTGGTATTTTGTCATGACAGCCCTACCAAACGAGTACACCATCCAACCACAGTGTAATGAAAAAGTGTAGATGATTATTGTTGCAGCCATTGAGTTTTGGAATGGTATGTTACCCAGTATCACTGTGGCGACAGCTAACCATTACATGAATTTCCACTCTTCATCCACATTGTGGTCCTTGTAGTTACAATACAAATGTTTTGTTTATACAACACAAAGCCAAAAGTTCCTGGAAGGCAAGAACCATCTTTCATTTGGCTTTGTGCCCCTTTGTCTGGAATGATGCCTATCACAGACCAGGTACTCAGTGAATGATGGTGGAATGAATGAATGAGTGAGGACTAAGGGTGTACACAATTAAATGGATGCTGCTCCTAGCTTTGAAAAAAATGGAGGAAACATGACAGATGAATGGTTTTGAAGGAAATTCAAGGGTAAAACTTGGAATATGTTTTACTGTCTATGTGCAAAGAATAATGGGGGGGGGGGTTGTTTGTTTTTTGGGTTTTCCCCTCTCTTACCATGAAATTGCAAGTCCAAATCTGTTTTTCTTTAGTCCAATACTACCTAAGGAGCAATTAACCATTTATCAGGCAGCAACAGGAGCAAAAGTCCATGAAATGCAAGCTCTTGACCCCTCTGAGACCTTGGTCTGTAGCACACATCATAAAGGAGTCTAAGGCACTCTCCATCAACCAGGCGCTACATGATGTCAAGAGCGTATTTCTGAGAGAAGGAAGAATGAATTGATGACAGTGAATGTTCACTGAGGCCATGCATATGACTGCTGTCTTTTAAAAATCAAGACTGGCTGGGCGCAGTGCCTCACGCCTGTAATCCCAACACTTTGGGAGGCCCAGACAGGCGGATCACCTGATCTTAGGAGTTCAAGACCAGCCTAGCCAACATGGCAAAACCCTGTCTCTACTAAAAATACAAAAATTTGCCAGGCATGGTGGCACATGCCTGTAGTCCCAACTATTCAGGAGGCTGAGGCACAAGAATCACTTGAACCCAGGAGTTGGAGGTTGCAGTGAGCTGAGACTGTGCCACTGCACTCCATCCCTGGCAACAGAGTGAGACCGAGTCTCAAAAAAAAAAAAAAATCAAGACTAAGTCCCTCTTAGTTCAATAGTCTCAAAGTGGTTTCATAAGCTCCATAGTAATCCTCCTGGAAATGGTTTTGTAGCAGTAATAAACTCACAATTATGTGTGCTGATGATCGAAGAGAACAGACTAATAGATAATACAATAGTAGTTTATAGTTTATAGTTGGCAGGCAGTTTGGCATAGTGGAAAGTATACAAAATTAAAACAGGTCTCCCGTCACTTATTAGCTGTGTGACCTCAAAAAAGTTATTTCACCTCTCTGAGATTTAATTCCCCATCTAAAAGAGCATAGTAATGCCCATGTCCTAGCAGTCATGTTATCTGGTATTGTACTTGGGGCTTAGTAGGCACTTAATAAATCAAAGGTTTTATTATTATCACTGCTATCATTATTTGGCTTGCTACATAAACAGAATTACTTAGCTCAATACATTTAATGTCCATTTTCCTACCAAACTAAAACCTCCTCGATGTTAGGGATCATTACTTATTCAGTACATTTTTATTGGTGAGAGAATTTTTATTGGACATACTCACACTCCTGCACTGTCCACAGAAAACAAGCTGCTATCATCACTGGAGATAACCAATTATGCAGACAACTCACTCACAGAGAGAATTTCTTCTGATGGTAGCAATGAAAACTTTGCTAATGAAAAAGCTAATTTTATGGAATGCATCCAAGAGGGACATTTTAGAAGCACTGGATAATTAATTCATTTGCAATTTAAAATGAGTTGTTTATTGACTTTAGCTAGATAGCTTTGTCTTTTTATTTCTGAGCTGTTGGTTCCCTGTTCACGGTCTGATTCAGGCTGCATGACGGTATCTCCCTGGCTTGCAATGTTCTTATGTTAAAACCAAATGCTGGGATTAAACTTAAATTTTTCCATTTCCTTTATGGCAGACAATGTCAACATACCTCCCACTCCCACCAAGGTTGTCTAACAAGACTTCATAACAGGATGAATCTAAAACTTGTATTTAACACAGGTAATGGCAATAATTGAATGTTTGGAAAGAGTATTAAGGGTTTAGTCAACTGTTCCCTACCTTCAAATTTGTGCTTATGACTTTTCTTTCCTCCTTCTTATTTTTTTTTTTTTTTTTTTTTTTTTTAGACAAGGTCTTTCTCTGTCACCTAGGCTGGTGTGCAATATCATGAACATGGCTCACTGCAGCACTGACCTTGGGCCCAAGCAATCCTCCCATCTCAGCCTCCTGCGTGTTGGGACTACAGGTGCATGCCACCATGCCCAGCTAATTTTTTAAATTTTTTTGTGGAGACGAAGTCTTACCATGTTGCCCAGGCTGCTCTTGACCTCCTGGGCTCAAACAATCCTCCCACCTCAGCCTCCCAAAGTGCTGGGATTACATGCATGAGCCACCACACCCAATCTATACTTACAAGTTCTTAAGATATGGAAAAGTTGTGGGGGGAATCCTGCTAACCCCTTCAGTGTCAGATATTATCCTAATCTATTATCTGAAAAATAATTTAAGTTCACTTTATTTCCTACCACCAAATTGAGGTAGAATATTGAGAAGTTAGCAATATTCTGTATAATAGTGCTTTGTTTTCTAATTTATTTGTGTTTCTTTTTTGGAGGCATTGCAGTTTTTAATTACTTCATGTTATTTTAAAATTTTGTAAGTAACACACGTTTATTACCTTCCCAAAATACAGAAATATTTAAAGAAGGAATAAAGATCTCCCCAATCCACAACCTAGAGTATTAACTGCAGTCAATATTTTAGTCTATAACCTTCATATACAAAAATTGATTTTTACAAAAATAGAGTCATAACTGCATGCTGTTTCGTAACCTGCTTTTCTACCCTTAGTAACTTACTGTAGATATCTCTCATGCCAATAAATATAGATCTATGTCATCATTTTCAACAGCTTTATAGTATCCCATGGTAGAGACCAGAGATTGGCAAACTACTTAGCAAACTAGTCCCAGGGGCCAAATCCAGCCCACTGCCTGTTTTTGTGTAACCCACAAGCTACACATGGTTTTTACATGTTTAAATCCTTACTTTTAAATTATTATATTAGTGCCTACATATATCTTCAATTTTGCCTCCTGACCCCAAATATTTTGATCCCGTCCTTTAAGAAAAAGGGCTGACCCCTGTTATAGATATATCATAATTTGCTTAATTCATCCCAGATTGATGGAAACGTTGGCATTTATAAGATTTATCTGGGATAAACACCAGTGCAGTGAACAACCTATGTACGGCTTTTATCGCTGGACCAAAGTTTCCCTTAGGATAAAGTCCTATTACTGGAACTGCTGGAGCAAAGGAGCCTCTTTGTTAAGATTTGGAAACGTAACTACCTCATCGTTCTCCACAAAGTTGGCCAATGTAGGCTCTCATCAGCCTCTGCAGTATCTGGGGTGAGGGTATTCCCTTCCTCCTCCCATTAGCCTACTGGGTAAGAGCAGATCTTTCTAGTCTTTGCCAGTGTTATACATGAAAAAGCATTTCACATTTTCCCTTTAATTGTCATTTTTCCCGATTCCTGACATTGACCATCTTTTAATCAGGTAGAGCAACCATTAGTTCTTTGGAGAAAAACCTGTACTCATCCCTGGCGCATTTGTCTTCCGTGGTGTGCAAAACACCTCTCTCTCTACTTTAGGGCGTTATTTCATCTCCTTGACCTTGCCTTGTGAATAATTACAGACTCTTACTCATAAACCCTCTTTTCCAAGATTTTAATCACTTTGTGATTCTTCTCTGAATCCTTTCCAGCACTCTTTCTCCATCCATAGGTCTACAGACAGATGTTTTAAAAACCATTTCCATCGTGATAAGTATTCCTCCTCATGGCGGACTTTCTCAGGCAGGTCAGGCCTCTCCTCCCATGCTCAATGCGGGCCCATGGCTGGACACACTGCCTGGGCTCAGTTTGTGGAACTAGAGGCATAAAACCATGCAGCAAGAGCAGGGTGAGGCTACTTCACTGCATTTCCCATCTGAAACCAGCTCCAGCAACTTCAACAAACCACTTCTCCTACTATGAAGATGAAGTGTCACTCCCCTTAGAAATTTTAGCCACAAGAAGACTCAAAGAAGTCTCATTAGTATCAGCTAATTTTTACCCTTGGGAATAAGGGTGACTCTTTCCAGAATCTTCTGCAACGTCTAAAACTATAAAGATTTTATTCTCTCTGCCTAGTGAAGGATCAGTGCATTCTCCAAATCTCAGAGTTCATTTGAAAACAAATTTCCACATCAAATGACAGTATGTGACTCTCTAGCCTACTTGGATGACTATGGTGCATGTCTGATAGGGAATTCAGCAGCAATAACAATTCCCAGACTCTACTGAGAACTGTCAGTTACAGCCCTCGGGTGTCACGTTTCGCAGGAATGTTTGCACACTAAATATCTAATCTTGGCTAGAACAGAAGTAGTAGCAAGAAAGCAAATTTCCAATTACACCTACCTATAATATAAAAAAGTTGACTCCTGAAAGATGTTGTCAAAGAGCTTAAGGAAATCAGAGCATCTCCTCTTCCCATCCTCACTGAGGGGCTCATTTACCTACCCTGTGAAAGCAAAGCCCAAAAAATCAATAGCTAAGGAATTAGTAGTCATTACCTGTCTGCCATGCTTGAAAAACCAACCAGAACTTAGACAATAAACACCAGGAGATTTCACACACTGGTACTTTATTTTCAAATGAGGCCCCATTAAAGATTGAGCTATTTTCAGAGTGTTAGAGGAAGCTACAGTAGCTTCCTTTATTCATTGTTTTCATTTGCTTCTTGATTGTTTTGCTTTTATCCAGTATATAAGCTGTTCATTTGTTAATTCATTCAATAGACATTTTTTGAATCACCAGGCAATGAAGAAAAGCCTCTGTCCACCTGGATATAAGCCCCTGGTCATTTGTCATTGGCTCTTCCAGCCTCAGCAGTCGCCTCCCCATGTTTCTCCAGAGAACCTCCATAGCAGAAGAAAATGATCTGTCCAAGAGCAAAAGACAACTTGCCAAGGGGTTGAAATGTAGAGGGGGGAAATCAATGAAAAGGCTGGAGAAATGAGAGCTCTCAGTTTCCGCACCTATAAAATGGGACTATTACTTTTTACATCTCGGATGCCCCATGCCACTACGCCTCTGAGTCAGGACAATTCTCTTCTCTAGGTTTCCTACTAAGACACCTATGCACACTCCCACTCCTCTAGTCAAATTGTGAGTCAGGTACAATCTATGATGCTGGGAAATACCAACACAAAAAAGCCCTGATTCCTGACTCCAAGTCGCTTACAGTCTAGAGCAAGGAGATATTCAAGTAAATTACATACAGCAGCCCCATGTGATAAATGGAACAACAGAGGCAGGCACAGGGCTGATGGGAGTGCACAGCAACGTGCCCAATGCAGACAGATATGGAAGCCATAGGCAGGGCCAAAGAAGGTCTCTCTAAAAACAAGTACAATAGTTGCTATTTTACTGAACGCTGACTGCCTCCAGACCCCGTGCTGAATGCTTTATATGGATTATCTTATTGAATCCTATTAAATTATATTCTTCTCTTCATTTTATAGACCAGGACCCTGAGCCTTCAAGAGATTACCTAAGTCACTCCACAGGACACACCAGTCCACACCAGGGACAACACCAAAGCTAGAACTCAGGCCTGTCTAGACCCAGGGCCCACCCATGCTGTCTTCATTGCCATACTCTACTTCCTCAAGCAGGTGACTCTGGGCAAGCACAGTCTTGAGGATGGGCAGCTGTGGGTCCAAATAAGACAGGGTGGGGGACCCCATGGCAGAGACACATCCCTGGGGAGTCGGGAGGCAGAGCCGCTGTCTTACTCTGAGTCAATTCACTAATTAGCATTGGAGGGCTCAAAAACATTCCAAAAGAATTTCTTTGAAGTTTAAATAGATAATCCCTCCATCGGTAAAGTATTGTTTTTGTGAGCCATCGGTAAAGTATTGTTTTTGTGAGCGTGGTGTGGTACCCAGAGGGCTGGCCAAAGGGTCAGAAGAACAGGATTCTTGTCCTAGATCATTCACTCCCTGATTAGCTCTGTGAATTCTAACAATTCCATTATATCTTTGGGCATTGGATGCCTCACCCAAGAAATGAGAGGCTGGACCATATGGTCATAGGATTCCTCCCAGGTCTGACATTCTCTGGCCTCTAACTGATGGTTTTCTGTGGTTAAGATGTGCTTTGAATCTACTAGGCCTCTCAGTCCGGACAATTCTCTTCACCAGCTTTCCGCCTAAGACACCTGGGCACACTCTCACTCCAGTTACTCTTTGAGCCATTTCATTGGCTATTTCATCTTTTCCCACTTTGGTTCCTCGGTAGGTTTCCCACTGCTGCTGTAACGAATTACCACAAACACCCTGAGGGTTACAAACACCATGCATCATCATCCTACAGTACTGTGGTCAAATATTGAAACGGTCTCACTGGACTAACACCAAGCTGTCTACAGAGCTGTCTTCCTCTCTGCAGGCTCTAGAAGGGAATCCATGTCCTTGACTTTTCCAGCTTCTAGAAGGTGCTCACATGCCATGGTTCCTGGCCTTCCTCCTCCGTCTTCAAAGCCAGCAACAGCAGGTCAAGTTTTTCTCACTGCCATCACCCTGGTTCTCCTCTGCCTCCCTCTTCTCCTTGTGTGGCCTCCTTGGATTACACTGACCACCACCTGAATAATCCAGAATCATCTCCCTATTTTTTTTTTTAAGAGTCAGGGTCTCACTCCATCACTCAGGCTGGAATGCAGTGCTATGATTATAGCTCACTGCAGCCTGAAACTCCTAAGCCCAAGTGATCCTCCTGCCTCAGCCTCCCAAGTAGCTGGGACTACAGGTGCGTGTCACCACACCTGGCTAATATTTGTATTTATTTTTTGTAGGGATGGGGTCTCACTACGCTGCCCAGGCTGGTCTCAAACTCCTAGGCTTCAAGTGATCCCCCTGCCTCCCCAGAGTGCTGTGAATGCAGATGTGGGCCACCATGCCTGGCCTCTCTATTTTAAGGTCAGCTGATTAGCAAACTTAATTCCACCTGCAACCTGAATTTGGCATGTAGCAGGTTCCAGAGAGGATGAAGGGAGGGCCATGACTGCCCCCACAGTCCCCTGCATCCTTCATATAGTCTCTGTGCCACTTTCACCAAGCAGTTTGGACAGCACAAGAGTAGCTGTGGAAATGGCTGCTGCCAGGCCAGTCCTACCCAGTTAAATATCAATTTCACATGAGCAACACATAATTGTTTTAGTATAAGCATGTCCCATTTAATATTTGGGACATATTTACACTAAAAAATTACTTGTATATTTGTATATTGCAGGTAAGCTGCCACCTTCCTCACGACCTGTCCCTGAGGTTTGCCTGCGCCCTGGGATGGGAGAATATGAAAGGTTCACAATGCTTTAAGAAGAAGACTCGTTATGGGAACTGGAAGTGATACAGTTTCAGATGGCCCATTCTTGCGCTTCTCCTTTTCCAGAACACGCTGAACAGCCCCCAGTACAGTGTTCAGGCCTCATTCCCACAATGCCTTGCTCTGAACTAGAACCCATCAAAGCTACTATTTCCCTATACACAATGGAAGCTTAAAACAGTATGTTAATAACTGATCTGAAAAACTAAAAAAAAATCCCTTAAGAACCACAGGAATGAATTTAAAGTAGATCTTTCAGATAAAGGATAAGGTTCCCTGTGTTTAGGGTTGCAACATAACATATAGGATGTCCTGTCAAATTTGAATCTTGGACAAAAAAACAAATAATTTTCTAGGCCAGGCAGAATGGCCCACACCTGTAATCCCAGCACTTTGTGGGGCTGCGGTGGGAGGATCACTTGTGCCCAGGAGTTTGAGACCAGCCTGGGCAACATAATGAGACCCCATCTATACAAAAGTTAGCCAGATGCAGTGGTGTGCACCTGTAGTCCCAGCTACTCAAGAGGCTGAGGTGGGAGGATTACTTGAGCCCATTAGTTTGAGGCTGCAGTGAGCTATGATCACACCACTGCACTCCAGCCTGGTTGACAGTGCAAGACTGCAACTCAAAATAATAATATAATTTTTTAGTCCCAAATATTGAATGAAATATACTTATACTAAAAATTTATTTGTTGCTCATCTGAAATTGATATTTACTGGGTGTATTGTTATTAGATAAATCTGACACCCCTATCTACCTGAACCCACTCAAATTACACTATACAAGCAGCTCTACATTTCTCCCATCCAAAGGCCAGACATGTTTCCAAGGTCCACTGTTCCCTAGTCTGGCAGAGAACACTTCATAGCCATCTGCAAACACTAATAATTGTTACCAGTAATTTTTAAAGCCACTGTAAAGCCATCACTTTTCATGTGTTATTTCCACTTATATATATTATAATCCTCCAAATAGCCCTGCAAGGAAGAAACTCAGTCTCAGAGAGTAACTTGCCTATGGTCACCCAGCCACTGAAATGCAGACTGAAAATGCAAACCTAGGTCTGCCTGCCAGCAGATGCCAAAGTCATCCCCCTCCCCCACTCCACTCCCAGCCATGCCCATGGGGTCCAGGGCTCTCACACAGGGAACCAGGCCTCTGCCCCTTCACAAAGTTTCCATGGTTTCGCTATCCACACATTTGCATTATCGGTGCCACAGTTCTCTTTCTCTGGCATTAATAAAGTCATATTTGAAACTTGAAATAAATGTACCTGTGAGTCCAGGCAGGAAAAGATAAAATGCACAACCAATCTATAGGACAGAAGGGAATATTTTCTGCTGTCACGTGGCACAGGAGCTTAGCTATTTCTGTATTTACAGAGATTTCCTAAGTTGTTTTTAAAGTCTGAGGCATATCATTTACTAAGCCACCTTTGACTAAATTGACAGGACCAAATTATATTTAATTCCATTTGATACTAGATCTGCTCCAAAGCTCACATTTGATTATCCGAACTAAAAGAGGGTATTGGAAAATGCAAGATAAGGCAAAAATTAAATTTGCCTTCAGCATATATTTCTGCACTTACATTTTGTCTAACACTGCAAAGCAGAGTCAGAGGCTGCCCTGCCTGAGTTCTGCCTAGCTCAGCCTCTTCTCTCTGTGCATAAGTAAAGGCCCCAGACTAAGGAATGGTCACTGTGCTGTGGTCTTTCCTCAAGAGGCAGGGATAGGGTTAAGCACTGGGTCTTCTGAGGGTTGTACTATTAGGTCACAGCTGAAAATGACAGCTTCATCTTTCAGGACTATAGATCCAGGCCTACTGTCAAGTTAAAGTGCCTCTGAGTGATGAATGAACTATAACTCCATGCCTACCATTGAATGATTAATAGATACCATTTGTCGTTTCTTTCCTTCAACTGTGGTAGCTGCTGGGAATACAGAGACATACTATACATTATCTCTGTGCTCTGGAAACTCAGTGTTGAAGGGAATTGGAACAAAAATACAATGTAATGTGAATGGATAAACAAAATGTGGTATATACCTACAATGGAATATTACTCAGTTTTAAAAAGGAATGAAATTCAGGAACATGATATAACAAGAATGAACCTTTAAAACTTTATGCTAAGGGAAATTAACCAGACATAAAAGGGCAAATACTGCGTGATTCCACTTATATAAGGTACCTAGAATAAGCAAATTCATAAAGCCAGAAAGTAGAAGTTACCAGGGCCTGGGGAAAGGAGAATGGGAGGTTATTATTTCAGGGACACAGAATTTCCACTTAGGAAGAGTTTTTAAAGTTCTGGAAATGGATAGCGGTGATGACTGCACAATATCGTGAGTGTATTTAATGCAACTGAATTGTACGCTTATAAATGGTTAAAATGGTAAATTTTATGTTATATTTTTACCACAATTTTTTTCACCAAGCCGAAATTTCCTCTTAAGGTAACTAATAATCTTCTAAGGACGATTAAAAGCTGATAATTTCCTTGATAAAAAAAAAGTAATATAATAAAATACAATAAACACTATACATGCAAGAATTAGCAAAAAAAAAATCATCTAAAGAAATAAAACCAAGATGGCTATTTAATTCACTAGGAGGCCATATGAATTTGCTTTGCAACTTTCAAAATATAGGAGATGATATCTTTCTTTTGCTTGGCAAACAAAATAGAAATGACTCAATCGCAACCTGCTACAGTTGGATGAAAATCCGGGCTCAATCATTTTGTGAGGGGGTTGCTTGAAGGAAGGAGATTTCCTGAGATGTGGCGGGAGTCTGGTGGAGTTAGTCATGCCCCCCAGGGAAATCTGCTGAAGGGTGGAGCTTGCTGGAAGGTGGAGCTTGCTGGAGGGTGTGTAGCTTGGCTGTTTCTTCCTAGAATATGCACTCCCTTCACACCTAACTTAGCGACAAGGACTATCACTAAGATGCTAGAATTCAGCTCTCAGTAATATATGCAGTGACCACACCCCCCACCAAACTCTTGCCATCATCAAGATTTTTATTTATTTATTTTTACATATTTATACAATATATTTATATGCACACACATATTGCTGTACATGTTCTTTGCCAATAAAATCTAAGATGAAACCATTTATTTTATTTTTTATTTTTTTTGAGATGGAGTTTTTTGCTCTTGTCACCCAGGCTGGAGTGCAATGGTGCTGTCTCAGCTCACTGCAACCTCCGCCTCCTGGGTTCAAATGATTCTCCTGCCTCAGCCTCCCAAGTAGGTGGGATTACAGGTGCCCACAACCACACCCACCTAATTTTTTGTATTTTTAGTAGAGACGGGGTTTCACCATGTTGATCAGGCTGGTCTTGAACTCCTGACCTCAGGTGATCCACGCCCCCCTGCCTCCCAAAGTGCTGGGATTACAGGCATGAGCCACTGCGCCTGGCCAGATGAAACAATTTAGATATATCTATATCAACAATACCACTATATTATATACAATTTTGTAGATATTACATATAATGTATATAATGTATGTATATAATGTATATTATGTCACGTAATATATATACAATATTATATAGAGAGAAGTATTGATGATATACATATTTCTAAATTGTTCCATCTTATATTTTATTGGCAAAAAACATGTACAACAATGAACACGCACGTGTAGCTTCCTGGTGAAAACTGGATGTTAAATATAAGTAAAATTCCATACGGCTTTTAAATTTCAGTTTGAGTTATATTTTCAAAGTGTATTGAGCCATGATAAAGGAATTTCCTGTACAAGAGAACACTATATTCCTTTGTACATTATATAGGCTCATGCTGTGAGTCATCACAACACAGGACTCAATTCTCAATATATGTGAAAACGATACTTGCAAATGGTAAGACAAAATTAGAATTCATTCTTTTAAAAAATTTTCGAGCAAGCTATCAAGAAAAAGTATAACTGAAATCATGCTTAAAATACCATTAAAAAAATAAAAATTCTACTCAATACTGAATTTCTTACAAAGCAAGATTAATGTCCTAAAGATATTGGATAGTTGTATAAGACAAATCACTGGGCCTCAGTGATTAAAAAAAAAAAAAAAAAAAAAGAAGATTTTTAGGCCGGGCATGGTGGCTCACGCCGTTAATCCCAGCACTTTGGGAGGCTGAGGCGGGCGGATCACGAGGTCAGGAGATTGAGACCATCCTGGCTAACACAGTGAAACCCCGTCTCTATTAAAAATACAAAAAATTAGCCGGGTGCAGTGGTGGGTGCCTGTAGTCCCAGCTACTCGGGAGGCTGAGGCAGAAGAACGGCGTGAACCCGGGAAGTGGAGCTTGCAGTGAGCCGAGATCGCGCCACTGCACTCCAGCACTCCAGCCTGGGCGACAGAGCGAGACTCCTTCTCCAAAAAAAAAAAAGATTATTAAGATTATTAAAGATAAAAGCAGGACGTACTAGCATATGCTCTCTGTCTTTTCAGGAATCCACACGTTGTATATTCTCTCCTTTAGCTTTAATTTTATCACCATGCTTAACATCATTTTCTTATTTGCAATATGTGTTAAAATATTGTCCTATTAGGGATGACTTTATTAAATGTCAGGAAGAAGGACATAAAAAGTGATTAATTAAACTGATTATAAAATGTTTTCAAAGTATCATAGATTTTCCAAGTAATTAATTCAAAACACTTTACTGCAATGCTAAATGGCATAGACACGGCAGTCTTTTGCTAATCAATGAATAGCTTACCTTAATCTGAGTTTATTGAGAGCATTTTTTTTCCCAATTCAGATATGTATATTCAGGTCCCTGGAGCAAGATCAATCTTGAAACAATTTGACCCTTTCTCAGGAGTGGGCAGCCCACTCTGATTTCAACTCTGAGAGTACACTGGCCACATTCCCTTAAAAAGAAGACTCCTACCCCAAAGGGAAGTTGTAGTAACATTTGCTGATAATGCCCATATTGTTGATATCAGTCAGGATTATTTGTTGCATCAAATATTTGTTGCAGAATGATCTCTGTCTCATTTAAGTAAGAACAGCATTTCTGAAAGAATATTGAGCATCTCACAAAATTACCAGAAGGCTGCAGAATTACAGTCACACTTATGGTTGTCTAAGACCATTGTCATACTCTTCTTCACTGGTGACATTTGTTGAGGCTTATCATGTGTCATATTGTTCTAAAAGGTTTACAAGAACTAATTAATATAATTCTCACAACAATCCTATGAGGCAACAGAGCAGGCTGAATAAAGGCCACGCAAAATATTCCACCCAAGAATATTACTCCTAATCCCTGGAAGCTGTAAATGTCACCTTACGAGGAAAAAACGTCTTTGCAGATGTGATTAAGGACTTTGGCTGGGGAAGGTTATCAAGGATCAAACTAAATTCAATCACAAATGTCTTCATAAGAGAGAGGGAGAGGGAGATTTGAAATACACAGAAGAAGACAAGGCAGAGATTCGAGTGATGTGGACGCACACCCAGGCATGCCAGCAGCACCAGAAGCTGGAGAGACAATGGAGGACTCTTCCCTCAGGCCTCTGGAGGGGGCATGGCCCTGCCAACACTGTAATTTCAGATTTCAGTCCTTCACAACTCTGAGAGAATCACTTCCTATTGCTTTAAGCCACTAAATTACGGTAATTTATTATAGCAGTGCCAAGAAACTAATACAGGTAGATAATATTTCTATCCTAATTTTGCACTGGGGAAACTAAAGCATGGAAAGATGAGGGAACCTGCCAAGGTAAGTGGCAGAGCCATGATTTGCACTCAGGCAGCTTAGTTGCAGAGCAAACCCAAATGCAGAATAAGAATCCATTCCACTGAAGACAAATCACTGCCATCTCCACAATGTAAGCAACCATCCACAAAGACACTGATCCCCCAGCCCACTTCTCAGCCCCCAGGATACATCAGAGACTCTGGGCTGGACACTGCTATTAGCAAAGTGGACACTTGGCAATGGGGGTAGCCAAGTCACGACTCACCTTTTCCATCAAGGGCATTTTATCATGAGTGTTTTGACCAAGCACCGGAGCTGCTGCGGAAAGAGGCTGCCTGCTAGACACAAAGCAGGTCCTTCAGCCTCCCGGCTCTTGGGAGTCCACTACGTATTGGTTTCCTGAGGGCTGCCAGATCAAAGTACCACATACTGGGTGGCTTAAAGAACAGAAATCTATTGTTTCACAGTTCTGGAGGCTGGAAGTCTGAGATCGAGGTATCAGTGGGGCTGGTTCCTTCTGAGGTTTGGGAAGGAGAATCTGTCCCACGCCTCTCCCCTGGCTTCTGGTAGTTTGCCAGCAATCTTTTGGCACTCCTTGGCATAGAAGCATCACCCCAATTTCTGCCTTCATCTTCATGTGGCTGTCCCTGTGTGCATGTGTGCCTCCAAATCCCCAGTTGTATGGGATCAGGGCCCACCCTGATGACCTCACACAATTTTTTGATTTTATAGAGAGACATGGGCCTTGCCTACCAACAAAATTCAACCTGTAGGAGATTCCTTAAACATAAAAAAGGATTCAATTGCTGTATAGCTGAAAGAAGAAGGAATGTACATTACACTGTCCCAATAAACAGATCCATCTGAGCTTTCAAAGCAAAATACCACCTTGAGTTGTTATAGTGATGTTCACTTTCTGAAATACTTTCTCTTCAGTACTTTCGGCTTATGCTAGATGGGAGGGCTGACCATCTGACTTTGAAATCTAAGAACTGAACCCACCGCCCTAGGTAAATGTCCAAACTTAAGACCAGGTGGCAGGACCCTGGTATGGTGGGAATCAGAGTCATTTACTCATGCCCTCATTTATTAATTTCTTCATTCATCTGATTCATGAAGTCCCTCCCCTATACCAAGCTTATTTTAGTCTTACTCCCAACACCAACACTGTGGAGCATTGAAAGAATGACCTTATTTCTTGGTAGCTCAGTTGTTTCCTCAATAGAATAAGATGATAAAATCTACATCATGAAGTTCTCTTATAGCCCTAAACTCTAGAAAAAGACATTTCTGAAAATGCTGGATGTTCTGGTATCTTTTATAGGGAATATTAACCAGTCTAAGTAGGGTATATAAAAATATAAAGGATCTCTTTTCCAATTAGGAGGTGATATCATTTGGCTATGTCCCCACCCAGATCTCATCTTGAACTGTAGCTCCATAATCCTCACTTGTCGTGGGAGGGACCCAGCAGGAGATAATTCAATCATGGGGGTGGGTTTTCCCATGCTGTTCTCATGATAGTGAATAAGTCTCATGAGATCTGATAGTTTTATAAAGGGCAGTTCCCCTGCACACACTGTCTTGCCTGCCACCATGTAAGATGTGCCTTTGCTCTTCCTTCTCTTCTGCCATGATTGTGAGGCCTCCCCAGCCATGTTGAACTGAGAGTCCATTAAACCTCTTTTTCTGTATAAATTACCCAGTCTTGGGTATTTCTTCATAGCAGTATGAAAATGGACTAATACAGAAGGTATGCCTTCTTTGAGGTCATTGGTGTTGACTGCACACAGTCCAACACTCCATTTCCTCAGGGTGACTACCCTTCTGTAGTTGGAATATGACAAGCCAGGGACAGTAGGCTGAGGTTCAGTACAGAAACGGGTCTTCCTGAGCTCATTACCAAGGAAGAGAGCCAGGTTCTGAGGCTGCTGAGATGGGAAGAGGCTCTAAGCATCAGAGGAAACTGCAAGCACAAGATTGTTTGATTGTAGATGAATGTTAGAATTAAGCCACTGCCACGAGAACTACTGCTCCGGAGACTTCAAGTCCAACGAGGACCTAGAGATGGCATCTCAGGAAGGGATGTAGCAGAGCCAAGGATGTGGAAGCACATACATGGTGCCCTTGACTTGCTAGTGACTCCAGACAGAAGTACTGGAGCTTGAAAGACTTTTCAGGGTGAGGATGACATGTGGTAAAAAAATATCAAGTTTCAGTTTGTGCATGAGAATGTTCTGGTAGAGGGCTTTAGCCCAACACACACAGAAGAGCTTCCAGAGAAGAGGCTATGCGTGGAATGCCTGATAAGGTGCCAGGAATATGACCCCCTGGGAACTATGGTTTAAATATCCTTGGGAGCACTGATATTGATAGTGATAGTGACCTCACAGGCTTTAGGACTCAACGTGGGACTCAAGAGGCATGAGACAAGGTCAAAAAACACAGCACACAGTGCAAGAGTCTAGATAGATCTGTGGACTTTGATAGAATGTTGGTGGTCAAGCTATCCTGGCTAACATGGTGAAACCCTGTCTCTACTAAAAATACAAAAAAAAAAAAAAAAATTAGCCAGGTGTGGTGGCAGGTGCCTGTAGTCCCAGCTACTCAGGGGCTGAGGCAGGAGAATGGTGTGAACCCGGGAGGCAGAGCTTGCCGTGAGCCGAGATCGTGCCACTGCACTCCGGCCTGGGAGACAGAGCGAGACTCCGTCTCAAAAAAAAAAAAAAAAAAAAACAAAGAATGTTGGTGGTCAAGGAGATGGAAATAATGACCATGAAACATGACCATCATTGGTTCCTTTTAAGGATAAGTAGACAAGAATAAGATTCAAATGCAGGTCTGACATTGAAGATCAGTCCATGAGGCAAGGAGAAATGGAATGCAAAATTTGCCAGGTGCGGTGGCTCACACCTGTAATCCCAGCACTTTGGGAGGCTGAGGTGGGCAGATCACCTGAGGTCAGGAGTTCAAGACCAGCCTGGTCAACATGGTGAAACCTTGTCTCTACTAAAAATACAAAAATTTGCTGGGCATAGTGGCAGACACCTGTAATCCCAGGCTACTCGGGAGGCTGAGGCAGGAGAATCGCTTTAACCCAGGAGGCAGAGGTTGCAGTGAGCCAAGATCAGGTCATTGCACTCCAGCCTGGGCAACAGAGCGAGACTCTGTCTCAAAAAAAAAAAAAAAAAGAAAGGAAGGAAGACAAGAAAAAGAAATGGGATGCAAATCTCTAAACCAGTGCAGAGATAGTAGGCAGTTGGAGAGGCCCACATGGCAAGCAACCAGTGGAGGCCCAGTTAGGTGGCATTCAGACGCCAGGATGTCTAACCACTGAGGGGGGCTGAGTTCTATACAAAAGCAATTCCCTTATTTAAGAAAAGGGGCAGAAGAAACAGTTATGAGAGATCTGAAGTACAAAGCAGGCATCAGTCACACTGAAGCAAGGCTAGATCTTGGTCACCATGTTTTGTATCACATGATTTCACTTGCCCCAGCCATGTTGATGGACTCAGAGGTAAGTAAGCACCTGACCTAAAGGCAGGCAGGCAGTCCAGAAACTGGGCAAGGACCAACGACATGGTCTAAAGTGAAACAATGAGCTGACCCCCTCAAATTCTCCCTCAGTGTATCTTAGGAAACATGGAGAACTGGGGCCAGTTCAGAGGGAGCTAAAGCTACGGGAACAAGAGAGGGGCCAGGGCAACCACAAACGGCAACACTCGAGCTGGAATTAAGAGGAAACAAGAGTTATATCTAAACAGCAAAAAGCCACATGGTGAAAAGAAGAATGAAAGGGACAGACAAGGGAGCAGAAATGCCTGGAGAAAGAGAAGCTGTGTGGTCTGTGAGAGTCATAGCACAGCTGGTCCTGCAAGCTGCCTTCAGTTTCAAATATGTCCTTATAATAAACATCCCTTTTCATGAGGTAACTCAAGGGAATCTGTTTCTTACAACCCAAATCCCCAGTTAAAACTGCAGAACCTAGGCCAAGCATGGTGGCTCACACTTGTAATCCTAGCACTTTGGGAGGCTGAGGAGGGCAGATGGTTCAAGCCCAGGAGTTTGAGACCAGCCTGGGCAACATGGTGAAACCTTGCCTCTACAAAAAATACAAAAATTAGCTGGGTGTGGTGGTATGCGCCTCTGGTGGGTGGTAGGAAAGATCAACTGAGCCCAGGAGGTCGAGGCTGCAGTGAGCTGAGATTGCACCAGTGCACTTCAGCCTGAGAGACAGAATGAGACCCTGTCTCAAAAAAAAAAAAAAAAAAAAAAAGAAAAGAAAAGAAAAAGAAAAACCATAGAACCTAGTGCCAGGGACCTTCTGACCAAGAACTCCTCCTACCTTTTTATGATGTGCAAGATGTGTCTGGGGTTAGGGTGGGGTAACATCCAGTGAAGGCTGAGTGGCCCTAACTTCAAGGTCAAAAGGCTTAAGAAATTGCAAGTCAAGGAGGTATAGTTGATCCACATGATTCACAGATTCTGTATTTGCAAATTTGCCTGCTTACTAAAATGTATTTGTAACCACAGGATCAATACCTGTGGCTCTTTCCTTGGTCATTTGCAGAAGTGCACAGAAAATTTGAGTCACCCAATATGCATGTTCCCAACAAGCTGAACAAGTTCAACTCTTTGCCTTCTCGCTTCAGTTCTCATACTGTAAATGTGTCCTTTTCACAGTCTATCTAGTGCCACCTTTTTATTTTTGTGCTTTTTCTTGGTGATTTCACTGTTTAAAATGGTCCCTAAACATAGTGCTGAAGTGCTAGCTAGTGTTCCTAATCACGGGAGGGCCATGATGTGTCTTATGGAGAAAAGATGCATTTCAGATAAGCTTCATTCAGGCATGAGTTACAGTCCTGTTAGCCGTGAGTTCAATGTTAATGAACCAAAAATGTCTATTAAAAAGGTGCCTTTAAACAGAAACACACATAAGGCAAAGTTATGGATTGATCAATTGATGAAACTATTATGACCAGAGGCTTGTAGGAACATAACCTTGTATTTCCCCTAGGAGCAATGGCTTAGCATTTGCTAATTCAGTGTTTTTGGTGACTTCATCAAACAGAACTACCTTGAACACCAAGAACTGACTGTATAATACTTTAATATCTTGTTGGGGAATGACCCCATCAATCATACTCACTGTTGTATCTTCGGTGTCAAACATAGCACCTGGTACACAGTAAGTATGCAATAAATATTTGTTGAACAGAGGAACAAACAAAGGAATTCACTCATTAAGAATCAAAACAACCAGCAGCCTGGGTCAGAAATTTTCTTTGCTCTTGAGAATCAATGGCAATGAGAGTCTTTCTAAAAAACATGAGCATCACTGCATAAGGGTGATAACCCTGTGGGTTTTTAATTATATCCTATATCCTACCAATTGTTACTACTGCTGCAAAAATTCCCAGTCTGTACTCAGTGCTTTCATTTCTAGAGCTGTTCGACAAGGCTTCACGGGCATCACATAAGCCTCAGACATGGCTTGTTGGTATCGACTGTTGCCTCTAGAGGGGGAAACAGACGTGGAGAATCTCATCTGCTTCTCTAGGGTCAGCAGTAACACAGGATTTGAAGCCCCTGGTGTGTGTGTCATGATCCTTAGCTAGGATTCATTTCCTCAAAATGAAGTCATTTTCTAAAGAGAATTATTTCGCATTTTGGTAATTGGAGGTGTCACTATAACCAGAATTGCAATTTTAGTGCTTCTGTGTTGGGGTAATTTGGGACTTAAATTTTACTTCATTATGTTTCATTATAAATATTTCTACTGTCAAAACAGAGTTCAGTTGGCAGTCTTTGCCCAGAAGCATCTCAGAACTAATTTAGCATGAGGAATTTAAAGCTGTCTTTCTCCAGCCTTGTTTTCTAGGTCGTCCTGGAAGCAACAAGAACAGGAGGATGGAGGCACACAGCATTCACGGCTCCCAGCATGCACTTTAATCTTCTCCCCAGCACAATTATCTTACTAGGCACTGAAAAATCTATTACCCCGATTTATAGCAGCTCTGGAATCATAAGAAAGCACAAATTGTTCCCATTTTGATTGGAAAAGATAAACTGCAATCACTTCGGAAGGAAGCTTAACACGGGAAGCTCTTGTCAACCGAGTGATTTTAGTTGGAGAATAAAGAGCTGGTCACAGAAGACAGCAGAGGAAGAAACAGTTTCTAGGGTATCATGGTTCTGATCACAAGTGAGGCTGTACGTGCTCACTTGCACAGGCTGGAAAGAATATTGCCAAATGTGAATTTAGCAAGATTAATAAATGACTCATATATTGTATGTCATGTTCATATTAGCGACAATGAAACAGATTGCAAACACCAAGTAAAGTGATTAACACAATATTTGCCATGCCCAGAGAAGCCAGAAATACTATTAGAGTTCCCTCTTTGATTTTAAGCTTGGGTGTTAAGAATACAGGCTAAAATATTAAGCAAACATTTGCCCCATTCCAGGGCATACGGCTTAGGGAAAGGAGTAGCAAAACTAGAGAAGTGTTAAGTGCTTCAGTCTTACAGGAAGACAATTTTTAAAAAAAAATTTTAGAAACAACCTGTCGCCCAGGCTGCAGTGCAGTGGTGCCATCATAGCTCACTGCAGCCTTGGCCTCCTGGGCTCAAGTGATCCTCCCTCCACAGTCTCCAGAGTAGTTGGGACTACAAACACATACCACCAAACAGCAAATTTTTAAAAACCTGTATTTTGTAGAGACGGGGTCTCACTATGTTGCATAGGCTGGTCTTAAGCTCATGCCCTCAAGCAATTCTCCTGCCTCGATCTCCAGATTGAGCACTGGAGTTACAGTTGTGGCCAACACACCAGCCAGAAGACAAATTTTAGAGTAAGCAACGGAAGCTGCAGAGAACATTAAAGGGAACACGGAACTAAGAGTACAAGGACCTAGGTTTGAGTATCTACCTGTCTATCCAAAATGGCTATACCACTTAAAATAAGCCATTTGGATTTTCTGGGTCTTAATTTTGTCATCAGTAAAGTGAAGATAATTAAAAACTTTCCTCTCTACAAAACAAAGTTAGAAAAAAATGCTGTAAAACCATGCGCAAGGTTCTTAGAAGTCTGCATATTAGCTTTGTTTGACATTTAAGGGTTGGAAGAAAATTATCTAATGTAAATTTAATTTTTTATAAATGCAATTGTTCTTAAAGAGACTGTTCACTCAGATTCTTGCCCTGTACACAGTCGAGGCAGTTGTGCAGGCAGAATACATAGTGAAAATAACCGAAGTCAGGACACCTGAATTACTTTCCCAGCTCTGCCACTGACTAGCTATGAAGTCTGAGCGCATCACAGCCACTTTAGATATGAATTGAGTCATCTAGAAAGTGAAAGAACTGGACTAGGTGTTTCTAATGCCCTTTCCAGTTCTAAGATTTTATAAAGGACTTTTTTTTTTTCCATCTGTTGTTCTTAGTTACAGATACCTCTGATCCCTTCCCATGTTCAGGGATCTTGTTTATTTCAACTCCACTGGAAGCAGCAGGGCAGAGAGGACCACTGAAAGCGAAAGAATGAATTTATTTTCTTCTTCATTTCCGAGGTCCTATTATAATTCATGGGACGTGAAAAGGGGGATGATTAAATTCAGGATTTCTGATTTCTTGATAGAAGATTATTTGGAAGGAAATTTGACTTTGCCACGCGTCGCAAACTCCTGAAAGTGATCATATTTGAGCTGACTGGTTGTATAAACCTGTGTTCAATAAAAGCATATCGATTGGGCAAAGCAGTCTTCCAAAGCTGAGAGAAAGGATGCAGAGAGCATGAGGCGGGGTAAGAGTACTCCTCAGACTTCAATAATGTATTGTTAACTGGTGTAATCTTCTGAGAAAGTGCAAGACCTCAAATTAACAGCACTGAATTGAGTCTAATAACTACATTTCACAACATCATATCTACTCCTCAATCAATACTTAATTTTCTCATACAGCCCTCGGCCTCCTGCAAGCTTTTATTGTGTTTTGCAGAGAATAGCATTGACCTCGAGGAATGCTGGTCACTTACAACCCTAATACCCCCAAAAAGCCAAAGGCATCTTGAAATATTCCCGAGACAAATACAGGCTAAAATGCACACCCAGGATAAAAATTGTTCTACCACATTCATTTCCATATTGTGTCAGATCTGTCTGATCTTCATCTTACTGGAAGCCTAAAGTGACTCAGGTTTGGAAATCAGCCTGCACTTTTAGAAGTAACTTTAAGAGACTTGGCTTGAAGTCACATGAGTCAAATCAGCAAATTCATACTCTGAGTCGCTTTTTGCTGCCTAAATTTCATATTCTACAATCCTGGAGCTTTGATCACAGAAGTTCAGCAAGTCTAGAGGGAAAATGACTTTTTCCATTTCAGTTAACAAAGATTACTCTGGAGTGTGGCAGGAGGATTAACTCTGAATCTTTGGGGACTTTCTTAATATTTTGCTCCAGCATCTCATTGTTGTACATTACATAGCACAGGTATTATTCGGGATAGGAAGAGGATTTTCCAAAATAAATAATCTTTTTTCTACTTACTCATTCAATTCATAAATCAGGTGCTGAGTTGACATTCCTTCCAAAGATAAATAATGTGAAGGGGGCAGCTGTCTCTTCACATTTCCCAAAATGTTCTTTGGCAATAATCAAGTGTTGCTCTTCCCAGGGTCTGGTTAAATACCACTTTAACATTTCTATTTATATGAGGTTTCTGTTGTCAATATCACAAATTACCACGAACTTGTCCACATCCAGCAGGAAAATGGGTGCATCCTTGTCCCAGCCTTTCCAGAATAATTATTGAGATTCATTATGATTAAATTGGCTCAGGTTGCACGATCCCCCCTGAACCAGTCCCTGAGAGCAGGGTAGATGGCTTAACCAGGACATCATGTTCCAATCCTGGATCCAGACAGAAAGCACAGCTCTTTCACCAGGATAAGTGTAAATGGATCTTGGGTAGCAAAAACATTGTGCAATTGCTGGACATTACTGTATTTAAAACTTTTCACCAGCTTCATTATAAACTTATGAGTGCATTGTATTCTTAACTATTACTTCATTGTTGGACATTTTAGATTGTTTCTAGTGGCTTATTAATAAAAAGTAGTTGCCCAAACAATAACTTTGCCCTGGAATATTCTTTTTATTTAAGATCGTTTTCCTAAAATATATCTGCAGCAACAGAACTATTGAGTTAAAAGAATAAACCCTTTCAAGTCTCTTAACACACATTGCCAAATTTCTTTCCAGCAAGCATTTTTCACTTTATTTTTCTGCTACCATTCTGTGAGAATTTCCACATCGGTGCACTCTTTCCCAACATGAAGCATATTCGTCTTCCTTCATCTGTGCCAATTTGAGAGGTTCAAAGAAGACCCAGAGGGAGCTTGATAAAATCAACGGATCTGATCATGTGACTTTGCTGTATACAGGATTTCAATGACATCCTGCTGCCTTGAGGACCAAAGTCCAAACTCCCTGGGATGATGCACAAGGCTTTCTAGGATGTCAGCCCCAGTGGTCTCCCCACCTTTGTCTCTGCTGCTTTCCAATCCAGCCCTGGAAAACTGAACAACTTAGAATTCCTCAGACTCTGCATCTGCATTCATATTTCTACGTGTTTGCATACACTCTTTCTTTCTCTCCTTATCATTCTATTTCCAATCCAAGAATTCCCTCAACCTGTACATAACATCTAATTCAGGTCTCCATCACACAGTATTGCATTAACCCTTTGCATGATGACCCTTTCCCATACAAAAATATTTTCTGTGGCGGGGGCCAAAAATATATATTTTTGTGCAAATACTAGGCCCTGGCACAGTGTCTGACACCAAAAAAAAAGACATACAGTAAATAATCGTCAAATGAATCACAAGTGGTGATGGAAAGAGAATGGATATTGACAAAAAAGAGTGAAAAGAAAATTGATAACGTACAAAGAAAATCTGCATTTGTCCTCTGTGATCTTGAAACAATATTGAAGCATTCTGAGCTTCCTTCTTCACAACATTATTTTAAGATCATATTGAGTATATCAAAGTGCTATGTGACTCTCAGATGGTATAATAAATAATACATTTTAAAACATTCTTTAGGGTTTTGAGAAGCCCTGGCTCTGCAATGCTTCAGGAATGTCCCAGTGTTTTATCACCTTCACAAACCTCACACAATCATATGGGGGAGGAAAAAGTGGCAGATGGGAAAATAAAGAGTATTTAGGAGAAATTACAAGCAGACAGCACTCTGGGGGTTCTAGGGTGAGCTCCAGCTTTTCTATATAGAAAGCAAATCTAGAGTTGTAGTAAACAGTGCTGCTGAAAGCCATTAACTCGACGTGTTGTTGGGGTTGAAATGACTAAAAGAGACATTTTACGCTTTCTGGATGAGGGTTGCATAGAAAATGGAACTCTGGAAAAGGGAGTGTAATCAACAATACAGCCAGTGCAGAAAGGCTGTGTACCACCTCACAAAAAATAAACCCAGAGAAGAGGCCAAGAAGGGCAACTAAGTGATCATAGGAACAGACCAACATCTAAGGCCAAAAAAGATTCATTTAAAAAGATAAATTGGCTGAAAGACTCCAAAACATGCCTCTACCTATCCGCAGGCTGCAGCCCTAATTAAGGCAACAGAGCATTATGCGGAAGAATGAATATTCAGAAGAATGAATATGCAGATTATGCATATCAGAGCTGATTGATGGCTTTTTGGCCCTTCAGCTGGCAAACACTGACCCTGGCACCCAAGAGAGGCCATTTTCACAGCTTCTGGAAAGAGAGGCTATTTTCACGGCTTCTGGAAAGAGAGGCTGGGTAAGACAGCTGCTGTCACTTCCCATAAGCCACTCAAGAAGTGTGGCCGCATGCACCTCAATGGGTTCTGATGGGCAGAGGCAGGGCCTGGAGCTTGCGGACATTACCAGGATGTACTGAGGATTAATTAGACCATGTCTCTAAAGTACTTTGAAATCCTTGGAGGGAGGTCTTTTAATTATAGTATTGGCCGGGAGCAAGTGGAAAAATAGATAGGGAAATAATACCAGTTTTGTCTGGGTAGGAAGGAAGAGACACCATTTGGATAATTTTCTTGCCTCAAGTAATGTATCTCTGTTCTTCCTCCTCCCTATTCTAGAACCTAGATATTGCTTGGATGAGACACAGCAACGTTATGTTTCCATTTGCTCATGGAGGGTGCTATAGCTGTTTTTTGTGTTTTTTGTGTTTTTTTTTTTTTTGAGACAGAGTCTTGCTCTGTCGCTCAGGCTGGAGTGCAGTGGCGTGATCTTGGCTCACTACAACCTCCTCCTCCCAGGTTCAAGTTATTATCATGCCTCAGCCTTCCATGTAGCTGAGATTACAGGCATGAGCCACCACATTCAGCTAATTTTTGTATTTTTAGTAGAGACGGGGTTTTACCTTTGTGGCCAGGCTGGTCTCAAACTCCTGGCTCATTTGATCCACCAGCCTTGGCCTCCCAAAGTGCTGGGATAGTTGTTCTTTTTGTTGACATTATTATTCAGATGTATTACTCTTCAATTCATTTTTGAAAATTGCCTTTTAAGAAGTAAAGATGCCTCTTTTCTCTGCCTATTTAAACTTTATGTTAGTTGTATAGAAAGAGCATATTTACCTTAATTCAGTTACAAGATTTGGTTTTAGATGTAATTCGTTTGCTGTTAAATTTATTCCGTATTGAGGAGTAAATACCGGCTAGTAACTGCTTGTCAGAGGCACGTGATGCTATCTAAGTTTCTTGGAAATTAAGTTGTACTTCAAACTTCAAATGAGAAAGCCAGGCAGTGCTTTTTATTTGTGACAACATGAGCTGGTCCAACTCTAAGTTTAAGGAGTTTGTATTGAGACATCCTCCAGAAGAGACTGAAATAATCCGAATTTTGGCTCACACAGCATTGTGCTACATTTAGTCATTTGTATTTAGGAAATAGGAGGTTTGACTTTGTTTCCATTATCATGTCAGGATTAATCATTTAGGATTAATCAGTTCAATTAATGATATTAATTAGGAGGAAGGAATTAGATTATCATCTAGACTTAGGTTCTAATTTTAATAAGTTAAAAAATAATTTGGAGTGATGGGTCCTACCTTGGCACTATGGGCCTTAGAATGCAGAAAGCCGCATCGAGTTTCTCCAGGTTGATATGCTAAAAAGTGAGGGTGAAAAATGACAGGTGCACACTGGACTTGCAGGTTTGCACAGTGCTTGGCACAGATATGCCTCTCATTCCTTGCAACTTGCCGTTAAGGCAGGAATATGAATGTGGGTTGAAAGTGGATGAATGGAAGCTTGGAAAGGGAATAAGAGAAGCCCAGGGCACAGTCACTTCCTGTAGCTCTCCAATTCAAAGGCATCCCGGGTGTAAGCCCACAGTTCAGTGTATGGCTGAGATGAACTACCTGGCGATTAAACTGCAGCCAGCTGCCTTCAGGCATCAAAGGTCTTCCCCTGGGGTATCCAGAGGCCCTGCCTACATGTTAGTAGCCATATACGAAACCATGGGTGTCTACTTAGGAATTATATACCCCCGGAGGCATCCCTAAAGGCAGGTGAGGGCGTCCAGCCAACATTTGCAAGGTCTGCTCAAGTGACTATTTTCCTGACACTCTGCAATGCAACACAGGAATATTTTTATCCTTAATTATAGAAGAAGCAACCTGAGTGAGAGAATTTAGACCATTTGACAGATCAATAAAGAAAAATGAAATCTCCACAGGTCAGGGATTTGGATGCTTTTGCCTTAATTGCTTGAGGATCAATCTTTCTAAGAATCTTCCCAGAGCCCTTGTCAGGCCCTCACCATGGCCCCTCCCACCTGGCCCTCTGGGTCAAGGGCATACAACACTGGATTGGATGATTTCCAACTATGGATCATCTTTTTCATTTGCATTATGATTTCATCTTTGATCCATTGGGCTATTTAGACATGTGGTTTAATTTCTAAATATATAGGGAATTTTTCAATTTAATCTTCTTGCTATTGATTTCTAACCTAATTGCATTGTGGCAAGAGAATGTGGTCTGAATATTACCAGTTCTTTGAAAGTAATTGATAGCTGCCTATGGCCTACTATATGGTCAATTTCAGTAAACATTCCATGTGTGCCTGTGAAGAATGCATATTGGGGCAGAATTTTACATATGTTCAATAAATCAAGCATGGTAATTGTGTTATGCAAATTTTCTTTACCATTTTTCAGTCTGTTTGACATATCAATAACTGACAGAGATGTGTTGGAATCTCCCACACTGGTGGTGGGTTTGTCAGATAGTTCTTCAATTTAGATCTAACAATTTTTGCTTTATATATTTTGAAGATATTTTATTAGGTGCATACACATTTGAAATATTAAATCTTCCCAGTAAATTGAATCTTTATTATTAAAAAGCGATCCTCTCATTCCTCAATAATGCTTCTTGCCTTAATGTCTACTTTTGTTTGATAGTAATATGACTGTCACAACTTTCTTTTTAATTGTATTTGACAGGTATATATTTTTCCATCCTCTTTCAACATTTCTGTTCTTATAAGAAATATTTCTTAGAAATGTCATTTCACTAGATCTCTTTGTGTTTTTCCCCAAAATCTGTTTTTCTGACAATCTCTTTTAAGGTATGTAAATTCAGCTTATTTACTATTTTTGAGATAAATAATATACTGAAATTTGTTTCTATTATCTTATTCTTAAATTTGTATTTGTCTCTCCTTTTCTATGCCCCTTTTATTTCCCCTTCTTAAATTTTAATGCCTCTTTTTTCTTTTTTCTTGGTCTTTTGGGATGGACTGAAAATTTTTATTTGTTTTATCATATTTTCCATTTATTCCCTTTACTGGCTTGGAAATTAAAGCACCCTAAATCTGATATTTTACTGCCTTTGAAATTGTGCTATGCATCTTTAACTTAAAGTTTAGTAATAGATTATATCTTAACCTCTTTTCCAAGGAGACAAGGACTTCAGAGAAATTTTTATATAACCACTATTCTTTCCCTGATACAACTGACAAACACACTTGACAAGTGCTTCCATTCTGGGACTTTTTTAAAAGACGAAAATGAATCATTATTCTCTAATTTACAAACTCTTTGCTTCAATGTATGTATTTGCTATTTTATTGGCTCTGCATTCCTTTTTGCCTCTGAGACTTTCCTTCTGTGATCATTTTTTTTTCTTTCTGAAATACACCCTTCAAAGGGTTGTTTTATGCTATTTGGAAGAGGTAAATCCTGCACACCTTTATCTAAGAACAAAAGGTCTCTATTTCTCTCTCAGTTTTAAAAGATAATTTTTCTAGATATAGAATTCTAAGATAACATTTCTTTTCTCTCATGAATATATTATTCCACTATTTTCTGTCTTCCATGTGACTATTGAGAAGTCCACTCACTAACTGACATTCTTCATAGGTAATCATTTTCTCTGACAACTTAAAAGTCTTCTCTTTGGCTTCAGTACTGTAAAATTTCACTATGCCTTGTCTTGGTATGGGATCAATATATTCATCTTTTTCAACAGTCTTGCAATTTCCCAGCAGTGATCTCTTCAAATGTTGTCTGGCTTGATTCACCCTATTCTCTCTTTCTAGAAACTCTTAGATTTTTGGTATACCTTTTCATTCTGTGCTCCCTCCTAAATTTTATTTTACATTCTCCATCTCTCTTCTCTGCATCTGCTCTAGATAGTTTCTTCAAATATATCTTCTTGTAATTCTCTTTTTAGATGTGTCTAATTCACTGTCTCATTATCCCACTAAGGATTTTTTTCAACAATTATAGTTTTTATTTTCAGAAGTTCTCTTTTGTTCTTTTCTGAATTGTTTTGGATCATCCTGTCTCCTGTTGCTGGCTCATGTCTGTGAGTTCATCCTCTGTGAGTGGGGTAAGGGTTAACTTTCTAAGATAGACACCCTGAAGTTTGGCCTCCCAGAAAAGAACTTGGCCTCTTGCAAAGCTCCATGGAAACCAGCCACAGCTCAGTGCTTAAGACAATCAATCCTATTCAACCTCAAAGGTTGGCCTACAGCCCTCTGGCCATGCCTGGGGATACGCTGCACTTCCTCATCCATGAACACTGAGTTGGCAGACCAGCGCTGGAGCCAAAGTTCTGCCATATCATATTGCTGTTGTATCTCTTCCCAACCAATGCGATCTAAAAGCCCCACAGCCCAAGGTTAGGGTCCTCCTGTGGACTCTGATGTCTGCCTCTGTACCACCCTAACTCAGTGGATTTTTCCCAATAAACACTATCTCATCTCCATGAGTTGGTGCCACATCTCAGTTTAGTACCAACTTCCAGATCAAGATGCTGTTGTTGGCATCTGCTCCCAAGATAACCCTTTCCTCCTGCTAGCTTACTGCTCAAGCCAGAGGTTAGTTTCAGTATTCTCCCCTCCATCACTGACATGCTTTGAGAGGAAGTTCCCCAAGAGCTTTGGAGAATGCTGGGAGAATGCTAGGATCTAAAACGTTGGTCATAGGCAGTTTGTTCTCATCCCTGCCTGCAGATTAGAATCACTTGAGGAGCTTTTAAATATCCCAGTGTCCAGGCAGCATCCAAGATCAATTATATCGGAATCTGTGGGTGTGGAACCCAAGCATCAGTATATGGATGCAAAGACAAATAATTCATATCTCTGTCCTGGATAAGCTCACAGACACAGGAGGAAACAGATAAGCAGACTATCAAAACAATGTGACATAGGCCATAATAAAGAGCTGAAGTGGATCAGAATATACAACCCCAAGATATGCCACTTTGGCATATGTATTATTATGAGCTGAAGGCAACTGAGAATCAACAGATACAGAAAGAAGACTTTTCAGAGATTTTCTTATCTGACTAAAAGCAGAAACTTCTGAGAAATGAAGACTGCCATAAATCTTCTCTCCAGCAGTTTTATAGCCATGAAGAAGATGAAAGGTCACCAAGATGAGTCTGCAGAGAGAAACCTTGCTAAAATAACCCTTATCTTCCATGAGTTTCCACACACACATTCACCTTCCCACAATTTACCACCACCCCAGAAGCCTAAACCTCCCTTTTCTTTGTCTAGTCACTTCTCCACAATGTATTACCCTTTGTTAAAATGGTATATAAGCTTCCAATCTAACTACTTCTTGGGGTTTTCTCTGTCTTGTGAAGCTCCTGTGCACAAAAAATATTAACATCATAAAGAAACATACCTTTTCTCCCGTTAACGTGTCTTTTGTCAGTTAATTCACAGTCCCCAGTTACTGAGTCTGAGTAGAGGAAACACTTTTCTGCCCGCCCTACCACCCACCCCTAGATATGTGTATATGTATTAAGAGCAGAGAGAACACAGTTTTGGAGCAGGACACGTGGTGTGGTGAATTCACCATCACATCCTTATCGCTATGAAGAGTTGGGGGCAGGTCGGGGGCGGAATTTCAGGGACAGATTCACAGAAAAGGGAGGGGATGCCTGTGCTGTGTTGAAGATTAAATAGAAGTTTGGGTTAAATGCAGTGGCTCATGCCTATAATCCCAAAACTTTGAGAGGCTAAGGTGGGAGGATCACTTGAGGCCAGAAGTTTGAGACCCATGTGGGCAACATAGCCAGACCCTGCCTCTACTCTCTCTCTCTCTCTCTCTCTCTCTCTCTCTCTCTCTCTCTCTCTCTCTCTCTCTATATATATATATATATATATATATATATGTGTGTGTGTGTGTGTGTGTGTGTGTATATTTTATATATATAATATACATGTATATATTATATATGTATATGTATATATGTATATATGTATATATATGTATATATGTATATAAATAAATAAATAATTAGCCAAGCATGATGGCATACACCTGTAGTCCCAGCTACACAGGAGGCCAAGGCATACTCCAGCCTGGGTGACAGGGTGATACCCTGTCTCTAAAAATAATTCTTAAAATAAAAAATTAGAATTTGCCAGGTGGGAATAATTCTGGGCAGACAGAACAGCAGAAGCAAGGCACACAGGCACAAGAGAGCGGAATGCCTCAGGCATTTCAATACAGCTAGAGAACAGGCAGTGTCAGAAGCCTCTTAGAAAGATAGGAAAGGCCTGAGCCAGGAGCTCAGACTTTTTTCAGAAGGCAATGGAGAGGTATTGATGGATCATAAACACTAATTACTTGGTTAGATTTGCATTTTAGTGACAGGTGAGGAAACTACACCCCAACTACTGTTCACGTTGCTGTCATAAAGAGGCTGGACTATCATTTTCAAGTGTGGCTTTTGGATGTGCATGGAGACCACAGGGCTAGGCCACACCCTTCTAGGTAAGGAGTGTGGATGCCCCTGAAGAAAATAGAGTACGACTATCAGCCCCCTTGGGAAAATTGGAGATTCTAGGACAGAAATAGAGGGCTTAGAGGTTTTTTGTGATACCAAAGGGCAGGGAGATCTCTACAAATGCCTAAAGGAGCTCCCTGCATGAAGAGGACACATGGTCTCTGCCATGGTACAGCAGAGAAGAAGCTGAGCAGGGAGCATAAACAGGTAGCAAGACCCCCCACTTCCCCCAGCATCTCTGAGCATCTCTGGTAACAAGTACAAAACAGCTCCTTGTATTGTCATTCGCTGTTTTTCCACGGAGAGAAAGAGGCTTTTTTAAGTGCTTACGTGCCAGATCTGGTGTCAGCTGTGAGGAAGGAAATTAAAGAAAAGGGTCTATGTCCTGAAGTGCCATAGGAAAATAGAGCTATAAACGTCGGCAGAGGTAGCAGCCATGAGTAATGGCATCCCCAAAGACAGGTTCGATCTCAAGGACGGGAGCAGGGAACATGTGGTCCAGCTGACCCTCCCAGCCCCAAAGCATCTTCTCCACCATCTTTTAGGTAGACTGGGATGTCATGTTATTAAGAGAGCCCAGGGGTCCTCAAATATAGTGTGGGCCAGGGACCACAGGGGAGGAGACTGGAAGCAGGAAACTCTGTTAAGAGGATCCATGCCTAGTTAGGAAATGACAATGACCTAAGACAGTGAGGATGGAAAGGAGGGGAGGAGAGACATTTAGGAGGTAGACTGGCCAGGGTATAGTAAAATAGGCCAGATGCCAGGAGCAGGGGGAGAGTAATGATCTTGCAAATGAGAATAAAGGGAGTATGCGTGAGAAGCAGCAGGGAAACTTCCTGAGGAGTGTAGCAGAGAAAAAAATTAAGTTAACTGGGATGCAGCCTTTTCTAGTTCAGAGAGGCAAGCTTTAAAAGTAAGGGAGCAGAGACTTGGCAGGAAATAAAGGATTCCACTCTTCTACACAATGAAGACAAAAACCATGCCCTGTCTTCTCATCTGACAGGTCCCAGCTTGCAGCTGAATACGTGTTTAATGAATGAACAGAAGAAATGAAACCTTTAAACATATACACATATATTAGCAAATGAAAACGTATCAGTCTGGCAAAGTGAGCCTGCTACATAGTAAGAGTCAGGATTCAAACCCAAATTAGTCTTGTTCCAAATCCTATGTTCCTTCCACCATGACATCCAAGGTGCTAGGGGAATTTGGGATGTTTTTTTTTTTTTCCATTTGGTTTTTTTCACTGAGAATGTGTCTCACCTTTGTTCCAACAGCACAGCTCTCTTCATGAGGGCCACATGCCCCATGCCATATGACGGACGTGGTATGTGTACAAGGAGATTGAACCACAGAAGTGCCAGGCATTACACAGCTAATCAGGATGTGGAGCTGAATTCACCACACCGCCTGTCCTGCTCCAAAACTGTGTTCTTTCCACCATGAAAGGCGGATTCAAAGCCTGCCTTAGCTTCTTAGTGGTCATTTTCTCAGCCTCGATTTCCTCCTCTACTCAACAAGGACACCACAAGGCCTCACTAACAGGGCTGCTGTGCAAGCTAAGTGAGGGGATGCATGCAGAGAGTGGGGTGCAGCCTCTGGCACAGAGCAGGTGTCCTCACTACTGTCTGTCTGCATGGTGGGCAGAGTGATGGCCTCCAAGGACCCCACAT
Organism: Homo sapiens; assembly: GCF_000001405.40. NCBI lineage: Eukaryota > Metazoa > Chordata > Mammalia > Primates > Hominidae > Homo > Homo sapiens. The sequence goes on along the minus strand of NC_000013.11, from coordinate 100,814,964 downwards.
CCTAATCCCCAGAACCTGCGGATATGTTCGGTTGTATGGCAAAAATAACTTGGCAGATGTGGTCCACATTGTGGACCTTGTGACAGATCTGGAGGAGCCTGGATTATCTGGGTAGGCCCAAGAGGATCACAGGAGTTCTTAAAAGTAGAAGGAGGAGGCCAGGCACCATGGCTCATGCCTGTAATCCTAGCATTTTGGGAGGCCAAGGCTGTCAGATCACTTGGGCCCAGGAGTTCAAGACTAGCCCAGCCAACATGGTGAAACCACATCTACTAAAAATACAAAAATTAGCAGGTGTGGTGGTGCATACATGTAGTCCCAGCTACTCAGGAGGCTAAGGCAGAAGAATTGCTTGAACCCGGGAGGCGGAGGTTGCAGTGTGCCAAGATCATGCCACTGCACTGAAACCTGGGCAACAGAGCATGACTCTGCCTCAAAAAAAAAAAAAAAAAAAAAAAAAAAAAAAAAAAAAAAGGCCCAGCTACTCAGGAGGCTGAGGCAGGAGGATCCCTTGAGCCCAGGGGGGTCGAGGCTGCAGTGAGTTAGGACTGCACCACCGAACTCCAGTCTGGGCAACAGTGAGGCCCTGTCTCAAAACAAAACAAACAAAAAAGTAGAAGGAGGAAAAAGAAGAGAATTAGAGAGAAAGATATAAAAAATGAAAAAAGAAAAAAAAATGTAAGTGAGAGATGATGGAGACCACGCTGCTGGCTTTGAAGATGGAAGAGGCAGCCACGAGCAAAGGAAGGCAGGGAGTCTCTGGACTCTGGAAAAGGAAAGACAGCAGATTCCCTAGAGCCTCCACAGCAAGGAGGCTGCCATCACTAATTCTAAGCCATGTCTGACTGCCGACCTGCAGAACTACAAGATAATACATTTGTATTGTTTAAGCCACCACATTTTTGGTAATTTTCCCAGCAGCCATAAGAAATTAACACAGTCTGGAGGAGCTAAGGATGCTATGCTGTTAGTTGTCCTGCACGTCAGAGTCAGGCTTCTTCAGAAGTCTACTAGGATACACTATAAGCCATCTCAGGGCAGGGACTATGGATGATATCTGCAAAGCTCTAGGAGCATCACTTGATTCTGTCTGTGGGACTTCCTAGGAAATTCGGCCAATGCATCAGACCACTAGGAAATGCCTCTAAGGGAAGAGGCTGTCCCCTCAAGACCCCTCCTCTGTCACCCCACCATCCAAATACAGGAGACTGGGATTCCAGCAACTAACCTCAGGCTCTGTCAGCAACTCAGAGCAGGTGGCACATGAGAGGATGATGGGTCTGCCAACATGTTACATACCTTGCATGTCCCTTGGGCTATGAGAAGTGAGCATAGGTTTCTTGCATCCTTTCCAGGAGTAAGCATGTAAGGGCCTGTGCCTGTGTCCCCCTGAGACAGGGGTCATTCAGGGTGGTTGCAGGAGAATAGAAAATTGCCAGCAGCAGTTTAACCTGATTAGCAAAAGGAAAACTGTTGAAGTAGCTGCAGAAGCTTGAGGCTGTAAGACTCTGCACAACCAGGGTGTGGGCCAAGCTAAGACTAAGACCAACTAGACCCAACATGGCACTGGATTTGACCTAGGTTTCTCCTAGGAGTTTGTGATACACTCATTAATATGCTAAATATATTAATATATTAAACACAGCCAGTGCTGTGACCATTCCGGGAAAACCAGTATTTGGTGTAAAAATGGGTGGCACCACAGTTCCAAGAAGTCTCCACCTTTTTCCAGGAATTGTCCTGAATATTCCTTTGTTTAAACAAACACATAAAGGCAGCAGCCCCAAACCCCCTTGAGCATGGCTTTCTCTTGAATACTCCTGCACTCCCCTTTCTTGAGTGTATACCTTTCACATTGCAATAAATCTCCATACTTTCACTACTTTACAATTCATCCTTGAATTCCTTCTCAAGATGCTGTCAAGAGCCTGGACACCGACTGGGGTTGAGGCCCCACTGGTGTTTGGGGACATCTCCCAGCCCCCTGGAATCCCTTTTTTCCCCCATCTTGGAGGCCTCAGAAACACACATGTGTTACTACAATTTAAAAAAAAAAAATTAGGTCTCCATTCACCTGGGTCCCTGTGGACCCTGGAACATGCAGCATGAGCTAGAAGTATACTTCTGCTGTGTTAAGCCACTGAAATTTGGGGATCATCTGCAATGTTGATGCATTTTATTGAATGAGGGTAGAGTCAGCTTTCATAATCTCTTCCAAAAATTCTACAATTTAACCACAGTTAATACTGTCACTGCTCAATTCTACTACTTACCAGGATTTTTAGAAATTACTTACTTAAGAAGGAGGCTGGCAGTTTGGAGCTCCATCTCTCTCAACAGTATTTTTGTCAGAATTTTAAGTCATGCCAATAAAAAACAAAAGTAAGGTGCTACTATAACATCAAGCCTTAGGTGCACATTCTGCTCTAATTTTACAGACCTCTTTTCCCCATGTTTGTAATGTGACCCACAAAATAAACCTGAGCTAGGAATTGTTCATTCTATCCTCATCTGAGAGCTAAGAGCACAGCGGTTCACAGAGACCATGAAGTGATAGAAGTAGGACTAGAACCCAAGTTCAAGGGGCCCAGAGCCCCCTCCTCTGTGCCTCACTAATAGTGAATACCTCAAGGATTATGTTTTCATCTCATTTCTAAACACCAGTGCCCTATACTTAACATAATAAAACCAGTGTAAGAACTAAAAGTGCTTTACACCAAATTATAGCAATATATCACAAAGCTTAGCATAACATTACGAATAGCTCATTGAACCAAGGCAGTTTGTTTGCAGAGTAAGCAAGCAGATTTTCTGCATAATATAGCAGTGCAGCTGGTAATAGCAGCCACTGAAATAAAAGCTGGGGCCGGTGGGGGCAGCCTCATTTAGGGACAAGTAGTAGACCCTAATGAAATTGCATTTTGGCCATATCATCCTCCTGAGAAAATTCCCCTTGAGGTTTTCCATTTGAATCCTGGGCATATTTATGAAGATCAAAGTAATGGCTTTTTAAAATTAATTACATGAATCTGTAGCTCAACAACATTGAGTGAAAGGCGGGTGTTGTACCCCATGCCTTGTTACAGCTGTACATCACACACATCAAAAGCCCAGGATGCCGGAGAGAGCACGTTCCCGGCTACATCAGCCCCCAAGCCGCCGGGATGAACGTGGAAAGAGTACAAAAGATCAGTCCCCAAAGTTGTTGTGACAGCTTAATTGTATTATAGTGCTCGGATAATTCCCATTTATTTGGCTTTTTCCTCAGAGCAAATGCTGGCCCCCCAAGCATAGCTATTACCAGGAGAATTAAGATTCACAACTTTGATGGGTGCTCTCGCTCGCTCCCTCTAATACCAGCCCTGCTCAAAAGTCCTGGTAATTGTTCTACCCCGATCAGGACTTCCCCCAGCCTTCAGCATGCCGAGACCCGACAGCAGCTAACTAATTGCAATTAAAATCTGCCACGTGAGTGGAAGAGAATAACATAAATTAATCAGTACATTAGCAGAATTACATTTAAATGTTCAAATGTGCATTCAACATAGTGGGACATTTTAAATTATAATGCAAAGTGCTTCATTATGGATGCTGATATTTTAATGAGGAAATGTGATGTTTGGTTAAATAGGAGTACAATATACAGACTTCCTTAAAATTAGCATCAATGATGCATTTTAATTCAAAAAACGAGTTGTGGTCTGTGTAATTCCTGCATATCAATGTGGAAAATTTGCCTGGAGCTGTGGAAACAGTTGAACATCTCATTCTCTGAAGAATTAATAATTTCAGCTGTACTAACTAGCACTTTATGTAAATTGTCAGATAAATCACAGCAATAAATAAAGGTTTTAGAAGAACAGAACAGTGTGCTTATCCTTAATTTATTCAATCATCAATTCATGTATACTGAAGCTAAGGGATATGAAAGATTCAACATACCAGGCAAAAAAAAAAAAAAAGGAAAAGAGAAAATGTCTTTTATAGCCACACAGAGACTCCAGAATAAAGATCCCATCCAATTTTACCAAAATCTTGCATGTAAAAATCACTCTATGATGCATGTAAACATAAAAGATAGATTAAAATTTATATTAAGTTTATTTTCAAGTACAGATAGTCAAGGCTTAGTAATCAACATCTACACTAGAGTCTCAAAAGTCCTCCTTATGAAATAAATATCTTACGTAATTGCATGAACATAGAGCACAAACAATACACGTATATCAAAAGGACTGTGTCAGGCTGTCTTTGTCATTTCCATGTGCCACTTTTGTTTATGATGCTGCAGGCACAAATCCTAAGAGACATGGTAGAAGGTGACCTAAATTGGGTCTGCCATTTCTGTCACTGGTTAGAGATGGGGCAACCTCAAAGAAGACAAAATCCTTGTCTTCTTCTTCTGGGCCATCTTCTGATTTTATTAGCAGCAAGATAAATTCTTGCTGGATTTTGTGATATAACAAAGCCACGGCAGGGCAGGATAGAGCAACGAACCACCACTGTTAGAGTATACACAAAAGAGCCTGGATTTATTTACAAGAACTCAAGTGACTGTGGATCTGAAATGATCATAATTAAACAATACAAAACAAGACCAAATTTTAATGCAAAGAAAATCTGTCTTCCATGATACCCATTAGAAACCCCACCCACCGTCCATTTATGTCCTGCTGATAATTCCCTGTTAAAATTGCCTTATTATACACAACTTTGCTCTTATTTAGCAAACAACAGAAGGTTTTGGTATGTTCCTTTCTTGGGTTTCAGGCGAGAGAGTTTTTCTCTTTCCAAAGCAATTTTTCTCCCTAAATAAACTGGTTCCTCCTTTGGAAAGAGATTCTCTCTCGGTGTCTCTGTGCTATGTGTCATCAGTCTGCCACTGCTGATGGGAACCCACCTTCTCCCAGGGAAGCTGGAGCATGACTTGGCACCCTGCCATGTATAAAGACACCCGTTCACTTTGTGAAAGGTGTCTGAATCAAAATGGAGCCACTAATGCTAAAATAAATCCTGACAAATAGAGCCAGGCAAGGCCATGAAGAAAGGGTTCTCCTGCTAGCAGTCCTGATAATGAAAAAGACCTGGGTATTATGCTTACTACCTGGATGACAGGATCAGTCACACTCCAAACCTCAGCATCACACAATATACCCATGAAACACACCGGTGTGTTTACCCCCTGAATCTAAAATTTTAAAGTTGAAATTTAAAAAAAAGACTACAAAAGCCACAACCTTGCACAAAGACCATCACAACCATACTCACAAAAATACTACTGGAAAGACATCTGCCCAGTAGCTGCCTGTCTAACCCCACACTGGCATCACCCCTGTTGATCCTTGTAGCCAAGAATAATTATTTCAAAACAATGATGTAATCCTCTTCATTTTTTCCTTTCAAAGCCTTTTTCTTCTTCTACCTCCCTGAATACATACATAGTATATTACGGCATTCATATTCCCGTTGCAATGCTCTCTTCCCAAATAAACATCTTTTCTTTTGGAGAATCACGCTCTGTTATTTAGTTTGACAACTTCTAAGCATAACCATTGACAACGTTGAATTTTACCTGAGCCCACTGATCCTGCAAAACAGGGACGGTTAAGAAATCCCCTTACTTTCTTGTGTTCCAGAAAACAGCTGCCTGCAAAGAACTCCCTATCCCCACAGGACTTAAAGAAGACTCATGAGTGTTCCCTTTGTTTTACCTAGGATGAGATGACACAGACACACCAGGTCCCATTCTTGGCCTCACAAAAGATCAGCTGAACTGCTTGTCCTCATGAATCAAGCGGAACAAAATGCTTTTTAACCAAGCTTGGGTCAAGCTGCTCGCCTTCCACAGGAACTTTGACCCACCCTCAGCCTGAGCAGCACAGAGCCACCCCTAAGAACAGGCTGACCTCAGAGTAGGACGTTCTCTCATCCACTAGCCTACCACTTCCCATACCCAGTTCCTTCCAGCCTTGTTTATTCCTCTCTGTAAAAGAAATCCCATTCTGCCTCTCTCTTGAGCTGCCTGCCAACCTTATGGTCATAGCTTTCTCCCGATTGCAATTATCCTTTCTTCTTCCCACTTTGCAGTAATCCTTTTGAAATATGGATTTGTTTTTTTATTTGACACCATCGACAGCCGGTGGTGTCTAAGTGCTGCAGCTCCAAGCACTATCAAAATCTATGCAAAGACATCTTATTATATCCCACATGAATTAAGATAACTCAACCCCAGAAGGAAGTGAGGCTACTAGAAACTGGTACCAACAACAGGATTTTCTTTGGGTACCATCAGAGCTAAAAGCTTAGCGTTTTCTTGGTCTGCAAACACAGAAGCCAACTAATTGCACCTAAGCCATTCAGTCTCCACTCACAATTGGACAGAGTCTGGTCCAAACAAAGAAAGGAATGAATGCGCCCCATCCCCTCCACAGCTCCTGTCAGGGTAACAATGAACCTTGAACGGTCAGAAGGGCAGTAGGCACAATAGGGCTTTGTATAAAAATATGACAAAGCCCCAAAGCAGCTGGGGGAACAATGATGTTGACAAAAGCTATCATTTCTTTAGGGTCCTAGGTCTTCCTATTAAAGTGTGAGTTACTAAACTTGCATTCATGTCTGCATTCATGCATATTACATTTATACATTATGTTTGTGTTTATTATATTGTATTTTTACATATTATACTAATATACACAAAAATCTTCTCAAGAAATAAAATGACAGTATTAGGCACATAATTTTAGAATAGAATAGCCTATCTCCTCCAGAAACTGCCTAAAGGGAATGAAAACCAAAGCTAAGAATGCTTTTCATACAGTGACTTGCACGATGACTGTGTCCCCTGGTTTGGGCTTCATAATGTTATATCATTTTCCCACAAGACTATATTTATTATGAGCTCCACTTCTCACCAAGAGCAAGAAATGATATTGAGCAAAGATGAAATAAGTCACAGCAAAATTGAAAACAGAGAAGTCTTGGTGTAGTTTATCTTTTCTCATCTTTCCAGTGGAAACGTTCTACCACATATCCCAGTTAAATAATCCAAAACAAAACCCGGTGTGGTCAAAGAAACAAAGGGAAAAAAACACTGGGTTCCATTTTCAGGACCCATGAGAATAGCAAAAGAGACATGACTGAGAGCTTCAGAATCTAGTGACAAATTGGCCACAGAGAGCAAAACAAGGCAAATAGTAAATAAGAATCAAATATCTAAGTAAAGAAACTTTTGTTGTGTGATGCTGAGAAAAGAGGCACTTCATGAGACTGTTTTACTTTAACTTCTTCTCAATCATTAAACTTCTTGTTACTGTAGCCATTTTAGTGATGACAGTAATATTCATTTTCTCCTCTCTCCTTTTGCTGAAGGAATAGGTAGTTACTTGCAGAGAAAAGGATAAAACTCTTTGATCTTTCTCAAGATTTGGAAAGTACCTAGTTTTACCCAATCAGGCAACAAAATTTTATAAATAAGATGCCAAATAATCCACAGAAGTGCAAAGTCCTGGTGACATTGGAGACCCTGATTCTAGCTGGTCCCCTGTCCAGATTATGGTCACATAAACGCTATTGCTGGGTTTAGTAATCAACATATACACTAGATGTATGTGTATTTCTCCTCCATTACATTCCGCCTTTTGGATAAACTCATTCTACCACTTATGTATGCCCAAGAGTCCTAATGCATACTTGCTGCAAAATCATTATTACAATGACCACCATCTACCAGCACTTAGTAGGTACCAGGCACTCTCCTAAGTGCTTTATATACACGACCAATCAAAGGGAGGTCTAGGCCAAGGGCAGTGGCTCACACCTGTCATCCCAGCATTTTGGAAAGCCAAGGCAGGCAGACTGCTTGAGCACAGGAGTTTGAGCCCAGCTTGGGCATCATGGCAAAACCCCCTCTCTACAGAAAAATATAAAAATTAGTTGGGTGTGGTGGCATGTGCCTGTAGATCCAGCTACTCCAGAAGCTGAGGTGGGAGGATCACTTGAGCCCAGGAGGCAGAGGTTGCAGTGAGCCAAGATTGCACCACTACACTCCAGCCTGGGCAATAGAGGGAGATCCTGTCTCAAAAAAAGAAAGAGAGAAAGAGAGAAAGAGAGAGAGAGAGAAAGAGATAGAGAGAGGGAGAGAGGGAGAGAGGGAGAGAGGGAGAGAGGGAGAGAGGGAGAGAGGGAGGGAGGTCTAACCATTCCCATGAGGAATTTGAGGCTTAAAGAGGTTAAGTAAGTTGTTCAAAGTTATACAACTTATGAAGAGAGTAAGGATATAAACCCAGGATCATCCAGCCCTTCACTATTTGGCTACCCAGCTTCCCAGGACCCGGTCTGGGGACCTGCAGATGCCTAAAAGATGTGCCCCTTTGCTGTCCTCTCTGCTCTCCCTTTTCTCAGCTTCCTCGGCTGACTAACCCACCACAGCACTTACACAGACACCGTGTGCAGCAGGTTGCATCGGGTGAGTCTTAGATTAGGATCTGCCTCAACTCTCTGGTGGACTTCACACCGCTCTGCACTAAGCCATTAGGTATAGTTTAGTGGTCAGAGGACACTTCCCTCCCCTCTATTTGTAAGTTCTTGTTATAAATACCTCGAGGTCCTTTCCTTGTGTTCTCTATAGTAATGACACAGAGAAAAACAACAGTAAGCAGGAAGATTACTATAAGCAAGCTATTACAGATTGAACTGTGTCCCTCAAAAAGATATGCTGAAGTCCTCACCCCCCACAAGTGTGAATGTGAGCTTACTTGGAAACAGGGTCATTGCAGATATAATTCGTTAAGCTGAGGTCATACTGGAACAGGGTGGGTCCACAATCCAAAATGACTGTGTCCTTATAAGAAGAGGAGAATGTCGTGGAAAGACCTCAGAGACACAAGGGGAGAGGATGACCGAGGGAAGAGAAAGGCAGAGGCTGAAGTTATGCAGCCGCCAGCTGAGGAACACCTGGAGCCACCAGGAGCTGGAAGAGGCAAGGAAGGACCTTCCCCTGCAGGTTTCAAAGGGAGCAAGACCCCGCCAGCACTGACTTCACACTTCCATCCCCTAGAACTGTGACAAAGAAATGTTTGTGGTTTTAAGCCATCAGGTTTGTGGTACTGTGCTCCAGCAACTGCTGGAAACCAACACACAGGGTGACCCAGAGAGGTTGGAGGCAGATAAATTGGTTTACAGGCTTTTGTCTTTGGTAGTTCCAGGCTAAGAGGCCCCCAGCTCTGGGCCAGGGTGGTTGTGGGCAGTGAAAGCAGATGACCTGTTGACTAAGAGGATTTCTTCCCATTAAATCATTAAGGAAAATCTCCTCTTTAATAGTAACAAATAGAAACTAACAAGAGCAAGCACTTGAGTTAAGAATTCCCTGGAATTCAGACTGGAGAGCCTCTGTCAACCGCTCTCTATCTGCAAAGATAAATAAATACTGCATTTGCTTAGCTTCTGTTCCCGAAGGAAACATAATCATGTCCCTTAACGCGTGAGATTCTGATAAAATTTTAAAACCAAAAGAAATAGAATCACAGGAATTAGGAAATTCTATCTAAAAGTCTTATATATAATAGTGACATAAAATAAGACCCTGAGGAGTTGGGTCTCAAAAAAGCTCACCAAGCCAGATGGACACAGGGCAGGTCAGCCTCCAACTCCAAGTTCAATGCTATTCTTAATAAATAAAAAGAGGATTTGAAAATAGAAATGCATGAGGGTAGACCATTAGGCTTTATCTCAGGGTGGGACAAAACTTATAGAATTTCCTTGCTCTAACAAGAAGTCCCTCTAACAAGAAGTCCCTCCTCACTCTCCCTGGATCCCTGGAGGGATGGAGGTGAAACAACTCAGGAGGAAGAAGTGAGAAGTATTTTGTTTCCTTTGGGATAGGGGAGTGAGTCTCACCATATTTTCAGGGGAAGTAGTAACACCTTGTGTTTCTAATGTGTGTGCGTATATTTTAGTTTAATCTTTATTATTCAGATATGGTAAAATCAACAGACTAGGAGATTATCATTGAAAAGATTGTTATTCTCCCAGTTCCCAAGAGCTGGGGGCCCATCATGCCATGTGGGATCCCACGAGAAAGCTCCCAGGTTAGGAGATGGAAGGAGCGAGAGGAAAACGTGAGCAAGAGCCTTTATTGTGTTTCCTGAGGGAAGGACCATGCAAGGCAGAGTAAACTGCCATAGGGTTGGCTAGTTTGAATTGTTTTCAGCAGGCTGTGGGTCCCAGGGGTTAGTCCACTACCTGGCCCTGGGTGATGAGGGCACAGTGACCTGCAGTGTGAGAGCTCAGGTGTGGGGTGTGGGCTCTGGATTGGTTGGTTGGCCTATGGAAGGTGCATTCACAGGTGAGTCATTTACCATCTCTAGGAACTGGCTCACCCTAGGAGAGGCAGTGTCAGTGTCTGTTATAGGAAAGGTGTCCCGATACAGACCCCAAGAGAGGGTTCTTGAATCTCACGCAAGAAAGAATTCACAGCCAGTCTGTAGAGTGAAGTGAAAGCAAGTTTATTGAGAAAGTAAAGGAATAGGGCCAGATGCGGTGGCTCATGCCTGTAATCCCAGCGCTGTGGGAGGCCGAGGCAGAGGGATCACCAGGTCAGTTCAAGACCAGCCTGGCCAACATGGTTAAACCCGTCTCTATTAAAAATACAAAAAGCAGCCAGGCTGGTGGCATAGGCCTGTAATCCCAGCTACTCAGGAGGCTGAGGCAGGAGAATTGCTTGAACCCAGGTTGCAGTAAGCAGAGATCACGCCATTGCACTCCAGCCTGGGCGACAGAACAAGACTCCGTCTGAGGGAGGGGGGAGAAGAAAGAAAGTAAAGGAATAGAAGAATGGCTGCTCCTTAGATAGAGCAGCCCCGAGGGCTACTGGTTGCCCATTTTTATGGTTATTTCTTGCTGATAAGCTAAACAAGGGGTGGCTTATTCATGCCTCTCATTTTATAGACCATACAGGGTAACTTCCTGACATTGCCAGCTTTTGTAAATTGTCATGCCACTGGTGGGAGGGTAACAATACGGGTCGTGCAACCAGAGGTCACTCTTGTCGCCATCTTGATTTTGGTTTTGGCCGGCTTCTTCACTGCAAGCTGTTTTATCAGCAAGGTCTTTATGACCTGTATCTTGTGACGACCTCCTATCTCATCCTATGACTTAGAATGCCTTAACCATTTCAGAATGCAGCCCAGTAGGTCTCAGCCTCATTTTACCCAGCCCCTACTCAAGATGGAGTTGCTCTGGTTTACAAGCCTCTGACATCTCTAAGGTTAGCAAGGCCCCCAAGATGTCAAAACTTCAAAAATACATAAAAGAAAAAGGCACGGTTAATATAACCATCTAGACTTCCTGATGGGCTCTCAGGTATCAACCACTTGGCCAACCCGAAAACAAAGTGGGGGGCCCCAAGGGGAGCAGTGAGAAGTGAGTCAGGAAAGGTAGAAGGCCCTGAGTCTTTGGATGTTGGATCCCTCAACCTCATCCTGAGAACACTCCGGGGACGGGGAAAAGCAGAGCCTGTGTAGGAGCAAAGGTGTGCAGGGCAGGGCAGGAAATCTTGTGGGAATCTGGGTCTGGGTGACAGAACCCATCCCAGTGCCCTTGGGAATAGGGAAGTCTGGGAAACAATCAGGGTTGACACCCTCCAATTTGTTAAATGACTCAGCACCGTGGTGAGAGGTGACCTGATTACCAAGGCAACCATCTGAGAACTCTCAAGTCAAAAGAGAAGCTGCATCCCCCATATCACTCAGTACAGGTAAAATGGTATTAATATGAACATTTTCACCATCGTAGGCCCTCCGGGACGGATCAGAGCAATCACATAATGAAATATAAAGATTGGTTCATTAATGATTAAGAAGTTGGTTTTTTAAAGACTTTGCTTCCTCAATTTTATTTATTTTTCTTTTGTGAGACAAAGTCTCCGTCACTCAGGCTGGAGTGCAGTGGCATGATCTGGGCTCACTCCAGCCTCAACCACCTGGGCACAAATGATCCTTCCACCTTAGCCTCCTGAGTGGCTGGGATCACAGGCCTGTGCCACCATGCCCAACTAATTTTTAAATTTCCTTGTAGAAGCAGGGTCTCACTATGTTACATAGACTGGTCTCAAACTCCTGGGCTCAAATGATCCTCCTGCCTCTGCCTCCCAAAGTGCTGGGGTTACAGGTGTGAGCCACCACACCCTGCTGGTTCCTCAATTTTATTTTTTATTATTTATTTATTGAGACAGAGTCTCACTCTGTTGTCTAAGCTAGAGTGCAGTGGCACGATCTTGGCTAACTGAAGCCTCCACCTCCAGGGTTCAAGCAATTCTCGTGCCTCAGCCTCCCGAGTAGCTGGGATTACAGATGCATGCCACCATGCCCAGCTAATTTTTATATTTTTCTGTAGAGACGGGGTTTCACCATGTTGGTCAGGCTGGTCTCGAACTCCTGACCTCAAGCGATCCGCCTGCCCTGGCCTCTCAAAGTTCTGGGGTTATAGGCAGGAGCCACAGCGCCCAGCTTGTTCCTCAATTTCAAATACCTTTATATTTAAAATATTTGTATTGGTTGGATTAGAAAGCCCTGGATAATTGTCCATATCCTTGACATGGACAGGAGACGAATGTTTTTACCCTCAGGATAATCGGTCATTTCAAAATCCTGAAACACTGTTCCTGTACTCCTACAGGGAGCTCCACTCTCCCCTCCACTCCCTTACCACTGGTTACTGTGACCTCCCATGTGGCCCGAAGAACTTACCAGAACACCGTGCCAAGAGACCTGACTACATTTGAGCCTGGCCTCCACCTGTACCAAGTTGTGTCCCTAAAGCTGACCCCAGCCTTCTATGCTGAATTTTTTGCTCAAGCAAACAAAATGCTGCCAAACCATAAAATGCCCGTAATCCCAATCCACTTTGCCAAACCACTTTCAATAATTCTCCACTTACCCTTTCTGAAATTTTCCATTTCCTCATAGCGCCCCCAGGTCTCTTTTTTGTTCTGTCTTTAATTTCTCTAGAGCCCCCTTTCGTTCCCTTTCTGTTCTCTCTTTAAAAATCTCAGTCACCTTTGTTTTAGCTGCAGCTCAGCTCAGCTGCTCCTGGAGTCTGTCTCCCCTACTGCAGTAGTCTGAGTAAAGTCTGCCTTGCCCCCTGTCACAAGTGTCCCGTGCTATTTTTCTTTGACATTACTATACTAAATTAACCAAAACCATTCAGTCTTAACACCAAAAGGCACCTCCCCTTTTTCCCTTGTTCTTGCCTAAAGACCCTTGCTACAAGCTACAGATCAGGAATTTAGCCTTCTGGAAGAAATATCAAAAGAATGTTAGCCTCAGTAGAGTACAGTTTTAGATACGGAAGGAAATCAAAATGTTTTACCCCAAAAAATATTTCTTTGACATATTGTGAGATGGCTGTTCAGAGAGCCAGCAGGCAGAAGTCATCTTGCAGAGCTGTGTTTTGCAGGAGAGATTTGCATCTGCAGAGAATCTGCATTAATGCAGCCAGGTCTTCCCTTGTCCACATCTAGGCAAGATTAACTCAGAGTCTGATACCTTGAGACAACTGAAAGAAACATTTACCATCTATTCTCTCTGAGGGCTGCTACCTGTGAGGTTTCATCTATACAACAAGACCACCTTTGCCGGCCAGGCCTCTTCGCCTCCCCCTCCCATGACCTGTCTTGCCAGTATAACCTGATTTACCACCATAATACGGTTACCACCATAACAAAACCACGGCATGATTTGGGACTTGCTCTTGTTAAAGCAAACTAAACATGGCCTGAGAAGCTAAATATGGCCTGAAGGGGACTCCGTACTTTTAATAGGCATAGGAGCTATGCCTATTAGGTAACATAGCTTAATAGGCAGACAAGATTTAAAACCTAAGTTAAGAGTATGCACCTGTAACAATAGCTGAGTCTTGGTCAATCCCAGTGGCCATACTTCAACCACTCATAGACTGCTAAGCGTTCAAACTGCGTTCAGATAAGGCAAACGCTGAGCTGTAACCAATCGAGCTGTTTCTGTACCTCACTTCCAATGTCTGTACATCTCTTCCCTTTTTTTGTCTATAAATTTGTTCTGATCACAACACATACCTGAAGACTCTCAGAATCTGCTGTGATTCTGGGGGCTGCCCGATTTGCGAATCACTCATTGCTCAGCTGAACTCCTTTACATTTTAATTCAGCTGACGTTTGTCTTTTAAGGCTTTGAAACTCCATTCTTTCTGTAACCTCAAGATGGTATATAAGCTTCTGCACTGCCTTGGGGCATTGGAGTGATTACTCTGTGATTCTCCCCTGTGTACACATTAATAAGTTTGCATGCTTTTTCTCCAGTTAATCTGTCCTTTGTACATTGATTTTTCAGCAAACCTTCAGAGGGCACAGGGAAGTTTTCCCTTGGCTCCCACAGTATTCACGACTCGTGAATACTGTGAAGTAACATCACGCCCCGTCAGCCTGTGCCAGAGGACTGCGGCAGGACTCCCAGGGACCCTGTGGCCCAGAAGCAGGTGACTCTTTACAGCCACCTGCTGACCCAAGCTCCTGCAGAACAGGAATTAAATGTGTAGGACTAAAGTGAACTGAAAGGGGTAATTTAACTGTGGTTAGTGTCCTTTTCCTTACAGGAGGCAGAGGAAACAATTTTTCTTACATATTGATCTATCTCTTCTTTCTATAATTTAGCAGACTAATCCTATGCAAATTGCAAGAACATACTCATTGGATGGTATGTTGCTCCAAATCTTACTTCAGAACTCAGGGGAGATACCCTGTAGAATATCTGGATATAAATTATAAGCTAATGAATCAGCAAGAACTTAAGGATGATGGGTGTATAGAAAACACTGGTATTGACTGCCTTTGTCTGCAAAACTGACCCAAACAATCAAAGTGCCTTCATTAAACCCTTTTACTTTTCACAGCAATGTAGTTATTTGCATGGATTCAATAAGATTCTGTCTTTGGGCCAGGCACGGTGGCTCATGCCTGTAATCCCTGCACTTTGGGAAGCTGAGGTGGGAGGATCACTTGAGGCCAGGAGTTCAAGACCACCCTGGGCAACATAATGAGACTCCATCACTATAAAAAAAAAAAAAAAAAAAAAAAAAAAAAAACTTTTTAAGTTAAATTTAAAAGAAAAAAAAAAATCTGTCTTTTTAATGATATAATTGGATAAACCAAACTTGTAACCGTTCCAGAAGCGTCTCATTTAAATCTCATTTAATTGAGTTTGACCAGCCCATTATTAATGACAGAGGAGAAGGGAAAGAACACAGTCAGACAGGCAGTTAGGGTGGGTCCTCAGTTGATTTCTTTCAAACAAAAGAACAGCCTCCAGGCACAGATAAGGGAATTTACACAGAGGGGCTTACCTAAGACATGCCCACAGCTGCACAGATAAAAAAGACTACACAGGGGCCAGGAGTGGTGGCTCATGCCTGTAATCCCAGCACTTTGGGAGGCCTAGGTGGATGGATCACCTGAGCTCAGGAGTTCGAAACTAGCCTGGCCAACATGGTGAAACCCCGTCTCTACTAAGAATACACAAATTAGCTGGGCATGGTGGCATGTGCCTGTAATTCCAGCTACTCGGGAGGCTGAGGCAGGAGACTCACTTGAACCTGGGAGGTGGAGGTTGCAGTAAGCAGAGATAGCACCACTGCACTCCAGCCTGGGTGACACAGCAAGACTCTGTCTCAAAAAACAAAAAAAAAAGGCTACACAGGTGACTTGACCAGACATGCCCACAATGGAAAATTCCATGCCCTGACACATGCACAGTAAGGGGAACAAAGCAAAGCAATATGGAGTAACTGAAGCTAAGGGATCACATGACTACTAGGAGGACAGAGTGGAACTACCAGAAATTCGCACCTTATGCAATTGAGATACCCAGACCTCATTGGTTTCCTACCAAAGCCTTTGCATTCAACTGTAAAAATTGGCCTCTCTCCACAGCAGAGAGCTTTATTCTCTTACTTATTAAACTTTTGTTCCAACCGCTCCCTTTGTGTCCATGCTCCTTAATTCTCTTGTTCATGAGACAAAGAACTCCAGGTCATACCTCACAACAAGACACTGCTGCATTGTGGGGCATTGGTGAGACTGTGACATTAAGGAACAAGGACTATATACTTCATGTGGAAATGATGCCTACAGAATCCTCCTGGAAGACTGCTCTACAGCCTTCCCTGGGGCTTACAGAGTCCCAGCCTTACAGGATGTCAAGACTTGTACTTCTTGGTCAGCCAGGAAAAGTAAATATGAAGATTTCAGAGAAAGAAGATAAACCTTACAGTTAAAGGCACTCCAAGGGGAAACTGAATACATGTTTTTGGTTCCTGAAATGGAAATAGATGAACTACTAAAGGCAACAGAGAATATTTCTGGCATAATAAAAGTGATCAAAAATATGAATCCAGGGGCTTTGTGATGGAGTCGCAGACACAAATTCACTCCTTAACCTTAATATCTTATGATCAAGCATACAAGGAGGTCTTTATGTAATAACCACTACTTCTTTCTGTGCCTATGTAAGCAAAACCAACCAAATAAAAAAGAACATCAAGTTAATTATACTAGATCAGAAAATCTAGAACAGACATATTTGGTCAAATTCATGCCTTTGAGGTAGAATTTGCTTATAAGACAACCTGAAAAAATAAAACTGACATTCTCATCCTTAGCTTAGCCCCATCTGATACAAGACGGCAACTACCAGAGCCCAGGAAAGATTTACATTTTTAAAAGCCGTGCATTCCCAGAGATAAGCCTTGAATTACAGGCCATTCTAAAGCCTTACAGCCAGAGATAAGCTGTGATCCTTTTTCCTATTATCAGAGACAGGACTTTAAATCAAAATGAAACTGTCAACTGCTATATAATAACTTGAACTATAAATACAACCTTCTCTCATTATTCTGGGAGCCCAGTTGTTCTGAAAGCTTGCTTTAGGCAAGCAAACTTCAACTAGATCACAAATTGTCTGAGTGGGATTTTTACTGGGGAGAGGAGGATAGATTTCTTTTAAAAAGAAACAATAAAAATTGAGTTAGGAGGAGTAAAAACAATTAAAAGAAAGGGAACTGCCCAGCCATCATCATCAACAACTAATAAAAACTAATAGAGCTTTTATTATAGTGTAAAGAAAACCAGAGCTGCACTGGCGTTAAAGCAGTAAAGACAGATTTTATTCAGGAACTACTACAAGAGGGGGCAATGATATCGGTGCAGAACTGGGCTCCATTCCAGATTCAGCATGGGCAGGCGGAGATTTACAGCCAAAGGGTAGAGTTGGGGTCAGTGGATGGAAAATTAATAAGAGGAAACATGGGGGTGTTGGGGGTTGGGGAGCTTCTGGTTAAACAGACCTAACAGGATTCTTGCTGAAGGCAGGCCAGGGTGACAAGACATCCCCTGGGCAATGGTGTGGGATAAGGAACACAATCAGATATCAAGAGTGATTAGATATCCATCTCCTAACTTAGCAGGACTATTTAAAAAAAAAAAAAATCTTGCTCTGTCACCCAGCCTGGACTGCGGTGGCATGATCATGGTTCACTGCAGCCTCAACCTCCCAGGCTCAAGCAGTCCTCCCACCTCAGCTCTTGGGTAGCAGGGACCACAGGCATGAACCACCACACTCAGGTACATTTTAGTTTTTGTAGAGATGAGGTCTCACTATGTTGCCCAGGCTGGTCTCAAACTCCTGGACTGAAGCCATCCTCCCACCTTGGCCTCCCGAAGTGCTGGGAATACAGGTATGAGCCACTGTGCTGGGCCTAGTTTTCTTGTTACAACCAGATTCTTGAGGACAAGGCCTGAGGATGGGGCTTCATCAATGAGGGGCTCAGAGGACCACGTCTAGAGTTTGGCCAATCAGGGTCTCTGTCAGTAGGCACCCAGCAGAGTTGGTGATTGCCCTCAAGGCATGGACAGCCAATACCAGTTAATCCAACAACAAAATCTCCCACACTTAGGAATTTCTGCCATCTGAAATGGGAAAGGTCATATAGAGATGTATGATTGTTCCCATCTCCCTGTGGTTCTGCAGTGTAGACAGGTAGACTCAGTCAAGAGGTGACATTTTCCAGTCAGGGAGAACCAAGAACAGGATAGAAAGAAAAGGAACCAGGAGGGAGAGCTGGGAGGACCCGCAAGGAGAACGCTAAGCTGTCAGCAGGAACAACAGGAGCCTGTTGGGTGTCAACAACTCAGTCACCTTCTCTGTTATGAAAACTGATCCCTGGGGACCCTCAAACCTGAAAAACTGGCTTCTGCAGAGCAGGTTTCAAAGCAGAATTCCCCTCTCCTCCTAACTCAGCAAAACAATTCCAGGGGGAGGAACATCCCAGGAGGCTGAAAACACAGACTAACATCCTGCCTAGCCACTCCTCTGAGTTTTGACAGCCCTCAAGGGGTAAACTTTTGGTGTAGCTTGTCCCCACCTCTGCCCTGAGGCAACTGACCCTCTCTGCTCTTCAGAAACCCAATGAATCCAGCCTGGACAGCAGGTGCCACACACACTCCAAAATGACAACTCTTAAGAGAAATAATTTTCTTCTTGAACCAAGTGGGGACCTGAATGTTCAGATATGAAAGAGTGAAGCAATATAGATGAATTAGCCAATTTTCACACTGCTTATAAAGACATACCTGAGACTAGGCAATTTACAAAAGAAAGAGGTTTAATGGACTTACAGTTCTACATGGCTGGGGAGGCCTCACAATCATGGTGGAAGGTGAAAGGCACATCTTACATGGTGGCAGACAAGAGAAGAGAGCTTGTGCAGGGACACTCCCCTTTTTAAAACAATTAAATATCATGAGACTTATTCACTATCACAAGAACAGCATAGGAAAGACCTGCCCCCAGGATTCAATCACCTCCCACTGGGTCCCTCCCACAACACATGAGAATTCAAGATAAGATTTGGGTGGGGACACACCCAAACCATATCAATACACCATCTTCTGTTGTTTGGAAAACAAAAGCTAGCAACCAAAGGCAAGGCATTTTGGAAAGATACACAGACCTACAGATGTAACCTTTAGCAATTTCTGAGTGCAGTGGATACTCTCAAGTAGAAGTTGGTCAGCCCCAGGCTTCCTGGCTTTCCTGCTGAATCTGGATATTGGTTAAAACTGAGTATTGGTAGTTACCAGCTAATATTTATTAAGTGCTATCAAAGAAACAGATCAGGACTTAGTAAGGAGAGACTTATTCAAAAGGATTCTTGCAAGGGAGGGAACGGGACTATTGCAGTAGAAAGAATGCCTTCATCATAAGGTTTGGAAGTGTCTCAAAATCAAGCTGAAAAAGTTTTGTTTAATAGGATGAAGGAGGTGGTAAGTAGAGATTAGCAGAATCTTTAGGGAAAACTGGACAAGCCAGGGGAAATGATCCATGGAGTTGGACTGGAAAAGTTGGGCTCACTGTACTCAGTTGACTCCCAGGAGAAACTGACTGGGAACACGACAGGGTCAAGACAAAGCAGAGGGCAAGAAATGAGCAACTGTGAGTGCCTTGCCAGGGTTTACTAAGTGGCAAGCATAGGTTAAAATTCCCATGAAGAAGGTGCTATTATTTTCCCCATCTTTGCAGAGGAAAAACAGACTCTGAATGGTTAAGTGTGACATTAAATAATTCAAACTTAAAACTGCTTTGAATTATTTTGAGCCTTGAGAGAAATGTGGCTATATAGCCTGGGTCATGCAGCATGCAGCCGCAACCTCTGCTTCCCCAGTTATAGATTAACTCTCTTTCTTATTCTTGTAGATCAGTGGTCCCCAACATTTTTGGGACCAGGGACCGGTTTCACAGAAGACAATTTTTCCATGGATGGGGCCAGTGTGGGAGGGTGGTTTCAGGATGATTCAACCACATTACATTTAGTGCGTACTTTATTTCTATTATTACATTGTAATATATAATGAAAAATGACACTAATACAACTCACCATAATGCAGAATCAGTGCAAGCCCTGGGCTTATTTTCTTGCAACTATACAGTCCCATCTGGGGTTTTTAGGAGACAGTGACAGATCATTGGGCATTAGATTCTCAGAAGGAGCATGCAACCTAGATCCCTGGCATGTACAGTTCACAATAGGGTTTGTGCTCCTATGAGAATCTAATGCCGTCGCTGATCTGACAGGAGGTGGAGCTCAGGTGGTAATGCAAGTGATGGGGAGTGGCTATAAATACAGATGAAGCTTCTCTGGCTCACCTTCTACTGTGCAGCCCAGTTCCCAACAGGCCAAAAACTGGTAAAGGTCTGTGGCCTGGGGGTGGGGGTTGGGGACCCCTGCTGTAGATGATTAGGAAAGACTGAAAGACACCAGAGATAAGACCCCCTGGAGTCCATTCCTCCTCCGTAGGGAATGTTAAAGCAATCTTTCTTGGGATGCAGCAAACTGTAACCAATCAAATTACTGTAACATATGTATTGGCCTTGAGCGGAAATATGTTTCAACTCTTAAGTTTCTCTGCTTCTGGCTGTATAAGTTAAAACTTAACTTCTTTGCTTTGGGAAGTTAACTTTCCTGCACTGATTCCATTCTTTGGCAGTCTATGTTACATGGGTAGCTATGCTCATGCTTTGCTCTCAAATAAGCTCTCTACTTAATCCTATTTTCTGAATCTGATTATTTAAGATTGACACAAGCAATTTTTTCAGAGTCACACAGGTGGTAAAATTCATGTAGACTCTTATTACCCAAAAGAGACATAATCAGAAATATATTTTAATGTAATGTGTGGGAGCTGGACCTTTTCTTTAACCCCATTCTCTGTGTAATGTTCAACACATGTTTGGGGGGTAAATTTGTGAATAGGTGTTGGGAGGGTTATAATCTATAAATCCATCTCCCACCCCACTTAATCTCACTGAGTCCTTTGATAACTGGTGTCATGCAATTAATATTTTTGCTGTCCTTTTAAATCTATATGTCATTTTAAATCTATATGCCTTTCTTGTGAGCTTCTCCAGGGAGGTAGGAGGGGGGTAAAGAACCCTTCCCAGTCTATCATTGTTGGACATTTGTGTTGGTTCCAAGTCTTTGCTATTGTGAAGAGTGCTGCAATAAACATACATGTGCATGTGTCTTTATAGCAGCATGATTTATAGTCCTTTGGGTATATACCCAGTAATGGGATGGCTGGGTCAAATGGTATTTCTAGTTCTAGATCCCTGAGGAATTGCCACACTGACTTCCACAATGGTTGAACTAGTTTACAGTCCCACCAACAGTGTAAAAGTGTTCCTATTTCTCCACATCCTCTCCAGCACCTGTTATTTCTTGACTTTTTAATGACTGCCATTCTAACTGGTGTGAGGTGGTATCTCATTGTGGTTTTGATTGGCATTTCTCTGATGGCCAGTGATGGTGAGCATTTTTTCATGTGTTTTTTGGCTGCATAAATGTCTTCTTTTGAGAAGTGTCTGTTCATGTTCTTCGCCCATTTTTGATGGGGTTGTTTGGTTTTTTCTTGTAAATTTGTTTGAGTTCATTGTAGATTCTGGATATTAGCCCTTTGTCAGAAGAGTAGGTTGCGAAAATTTTCTCCCATTTTGTAGGTTGTCTGTTCACTCTGATAGTAGTTTCTTTTGCTGTGCAGAAGTGTCCAACGATGATAGACTGGATTAAGAAAATGTGGCATATATACACCATGGAATACTATGCAGCCATAAAAAAATGATGAGTTCATGTCCCTTGTACGGACATGGATGAAATTGGAAATCATCATTCTCAATAAACTATCGCAAGAACAAAAAACCAAACACCGAATGTTCTCACTCATAGGTGGGAATTGAACAATGAGAACACATGGACACAGGAAGGGGAACATCACACTCTGGGGACTGTTGTGGGGTGGGGGGAAGGGGGAGGGATAGCATTAGGAGATATACCTAATGCTAAATGACGAGTTAATGGGTGCAGCACACCAGCATGGCACATGTATACATATGTAACTAACCTGCACATTGTGCACGTGTACCCTAAAACTTAAAGTATAATAATAATAAAATAAAAAAAGAAAAAAGAAAAAAAAAAGAACACTTCCCTGCCAAGTCCACCCTGTAAAGGACTGTGTACCCAGCCAGTGAATGTCCCAACCGTGTGGTGTCAGCTGCTGACTTCTATACTCTTGATGGGCACTTTAAAATCTAGATGTGCTTATCTTCATGGCCAGCCACCTGTTTCACTGCCAACACCACTGGGAGCTCCTCAGAGAGGCATCTGCATCCTTCCTTGTCCTGGGGGTAGGCTGACCTCTATCCCAGTAGACCTGTATTAGTCTGTTTTTATGCTGCTGATAAAGACATACCCGAGACTGAGCAATTTACAAAAGAAAAAGGTTTAATGGACTCACAGTTCCATGTTGCTGGGGAGGCCTCACAATCATGGTGGAAGGTGAAAGACACATCTCCTGTGGTGGCAGAAAAGAGAAGAGAGCTTGTGCAGGGAAACTCTCCTTTATAAAACCATCAGATCACATGAGATTTATTCACTATCATGAGAATAGCACAGGAAAGACCTGCCCCCTATGATTCAATTACCTCTCACGGGGTCCCTCCCACAACACATGGGAATTGTGGGAGCAACAAGTCAAGATGAGATTTGGGTGGGGACATAGCCAAGCCGTGTCACCACCCAAATCTCATCTTGAATTGTACTCCCATAATTCCCACATGTTGTGGGAGGGACCCAGTGGGAGAGAATTTAATCGTAGGGGTGGTTTCCCCATACTGTTCTCATGGCACTGAATAAGTCTCACGAGATCTGATGGTTTTATCAGGGGTTTCTACTTTTGCATCTTCATTTTCTCTTGCCTCTGCCATGTAAGAAGTGCCTTTCACCTCCTACCATGATTCTGAGGCCTCCCCAGCCATGTGTAACTGTAATTCCAATTAAACCTCTTTTTCTTCCCAGTGTCAGGTATGTCTATATCAGCAGTGTGAAAACAAACTAATCCAGGTGGGGACACAGCCAAACAATATCAAGACCCTAGCAGTCTCTCAATTCTTTCAATAACCACTTGGTTTATGACAGTGAAACTGAGCACACCTCTCCTCGTCAAGGTGCAGTAAGTAAAAACCTCTGTGCAGGTGCCAGTTAGAATGAAATTAGATCCAGGGATGATACAGACACAAAACCCCAACTCTGGTTCTTGAAAGTCTCCATCCCAGAGAAGGACAATATCCTCAAGCAAGTAAATCAGAATGATAAAGTCTTATCCCTTAGGCCCTCCCAAAAATAATCTCACATTTGGAAGGGCATTGTTCACCAGCTGCCTTTACACAATGTCTAGCACCTTCCAAGTTTCTGTCTGCACAAATGCCCCATGGAAGCTTCCTGGAGTTAGACCTCTTCACAGGGTGCCTTTCCTCAGCAAGATCAGGCAGCTAAATATAAATGAGGTCTCAGAGACCCTGGATCACAGACAGATACAAATCAATCTGAACTCTGGTTGGACTGATAAATAGGAATGTTAATTATATATTTTTTAATTTATTTTGAGATGGAGTCTCACTCTGTTGCCCAGGGTGGAGTGCAGTGGTGCCATCTCAGCTCACTGCAACCTCCACCTTCCGGATTCAAGCGATTCTCCTGATTCGCCTCCTGAGTAGCTGAGATTACAGGCACCCACTACCACGCCCAGCTAAATTTTTTTTTGTATTTTTAATAGAGATGGGGTTTCACCATGTTTACCAGGCTGGCCTCGAACTCCTGACCTTCAGCGATCCACCCGCCTTAGCCTCCCAAAGTGCTGGGATTACAGGCGTGAGCCACCGCACCTAGCCCAGGAATGTTAATTATACCAGCTCTAACTAAACTATAAAGTCCCTGAGGATAAGACCAGATCTACCTTGCTCACTACTGTGTCAACAGCACCTCTGGATGTGCCCAGCACACCACTAGCAATTAGTAGGAATTTGTTAAATAAATAAAATAATGAAGGAATGAATGCATCCTGCCTCATTAGGCTTCTGTGAATATCAAATAAGATCATGTATAACTTATAAACTACACTTCTCTGCAAATAACAGCTAAAAATAAATTAGCTGCTATTGTTACTCTCAGAGGTCTCTACTGAAGGCATGGTTTATCACCACAATTAAAATAAACCGTATCTATTACAGAAATCATTCCCCAGAAAGAGTATATTTTTCTCAAATGATAAAAATTGAAGAAATTTCTTATTTTGAAAGGTTCAATATTTAAGTCACTTGCATACAGTAATAAATAAGCACATGTTATATTAAAGACATAAATACTATGTACAAAAAAATTAACATTAAAATTAAAAGCATTTTCAATCTTTAGAATCAGTATGGAGAAATAAAGATGATAAATGTCATGAATAAAAAACTGGCCATAATTCTTCTCTCCTAAACAAACACATACATAAACACACCCCACACACCAGTCAAAATAAGAAATTCTGCAAGCCATTGTTATATGCTACGAGCTGGGAAGCTAAATTGTTCTTTCAGAATGGAGAGAGAGATTACTAGAAGCAGCAAATAATGGCTACAATTAGCCATCTTTTAGGAGTGCAAACGGGTTTTTGGGAAAAAAAAAAAAAAAAGGAGGGGAATTAGCCATGTCCACGAACCTCCCCAGAAACAAGCCATTCTACAGTGTGATGCAGAGAAAATTGACTGATGACTTGGGGTGTCCAGAAGTAGCCAATGTGAAATGTAACTAAAGTAAATTTAGCTGTCATCATAACTATGACACATAGGAAGTAAAGGACCCTGAAACCGCAGGTTTCTCTAAGTTGTAAGAAATGATATCACAAAAAGGAGAGTTGCGGCTTAGAATTTGTCAGCATTAAGCTGCACAGTTTCAGAAAGGAAAACTTTGTGCCAGATGGTCATTAGGTAGGTGGTGCTACCATAAAGTAGAGAAAAAAAAACCTCAAGCAGCCAACAGAATCCTCCACCAAAACATGCACTGATTCCATGCTCAGCAAGTGACTCTCTTGTGGCTAATTTCCCTCCCCAGGTTCCTTGACACTGGGAGAGTTCCCTAGATCTTTCTTCCTTCCTGTAATGAAGGGTTTTTTCCTAGGGCTGATGCTTCTTGTGTAGCAGGCAATATTATCACATTTACACTCTCCTTCCTGGACAGACCACATGGCCAGCGCCTGGAAACCAAGGAACAGAGAGGCCACTTGTTGACATACAGCCAGACACTCAAGAGCAATTCATGCCTCTTTCCTTTACTTTCCGGAAGGAGAATGTCTCCTCTCCACATTCATCCTGCCCCAGCTGGTCTAGGACTAAGATCTGGAATTGTTCCCAGATCAAAGGGGTTGGTTATTGTGTGCTCAGGAGGGGGAGGTTGTTGTGTGTTCTCCCCACTTCTAACCACTTGCCAGAGCTCTGACAAACACTCTATTCTGCCTCCTCCCTTGGCAGCCCAGCCTTGCTGAGATCTCAGGCTGAGGACAGCCTCTATTCACAGCAAATGTAGATTTCTCTCTGCTAGACAATTATTTAAGACGCATTTTCCTTTAATTACAACAATTTCTAATTTCTGGCATATATTCTTTAAACCACAGCAGTAGGCATTTTCAAGTTGTAGGCAATCCCGAACTTACATGGATTGAGTTCTCAAACTTTGGGAGTAAGTTATTTGAAATGAGACAGAAGCACCTTTTAACTTCAGAGGTGTCCAACAGAGAAAGGACTCTGTCTTCAGAGACAAAGGACTTCCTGTCACTAGAAGAATGAGCAACCACTCAACAATGGGTTGCCCAGATTCCTGCAGTGGTATTAGCAGAACTTGAAGCAAGGCAGGACAGAAGAGATGGCACCTGTATATGTGCAAATCCTTGAAGACAGAAAAGTTTTAAGTCCTTCTTTCTGTCTTACAGGGATTCCTAGAGAAACAGCATCTTTTCCTCTCTATTCTCCTAAGGGAAGAAGCCTTATTAAAACAAAATCCAAACCTTCAAAGTTAGCATTTAGGAAAAAAATTAAAACTCACAATAGAGAGGGTTAACTGACCTATGGGATTGATCCTAATTTCTGAGTCCTCTTCCTCCATGACCTTAGCCACCGGCAGGAGCAGGTTGCTCCCTAGAGGGATGTTTCCCCACTACTGGCTGGGTTAGCTTGCCATGGTTACCTTCTACAAGCTGAGATAAGCTAGATCATTCAAAGAGAACACAGGTGGTATGGGACCTGCCCAGTTTACCAAGTGCAGGTTTCTGATTCTACCACATTTAATCTCCCCTAGGTCTAGCAAGTCCTTTTCTAGTCTACCTACTAAGTAAGCTTTCACCAGAATAGCCATGAAGTGAACAGCTTTGGGCTCCCCTAGATATTCCCTTCCCCTGCCAGGTGTGTATCTGCCCATGATGCTTATTAGTTTGTTAGGGCTCCCATAAAAAAGTACCACAGACTGGGTGGCTTGAAAATTGAAATGTTTGTCTCATAGTTTTGGAGACTGGAAATCTGAGATCAAGATATCATCAGGGGTGGTTCCTTCTGAAAACCATGAGAAAAGAATCTGTTCCAGGTCTTGGCTTGTAGATGCCATCTTCTCCCTGTGTTTTGACATCATCTTCCCTCTGTACATGTCTGCATCCAAATTTCCTCTTTTTATAAAGACACCAGTCATATTAGGTTAGGGTCCACTCTAATGACCTCATTTTAACTTAATTATCTCTGTAAAGGCTCTATCTCCAGAGACAGTCACATTCTGAAAGAGGGTTAAGACTTTGTCTTAGCCCATTCTCTGTTGCTGTAACAGAATACCTGAAACTGGGTCATTTAAAAAGAAAAGAGGTTTATTTTGGCTAATGGCTCTGGAGGCTGGTAAGTCCGAGATCAGGCAGCTGCCTCTGGTTGGCTTCTGGTGAGGGCCTTGTGTTCACCAGAAATGTGGCACAGAAGCAGAACAGGAATCAGGCACATGCCTGAAAGGGCAAAACATGAGGGGCAGCTTCACTTTATAACAACCCACTCTCACAGTAACTAATCCTGTCCTTCAAAAGCAAGAACACACTCACTCCCACAAGCATTAACCCAGTCCCACAAGCATTAACCCAGTCCCACAAGAGTGGTATTAATCCATCTTTCAACCTAATCACCTCAAAAAGGCCCCATCTCCCAACACCACACCAGGGGCCAAATTTACAACACATGAATTCTGAAGGATACACTCAAACTATAGCAGACTTTAGCACATGAATTTGGAAGAGACACACTTCAACCCATAACAATGCTGAACCTAGGAGCCCCATCCTGGACTTCCTGACACATTTACACCTGGTAGAAAGAAAGGAAAACACAAAAGAGTGGTTTTCTCTCTGCAGCCTACTGATGGTACACCATCCTTTCTAGTCACTGGGTGAGGAGAATACAGGCTTTTCCTCAGGACAACTTTTTACAATTAAATAGCCATGTTCTCCACACGTTAGCAAGTCCAACAGCACAGCCAGAGCCTTCATAAGGCAAGAATTTTTTATCTAAGTCAGCAAAAGAAGGAGATCCTCTTTTCCCCCAAAATAACCCACTAACCAAATAAGTCACATAAACACAAACCCCTTTCAACCAAAACTAAAAAACTAACTAAATAAAAACTGAGACCTTAATTCAATGATGGAAATGGAAAGCTATCACGTGAATAGACGGTAACCTTTAATAACCAACTTGTTATTGATAACCTTGTCTCGCCCACTTATTGAGCTGGAAATTGTTGAGAGAAAAATATTGACAGGTTATAGACAACACAGGCATCACAGGCTCATGGCCATGGAACGGAGTTTAGACATCACACGGTTTAAGTCCTACATTCATACCTCACCCTAAACAGCTGTTGCTTAATGCGACTTGTTGTTGTTGTTGTTTTTGTTAATGTAGAGATTGTTGTTTTTTAAGACTCATCTCCTTCCTGGAAAGATAAGTGCAAACCCAAAATTAGATACAGTTTCAACTTTTTCCTTTAACATTATTGACATATTTCTCGATGTATTTCAGCCAACATGCAACAAGAAATTTTCTCTCTTAACAACTGTCTTTGAATGTTCCCCTCATTTCTACCAGATTTCTGTCTCTGAAGGCTGAACCACAAGAATAAAACTTCCTCTAAAGATGGAAAGGCCAAAAGAGACTCAGAAAATCCCAGAGACAAGCAGGAAATATTCACAGTTTAAAGCAGGAGATAAGTGCAGGTTCCTGTTTAGAAGGTAGGGTCAGGTCTGATTCAACTAAGCAGTTATGTTTTTATCTGCCTGGATTATTGGAGTCTGCTGAGTATTTCATTTGAATATATGTACTGAAAAAATACACATACATACTGAATATATATATATGTGTATATGTATATACGTGTGTGTGTATATATATATATATATATACACACACACACACATTGAATATATATACTGGATATATATTTATATACTCTTCCCAGTGGATGGAAAAAGTTTTAAGGAAATCTGAATAGTCCAAGTCATGTTATAGAGTCACTTAATTTCATATTGTTCGATCACCAAAACATCAAATCAGATGCAGACGAGAGAATACTACTACCTAGGAAGAAAAAAACACAGCTAGTCCACAGAGACTAGCACAAAGCACAGAAAAGAGACTTCTGCGCTAGGCCCAGGCATGAGGATTCAGCCAAGAGACCAGAACAGCCATCATAAGACCCACAACTTCCCATTTATTTATATGCTCAATAACTGTAGGTGCTCAGAATCAAATTAGAATTATCCCTGGCTGTAACCAAACCAGGTGTGTGGATTTTGTTTTTGTTTTTAAATTTAAATTTTTTTAATAGAGACAGGGTCTCACTACATTGCCCAGGTTGGTCTCGAACTCCTAGACTCAAGCGATTCACCTGCCTCAGCCTCTCAAAGTGCTGGGATTACAGACATGAGCCACTGCACCTGGTCCCAAACCAGGTATCTGAACATGTATTTAAACATAAACAATGTAGGGATCTAGTTATTCACTCTGTAAAAGAATTATTTGTTTTAAACACAAGTACAAAATAATACAACATCACTTTCAGGCTGACCGGGGAGGCATAACGTGAATCTAATCATGAGGAAACATCAGACAGACACAAAATGAGGAACATTCTAATGAAAAGAAGCGGGGGGGGGGGATATCTTTAAAAATATCAATATCATGAAAGATAACAGTTTCACATTAAAGGAGATTAATGACAAGATAACTAAATGTATATATAATTCTGGACTGACAGGTACTGAAAGAAATAAGAAAATTCTATAGAATTTATTAGGTCAACTGAGAAAATCAAAATATGAATGGGGGATTACATACAAGTATCTTGTCAATGTTAAATTTCCTCAAATTGATAAACTTACAGTGGTTATAAGAGGAGTCCTATGTATCATAGATCTAAATGTAAGCTAAAACTATAAAACCCTTAGAAGAAATCTTCATGAACTTAGATTAGACAATGGTTTCTTAGATATGACACCAAAAAGCACAAGTGACAGAAGAAAAAAAGAGTACATTGGAGTTGATCAAAATGTAAAACTTTTGTGCTTCAAAAAATACCACCAAGAAAGTGAAAATTCAACCCACAGAGTAGGAGAAAATATTGGCAGGCTGGGCATGGTGGCTTACAGCTGTAATCCCAGCACTTTGGGAGGTCAAGGTAGGCAGATTGCTTGAGCAAACAAAATTAATGCAAAAATTAGCCAGGTATGGTGGTGCAGGCCTGTAGTCCCAGCTACTCAGGAGGCTGAGGTGGGAGGATCACCTAAGCCCAGGGAGGCTGAGGCTACAGTGAACCATGATCACACCACTGCACTCCAGCCTGGGTGACAGAGTGAGAACCTGTCTTAAAGAAAATAAAAGAAAAGAAAATATTTGAAAATCATGTATCAGATAAGGGATTTGTATTCCAAAAACATAAAGCACTCTTATAAATAACTCATCAATAAAAAGAAAAATAACCTAATTTTAAAACAACATATAATTTGATTAGACATTTTTCCAAAAAAGATAGTAAATGGCCAGTAAGTACATGAAGAGATGCTCAACATCATTCGCCATCATAAAAATGAAAATCAAAACCACCCTGAGAGGCCAGGCACAGTGGCTCACGCCTGTAATCCCAGCACTTTGAGAGGTTGAGGTAGACAGATTGCCTGAGCCCAGGAGTTTGAGACCAGCCTGGGCATCATGGTGAAACCTCATCTCTACCAAAAATACAAAAATTTAGCCAGACATGGTGGCGTGCACCTGTGGTCCCAGCTACTTTGGAGGCTGAGGTGGGAGGACCACTTGAGCCCCCAGAAGCACAGGTTGCAGTGAGCCGAGATCACACCGCTGTACTCCAACATGGGTGACAGAGCAAGACCCCATCTCAAAACAAAACACATTGAGAAACCACTTCACAGTCACTAGGAAGGCTATAATAAAAAAGATGGACAATACCAAAGTGTTAGAAAGGATGTGGGGAAATTGAAGAATTGATATGGCTGCTTGGAAAATTAGCAGTTCTTCAGATAGGTAAGCATAGAGTTACCATATGGCCCAGGAATGCCACTCCTACGTATGTAGGTATGTACCCAAGAGAATGGAGAATGTACGTCCACACAAAAGCAGTGTGCAAATGTCCAGAGCAGCATCACACTCAGTAAGCAGAAACAAGCCAAATGTCCATTACCTGATGAATGGATAAATCAAATGGGGTAGATCTGTACAATGGAATATTACCCAGCCATGAAAAGAATGAAGTACTGATACGGGCTACAACATGGGTGAATCTCAAAATCAAAGACACAAAATACCATATAAGCCCAGGTGAGGTGGCTCACACCTGTAATCCCAGCACTTTGGGAGGCCGAACGTGCAGATTGCTTGAGGTCGGGAGTTCGAGACCATCCTGGCCAACATGGTGAAACTTCATCTCTACTAAAAATACAAAAATTAGCCAGGCATGGTGGCATGGTGGTGCATGCCTGTAATCTCAGCCACCCAGGAGGCTTCACCATGGACGTTAGCCCTGGACTTTCGGAGAGTCTCTCAAAGTTGCTGGCCAGCCTCAAAGCAAATACAGATCGAAAAATAAGTGCTTTGGAAATGTAATCTTTTGGGAACCCTTAATTGTATGCTGGTTAATAAGTTGGCCTAATATATCTTCTCACTATGGCTAAATGGTCATATTGAAAGGAAATGTTACAATGAAATGTTTTTGGAGCATATAATTTTAATGCATATTTTATGTCACTCCATCCCAGCTTACAATGATTTAATTCTCAGAAGATAGAAAGCAGATACTATATTACTCCTTTGTCTTTGGATCACCAATGTGATGGCATCTTTATGAATATTTATATCTTTCCAAATTCCACCTGACTGCCATGAAATACAAACAATTCAGCTTTGAATCAAGCTGCAAAGACTAGGTAACTTGACATTGATATAGAACCATGACAAAGTCCAAGTATCAGACATCATAGTTTGCCTGTCTTTTCTGATCTGAAAACCAGGGAATATCATGAGTATAAAGATTGTTTCACCTTCCCCAAGTTGGAGGTTTGGAACATGGGAAATATGGACAGAATAGGAGAAGGTAACTAGAGCAGAGATCAACAAAGCACAACTTGGACAGCCAAAGCCTGCCCGCAGCCTGCTTCTATACAGGTTTTGACATGTTTAACCATCATAAATGAACAAGTAATATACCACAGAGACTGTCTAGGGACAGCCAAGCCTACAATATCTGCTATCTGGCTCTTTACAGAGGAAGACTGTCAACCCCTGAACTAGAGTGTCACAGAATAAAGGTGTAACCCAAATTCCCTCTGCTACAGATAAAGTTGATGCCACTCACATTTCCAAAGTGAAAAATGGAATCAACTCACCTAAACAGATGGGATAAAAGGACTCCCAGGAGATAGGTATATATAATAGTCATTAGCTATTGACACTCTGTGTCATATTGACAGTTGGTAAATTGCACATAAAAAGATGTTATAGAGGGGAGGGGAATCTCCCCCACCACACCCCACCAAGAGACATCATATTCCTCCCTCATCCTAGCTGTAGCAATCCTGTGGCCACTGGAGAAAATAGCCCCTTGTCACCTGACTGTTTCCTTTTCTGCAAGCAGATGTCTCAGATGGAAGGAACACTCTCAATGCTTTAGTAAAATCCCTGGCCTTTTGGGATTCTCCAAACACCATGACAGTTAGCTCCACAGCCATTTGTCTACTTAAGTGCTCTGATCTGAAAGGAAAATAAAACATCTCTTGTCTCCCCAAAGGCCAAAAGACTAAATCCTGGTATAGACACCTAGGTTAACTCCAAAGGTGCCTGGGATACTGGAGATTTATCTTCTTAGATGTAAGGTGTAAAAGCCTAGTCAGTTGGGGCTACCAGGTACCTGAGGAGATTTTATTTACATGGCAAAGGCTGGAGTTAGGATTTCTGCCCTTTATGTTTCCAAAGAGAGCCTTTCAGAAGGCAAGAGGAGTGGCTGCCTCCTTCCCTTTGTAAGCAGAGCAAATAGTTTTTCCTACCCCCTCACTTAGGGAATGTCCACTACTAACACGGGGAAAATTCCCACTGTCTCTTATGTGTCACCCAGGGGTAAGCAATGGGGCAAGGGGGTGACATGTTTATTATTTACTGAGCTGTAATAAGAAATCTTGTCTCTGATCCATAATGCCTCATGTTGTATTCAGGATAAAATTAATAAAAATGAAGATTAGAAACTCAACTGATGCCGAGGCAGGTGGATCACCTGAGGTCAGGAGTTCAAGACCAGCCCAGCCAACATGGTGAAACCTCATCTCTACTCAAAATACAAAAATCAGCTGGGCATGATGGCACACGCCTGTAATTCCAGCTACTCAGGAGGCTGAGGCAGGAAATCGCTTGAACCCAGGAGGTGGAGGCTGCAGTGAGCCGAGATCGTGCCATTACACTCCAGCCTGCGTGACAGTGAGACTCTGTCTACAAAAAAAAAAAAAAAGAAAGAAAGAAAAAAAGAAAAAGAAACCCAACTGACACCTTTTAACTGTCTCTGTTTCAGTCATTTTATTCAATTTCCAATATAATGAGTCCAAAAAGGACCAAGTTTCTGCCCTTACTACTAACTTTGATATTTACTCAGTGAAAAAGCCCAAAGCAAAGATGGTTTGGTGAAACATCATAAATCTAAAGTTCTCTATCCCATTGTAAAGAACCTTTATTCCCCTCTAGGTTTCCAAGGAGATTTCTAACATAAAGATTAATACAATACCAACAATCTTGACAGCAATAGGGTTTTTTTTTATTTGTTGCTTAAATATGAGCATTATGGTATGTTCCAGGCCTTCCCAGTCTGCTGGGAAGGGCCAAAGCTATTGAAAACTATAAAAATAGTGACACGGGAATCTGGAGGCTAAACTTCCACTGGAAAAATGTCCTCACCTAGGGATTTTTAAATGCTACTTTAGTTTTATTTTCAAATAATGCTTTCCTTTCTCTGAGGAAAATTAGAAACCAAGACTAAGTAAATAATTACAGAAATATTATCTAAATATTCTTTGCGTCTCTCCAGAAAAAAAAAAAAAAGAAAAGGACTACAAAACACAAAACAGTAGGTTTTTGGTATTGATATGAAAGGCCATGAGGGCAGCAATGAAGATTCTCATGTGTTTTCTCAAACTGATGCTATCTTTGGGTCCTATTAGGTTCTTTAAGCCAAAGGCCATTGGGAGCCAAAACTCATAGTCCCAGCCTGTGCTCAGCCACCTCCAACTCTTCAAAGTAGACACACGAAAGCATTTTCTTTATTCCAAAGATAACGAGGATCTTTCTGAAACTGAGATGAGGTCTTCCTGAACCTTTGGCTGTATTAATAACCGCTATGACTTTTGGGGTGCCGGCTCTGTGCCAAGCCTTCTAAGCTATGATATTTCTAATCCTCCTAACAACTGGCTGAGATAGTTATTATCATTCTTATTTTATAGAGGAGAAAACTGGGGATAAATAACTATTATTGATGAGTAAGAGCATGAGCTAAGATTGGGATAAGTGGCCTAAATCCATACTTTTTCCTCCATATCCCTTTTGTTTGGAAGTTTTATGGTTAGAATACCACCTAGCCAAATCAGGTGAGGCTTATTGGCTTCTTGTTTATGTTTGATTGTTTAGGATATTTAATTTTTAGGATATTTAATTGGTGATGCATCTATAATATAATACAGCCATTCAAAACTTGGGGGATCTAATATAGAATGAAACTTACTTTATGACAAAGCAACACTGAGCAGCAACAATAGTGGGGCAATAAATGCTGGTAAGTCAGTTGCACAGCCAGATGGAGAAAAGTGAATCTGTTCCTCTACCTCGCCCCATATAGAAAAAACCTTCACAGGTGGATCTATATGTGAAAAGCAAAACATTACATTTGTAAAAGATAACATAGAAAAGTATATTTATTGCTTTGAGGTAGGAAAACTTTTTTTTAAACAGGACACAAAATGTTCTAACTAAAATAAAAGAATTGTATTTGATTAATAGAATTAATAAATCTCAATTAATTCTGATCCATTTTTATTAATCAATTAATAAGAATTAATAAGACATTGCAAAACACAAATTCTTAAATGAGTTGAATAGGCTTTTCACAACAGGATATTTAAGAGGCCAATAAACATACCAAACGAAGTTTAAATTTCTTAATCGTAGCATAAATAAATAAAATACTGGCAAACCAAATCCAGCAGCACATCAAAAAGCTTATCCACCATGATCAAGTGGGCTTCATCCCTGGGATGCAAGGCTGGTTCAACATACAAAAATCAATAAATGTAATCCAGCATATAAACAGAACCAAAGACAAAAACCACATGATTATCTCAATAGATGCAGAAAAGGCCTTTGACAAAATTCAACAGCCCTTCATGCTAAAAAACTCTCAATAAATTAGGTATTGATGGGACGTATCTCAAAATAATAAGAGCTATTTATGACAAACCCACAGCCAATATCATACTGAATGGGCAAAAACTGGAAGCATTCCCTTTGAAAACTGGCACAAGACAGGGATGCCCTCCCTCACCACTCCTATTCAACATAATGTTGGAAGTTCTGGCCAGGGCAATCAGGCAGGAGAAAGAAATAAAGGGTATTCAATTAGGACAAGAGGACATCAAATTGTCCCTGTTTGCAGATGACATGATTGCATATCTAGAAAACCCCATTGTCTCAGCCCAAAATCTCCTTAAGCTGATAAGCAACTTCATCAAAGTCTCAGGATACAAAATCAATGTGCAAAAATCACAAGCATTCTTATACACCAATAACAGACAGAGAACGAAATTACGAGTGGACTCCCGTTCACAATTGCTTCAAAGAGAATAAAATACCTAGGAATCCAACTTACAAGGGATGTGAAGGACCTCTTCAAGGAGAACTACAAACCACTGCTCAACGAAATAAAAGAGGATACAAACAAATGGAAGAACATTCCATGCTCATGGATAGGAAGAATCAATATCGTGAAAATGGCCATACTGCCCAAGGTAATTTATAGATTCAATGCCATCCCCATCAAGCTACCAATGACTTTCTTCACAGAATTGGAAAAAACTACTTTAAAGTTCATATGGAACCAAAAAGAGCCCACATTGCCAAGTCAATCCTAAGCCAAAAGAACAAAGCTGGAGGCATCACACTACCTGACTTCAAACTACACTACAAGGCTATAGTAACCAAAACAGCATGGTACTGGTACCAAAACAGAGATATAGACAAATGGAACAGAACAGAGCCCTCAGAAATAATACCTCACATCTACAAATATCTGATCTTTGACAAACCTGACAAAAACAAGAAATGGGGAAAGGATTCCCTATTTAATAAATGGTGCTGGGAAAACTGGCTAGCCATATGCAGAAAGCTGAAACTGGATCCCTTCCTTACACCTTATACAAAAATTAATTCAAGATGGATTAAAGACTTACATGTTAGTCCTAAAACCATAAAAACCCTATGAGTAAACCTAGGCAATACCATTCAGGACATAGGCACGGGCAAAGACTTCATGTCTAAAACACCAAAAGCAATGGCAACAAAAGCCAAAATTGACAAATGGGATCTAATTAAGCTAAAGAGCTTCTGCACAGCAAAAGAAACTACCAACAGAGTGAAAAGGCAACCTACAGAATGGGAGAAAACTTTTGCAATCTACTCATCTGACAAAGGACTAATATCCAGAATCTACAAAGAACTCAAACAAATTTACAAGAAAAAAACAACCCCATCAACAAGTGGGTGAAGGATATGAACAGACATTTCTCAAAAGAAGACATTTATGCAGCCAACAGACACATGAGAAAACGCTCATCATCACTGGCCATCAGAGAAACAGAAATCAAAACCACAATGAGATATCATCTCACACCAGTTAGAATGGTGATCATTAAAAAGTCAGGAAACAACAGGTGCTGGAGAGATGTGGAGAATAGGAACACTTTTACACTGTTGGTGGGACTGTAAACTAGTTCAACCATTGTGGAAGACAGCGTGGCGATTCCTCAGGGATCTAGAACTAGAAATACCATTTGACCCGGCCATCCCATTACTGGGTATATACCCAAAGGAATATAAATCATGCTGCTATAAAGACACATGCACACGTATGTTTACTGTGGCACTACTCACTATAGCAAAGACTTGGAACCAACCCAAATGTCCAACAGTGATAGACTGGATTAAGAAAATGTGGCACATATACACCATGGAATACTATGCAGCCATAAAAAATGATGACTTCATGTCCTTTGTAGGGACATGGATGAAGCTGGAAACCATCATTCTCAGCAAACTATCACAAGGACAGAAAACCAAACTTCGCATGTTCTCACTTACAGGTGGGAATTGAACAATGAGAACACTTGGACACAGGAAGGGGAACATCACACACTAGGGCCTTTTGTGGGGTGGGGAAGGGGGGAGGGATAGCATTAGGAGATATACCTAATGTAAATGACGAGTTAATGGGTGCAGCACACCAACATGGCATATGTATACATATGTAACAAACCTGCACATTGTGCACATGTACCCTAGAACTTAAAGTATAATAAAAATATATATATATAAAGAAAAATGTTAATGTCCAGCAATGGTGAACCTTTGCATATGACACAACAATTCCACTTCTAAGATATGTCCCATAGAAATACATAAGAACTACAAAAGACATATACAAGAATGTTAGGTACATATACTGAAAACACTCAGATTTGAATACTCAGAGCCAAAACTGGAAACCACCCAAGTGTCTGCCAATAGTAGAATTTGGAAGTAAATTTTGGTATATTCGTTCAATGGACTATTATACAGCTATGAAAATGAATGAACTACATACAACATAACAAGCTCATAAACAATCTTAAACAAAAAACAATAATATAATTTAATAGTTATATCATTTTATTTATGCAAACAAGGCAGAAAAAAAAATTTGTGGCATTGAAACCAGGATTTTGGTTACTTTTAGAGAAGAAGATGAAGGTAGACTAGGAGAGGGCTTCTAGGGTACTAGGAAGGTTCTGTTTCTTGATTTGGGTAAGGTGGTGTTGTGATTTACACACATAAATATATTGGTTTTCATCCACAGTTCCTGGCTCATAACTCATATAGCCCTTGTTAACAGTCTTTTGTTATAATGTTAGGTGTGTCAGGCTTCAGGAAACAATCTCTCCAACCTTCTCCTGCTCTTCTTTCACCTGGCCCAATCAGGACTCTAATCTTCCTTGACTGTCTGATTGTGAGTCATGAGACCCAGCCTAGAGAGGGTCCCACCCAATACCATGGGAAAAGGAAAGCTGACCCCTTGAAGCTTCCTTAAAAACCCAAGAGGACTGGGTTCAGACAGCTTCTGGGTAGCTGAATACTTGCAGGTTCCTGTGTAACTGCCTACTGGATTCACCTTGCCTGCTGCCTAGACAGAACTGATTTATCAAGACAGGAGAATTGCAATAGAGAAAGAGTAATACACACAGAGCGGGCTGTGTGGGAGACCGGAGTTTTATTACTCAAATCAGCCTCCCCAGGCATTTGGGGATCAGAGTTTTTAAGGACAACTTGGTGGGTGGGGGGAAACCAGTGAGCCAGGAGTGCTGATGGGTTAAGTAGGAGATGAAATCATAGGGAATTGAAGCTGTCTTCTTGTGCTGAGTCAGTTCCTGGATGGGGGGCAGATGAGCCAGTTCATCAATCTGGGTGGTGCCAGCTGATCCATCAAGTGCAGGGTCTGCAAAGTATCTCAAGCACTGATCTTAGGAGCAGTTAGGGAGGGTCAGAATCTTGTGGTCTCCAGCGGCATGACTCCTAAGCCATAATTTCTAATCTCGTGGCTAATTTGTTAGTCATACAAAGGCAATCTAGTCCCCAGGCAAGGAGGTCTGTTTTAGGAAAGGGCTATTATCATCTTTATTTTAAACTATCAACTATAAAGTTCCTCCCCAAGTTAGTTCAGCCTATGCCCAGGAATGAACAAAGACAACTTAAAGGTTAGAAGCAAAATGGAGTTGGTTAGGTTAGATCTCTTTCACTGTCTCAGTCATAATTTTGCAAAGGTGGTTTCATCTGGAGGGCGGTGCATCCAGGGAGGGCATGGAAGCTCCATGCCCCTTTGCCCATACCTCACCCTGCACATCTCTTCATCTGTATCCTTTGTGACATCCTTTATAATAAACTGGTAAACCTAAGTAAGTGTTTCTCAGTGTCCTATGAGCCATTCTTGCAAATTCGGCAAATCCAAAGAAGGGGTCATGGGAACCCCAACTTGAAGCCTGTCAGTCAGAAGTTCCAGAGGCCTAGATTTGCACCTGGTGTCTGAAGGGGTGGTCAGAGGGAGTCTTGGGGGCCTGTGGGATCAACCTGTGGGATCTGATGCGACCTCCAGGTAAACAGTGTTGGAATTGAATCGGAGGACACCCACCTCCTGTTCACTGCGTGGTGATGGGGCAACCCCCACACATTTGGTCACAGAAGTCTTGTGTGTTGATTTTGATGGTGTGAGAAACAGAGGAAAAACATGTTGTGAGAGTTTTTTCCTGAAACAGGTGAAATTTTCCATTTGTGACACTTCTCCAAGCTATACACTAATAATTTGAGCACTTTTTGGTAGCTATGTTATTCTTCAGGAGAAGGTTTATTAAAAACAAAAAGAAGGCTGGGTGCAGTGGCTCATGCCTGTAATCCCAGCAATTTGAGATGCCGAGGCGGGCGGATCACCTGAGGTCAGGAGTTCGAGACCAGCCTGACCAACATGGAGAAACTCCATCTCTACTAAAAAACACAAAAAATTACCCAGGCATGGTGGCGGGCACCTGTAGTCCCAGCTACTTGGGAGGCTGAGGCAGGAGAATGGCGTGAACCCGGGAGTCGGAGCTTGCAGTAAGCCGAGATTGTGTCACTGCACTCAAGCCTGGGCAACAGAGTGAGACTCCGTCAAAAAAAAAAAAAAAAAAAAGCAAATAGCTATGGCATAAGTAGACACACATTATAAACAGGAAGTGAGTGGGGGACAAACAAAGGTGAAGACAGAGATAAGGACAGAGGCAAGGCCACCAGGAAACAGTGTGACTTGGAGAACGAAGTCAAGAGCCAACATTAGAAAGTGAAGAAAGAGGCCAGGCACGGTGGCTCACGCCTGGAATCTCAGCACTTTGGGAGTCCGAGGCGGGTGGATCACCTGAGGTCAGGAGTTTGAGACCAGTCTACCCAACATAGTGAAACACCATCTCTACTAAAAATACAAAGATTAGGGAGGTGTGGTGGTGTGTGCCTGTAATCCCAGCTAATTGGGAGGCTGAGGCACGAGAATCACTTGAACCGGGAGACAGAGGTTGCAGTGAGCCGAGATCGTGCACTGCACTCCAGCCTGGGCGACAGAGTGACTCTCCATCTCAAAGAAAAAAAAGAAAGAAAGTGAAGAAAGCAGAAGAGAGAAAGGAAATGAAATACAGGAAGTAGTAATGACTGAGGAGAGGAAATTAAGCCAAAGGCTCAAGCAAAGTTTGTTTCTAAAAATAAAAACCAAATATATCTGGAAACCAAGAAGATGGAGGTCCCACCCCACTGATGAAGGAAGAAAGAAGGAAATTAGGGGTAGATGGCTGGATAAAGGAATCATCATTTATTGAGGGCTTACTCTATGTCAGACACTGTTATTAGAGAACTTCAAGTGAAGAAGGAAAAAGAAAGCAGAAGAGAAGAGCAGTTTTGCTTTTCCAAAATGGTCAGGCTGCAGACCGAACCTATGAAGTCTCAAATGTTCATCATCTACACAGCTAGCATGTCAAGCTAAGTCAAACTTGTTACCACAAATACAGCAAAAACCATCTTGTCTATAAGATGTACACGAGGGACCAGCTGCCTCTGAGGTAGCTTGGGGCAGACTCCTCTCGTAAGTGTTAGATTCATTTGCTCAGCTGCTATAACAAAGTACGACACACTGGGGGAATTAAAACAACAGAAATGTATTGTCTCACCATTCGGGAATCAGGCGTCAGCAGGGCTACGCTCTCTCTGATGGTGCTAGGAGGGAGCTTGCCATACCTGCTGCAGCTTCTGCTGTTTGCCCACAATCTCTGCCATTCTTTGGCTTGTAGATGCCACTCCAAGCACATGGCCATTGTGAAAGGAAAACCTCTTGGGCCCCCAAAATCACTAAGGAAAACTCAAGCTTGAAACTGCTTAGGGCAAACCTGCCTCCCATGCTATTCAAAGTTATTTCTCCGCTCACTGAGATAGATGCATATCTGATTGCCTCCTTTGGAAAGCCTCATCAGAAACTCAAAAGAATGCAACCTTTTGTGTCTCACCTGTCTGTGACTTACAGGCTCCCTCCCAGCTTCCTGCCCTTGCTTCAAGATGTTCCGCCTTTCCAGACCGAACTAATGTGCTTCTTACATATATTGATTGATGTCTCGTGTCCTCCCTAAAATGTATTAAAAAAAAACTGTGCCCCAACCAGCTTAGGCGCATGTCTTCCTGAGGCTGTGTCACAGCGCGTCCTCAACTTTGGCAAAATAAACTTTCTAAATTAACTGAGACCTGTCTCAGATGTTCTGGGTTCACAATTTCTATGACTGAGTTTTTTAGTATCCCCTATGTATGGCATCCAAGGAGTGAGAATGTTTCACTCATCTTACCCTAGTCCTGTCCTGTCTGGTGTCTTTTCTCCCACATTCTATTTGTGGCGGTCACAAAATCCTGCCCAGCTTCAAGGGGAAGGGAAAAAGGCTGCAGCTGTCAATGGGCCCCAGAAATATTACTGTGGCTACTTTTGGAGAATACAATCTGCCACACCTTGCAACAAGCAACTCTAAGGAATCTGACTTGTTTGGCAAGTACAATAGCTAAATTGATTCCAGGATCCAGAAGAGCAACATGTCAAGACAAATATCCACAAATTCTTAGAATTTTCCACAGCCTTGTCTTAGTAAAATTTTTACTGACTATAGGACAGGTACGGTGGCTCAAGCCTATAATCCCAGCACTTTGGGAGGCCAAGGTGGGCGGATCACAAGGTCAGGAGATTGAGACCATCATGGCTAACACGGCGAAACCCCATCTCTACTAAAAATATAAAAAATTAGCCAGGCGCGGTGGCAGGCGCCTGTAGTCCCAGCTACTCGGGAGGCTGTGGCAAGAGAACGGTGGGAACCCGGGAGGCGGAGCTTGCAGTGAGCCGAGATCGCACCACCGCACTCCAGCCTGGGCAACAGAGCGAGACTCTGTCACAAAAAAAAAAAAATTTTTTTTTACTGACTATATTGTTTTTAAAAAGTCATCATTTCCTTAGATGTTCTATTACAAAGCAATGATCAGTAGAATAAGGGCCTTGATAAATATTTGCTGAATTCATTTGAATTGAAAATCTTGTGTTTGGAGAAAACATGTCTTTCAGGCATTATGAAATATTAAAAAGGAAAATCTCCCTTTGTTGTCTGGGAAAA
Source organism: Homo sapiens (assembly GCF_000001405.40). NCBI lineage: Eukaryota > Metazoa > Chordata > Mammalia > Primates > Hominidae > Homo > Homo sapiens. The sequence goes on along the minus strand of NC_000013.11, from coordinate 100,772,990 downwards.
TGTCATAACCACTGTGATTTACCAGGTAACGTTATACATATCATAAAAACAAATAGATCCCAAGAACTTTATTTGTGTTGGTAAAGATAAAAAGGCAAAACATGACTTCTCAATAGGCGTTCCAGTGGTTCTCTATTCAGATGCCTAACTCTGTGAGAATTGGAGATAGTGTGAAAAATCACATCTCCCACTCATTAGACACATTTTAAAGTTATTCTGTTACTTTAGAATGGAATTCTCTTGTCATTTGCTATTTATAAATCAAAAAGGTTGAGTTTACAACATTAACAGGAGCAAAATGTTCCTTGGTAGTTTAAGAAAGAGGAGAAGAAGAACATCGAGGAAACAAACTTGAAAACCATCCTAAGCAAAATACTTAAGAGCTTAAGTTTTGTCTGTGTGTCAAGAACTGTGAAGGGTGTAGATTTGACCCTATTTGGAAGCTAACAAGTTAGTCCGCCACCATTTCATGGAGGCTGGTAGAAGACACAAAATTTCTGGGTCAGCTACAAAGGAGAGTTTTTACTCAAAGCAGTAGCAGGAATTGGAATATTGGCATTTTAAGTCAGCTCCCCAAGCTCCAAATCCCACAGGGTGATGTGAAGAGGGCCAGATACCACTTGCAAGTGTAGTGGGTTGTTTCTTAAGAATGCTGAGTTTAGGGAATCCAAATTGGCAATAAGCATGCCTGCGCTCTGTTCCACAGGGAGACACCACCTCTCTTTTCCGAGACTGTTCACCATAAAAACATCCTTGAAAAAGACAATCAGAAACAAAGAGTAGGCCGGGTGCGGTGGCTCACGCCTGTAATCCCAGCACTTTGGGAGGCTGAGGTGGGCAGATCACCTGAGGTCAGGAGTTCAAGACCAGCCTGGCCAACGTGGTGAAACCCCATCTCTACTAAAAATACAAAAATTAGCTGGGCATGGTGGCAGGCACCTGTAATCCCAGCTACTTGAGAGGCTGAGGCAGGAGAATCACTTGAACCCGGGAGGCAGAGGTTGCAGTGAGCTGAGATCACACCACTGCACTCCAGCCTGGGTGACAGAGCAAAACTCTGTCTCAAAAAAAAGGAAAAAAGAAAAAAAGAAATATGACTTAGAAGGTGGAAATATCTTTCCTGTGCACTTTAATATGGTAGCCTCTAGCCAATTAAATGTAAATTAAGTAAAATTAGAAACATGTAAGATTTTTCCATTGCATTAGCCATATTTCAAGTACCCAGTAGCCACATGTGGTTATGGGATACCACATTGGACAGCACAGATATGGAACATTTCTACCATCACAAAAAGTTATTCTGGATAGCCCTAAATATAATTCAGTCAGTCAGCCACAAAAATGGAAATATAGGTACAATTTGGTTATCCAACCATGTTTATTTAATTCTTCCATATGCCAGGGGAAAAAAATGTTATATTGACTTTGTTCCCTACAGTCTTAAAGTCTACAGTAAAGCAAGGAAGACAGACCTTATTAAAATAATAAATAAACACAATAAACAAGTTATTGCAATTAAAGGAGACCTAACTTAGTATGGAAGATCTGGAATAAGTTTCCTGGAGTAAGAGATATTTAAGCCCAGACTTTAGTTAGGTTAAAAAAATATATAAAGGAAGGAAGGAAGACTTTTCCAGGGAGTTGAAACATTGTCAACATGTAGTGGCTGAAACCGTAGCATATTTCAGAAATTAAGAAAACTCAGGATAGGTGAATGCTAGAAGTGGTGGAAAATAGTAGGAGATGAGGTATGCGGAGGCCATAGTCATCTGGGTTTTTGTAGACCCATGTTAAGAACTTTGGACCTAGTTCTAAGGGAACTAGCATATTTCTGAAGGGTTTAAAGCAGGCAAATGATAGAATCAACTTGAGGATGACGAGTGATCTTGATAGAACGATACCTGGTAGTTGGACCGGAATGGATTCTTGAAGGCTCTTTCAGAGGATTAGCTCAAAAAGGATGACTGAGCACCTACTTTAAGAAGAAATTTTATTTTTTAAATAAAGGAATTTATTTTTGTTTTTCATATGCTAATGGATATATAATAGCTGTACATATTTATAGGGTACATGTGATATTTTAATATATGCATACAACGTGCAATGATCAAATCTGGGTAATTGGGAAATCCATCACCCCAAACATTTGTCATTCCTTTGTGTTGGGGACATTACAAATCTTCTAGCTATTGTGAAATATATGATAAATTGTTAACTGTAGTCACCCCATTGTGCTACTGAACACTAGATTTTATTCCTTCTAACTGTATTTTTGTACCCATTAGCCAAGCCTAAAGAAGAAATGTTAAAATAATACTGACACTAAATTCCTGAAAGATGGATGTAAGTAGGATAAATTTTATAGGGAAAATCAGAGTCCAAAAGAAACTGAAGAAACTTCAAAGCTGGAGCCAAGGATCCAAACAGTGCAAGGGTCTGGGCCAGCTTCAGGGAAATACTGACAGATCTGTGGCCACTCTCACCTCTACACTCAACCTTGGGTGGCTATCACAGTCGTTCGATACCTTGCTGGATCCCCCAGCCTAGAAGAGTGTCTGGCAAAGAGTTGTTGCTTGCTGAGTAGGAATGAATATGTGCATGAGAGCAGAGAGGCAGGCAGGACTCCCAGAAGGAAGAGGGAGCCCCCAAAGGCAAATGACAGACCCTCCAAATAATGCACCATCACCACCTGGGGTCAGCTGAAGTGAACCAAGCAGGCAGCAGAACAGAGAATGTCAAAAAAAAAAGTAGTGGAAATCCAAGAAGCAGCAGACATGCGGGGAAAACCAAACCTGTGAGAAAGTGGAGCTAAACTTACTGAAGAGTATAATTCTAAAGAAACACAGTTAATGGAGCAAACAGAAGACTGAAATATGTATAACTCATAACCTCAAAGATTTTGAGATAAGATTATGGCAGGAATCACAGACAAGATGATGGAGGCCTGGTCAGGGGTGATAGCAGTGGGCATAGAGAGAAGCTGTAAGATTCTTAACTATCTTTAGAGGCAAAATTGATAGAAATTGGTAATTGATTGAAAATGGAAAGTTACAAAGATGAAGGAGTTACGACTAACTAGGTTTCTGCTTGTGGAATTTGGTGGAATGCAGTGTGTTTGTTGTTGCTGGGAGTGCAGAGGGGCTACCATCAATTCAGTTTAAAGAATGTTCAGTTAGTTGGCAGTGCCATTAGACATCTATGGAGAAACTGAGGGGCAAATGGCTATGTGTGTTTGGAGCTCAGAAGAAAGGTATGAGCTAGCTGTGAATGAGCAAAATAATCTACCTAGGCCATAACTGAAACCACATGCTTGGGAAGTGAGCTAGGGTGAAACTAGCAGAGGTCACAGCACAAAACCCCTGTTTTTTTGTTCTTTTGGGTTTTTTTGAGACAGATCTCACCCTGTCACCCAGGCTGGAGTGCAGTGGTGCGATCTCAGTCCACCGCAGCCTCTGCCTCCAGGGTTCCAGTGATTCTCCTGCCTCAGCCTGCCAGGTAGCTGGGATTACAGGCATGCACCACCACACCCAGCTAATTTTTGTATTTTTAGTAGAGACAGGGTTTCACCATGTTGACCAGGCTGGTCTCGAACTCCTGACCTCAGGTGATCTGCCCACCTTGGCCTCCCAAAGTGCTGGGATTACAGGCGTGAGCCACCACACCCAGCCAATTTTCAAAGAAACTGTGGTCAAGGGACAGAGTTGTTCAGGGAGAAAACAGAGGCTCCATGAAAAACTGAACTGACTGCAAAACTTTTCAATTCTTCATGTTCTATTTTTCTTTAGTGGAGTCCATTGGTTCACGTAACACAGACCGTAAAATGGGGATCATAATAGGACCCGTCCCAAAGGGTTTGATGTGAAGACGAAAAATGATGTACAGTGACCACTTCGCTCAGCAGCTGACACACAGGAACCGTTCCATTAATGAGTTACAGTATAATCAAACAAATCTGACAGAAGGAAAAGTAAAATTTCCCCCAGGTTCTCCCACGATGCCTAATAGGACTGAAGATTATTGTTCTCAATATTTTATTATAGGTTCATTAGGTTTCTGAAAATTATAATTGTTAAAAAAAAGTTTGTTTACTTATGACATGGAAATCTAACATGTACATTTTGTATTGTATAGCTTTTGCTTTGAAAGCATAAAAAAAACCGTGAATTAACCTTGTGTGAAATACAATAAACAGAATACCTGCAACAGCGAATACTCAATCGCATGTCGCACCAATAACTGCTACAAAGTGTACTCTACATCACCCGTCCTTAGGCCAAGTGCCGCCCCTGTTCTAGATGCACTCAATAAATTCATCTTTCACTAACTCAACTACAAGGCCGGTGTAATGAAATCACAAGCAGCTAGGATTTCCGTTGTTTTTCTGACAACTGTTTAGCAGGATCCTCTGATTATATGTAGACTGCATGTTTTTGCTGCAATCAGGACAAATAGAGAGACGGACTCTGGAATCGGGCTCTAAGCATAAAACAGGAAGGTTTCTACACTGCTGGGAACAGTCAGTCCCACGAACAGCATGATGGAGCCGTTTTCTCACGCCGTTTCCACACCACAAAGCCAGCAGGACACATTCAAAGGAAAATCAAGAATTTTTTTTTTTTTTTTTTTTGAGATGGAGTTTCACTCTTTTGCCCAGGCTGGAGTGAAGTGGTGTGATTTCAGCTCACTGCAACCTCCACCCTCCAGGTTCAAGCAGTTCTCCTGCCCCAATCTCCCAAGTAGCTAAGATTACAGGCACACACCACCACACCTGACTGATTTTTGTGTTGTTAGTAGAGACGCGGTTTCACCACGTTGGGCAGTCTCGAACTCCTGACCTCAGGTGATCCACCCGCCTTGGACTCCCAAAGTGCTAGGATTACAGGCGTGAGCCACAGCGCCCAGCCAAAAATCAAGAATTCTTTTGAAAGAATGCACAAACCTGCACTGCCATTTTGTCTGCTACTTCCAAATGAGGGCCCTGCCTTTTCTAAAACTGGTGTGAAAATAGAAGAAACAAAAAAAGCCAGAGGAGATGAACCCTTTCTCTGGGTGAGGAGTCATCTTAGCTGAATTCAGAAGGACACACCAATTAGATTTACAAAAAGAAAAAGCAGCAGCAGAGGGTAACTAGTTTTATTTTTTTAAAAAAAGAAAGTGACTGGATTTTAACTCCCTTACACAAGGTACTTCTTCCTTTTTCATGTTCACATTGGGGTGGTGTGGCCTATCCTGCGTATCCTCCTAGCTGCCCTGCCCTCTGCTTCTTTCTCCTGTAATTCAGTTTATAAACAGAATCAACTTCACCAAGAACTGCTCATCTCCTAGACTACACTACTTCCCACTGGCCTTCTGAATGAAATTGAAATGTAAATCAATTCAGATTTCCTCTTAATACATATGATGATATTAATGAATGTGAAGTCTTGCCCAGGTTACAGTTCTTTCTCCTGGCCATCCAAGCCCTGAGCCTAAACAACAGCCTGGCGACAGGTTCAGGACTTGGTTTGCCAGGAGAAAGAACTATAATCTGGACAAAACTTGGTTTGCCCTTAAGCTTGGTTCCCCTCACCTGCCTTCACCCCACACCCATTTGCTCATATCTCCCCTTTCAGGATGACTGATGTCATCCCCCTATGACTTAACAATGTTATTTTTTTTTTACTGAAAAGCAGGATGCAGAACAATATGTATATTATGATCCCATTTTCTCTTTCCTTCTTGCTTTCTGATCTCATTTTCTTTCTCTCTCTCTCTCTCTCTCTCTCTTTCTTTCTTTTCGACAGGGTTTTTCTCTGTCACCCAGGCTAGAGGGCAGTGGTGTGATCACAGCTCACTGCAGCCTCAACTCAGTCTGGGCTCAAGCGATCCTCCTGCTTCAGCCTCTGGAGTAGCTGGGACTACAGGTACGTGATACCACACCCCATTAATTATTTTTCTCTTGTTTTCTCTCTCTTTTGTAGGGACAAAGTCTCCCTATGTTGCCCACACTGGTCTCGAACTCCTAGGCTCATGCAATCCTCCTGCCTCAGCCTCCCAAAGTGCTGGGATGACAGGCATGAGCCACCGCATCCAACCAATCCCATTTTCATTTTTAAAAACTGGAAGAAATATATAATTGTCAGAGGCATTTGAATTAGTGTTATTCCATCTTGAATAGGGGCTGGGTATAACAAGGCTGAGAACTACTAAGCTGCATTCCCAGGAAGTTAGGCGTTCTTAGCCACAGGATGAGATAGGAGGTCAGCACAAGATACAGGTCAAAGACCTTGCTGACAAAACAGGATGCAGTAAAGAAGCTGGCCAAAACCCACCAAAACCAAGATGGTGACGAAAGTGACCTCTGGTCATCCTCACTGCTCATTGTATGCTAATTATAATGCATTAGCATGCTAAAAGACACTCCCACTAGCGCCAAGACAGTTTACAAATGCCGTGGCAACATCAGGAAGTTATCCTATATGGTCTAAAAGAGGGAAGAACCCTCAGTTCCAGGAATTGTCCACCCCTTTCCCAGAAAACTCACAAATAATCCACCCCTTGTTTAGCATATAATCAAGAAATAACTTCAAGTATACTCAGTTGAGCAGCCGCTGCTCTGCCTATGAAGTAGCCATTCTTTTATTCCTTTACTTTCTTAATAAACTTGCTGTCACTTTATAGATTCACCTCGAATTCTTTCTTGCATGAGATCCAAGAACCCTCTCTTAGGGTCTGGATCAGGACCCCTTTCTGGTAACATAATTAGATATGTATTAAAAAGGTGGGGCTCTCTGCACATCACTATTTTGGAGGATGGTAATATGGAAGACTGTCATTTTATCTTTCGTACGTTTATGATATTTAAACTTTGTATTTATGTATATATCTGTCATCATTAAAATAATGAGCAATTATTCTAGGACTACCTTCTCTATGACATTTTATCAGATTACTCCTTTCAAACTCCACTCACTCCCATTCCTTGTATAATGCTTGTAACAGCTGGATATTTTTACCACCATTTCTATGTGCGCATATATGTATCTGCATATGTTTATGCATGTTTCTCCTTTTTTTGCCATTTGTATGGCCCTCTCTTCTCCCTTATATTAAAAATCTCCTGAAGGTAAGTTTTACATCAGATAATAGACATGACTGTCCACAACCAATAGACACTCTTCGTTGAATAACTAAGAGCAAATCTAGTCATGAATGATTCACATTAGCCCTTGGACTGTCGTAAAATCTGCTTTACTACTCACTTGTTCTTCAGTAGTTGTGTATTTTCTCCAAAACATATATAAAATGTATTAAGTTATACTGGCCCCATGAATTCCTGAAAACCTTTCCTTTGTCTGCAGCTACCAACAAAGTTACGAAAGCCAGATTTTTTTTTTTTTTTTTACCAATAATTTCAGTCATTCCTGACAACTGGTTAAAAACCCAGGACCCTTTTTAAAAGATCAAAAGATGTGGCAACTTAAGAATTGCCATGCTAATGGAAGCTCAGTCGGGGTCAACAGTGATAGACTCCACTTAGCCTTCTTGGACTGGATGAAACAAGATTTTACAGCATTTTACTAATGCCCTGCTTTTTTAGCCTTGTCTGTGTCTATCAACATCTAATTGTACTTCCAAAGATTGGAGACAAACTATCTTTTCTTCTTTCCAAATGAGAATTTGTAGGGGTTTTCTGGTCCCATTTGCCACCAAGTGCACATCAGAAGATGAGTCTCCTAGCAGGAGGTCAATGATAGCTGAGGAAGAAAGAGGCCCGCTCCAGGCCCAGTGGCGGCGCCGGCAGAAGGGCCTTCCCCAACTCGAGTTGCCATGGCAAACTGACTGATGAAAAACGCTTGCATTCTGAATTCATCACTGGAGGGTGATTAGAATGTAAATAATGATGAGATATGTAGGTGATAACATTTTTCTATTAAAAGAAACGCAATAAAAAGCACGTCCCTGTTGGATAGTCACTGGCAGTGGGTGTGGCTACTGTTGATCACACGCAAAAACCCTGAAGCCCTTTACAAAATCTACTGTTTTCCATCAGATCTTTCTGTAAACCTCCATTATATTGCACTAGAAATATGCAGCAATTAAAACAAGTTAAAATTTAAATGGATTTTGGGCAAGTAGAGTGAAGTGTGTCATTTTTCTCACTGTAGGGTATGTTCAGTGTCTCTGTTAGCATCTGTTCTCAGTAATTCCTGCAATTCAATTATAACACATTTGGAAACTGCACAAATATGCAAGGCATTATTTGAATCACAATTTATCTTTTTTTTTTTTTTTAGCTATTTAGGGTATACATTGCTAACAAAAAGTGAACGTTTGACGTTTCCCTTCCCGTCGATAAAATGCCCCCAGCCTTGAACACCGCATGGCCTATTGCTGTAACACAGCTCCCTTGCCAAAGCTTTTGCCTTTGAAGCTACTCACACACCTACCATGAGGATCCTTCTTCCACAGTGGGAACAGTGAGACTAGAATTGTACTTTGGCATGGAGATTAGGTGAGCAGAAGTGACAGAGGCACCAGCACACTGAACAATCCAAACAGAAAGAGCTCAGGGGCCGGGCGCGTTGGCTCACACCTGTAATCCCAGCACTTTGGGAGGCCAAGGCAGGTGGATCACCTGAGGTCAGGAGTTTGAGACCAGCCTGGCCAACATGGTGAAACCCTGTCTCTACTGAAAATTCAAAAATTTGCTGGGTGTGGTGGCACATGCCTGTAATCCCAGCTACTCAGGAAGCTGAGGCAGGAGAATTGCTTCAATGCAGGAGGCAGAGGTTACAGTGAGCCACAATCGAGCTACTGCATTCTAGCCTGGTTGACAGAGCAACACTCCGTCTGACAAAAAAAAAAGAGCTCAGGGTTTATGTCTTCCTGCATGAGTTTGTTCAGTAAGTATTTGCTGAGCACCTACTGTCATTGTCATCTGTACATGGACCAGAACTGCCTGTGTCACTGAAGTCGTATGTGCAAGGCATAAAGTGGGATTTTCTTTCTTTTTCTGAGACACTATAGTGATTTATGAGGCACTTTCTTAAATCTTTCACCATTCTTTGTCCAAAACCACACAACAGATAATAAATCTCATTATATAATTCTGCCTAAGTGTCACAGGGCAAGGGAGCCCCAGAATTGGAGCTCCACCCTAGAAGGTTCTTGGTTTCCCCCAGTAAGGAATTCGAGGGTGAGCCAGTGGTAGAGGAAAACAGCTTTGCTGGGGCGGCAGTGTCACAGCTCCGTGACTGCTCCTGCAGAGCGGGGCTACCCCATAGGCCGTGCATCGAGAGTAGCAGCTCAGGGGCAGGTCTGCGGTCACATCCATACCCACTTATAATTACGTGCAAATTAATGGGCAGGTTATTCAGAAATTTCTAGAAAAAGGGTGATAACCTTCGTGTTGTTACCAGGCAATGGGTAAACTGTCATGGCACTGGTGGGCATGTCAGCCAGTCTTCAATTTGGTCTGGAGTCGAGTCCCACCTCCTACCTCCTATGTACTTATTTTTGATACCACAAAATAAACTTTAGTTTTATTATCTCATTTTATCCAAGACTGCTACAGTAGGTCATGGCCAGCATTATGCCACATTTGTGACAATTACAAAATGCTACTCTCTGAGTGAACAAATTAGAAAAGCCATCCCATTCTCAGGATTTTAGCCCCACCTGCCCCCTCCACCAGTTGCCTTTGAGCACGTGCTGTCTGCACACCACCCGGGGAGGAATGCTGATCCCTCCCAGTGTCACCTACTGTCCCAGGCCTGGGCCACCTCCCCTGGAAGAAGTCATTTCCTGCATCTGCCATGTCTCTGGGGACTGGTACTATCCTGACTGCCCTACTCACACCCACATTGGCTGAGCCAATCACTGGACTGCCCATGGCTGCCGCATCCCCTTCTTCCTTGGTCCAGAAATATTCCTGGCATCCCAGGTATTTTCTAAAAAGCATCTTGGTTGATTCTTACAATTATTCTCAAGTGTTCTCTTCAATATTCTTCTACTCCTAGTCCAGAGAACCTCTGGATCCCCAAAATGCCTTGAGTTGTAAGAATGCCAGGCTGGGCGCATTGGCTCATGCCTCTAATCCCAGCACTTTGGGAGGCTAAGGCAGGTGGATCATGAGGTCAGGAATTCGAGACCAGCCTGACCAACATGGTGAAACCCTGTCTCTACTAAAAATACAAAAACTAGCCAGGCATAGTGATGGGCGCCTATAATCCCAGCTACTTGGGAGGCTGAGGCAGGAGAATCCCTTGAACACTAGGAGGCGGAGGTTGCAGTGAGCTGAGATCACACCACTGCACTCCAGCCTGGGCAACAGAGTGATATGCTGTCTCAAAAAAAAAAAAAAAAAAAAAAAGAATGTCAGTGACCTTGATCCTTTATGCAGCTTGCAGGATGTCTCCCTCACCCCAATCCTATACTTCTCCCAACTCTATTGATAGAAGGTGGAGCATCCCATCCCCAAACATGACAGAAGAGTAACACAAAACACACTCAGCACGGAGTTAGCTTATTTGCCACAGAAAGCCCATTATGCTAAGAGCATGGGCTTGAGAAAATTGGGAGAAGATGGTGGTAGGAGCACATGTCTCAGATCCCCTCTCTGACTTAAAACCCAACACCAGTCCGGGAGGTGAGGGGCGCCTCTGCCCGGCCGCCCCTACTGGGAAGTGAGGAGCCCCTCTGCCCGGCCAGTCGCCCCGTCCGGGAGGGAGGTGGGGGGGTCAGCCCCCCGCCCGCCAGCCGCCCCGTCCGGGAGGTGAGGGGCACCTCTGCCCGGCCGCCCCTACTGGGAAGTGAGGAGCCCCTCTGCCCGGCCAGCCGCCCCGTCCGGGAGGGAGGTGGGGGGGTCAGCCCCCCGCCCGGCCAGCCGCCCCGTCCGGGAAGTGAGGGGCGCCTCTGCCCGGCCGCCCCTACTGGGAAGTGAGGAGCCCCTCTGCCCGGCCACCACCCCGTCTGGGAGGTGTACCCAACAGCTCATTGAGAACGGGCCAGGATGACAATGGCGGTTTTGTGGAATAGAAAGGGGGGAAAGGTGGGGAAAAGATTGAGAAATCGGATGGTTGCCGTGTCTGTGTAGAAAGAAGTAGACATGGGAGACTTTTCATTTTGTTCTGTACTAAGAAAAATTCTTCTGCCTTGGGATCCTGTTGATCTGTAACCTTACCCCCAACCCTGTGCTCTCTGAAACATGTGCTGTGTCCACTCAGAGTTAAATGGATTAAGGGCGGTGCAAGATGTGCTTTGTTAAACAGATGCTTGAAGGCAGCATGCTCATTAAGAGTCATCACCACTCCCTAATCTCAAGTACCCAGGGACACAAACGCTGCGGAAGGCCGCAGGGTCCTCTGCCTAGGAAAACCAGAGACCTTTGTTCACTTGTTTATCTGCTGACCTTCCCTCCACTATTGTCCTATGACCCTGCCAAATCCCCCTCTGTGAGAAACACCCAAGAATGATCAATAAAAAAAAAAATAAATAAATAAAAAAACAGGTGGAGGTATAAAAAGCTGAATAGAAAATGCATCTATTTGTTTAAAAAAAGAGAAAGGAGTGACATTGATATTAATGGGAAGGGTGGCTCCATCTTGACTCACTGCAACTTCCACCTCCCTGGTTCAAGAGATTTTCCTGCCTCAGCCTCCCAAGTACCTGGGATTACAGGAGTGTGCCACCATGCCCGGCTAATTTTTTGTGTGTTTTTAGTAGAGATGGGGTTTCACCATGTTGGCTAGGCTGGTCTCAAACTCGTGATGTCAGGCAATCCACACACCTTGGCCTCCCAAAGTTCTGGAATTACAGGCGTGAGCCACTGTGCCCGGCCTAAACATTTATTTTAGAGAGACAGTGTCTCCCTGTGTTGCCCAGGCTGATTTCAGATTCCTGGGCTCAAATAATCCTCCCGCTTTGCCCTCCCAAAGTCCTGGGATTACAGGTATTTGCCACCCTGCCTGGCCGAGATATATTTTCTAAGCCTCAGTTTCTTCACCCAAAAAGTAGGAAAGAAGGTGGAATTGAAGAGAATAATGTTATTAATGATACCATAAGGTTGTTTTTAACAGTGGCTTTCAATAAATGTCGCTTCATAACATGGTGGATTCTGGAGCCAGACAGCCTGGGCTTAAATCACAGCTAAACTCCCTTTACTAGTTTTGTGACTTTGGGAAAGTTAACTAATCTCAGCACCTTGGTTCATTCATTTGTAAAATGGGCATTTTACTAGTACCTATATCACAGATTTTTATGAGTCACAAATTAATATATGTGAAATGCTTAGAACAGTCCCTGGTACTACTTTTCAGCTGAATAAGGCCTTAAACGAAACTTTTATTCTATTTATATACAAATATATATATAAAACATATGTAACATTTATATATAAATAACATATATATTAAAAAAATAAATAAATAAATAAAACCCAACACCAATCAAGCTGGAAGGGTCTGGAGGGTTCATTTGAGGCCACAGGTCTCAGCATCCCTGAAGGAGAGGGCAGATGTAGACTCTCTTCTGGTTGGCATCTGGGGAAAGCTAAGGAGCCTGTGGCTACAGACAAGGGTGTGCAGCAACTTAAGGCCCTGGGCATACCTGGATTGCTGAGGACCTCAGGCGTCAGAGCCTGTGATTGTTTTCAGGAAAGCTCTTCCTCTGCGTACCTGTGACCCAGTGGCTCTGGAAGGGCCTGCCCATTCCTGTTGATCCCAGGAGGACTGAGTTAAATTGTGCAGGTCTGTGGCAGCGGAGGACCATCATCCCCACTACACTCAAGGGGAATTAACAGCATTCCAGTTTTCTCACTGTGGGCTCACCAACTTGCTACTGCTCAGTAGGCCTCAACATCCTGGCCAGTGTGGGGACTAAAGGCACAACCAAGTGAGCAGTTTAAAAAAATACACACTTGTAACTGTTTAAGACGACTCAGTGCCCTGAGAGAGAGAGAGAGAGAGACAAGGAGGAAGAGCAGGATATGGAACAGCTGAATAAAGAGGCTCCCTTTGAGGGACAAATCAGGAAAGATCCAGATGATAATTTGTAATAGAGAACTAATGAGAACCCCCAAGGTGATTTAAGTAGAGCACCCAAAATATGTTCTGGAAGTTTAGGAGAAACAAACACAAAAAACTTGATGCTATGGACTGAATTGTGTCCCCTCAAAATTCATGTGTTGAAGCCATAATCCCCAATGTGATGGTGTTTGGAAATGGGGTCTTGGGAGATCATTAGATTTAGATGAAGCCCTCATAATGGAATTAACCCCCTTAGAAGAAGAGACATCAGAGATCTTGCTGTCTTTCTCTCCCTCCTCCCCCATCTGTCTCTCTGTGTCTTTCCAGAAAAGAGAGTCCTCACCAGAAATGGCTACGCTGCCACCTTGATCTTGGACTTCCAGCCTTTAGAACCGTGAGAAAACAAATTTCTGTTGTTTAAGCCATGCAGTCTCTGGTATTTTGATATGGCAGCTCATGCAACTAAGATACTCAATATCTTTATTTTAAAATTTATTGTGAGTTGAAAAAGAAGGTGATCATGGCTGAGAACCAAGTTAATGACCCAAAAGACCAAGAGCTCAACCAAAAGCAAGGTTTTTGCACAACCAAAAGCAAAAACACAGTAAGATGAAAATCCTAAGGGAAAAGATCAGAGTTTTAAAGAAGGTTTATCCATGCTATCAGGCCATGATATCTCTTACTCGCTGCCTATATGCAAGGATTCAGGATATCTTAACATCAGTGTTCCTAGCCAATGAAAATAGAAAACAGTTAACCAAATGTCAACTGACTCAAATCAGACACCTGAAGACAGGAAAAGATCAGGGGAAAGGAAATGGGGGCGAGCAATGAAACTTTCGATCTGTAGCTACACCAGATGGACCACAGCAGTGTGTCAGGGGGTCTATAATGGAATAGTGGAGAAGAATACTTCAAATAGAAGACATATACTTACGGAACTGCAAGAAAAACTTTTTGAACATTATAAAAGGAAATTTCAATATGCATCTTTCAGATTTTGACAAACCAAGCAGAGAAAAATCAATAATGATATAGAGGTTTTGAATTATGTAATTGACAAGAACAGTAAGCATGGAGGGAGAGCTGTGTTTCCTACAAGCAGAAAATACATCTTTTGCATCCATGTTACAAAAATTGATCATGTGCTTGGCCATAAAGAAAACTTCCCAAAGCAGAAATTTTAGAAGCCATGTTCTTGGTTCATACTCTAATAAAGGGAAATGAACGGACAATTTCAAAATTACATTATTAGAATTAAGAAACACTCCTTTGGTTGGCCCCCTTATTTAAAATACGTCAAAACTTGTTCGTAATTTACCTGGAAATGCATCCAAAAACCAAGCTGGAGTGCAGGATGAGACAGCTGGATAGTTAGATGCATAGGTGATTCGATAAGTACAGCAGAATGTTCCTTGTAGAATTTAGTGCTGGTGTTCCCTCTATGATTCTTTCAACTTTTTTACAGGTTTGAAAACTTTTTATAATAAAATATTGGAAGAAATATATCGAAAACTGAAATAAACAAACATCTACAAGCTATTGAAAGGAAGGTTTCATACCAAAACCACAGCTAAAAATGTATTCAAAATTGTTCTATCCTTAGAGCTTACTGTTTAAAGGAGTTCATTTGTTTTCTTTCTAAAACTATTTATCAAGTAGCTACTATGTGCCAGGCATTGCTCTAAGGGCTTACATATATTTACTCATTTAATCTTCACAACCCATTTTACAGGTGAGGAAACTTAGGCACAGAGAGTGTAGGTAACTTGCCCAAAGTCACACAGCTTGTAAATGACAAAACAAGGCTTTAAGCCAAAGCAGTTCGTGTTCAGCATCTATGAACATAATCACTGCATTAGCTTGTCCCTAAGTTTTTCAAATTAGGAAATGAGAATAAAAATCATGCAAAATGAAGTAGGAAGATTGATTTAAAAAGGTAAAAGCTGAAACTGGTTAAATAAAAAAGACAAATTATGAAAGGAATGATAAAAAACTAAAACCTATTAAAGACTTCTACAATAGAAAATTCCTAAAACGTATCAGAAATAAGCTAATATATAATTCTTAGGAATGAATGAGTAGATTTTACTACAGGTATGAAATAGACTAAAATATCAGAAAATGTTAGGGGCACTTTATAATAGTAAATTGGAGTAACTAAATGCAAATTAGGATTACAAAAAATCAATCTAATAAGAATACGTGAAAAAAAAAACCGTTAAAGAGCTTTTTTATTATGATTTTTTAGAAAGAGTCTCACTCTGTCACCCAGGCTGGAGTGCAGTGGTGTGATCTCAGTGCAACCTCTGCCTCCCAGGTTCAAGCAATTCTCCTGCCTCAGCCTCCAGAGTAGCTGGGATTATAGGCACCTGCCACCATGCCCAGCTATATTTTTGTTGTTTCTTTCACCATGTT
Source organism: Homo sapiens (assembly GCF_000001405.40). Classification (NCBI taxonomy): domain Eukaryota; kingdom Metazoa; phylum Chordata; class Mammalia; order Primates; family Hominidae; genus Homo; species Homo sapiens. Next base: position 100,757,565 of record NC_000013.11, on the reverse strand, counting down.
GGCCAGGCTGGTCTCGAACTCCTGACCTCAAGTGATCCGCCCACCTCGGCCTCCCAAAGTGCTGGGATTACAGGCACAAACCACTGCACCCAGCCCAAGAGCTGCTATTTTAAAACACACTTGGCTCATTTGGTTTTATTTCCCCTCTCAAATTTTGAATATGAGAAACTTATTTTTAGCCTCCTCTAGACTTTAGAAAAAGATGGAAATGTTTTTAATATAATCTTGAGTTTCAGATAAGCACGCAGGTGTTATTTCAGAGTGGACAAAACCTGTAAACTCTACATATGTGTATATATGTTGTTTGAGCGTTAGGAGGACTATGGAAGGTTGTAAACCAGGTCATTAATGTTGTTTATTTCAAGAGGATGAAAATTGAGAGGACTGAAGTTTAAAGAATGAGCTTTCTCTTCCCTCTCATTCAGTTCTCCTGGGGGTATGAAAGGAGAAATCACAGAGACACTCCGAGCCCCTTCTGCTTCTGCCATGCCAGTGCCACTACCGCCACGGGCCTCACCATCTCCTCTTTCTTCTCCCACCTCTTTGACAAGAAGCAGATGCACATTCTGATGGTTGGATTGGATGCCGCTGGCAAGACGACCATTCCGTATGAACTGAAGTTAGGGGAGATAGTCACCACCATTCCTACCGTTGGCTGCAATGTGGAAGCGGTAGACTATAAAAACATTCGTTTCACAGTATGGGATGCTGGTGGTCAAGATAGAATTAGGCCTCTCCGGAAGTATTACTTCCCAAATACCCAATATCTTATATTTGTGGTAGATAGCAATAATCGTGAAAGAATTAAGGAGGTAGCAGGTGAGCTGCAGAAATTGCTTCTGGTAGATGAGTTGAGAGAGGCAGTGCTGCTGCTTTTTGAGAATCACAGGATTTGCCAAATGCTCTTCGATCTCCTCCTAACAGGACATGATCTGTTCAAGCCACGTGCATAACACAAGGAACTGGTCTGTGTGAGAGACCTGACCAGCTGTCAAAGGAGCTTTCAAAATGTTAAATGAAACTAGATATCTAACCAGGGACATTTTGATAAAATTGATCTAGGCTTGATCTTGGACTTACAATAAAATCAGTTTGTATCCTGGTTATTAAACAATATCAAGGACTGGTTTGAGCAGAATATTAAACTTATTTTATTGCCAATTATTGTTTACCAAGTATAATGTTGCTATTTAGCAATGTGCTTGGTTTTAAAGAAATGCTCCTTGGGGAAAAAAAGAGTCCTCTTTTAATTTTACTTCCCATAAGCCTAAATGCCTAGACATAGCTATAGCAAAACCTTTAAATAAATCCATTTTGAATGTTTGTTGAGCCCAAAAATTTGTTTTAATGTTTTAAAGTCATCCTCTTCCTACTTTACTGATACACTTATTCCTGAGACGTTTGCTGATTTTTAAATGTAGCATTCCATTTGTATTTATTTCCTTCCCTTGCCAGAAAGATTTTCTAATACTGCTATAGCATCCAGGGAAATGCTCCAAAACACTATTCAGCTCTCTTGCACTGAGGAACTTATTTTCCTCCCAATATTGACTCCTGGCCTACATCAGACAAACTTACCTTGGTGTGGTTTAGATTTGATAGCTAATTAGTTCTGTACTGGTGGCAAAGAGTTCATTCATTCAGAAGAGTTTTTTTGTTTGTTTGTTGAGACAGTCTCGCTCTGCTGCCCAGGATGGAATACAGTGGCGCAATCTCAGCTTACTGCAACTTCCGCCTCCCAGATTCAAGCAATTCTCCTGCCTCAGCCTCCTGAGTAGCTGGGACTATGGGCGCACGACACCAGGCCCAGCTGATTTTTGCATTTTCAATAGAGACAGGGTTTCACCATATTGGTCAGGCTGGTCTCAAGCTCTTGACCTCAGGTGATCCACCCGCCTTGGCCTCCCAAAGTGCTGGGATTACAGGCATGAGCCACCATGCCTGGCCATATTCGGATGGTTTTTACAACTCAACAGATTGTCTTCCTTTATATTGTATCTTTTTTATGTTGCATGTTGCTTGCGGTATCAGCCTGATTTTTTGCTCAGTATATGATAGTTCTGCTGATGTTTTATTATTGTTTATTGGGTGAACATATCTTAAGAGTTTTTGGAAAACATCAAATTCAATGAATACATTTTCTTCATAACCCATTTGGAATTATTCCTAAAAAAGATTTTATATATATATGATTTATTATATATACAATCTGTTATATATGTGCATATTATACATGTAATATATAATATATATTATATATGATCATATATACATGTTGTTATATGACTATATATAATTCCGTATGTGTGCATATACATAACATATAATCATATAACTATTGTGATGATTATATAATATATATATTATATATTTGTGTATATATTTATATATATATACACAGAACTAGGATTTCCTTCATCTCCCAATGTGCTTTTTGTAGCAATAAAAACTGAATGTCTGTGTGTCACCCTGGCTCAGTTTTCTAAATGTGAGCTGCTATCCTGGAGTTCATATTCTGCACATTTCATGTGGCTTGAAGGCTTTCTAAAGTGTCCTGGATGGTTCTAGTAACTTGCAAATTTCCAAACTATGTCACAAAGATCTGAAGACAAAATTTGGGATTTTTCCACAAGTTTTAAATGGGATTGATGAAGGAGGGTTGCCATCAGACAATATGTCTGTTTCCAGGAATACAAATTCCAAGAGTCACCCCTATGCCTGCAAAGAGAAAAATCTGGTTACCTGCCCCTTTCCACTGTTTTTAGAGACGGGGGTAGAAGTCCTGGCTGCCAGGACCACTGATTTGCTGATTCCAAGAGTAACCCAGCACCGCAGTGAGGAGACCATGTGTGTCTTGAAAGGAGAGTTGTCAACTTGTCTTCCAGGAATGATTGTGATGCAATGCAAAATTAACCTGGGTAGGGCAGACCTCTGTGAGGTCTGAATCAAATATTCAAATGTATTCCTCTCCAGACTGGTGCAGAATTATTGTTGTCGTTTTTGTTTGTTGGTTTTGGTTTGGTTTTTGAGTCTGAGTTTTGTTCTGTCACTCAAGCTGGAATGCAGTGGCATGATCGCGGCTCACTGCAACCTCCACCTCCTGGGTTCAAGAAATTATCCTGCCTCAGCCTACTGAGTAGCTGGGATTACAGGTGCGTGCCACCACGCCCAGCTAATTTTTGTATTTTTAATAGAGACGGCATTTCACCGTGTTGGCCAGGGTGGTCTGGAACTCCTGACCTCAGGTGATCCGCCCGCCTCAGCCTCCCAAAGTGCTAGGATTACAGGCGTGAGCCACCATGCCCAGCCTGGTGCAGAATAATCAAAAATTCACTCTGTACCTAACAGTAGCATGGCTCAGCCCAAAGCTTCCCAGCCTGATGATGAAAACATCACGTAGAAAGGTTCCAGAAGCCTAAATATCCTTTATACATGCCTTGTGTTACTCAGTCCCTCTTTCCCTCACAGAAATAAATTCATCTGCTCTGATGTGTGCTACTTCACACAAAGCCAGCTCTAATTGTTCTGCACCCTCTTTTGCTTTTCTGGGTGATTACAAATTGATTTTGGGGGGAGGCATTCTAGTCACTTCCAGCTACATCAGGTAAAGCGAGCTGCTCTGTAATTATTAAACTCATCCTTTGTCCTTTTGAGAGATGAGCACAGTAGCTGTCTCCCTGTGTAAAGGGAATTTTCCCCTTTTCCATTAATTCCCATGGTTAGTGGTTTTCACAATAAAATCCGTCAGTTCCGTTAGATGAGTTCTTTCATTCTCAAAAGAACAGGCCCAAATCATACCAGTCAAAGGTGCTGTAAATGAGAACATCCTTGGAAAACAAATGTTTTGTGCAATTGTAAGCACCCAGGGTGTATATTTGTGTTCAAGCCAATGCAACACATCTATTGAGGGTTTACGATGTTCCTGGCACATCAACACAGAGAAAACTGTCCTGCTGCCACACTCCCAGAAGCGCTTACGTTCAAGCTAGCCACAAAAACCTATTTCTGGTTCTAACAGCAGATGTGAAATTGTGAAACACATGCACACAAAAGGCAGGCAGCTTGAGGACCTGCGTGGTGGTCTAGGGACATCCTAAGGGCTGCCAGAGTGATGGAGAGAAAATCTGTGATTGCTGCTCTCATCCCTGGGGAATTGGGGGAATCAGACAAGAATTCTGCCTCTCTCCCTCTTGTGTATGACTGCAGATTGAAAGCAACTGTTTCCAACCCAATGACAGGATCATAAGGCTGTTTAGATAAAATGTTTTATCTTCTAAAGATGATATTTACATTGTCTACTATCCAATACCAGAGGCCAGCAACAAGGCTTTACAAATCCCACTTTCCCAGTTCCCAAATGCTGCGAGAACACATGTGAAACACAATTTAGTTTTTGATAGAATATAAACACCTTGCATGCTTCCAGATTTCTAGCGCATGATATAGTAGAAATAAAGTGGATAAAGTAAGAGACAAGCTAAAGCCATATCTTTCTGGGGAAATGCCTCTGGAAATTGTTTTCTTCTGGAAATATGGGCCCTGTCTCCAAATGCCAACTAAAGTGAGTTAAATAGTCATGTATCTTAGTCAGTTCAGGCTGCCATAACAAAATGCCATAGACTGGGTAACTTAAACAACAGAAATTTATTTCTCTTTGTTTTGGAGTTGGGGAAGCCCAAGACCAAGGTGCCAGCTGACTCAGTTTCTGGTGAGGGCTCTCTTCCTGGCTTGCAGATGGCTTCCTTCCCTAGGTCCTCATTTGGCACAGAGAGAGTACATGAGCTCTCTGGTATCTCTCCTTATAAAGACACAAATCCTACTGGATTGGGGCTCCACCCTAAATGACCTCATTTACCCTTAATTCCTTCCTTATTTCTAATACGTTGTGGGTGTGGTGGCTTACACCTATAATCCCAGCACTTTGGGAGGTCGAGGCTGGAGGATCACTTGAGCCCAAGAGTTTGAGACCATCCGGGACAACATAGTGAGACCTCATCTCTTCAAAAAAATGCAAATATTAGCCGGGTGTGGTGGTGCACACCTGCAGTCCCAGCTACTTGGGAGGCTGAAGGAAGAGGATCACTTGAGCCCAAGAGGTCAAGACTACACTGAGCCATGATCATGCCACTGCACTCCAACCTGGGTGATCAAGTGAGACTCTGTCTCAAAAAAACAAAAAAAAATACAGTCACACTGGGGGTTAAGGCTTCAACATATGAATTCCGGGAGGACATAGTTTAGTTCACAGCACCATATAATTCAAGGTTCCCAATTATTTCAACCAGAAAGAAATATCCTGCTGGTTGAGCAAAAGTGTTTTCTGTGAGTTAACTAATGTAGGTAATTTCCTCAATTCTCTACTACATTTGGACCCTATCGATGCCATCCAGTTAGCAACGTGTGAATTAACACAAGTATATTGAGCAATGTAAAGAGCTTCAAGTATATTGGCAATGTAAAGGCTATTTTCTGTCCGTACCAATCAACTCCAAATTCTGCATTACAGTCTCGTCTGCTGCTGCAGGGAGCCCTGCAGTACTGGAAAACAGCCAGCAGCTGTCACGGATGCGCCAGCAGCTTCTGCTTCTCCGTGTAATGCACGTCCCCCATGCCCCTAGCTTTGGGGACTTGCCGTTTGCCCCAGCACCGGCTGGCACAGGGATGTGTCTGTGGAGGGGTCTTTGCTATTGCTGCCCTCGCGGCAGGGTTTTGGATGATGGGATTCTGCACACTCGCATCTTTCACTTCGGGGCATGTCATCCTGCTAAATGAAGAAGCCAGACAACCTTTGGGGTTCCTTAAGTGTCCAGGGCAGAGGAACACATGTATTCTCACCTTACATGGCTTTGCCTGGCTTTCTAAACAGCTGCCGTCCAATCACAGGAACAGCCCAGATGCCCTGGCAACCCAGAGTAGCAGTGGGCAGCAGATCTCAATGCCCCCCTGGCCCCCGTGAAAGGTTTGGAGACCTCTTGAGCTTGAGACCACCAGCAGAGGCAGCTGAGAGATGAACACCCAGCCTGCAGACACAGGGCACAGCACTGATGGAGAGCCCCGCCAAGGAAAATGAGAAACGATGTTTCCCTGAGCTTAGCCCAGCCCTTGTCCATTGTCTTAGAGAAGTTCCAAGCTTTCAGGCTCCAGAGGAAGCTCTGGCAGAACCCTAACGTGCTCTGCATGTTTCAGAAGTTCATCAAAGTCCTTCTCTCCTCAAAGCCCCCAGGCCCCATGGAGCAGGAGGGGGGCGCGGAGGGGTGGGGGTACAGGGAGGTTGGATGGTGATGGATGAACTGCCAGGGAGGGACAGGAGAACACAGGGACGGCAGTCAGGCAGCCCAGACGGAGCACTCACCATTCTAGACCTTCACCCAGGCAAGAGACAAATCTCTTTCCATGTGTGAGGGGTTGGGGACATGCCAGATTATGGGGAACTAAAGGAGAACAAGAAAATATGATTACTGTCATTTATTTTGTCCAAGTTCCACCTGGTAGCAGCCAAGAGGCTCACAGAAAGCTACAGACTTGTTCCTCCACCTCAAAACCCAGGAGGGACATTTCGATTCATAGCTGAAAAGCTAGCAGAAGAAAGAAATTTCCTTTTTGTTTTTAAAGCAAAACAAAACAAAAAAAAACTTTTTTAGACCTCTGGTTAAAGCAAAAAGCCTGAGGCAGGGAATGAGGAACACATTGCTGTCTAATCCAGCCACTGTGATGGCTGACTGCAGCAGCTGAGTGCAACAGCGTGCGTATATTTGTGTGTGTGCTTATGTGTGTATGTGTATGTGGTTGTGGTTGCCTGCGTGCAGATGTCTGCTGGCAGGAGACTGGAGGTAAGTGGGGAACAAGATAGTATTTGTGTTAAATAAGATGATTTTCATATTCATCACGGGGGTAGGAGAGAATCTTTGTCTCATATTTGGGTGGTTTTCTCACTTTCATACTTGTGGAATACCGGCAGTGTGCTACCGAGACCCCACACATTTGACTATGTCTCATCTGACATGACCTAGGAGGGACGCTGCCTCTCCTGGGCTCCCACCCCAATCTCTCCAGTCCCCAACACTATTCTGAGCAACACACATAAAAAGGCTTAGGAAACAACTTAGTCTAATTTATACTTCTGTAAAAGATGCTTATTCCATCACAATATCACACCTCCCTATAGGCCCTATCTCCAAACACAGGGGGATTAGGGCTTCAACATATAAAGGGGGAGGGGGACACCCAGTCTGTAGGTGGGGTTTGGGCATCTGTCATTTGTGTTAACAACTCTCCCAGGTGATTCTGCTGTGCCTAATGGCACATAATCCAGAGCTTGCGCCTAATGGCCCTGGGTTGGAGAACTCTAATTCCTGCCTTCCTTCCCATATGAGTAGCGCAGGCTTCCCGTGGAGTAGGCTGTCCTGCCCAGTACCTGGTCTTGCTCACTTGGCTGTGTTTGGTCATGGCCTCATCATGGGGCTCCAGGCTCTGCTACTGCTGACCTACTGCTTACCAGCCTTGGAAAACTGGGCAAGTCATTTCCCTTCCCTTGGCCTCAGTCTCCTCATCTGACAGTGAGGGGCTTGCACAGAAGACTCTCTGCAAAGTCCCAGCTGACATAAAACTCTGATCCTTGAGAGTAACATTCTAGGGGCTTCCATTAGGCCCAATTCACAGTTTTAGCATGGAATTTTAAAAAGCATTCAGGGCTCCTTATCCCATTCCAACTAAGAATATACTATCGCCCATGCAAAATGCCCAACCAAAAAAGTGCCTGGCGTGTCGCCGCCCTGTGAAATCTAGGTGTCAGGGAGATCAAAGTAGAGGTTGTCCTTTTTCTTTGAAGTCGGACATGCCATGTTCTTACCATGAGTCAAAATCCTTTCCTTATTCAGTTCAGGACTCAGGTTTATCTCTGGCTTCCCGGGACTCATGGATTTTCTCCCCTGAACAAAGCATAGTGCGTCTCTACAACCTCTCCAGGCTCCTGGGTAGAGATGAGACTTTGGGAAGAATGTTGAACCATTTTCGCAGGCATGGGTAAGTGACATATAAGCCCTACACACCCAGTATCAGAAGCCAAGAAGGGGTGAGGAGGGAGGGGAGTTCACCTCTGCCCTTGCCGCCCTGGTTAGCTTTGTCCAGCCTCAGCAGACAAGACCCTCTCACTTCGTTTTGTCTTCCTAGGCCTCTTCCCGCTTTGCCTCCTCCTCTGCTCTTCTTGATGCTTGGAATGCTGCTCTTTTCTGTCTACATAAATATACTTATTTTCCAAAGCCTAAAGAGTATATATGAGGGACCAGGGAGAGTGAGAGGCAGAAGGAGGAAATTATCTGAATCATTCCAGCCTACGTGATCTTCCTCTGCTATAAATTACTGTTGCACTTGTGATCCTGACCATTGGCATCCCCTATTCCAAGCCCAGAGAGGCAAGCACTGTGTGGGTTCTGGGCAGCACTGAATCCCTAGGGTCTGAAAGATGACCTGGCCCAGAGTGAGTGCTTGGTAACTATTTGTGAAGTAGGGGAATGAGTGAGCCCCACAAGTCATCGTTACCTTACAGTCCCTGCCTCCTCTTGTGGTCTGTTTCAAGGACTGTGTCTTCATGCCTTGGTTCTAAGATAGACACAGACTGTTCACTTTTTTTGTTTTTTTTTTTTTTTTTGAGATGGAGTCTCGCTCTGTCACCCAGGCTGCAGTGCTGTGGTGTGACCCGGACTCACTGCAAGCTCCACCTCCTGGGTTCACGTCATTCTCCTGCCTCAGCCTCCCAAGTAGCTGGGACTACAGGCACCTGCCACCATGTCTGGCTAAATTTTTTTGTATTTTTTAGTAGAGACGGGGTTTCCCCATGTTAGCCATGATGGTCTCGATCTCCTGACCTTGTGATCCACCCGCCTCAGCCTCCCAAAGTGCTGGGATTACAGGCACTTTTTTCTTTTTATCTCCAGAACCTGCAAGGAGCCTGGTCCACTGTATGCACTCAATGAATGCTGGAGTGAATAAATGAAGAGCCATGTTGGAACTGGCATTCAGCACTGAATGGGAGAACCTCCTGGGGAGATTGATGGTGGAAATGCAAAAAGGTATGAAAGGAGAGCAGGCACAAGTCCACCTGTAGCCACCCAGATGTCCTGGGGCAGTGTGGCCTCCATGGGAGGGCTGTGATGGAGCCTTCTTCCAGATAGTGTGTCAGCTGGCTTAGCAGGCACCTCTGGTGGCCCCTGCTGCAGCTGTGGACAGCAGTTGTGTGTCGCTTTCTCTTGCTCTAGGCTCTGCCCAGTATATCTGCCTTCACCCACACCACTCTGATCCTACAGTGGGAGACCTGGGAAAGAGCCCACTCCATATATCTCCACGTGTTGCTTGAGAGTTCTGGGAGAACCCACAGCTCCTGGAGCAACAGAGGAGAGACGCCTCTGCAAGACCACTTTCAGGTGGACAGAAGGGTTGGGCAGGATGGAGTCCCCTTGCCAACAACAGTGGCCCGTCCTGTAACCATACCTACCTTATACTGACTTTTCCTCCTTCCATCTCTCTCTCTCCCTGTCCCCCCACATATACTATTTAGGCTCTGAAAAATAAGTACATTTAGGTGGACAGAGAGAAGAAAGCATAAAGAAAAGCAGAGGAGAGACAAAGAGGCAAGGAGCCTAGAAAGAGAAAAGGATGAGAGAGGCCGTTTGCTGCAGCCAGCTCTGTGGTTCATGGTGGAGCTTGTACGCTAAAAGGGTCACAGTCTACAGGACAAATCAGTGCAGGTACCAGACCCATGCTGATTATCAAACACTATAAATACAGCAGGAAGGGCAAGGAAGAGGGAGAGTCCAAACTCGCCTGGGCACGCGTGTGTGCGCAGCAGCCCCGGCAGAGCAGGCACCTCCGCAGGTCCCCTCCATTTAATAATGTGAGGCTGCATTGCCAAAGCCATCCACTCCAAAGCCATCACTTGTGGCTCTCAATCAGTTTTAGATTGGCTTAATCAGTCCTAAACAAGAGGAGCCCCATGCCATCTTCATGATGCATGGACTAAGACATAAATATGTAAGCAGTTCTATATTAACATTAATTAGCAGCAGTAGCCTGGAAGTGGTTAGCATAACACTGGGAATCGCTAATGGAATTGTGTATCTTTTTCCTGCACCATAAGCATTGAGAATCATGCATAATGTAAAAGCATAGATTGCAGCTGGTAGCAGCAGGCTGGATCACAGGAGATGATTTTGACTTTTTATGATCATGAAGAACTACCTTTCAATCAGGCCCCCAAAGCAAATACTAGCCTACAGCCCTGGGGGTGCAGAATCACACTACATAACAGTAAATAACAATCCTGCTCAGAGGCCCCAAAGCTGGGCTTTTTATTTATGTTCTGTCCATATTTATAGAGTCTAGAAGGAGTGCAGGCGGTGACAGAAAGCAGGTGCCACCTGACCATAGGGGAGGCTGACTGAGACACAAGAGATGAGCTCAAGCTGAGAACAGATAGCTGAGTTCTGGCTGGGCACAGGACGGTCAGCCTGGAGGCGTCATGGACGCACCACCTTCTATACTCAAAATTGCTCAGACTCAGGAAAGACGAGCTACTAGAGAAGCCAAGCCCATTTAATGGTTTCAGCTCATCTGGTAATAGGGCCTCGTCAGTGGGTTAGAACAAGGAAAAGTGGGGAAAATTCTGGCAGTCTCCTCAATTTAGCCTTTTGGTCTCCATCACCTGCCTTTTCTCACCCACTACAATCTATTGCAGAGTTTTTTTCCAACAGCAATATTGAGATATGATTCACCTACCATACAATTCACCCATTAATTAAATGGTTTGGCATCTATTACATTATTTGCAAAATTATGGTGAAATATACATAACAAAATGTACCATTTTCACCATGTTTAAGTATACAGTTCTGTGCATTACATACAGTCACACTGTTGTGCAGCCATCACCACTATCCATCTCCAGAACGTTTTAATCACACCAAACAAACTCCCTACTCATTAAACAATAACTGTCCATTGTCTCCTCCTCCCAGCCTCTGGTGACGTCTAATCTACCTTGCCTCTATGAATGTGTCCGTTCTAGATATTTCATATCAGGGAAATATATAGTTGTCTTTTGTGTGGTTTATTTCACTTAGCATAAAATCTTCAAAGTTCATCCATGTTGTAGCACATATTAGAATTTCATTCCTTTTTATGGCTGAATAATATTCCACTGTATACATATTCCACATTTTATCCATTCCATCCATTGATGGACACTGGAGTTGTTTCTACCTCTTAGCTATTGTGAATAATGCTATAAACATTGGTATATTAGTCTGCTCTCACACTGCTAATAAAGACATACCCAAGACTGGGTAATTTATAAAGGAAAGAGGTTTATTGAACTCACAGTTCCACATGGCTGGGGAGGCCTCGCAATCATGGTGGAAAGCAAAGGAGAAGCAAAGTCAGGTCTTACATGGCAGCAGGAAAGAGAGCTTGTGCAGGGGAACTCCCATTTATTAAACCATTGGATCTCATGTGGCTTATTCACTATCACAAGAACAGCACAGGAAAGACCCACGCCATGATTTAATTACCTTCCACCAGGTCCCTCCCATGACACACGGGAATTATGGGAGCTACAATTTGAGATTTGGGTGGGGACACAGTCAAATCATATCAATTGGCCTATAAGCATCTGCTTGAGGTCCTCTGTTTAGTTCTTTTGGATATATACACAGGAGTGGAATTGCTAGATCATATGCCAATTCTATGTTTGGCTTTTGAGGAACTGTCAAACCATTTTCCATAGTACCATTCAAATGGTACATTCAAAATGTACCATTTGTAGGAGGGTTCCAATTTCTCTACATCCTCACCAATACCTCTTATATTTTCCATTTTTTGTTTTGTGTGTGTGTGTGTTTATAGCCACTCTAGCAAGTATGAAGTGGTATCTCCTTGTGATTTTGATTTGCACTTCCCTGATGACTAATGATGTTGACCATCTTTTCATGTGCTCATTGGCCATCTGTATGCCTTCTTGGGGGAAAGTTGTATTAGTTTGCTAGGGCTGCCATAACAAAGTGCCACAAGCTGGGTTAAACACAGAAGTTTATTTTCTCTCAGTTCTGGAGGCTAAAAGCCCCAGACCAAGGTGTCAGCAGGACTAATTTCTGCTGAGGCCTCTCCCTTGGCTTATAAATGGCAGTCTTCTCCTGTGTCTTCATATAGTCTCTCTTCTGTGATTGTTTATGTGCTTTCTTCTGTGTTTATGCTCTAATCTCCTTTTCTTATGAGGACTAGGGCTCACCCCAGTGGTCTCATTTAACCTTAATTACCTCTTCAGAGACCGTGTATCCAAATACAGTCACATTCTGAGTACAGGGGGCTAGGACTTCAACATACAAATTTTGGGGGAAACATTCAGCCCATAACAAAGGTCAGTTCAAGTTCTTTTTGCCTCTCACCCCCTCTTTTTTGAGACAAAGTCTCACTCTGTTGCTCAAGCTCAGAGTATAGTGGCATGATTTCAGCTCACTGCAGCTTTGACCTCACAACTCAAGTGATCCTCCCACCTCAGCCCCCTGAGTAGCTGGGACTACAGGCACACAGCAACACACCCAGCTAATTTTTGTATTTTTTGTAGAGATGGGATTTTGCCACGTTGCCCAGGCTGTTCTCAAACTCCTCAGCTCAAGCAATTCTGCCTGCCTCAGCCTCTTAAAGTGCTGGGATTACAGGCATGAGCCACCACGCCAGCTTTGCCCATTTTAAAAATTGGGTTGTAATCATAAGTTTTGATGTTGAATGTGTGTTTTATTATTCATTTTGGGGGTGGTGAAGGTGTCAGTAGAATAAGAGAGGTAAAGGTTACTGGGATTTTAGTCTTGGAATGTTTCATGTAATCAGTTCTAAGCACAGTCACTGTCCCAAAGGAAATATCTCCATTTTTTCCCCACAGAAACCCAACCGTACTATCTATCTTCCAATAGGTAGTGCAGTAATAGTCATCAGAGGTAAACAAGAAATCACTATATTATGATTAAGCCAAAGTTAGTTTTCAAATGTCTGCTAGACTGTAAATTTCTTGAAGGTGTCATTTCTTTTTTTTTTTTTTGAGACGGAGTCACTCCGTTGCCAGACTGGACTGTAGTGGCACAATCTCAGCTCACTGTAACCTCTGCCTCCCGGATTCAAGCGATTCTCCTACCTCAGCCTCCCGAGTAGCTGCGAATACAGGTCACATGCCACCACACCCAGCTAATTTTTGTATTTTTTGTAGAGACGAGGTTTCACCATGTCGGCCAGGAAGGTTTCGATCTCTTGACCTTGTGATCCACCCACCTTGATCTCCCAAAGTGCTGGGATTACAGGCATGAGCCACCACACCAGCTGTCATTGCTTACTCAGCTTTGAGTTGCAGTATGCCTCAGGCCATAAAAAACATTTTCTCATGTAATAAACACAATATCCCATGTGGTAAGTATAATAATCCCCATTCCACAGATGGGGCAACAGGGCTCACAGGGGTCAAGTAGCTTGCCCAAGCTGATGCAGCAAGCAGCAGAAGGAAAATGTGGGGTCCCGAATCTGTCCAATTCTTCTTTCCACTATACTATGATTCTTTTCTCCCTCAATGTGGAAATAAGATATGCATGCTCTTAAATCAGGAGAAGCATTCATTCCCATGAGATCTCTGAGTGAGCTGAGCTCATCTCCAACAAGTACATGTTTACCATTCGGAAGGTATCATTCACTATCTGTCTCCATAAAAGATGTTTCTGCCTTTCCCCACTCCATGTTAGACCTTACATACGAATTAAATAGATTTTTTTGTTAATAGACAAGAACTCAAGCCCAGGCAGTTATGTTCTGTTCATGGTAACTGTAATAAAGACATGGGATTCAAAAGAAAAAAAGCAAGAGGATTGGGGGCGGGTAGGCAAAGGGAAATGAGAAGTAAGTTTCAATACACCAAGAAATGGAAAACGGTCAACAGTTGTTCTCCTCTTTTGTTAATTCTTAATGCAAAACAAGTGATTCACAAATTATACACACTGGTTTCAGTCCTCTGCCTCTGAGATAAATTTCTCTTTGTGTAGATATTCAGATAGACCTGGGCTTTTCTTGTAATGGACAAGAAGCTTCTGCAGTAAGTCACAGCCCAACTCCACAGACTCTATCAGACAGCTGCTTCCCAAAGGGAAGGTGTCTCTCTGTTTCTCCCACAGTAGAAGCCTGTGCCATGATGAATCCAATCATATCTATTTAATAAAGCCTAATGGGCAGTCTTTCTCCAGTGGCTACATCAACCATCAGTCATCAACACTGTTAAACAAAGAAGAAATTCTAAAAATTCTAAGGAATTTTGCAAACATTACGCATTCTTCTCATGCTGAGATATTTGTTTTTTGAGGAAGGACATACACAGCCATGTGGTAACTTGTTTAATAATCAGGATTCATATATTCCATCTTTTTCCCCAGGAAGGAAAAATAATCCCATGCATAGAAACTGTCAGTGAAGTCCTTGTTTCATAAGGGGCAATCTGACTAAGGTTGTCCCAGAACACCTTTTTATATCTATATGTGTTTTTTTGTGTGTGTTTTACTTTTTGTTCTCAACATACTCATTGCTCCACAGGTATGGCCTAATACAGTACATGGTGGTGGGTGTCATGAAGACACGTTACACTTCGAGGGCCTGAATGATTGGGGTCAAAGGCTCTGTGGACAGTTTTATAGCCCAAATCACATGCACTGTATCAAAGTCATCTGGTGTGTACTTTATATAGTTCTTCTGGTAGGTGACTATTTGGGTGGGCTCAGTAACTAGTGGGATTAGATGAATGTCTCTGACCAGCTTGGACACTTGTTTCCAGTGCTAGATTCAAAGCCTGGCAACATGTGTGGGCCTCTAAGAACAGGGATTCCAGAGCAATCCTGCAAAATGGTTTGGGTTGAACAGTCAGGCAATGTCCATTGCTGTTACTCACTTTCTTATCCTGTTTCCCCTTTGATCCCACCCAACCAGTGGTGTGCTAGTAAATGTTCAACAACTGGCTCTCCAAATAATGCATGGAAATATATACATACATGAGGTGATTACTGATTTTACTGATATACATAATGTGTATCATACAATTTACAAATGATAATAAAGTCTACAATTCATTGTAAATTCCATATAGCCCATTGATTCTCATTGATTCTCAATGCTTTTCTTGATTTTTGCCAAGCTCTTGTTTTCATAGCCAACCTATGTTTGCAGCTGATATATGAGTGCAGTTTTGATTAGAATGTTGACATTTTTGCTTGCATTAATAAGTATGGTGAAGGTGAAATAATGAAGATATACGTAGAAACACTACCTGATCATCAATGATTGGAGCAACTTCTTTGCTGATTCAGGTAACAGTTTTCTAATGCTAAAAGAATATTTCCTCAAATTTTTGTGCTATTGACAATGTAATGGCTACAGACATGACAATCTTTAAATTTAATATGGATAACATTAAGAGTCATCAGAACAATAAATCAAGCTTCGATTTATAGCAGTTGCCAATTTCCATGGCACAAATATCCCCACTATGGCTGACTTTAAGCTACCAAGCTGATGTCCTTGATTTGGGAAGAGATGCCCAGTAGTGCCCCATGATATACTATTTGGATGATATAAGTGCAATAAATGTAAGTAATTCAAAAGGTCAGATGATATTAAAATAAGTAGAAAGTACTGAGGCTTTGAGTACTGTATTTTTAATACAATTTAATTACAAGTTTAGACAATTTAATAAACCTGCTGTGTTTAACAAGGGCTAAAAATTCTGGAAAATTTAACGATCAGTTCTTGCAAGCTATTAGAAGTCAGCTCCAGCATGCTATGCCATCAAACCCATAATAGGTTAGGTTATACCATGGACTTTTGGGAATGCTCTAAGCTGTAGGTAACAGGGTATATGACTAAAGCGTCTAGAAGATAGCCCTATGGAACTCAGTGATTTTTTTTCATATTTGTAAAGTACTTAGAACAGTGACTAACAGATAATAGATGTCAATAAATATCTGTTGAATTAAGTTTATTAAAATAGAGGCATTTAGTAATCACACATTGTGAGAAGTCTAGGCACAGATGATTCTAGAGCTGATCCCTCCAGGACTCTGGGTCAACCACTCTGTGAGGTTCTTGGCCTTTTCACTTTAGCTGAAAGGTGGCCACCATAGCCCTAAACACCAAATTCTCACAGCAAAATTTCTAAGAAAGGAAACAGGGAACAACCAGATTGATGACTGATGTCTCCTTGCCATTTTCCTGTTTTCTCAAGTAACTAGAACAGAATCCGCAGCAACTCTTTTCTAGACCCTCTGATGGGAGATGGGCAAAAAAAAGGAGGTTGGTGTTCCTATGACAGTCAAATAATTTCCCTGGTTTCCTACTAGGCCAATTCAAGGCAAGGAATCAAGTAATACAAATATTTATTTCGGTCCAAATATCTTTTTCTGACTAATGCATAATCATTATTCTGGAACTTTCCATTCTCCTTGAAGTATTTTGAAAATAAAATCTGCAATGACTCTCTCTAATTACCAAGTAATTACCCTTAGAAAGAAATCTTCTTTCTACCTTAATTACCTCTTAAGTGTTTATGTACAACTTGACTGAATGTGGTCTATATCAGATTACAAATTACTGCAGTCAAATTCTTTATAAACATAATTGTATTCTTTAAATCGCTTATAAAAATTTCCAAGTCCATAAAACATTTCGATGAGTTACAATAAGGGAATTTGAACATCTTTAGGAGTATATTTTCCTGGGTTTTGAGTACCATATATGTTGTGATTAACAAAGAGAGCAATTGAAAGCCATTCACACATAAAATGTTTATACCCAAGTAACCTTCAAATATTTCAAAAAGCCCCTTTCTACCCAATACTCAGAAAGCGCCCAAGGAAATAAATGCAGCTTACCTTGGGCTCCCAAGGTAAGGCATGGATTCTGGTCACTGGAGAAGATTCCCATCTGTCACCATCCAGACACATCTGTGGCAGGGAGAATCCCTGAGTTCAGGAAAAGACAGCAAAGACATGCCAGAAATAATATCGACCAGGATTGACTCTCTTTTCAAATCAGAAAAGAGCCATAGGACTTAGAACCACAAGGGATTCTAGAGATGGTTTTCCTCACTTGTATCCAAAACTATGTTCTCCATTGTCAGTTCTTTCTGGGAAATGATTTTATACAGAGGATATCAGATTTTTTTTGTTTTACTCAAAACTTCTCAGGGGGCCGGGCATGGTGGCTCACACCTGTAATTCTTGCACTAGCACTTTGGGACGCCAAGGCGGGCAGATCACTTGAGGTCAGGAGTTCAAGACCAGCCTGGCCAACATGGTGAAACCCTGTCTCTACTAAAAATACAAAAATGGCTGGAAATCACTTGAACCCGGAAGGTGGAGGTTAAAGTGAGCTGAGATCGTGCCACTGTACTTCAGTCTGGGCAGCAGAACGAGGTTCTGTCTCAAAGAAAAAAAAAAAAAAGCCAACAACCACTTCTCAGGAGGCTTGTATACTGTGAGTCTTTAAAAGGTATGTGTATAACTACCTTTTCCAAATCTGATGTAACTATAGAACTTTTTTTGAATGGAACACTTTTTTTTGTTTTTGTGGGAAAATATATATACATTAAATTTATCATCTTAACCATTTTTAAGTGTATAGTTGTGATAAGCATATTTATATTGTTGTGAAAACAATCTCCAGAAATTTTTCATCTTGCAAAACTTAAACTCTGTATCTGTTAAACAAAAACTCTGCATGTCTTCCCCTACCCCTGGCAACTACCATTCTACTTTGTTTCTATGAATTCTACTACTCTAGGTACCTCGCACACATGGAATCATAGAGTATTTATCTTTTTATGACTGGTTTATTTTATTTAGCATAACGTCCTCAAGTTTCATTCATGTTACAGCATTTGTCAGAATTTCCTTCCTTTTTAAGGCTGAGTAATATTCCATTGTATGAATATACTACATTTTATTTATCCATTCATTCACTGATGGACGTTTGACTTGCTGCCACCTCTTGGCTATTATGAATAATGCTGCTACAAACACAGGTGCACAAATATCTCTGCGAGATCTTGCTCTCGATTCTTTTGGATATATACTCAGAAGTGGAAATTCTGGATGCTTTGGTAATGCTATGTTTAATTTTTGAGGAACGACCACATTTTTTTCCATAGCTGCACCGTTTTACATCCCCACCAACAGTGCACAAGAGTGGAACTCCATTTTATTTTTTATTTTTTATTATACTTTAAGTTCTAGGGTACATGTGCACAACGTGCAGGTTTGTTACATATGTATACATGTGCCATGTTGGTGTGCTGCACTCGTTAACTCGTCATTTACATTAGGTATATCTCCTAATGCTATCCCTCCCCCAACCCCACGACAGGCCCCGGTGTGTGATGTTCCCCACTCTGTGTCCAAGTGTTCTCGTTGTTCAATTCCCACCTGTCAGTGAGAACATGCAGTGTTCTTTTTTATGGCTGCATAGTATTCCATGGTGTATATGTGCCATAGTTTCTTAATCCAGTCTATCATTGATGGACATTTGGGTTGGTTCCAAGTCTTTGCTATTGTGAATAATGCTGCAATAAACATAAGTGTACATGTGTCTTTATAGCAGCATGATTTATAATCCTTTGGGTATAGACCCAGTAATGAGATGGCTGGGTCAAATAGCATTTCTAGTTCTAGATCCTTGGGAACTCCTTTTTTAAAGAACACTTTAATTAACATAAAACTTAATAAACACCAGTCTAGTCCAAATCCACCCTTTTAAAATGGAGAAGTAGAAGCTCATGAGGGGAGGGACTTGTGCAATATCCCACAGCTCCTCAGTGGTGAGTCAGCCAGGGGCTTGCAGGGAAACAGACCACTCAGCTTCAGTTATGGAGAGAATTGAATATCGGAATTGCTTACAGAGGATGGGCAGCACTGCAGGGTGCCAATTAGGGATATAAAGACACTCAGGAAGAGCAACAGTGAGAAACACTTACCACCCTTTGGCCTAAAGAGGAAAAGATAGAAAACGGCATAATTGAACCCAAGGAAACCTAGCGCCTTGAGGGCAGGTTGCTCAGCAGGAGCTGTCCTTGGAGGATGTGGTCGCCACCAGAGCCACAGCACAGAAGAAGCAGGTAAAGAAATACCCCGATTGTTCTCTCCTTCTGGCCATTGATCTCCTGCCTGGCTAAACCAACCCAACGCCAGAGGGCAGGGGAACAGAGAGCATATACGGCTAAGTCCCTGAGTCCCAGAGAACAGAAATAGGTGAGGAGGAAAGATAAAGGAGGGAGGCTGGTGTTGGATGGACAATCTGGGGTGTCTGACGCAGAGGGTGTCTATAGGTGGTTTTCTACACTCAGTGTTTGTCATAGAAAATTAAAAATTTAGAACGTTTAGAGCCAGGCCTGGTGGCTCATGCCTGTACTCCCAACATTTTGGGAAGCTGAGGCTGGCAGATAGTTTGAGCCCAGGAGTTCAAGACGAGCCTGGCTAACATGGTGAGACCCCTGTCTCTACAAAAAATACAAAAATTAGCTGGATGTGATGGCACATGCCTGTGGTCCCAGCTACTCAGTAGTCTGAGATGGGAGGATTGCTTGAGCGTGGGGAGTCGAGGTTGCAGTGAGCTGTGATCGCACCACGGCACTTCGGCCTGAGTGAGAGAGCAAGACCCTGTCTCAAAAAAACAAAAAACAAAAAAAAAAGAAAGAAAGAAAAAGAAGAAAGAAAAGAAAGAAGAATGTTTAGGACATTAGAAAAAAGAAAATAAAAAAATTACCAACAATCTCATCACTCACAGAAACCCAAGTTAACATTTCTGTTTCCAGTGTATAACGTGTTGAAAGATGATATTGACATATGAAGTTGGGCCTGTTTTCACCGCTGTGCAACGGCAGCTCCAGAATGTCTACAGAAGGAACAAAGTGGCTGAAAGAAAGGACTAGACGTGAGTCCTGACATCACACTTACAGAGCAGGCACACTGGTTTTAATTGGATTGCGGGTTTATTTCGAGACCTATCTGGAGCTGCCAATGGAGACAAAAGGCTTTATCTTGAAGCTGCCATGTGCAGAGAGGCCTGCTCGTTTATTTTGGTAAGGTTCAGGAAGAAGGTGATGATTTATGTGGCAGATGAAAGCTCCCCTGCTCAAGGCACCCCCTTGACAATGCTGTAAAAGAACTAATATGAGGGTTCTTGGGGAAGGGAGATAATATATTTTACATGTAGAAGAATGTGAACCGTGGTGGCCAAAGGGCAGATTGTGTCACATTATGTCTTCCAAACATCACCGCCACAACCTGCCCCATCCCACTTGCCCTTCTGGCAACATCACCTTGACACTTTTCTTGTGGTGGTAGTCTCAGTCCTCTCTTCTCGAATCTGGACAAAACTTGGGCTGCTGTCACCAGTATAATAAGTGAAGCGACTATGAACTTCCAAGGCTAGTTCTTAAAAATGCCACACACTCCTGCCTTGCTGTCTTGGGACGCCAGTGCTTAGAACCCAGCCACAGTGAGGAAGCCCAAACCAGCCCATGTGGAGACGGCCCATGGAAAGGACACCTCTAGGCGTTTAGGCTGATAACTCAGCTGATAATGAAAGCTACTTGTGGTTTATTCTCTGGATTTTTCCTTGCCCACTCCAAGATAAGCCTTTGTGCTTTCTTCCCCCATGAATAGAATCAGAAGTAGATAGTTCTCAAATCCTATCACTCTTTTGGAGATTACATCCTGAGGACAGAAAGGAAAACAATTGGTGTTTGGAAAAGGGAGAGGGGACATAAAAGGAATGACCATATATAAGGGAGAGTCCACCATACTAGAAAACTAGAACAGGGGTAAGCACAGGAACTTCTAACCCACTAAGTCCCTCAAAATGGCCAAGGATGGTGGCCAGACCTTAGGGGAAATGGCTGCTTGTTGTATAGACAGCGATCGGAGTCCCAGCCCAGGACACTGCTTTGGCAGAGATTTCTGGATCCATGATGGCAAAGAAGGTGCAAAACTAGCAATGGGCCTTGGTGATGGGTTTCTCACAGGTAACCAGGTCAGGCTAGAGGTCAGCTTCCAGGATAACTATTCCTGCTTATGATACCCCAGGACCTTTCTATATAATGGGGTACCCCCAAATGACTGAATTTTTTGCCAATGATGTAAGATGGTGGCTTGGAGTTTATTTTCATTTGACATTTAAAAAAAATGTTCCAAAACAGATTACTAATCCCTCCTACATGACATTCATAGAAATCATTAAAAAGATATAAAAAAGTAAACACGTAAGGGCATAGTCATGATTGGAAAGAAGAACACAAACTCTGGATGAACCAGAACGATACAGAATCTCTTTTTTTCTTTTTGAGATGAAGTCTAGCTTTGTTGCCCAAGCTAGAGTGCAGTGGCACCTTCTCGGCTCACTGAAACCTCCGCCTCCCAGGTTCAAGCAATTCTCCTGCCTCCATCTCGCGAGTAGCTGGGACAACAGGCGCATGCTACCATGCCCGGCTGCTACATTTTGTACTTTTAGTAGAGACGGGGTTTCACTATGTTGTCCAGGCTGGTCTCAAACTCCTAACCCTGTGATCTGCCCACATCGGCCTCCCGAAGTGCTGAGATTACAGGCGTGAGCCACTGTGCTCGGCCCAGAATCTCTTAAAATTGGAAAGTAGGCAGGCATAAAGAAGAAAAACTGCAGCCTAGCTGGGAGTGGGAGAATTCTGCTGTGAGCCTCAAGGGGTGCCCCCGACCAAGAAGGGGGGATCCAGAAAGAGGAGGAGGAACTCAGAGTGGCCAAGGTGAGCGCAGCGTGGTAGGGCAGCCTCCGGGCAGGGCACCTGCACCCATGGATGCAAGTGTATGCCTTCCCCAGAGCAGCAGGTACAGGAACTCTGGGAGCAAGAGACGCAGCGCAATGCCCCAGATATGCCTGCCTTCCCCAGAGCAGCAGGTACAGGAACTCTGGGAGCAAGAGACGCAGCGCAATGCCCCAGATATGCCTTAAAGACCCACTGTGAGATGTCATCTCCTTACACACCACAGGAGCCTCTGCCAGGCTCACTAAAGCCAGTGTAAAGCAGCAGCAACAATGGCAGTTCCCACCCCATCTCAATCATCTGCGTGAACTATTATAGCAGATCTTCTAACAGGGAAACTTGGCATTGATTTACATAAGCAGAATCAAATATTCCAGCAGATCCAGCATCAGAAGATAGAAATAAGTGAAAAAGGAAAAACTTTCATTAAAGAAGTAGGTTGGTGAATAGAAGCAGTGTGTGTGTAAGTGTGTGTGTGTGTGTGTGTGTGTACATGCACATATAAAATATCTTTAAATATTTAAGGACATAATGTGTGCGATCACAAGAATAGAAAGAGTCTGGGCGTGGTGGCTCATGCCTGTAATCTCAGCACTTTGGTAGGTCAAGGCAGGAGGATCGCTTGAACCCAGGAGTTCAAGACCGGTATGGGCAACAGAGCAAGACCCCATCTCAAAGAAAAAAGAACCAATCAAAACTATTGGATGAACATTTTAATTGTTGAAACTTAAAAACCTAGTACGTGGGTGAAAAACAAAATAAGCACAGCTGAGAGGCAAATAGATTGGAAAATGGAACCATGGAATTTGCTCAAAATGACACAAAAATTAAGAGATTTGTAGAATAAATCTAGTTCCAGCATCCATGTAATAGGAGTTACAAAAGAAGAGCCTGGAGAAATTAAAAGTAAATAAAATTTTAAGAAATAGTTGATTAGAAATGTACAGAATCGAAGTAAGACATGAGGTCTCTGAAAGAAGCCATCAATACCCAGCAGGATAAATATTTTTAAAATTATCCAGACACAGTTGAGAAGAGAGAACATTTGCATCCACATGGCTTAAATATTAGGACCAAGGACAAAGACCACCTGTTTCAACATAACTTAATTATTTGCTCCAGGAAATCCTTGCCCAGA
This sequence comes from Homo sapiens, assembly GCF_000001405.40. Classification (NCBI taxonomy): domain Eukaryota; kingdom Metazoa; phylum Chordata; class Mammalia; order Primates; family Hominidae; genus Homo; species Homo sapiens. Next base: position 100,734,571 of record NC_000013.11, on the reverse strand, counting down.
AAGATAAAGCTGTAAACCAATAAATAACTGCTATTTACTTTAGGAAATTCCTGCAAACCAGTTTGTCTGGGCAAATAGTTTGTGCATCTGGCCAGTTTTCCTCACAGGACAGCCATGTTTTCATCTGGGCAAAGAGCTCTTTTATCAAACAGTTTACTTATAAATATTTGCTTTGAGCCCCTAGCTTCACTGTGGCCACAATCCTAAACTATCAGTTACGAACTTTGCTCATCCCAGTCAATTCCCCAGCTTGAAAGAACTGCCTCAAATCTCATGAGCTCAGACACCAAAATGCTATAAATATCCTCTCCTTACTTCTCCCTTTGAGCCATTGCTAAGGTCTCAAAGTGATGGTCTCCCTTACAGTAAGTTTAATAAACTTAGCTTTGCTTTATCAAAAGGTTATTTTGATAGATATTTTGGGAGTTGACAGTTGAAAATCCATGAAGAAACTTCAACATTAAAATAAAAAGAAAATCCTTAAAATCTTCTGGGGAAGAATAAACTGGTTATTGACAAAAGAAAAATAATATGGTCAGGCATGGTGGCTCATGCCTGTAATCCCAGCACTCTGGGAGGCTGAGATGGGTGGATCACCTGAGACCAGGAGTTCGAGAACAGCCTGACCAACATGCTGAAAACCCGTCTCTACTAAAAATACAAAAATTAGCCAGGTGTGGTGGTGGGCACCAGAAATCCCAGCTACTTGGGAGGCTGAGGTATGAGAATCGCTTGAACTCAGAAGGTGGAGGTTTCAGTGAGCCATTGCACTCTAGCCTGGGTGACAAGAGTGAGACTCCATCTCAAAAAAAAAAAAAAAAAAATCTGATTGACCTCAGCCTTCTTGACAATAACCATGGGCACAGGGAGACCTTGGAGCAATTATCTTCAATATCTAAAGGAAAATAATTTTGAACCTAAAATGTTCTAGCCAGACAAGCTATCTTTTAAAATTGAAGTCGGCAAACTATAGCCAATGGACCAGCCCCATTTTTACAAATTGTTTTGGAATACAGTCACACCCATTATTTATGTAGGTATCATTTGTGGCTGCTTTTGCACTACCTTGGCAGAGCTGAATAATTACAACTGAGACCATATGGCCACAAGTCTAAAATACTTACTATTTGGACCATTTAAAAGGGCTTGCTGACACCTGCTTTAAAATAAAGACATTCAAAAACTAACAGATGCTGGCGAGGTTGCGGAGAAAAGGGAATGCTTATACACCAATGGTGGGAATGTAAATTAGTTCAGCCACTGTAGAAAGCAGTTTGGAGATTTCTCAAATAACTTAAAACAGAGCTACCATTAGACTCAGCAATCCCACTATTGGGTATATGCCCAAAGGAAAAATAAGTCTTTTTACCAAAAAGACACATGCGCACGTATGTTCACTGCGGCACTATTCACAATAGCAAAAACATGGAATTAACCTGGATGCTCATCAACGGTGGACTGGATAAAGGAAATGTGGTACATATACACCATGGAATACCGTGCAGCCATAAAAATAATGAAATCATGTCTCTTGCAGCAACCTCCATTATCCTAAGTAAACACAGGAACAGAAGACCAAATACCATGTGTTCTCATTTATAAGTGGGAGCTAAGCATCGGGTACACACAGACATAAAGATGAGAACAATAAACACTGGGGACTACTAGAGGGGGGAGAGATGAAGGGGGCCAAGGGCTGAAAAACTACCTATTAGGTACTATGTTCACTACTTGGGTAAGGGGATCATTTGTCCCCAAAACTTCAGCATCACTAAATTTACCCATGTAACAAACCTGCACATGTACCCCTATATCCAAAATAAAAGTTGAAATTATAAAACTTTCTAAAATTAAGATAAAGACATTTGCAGATACGTAAAATCCCATAAAATTTACTATCCAATGATCCTCCTTGGAAGAATTACTGAAAATTATGGGGCAGTGGGAGGGACGGTTCCAGAAGGAAGAGATGACAGGTATAATGCAATGAGCTATAAACACAATAGTAAAATTTATTTTTACATTAAAATAAGTAGTAAATGTTTAAGCTTTATGTTTTGACATCCCATGCAATGTTAAAAGCAATGGAAGCAGGTGAGATTTTAAGTAGGGAAAACTAAAAGGTCAGTAAAGTTTTTCTTCTCAGTGGGACTGAGGAAAGCAGAGGAAAAAGATAATTGCAGACAAAGCTTATTAATTCTAGATAATTTCTAGGTAATTATTAATTCTAGACCATGTTAAGTATTTAAGTATTTGATATAAAATATGTACATTTCCAACTTACAGAAAGTAAAAGTGGAAAAATGAACCACTAATTAAAGGCAACTAGAAAGCCCAGTAGGAGAACACAAATTAAGAAAATAAGAATAAACCCAAACATACCAGTGAATTCCATAAATATAACTAAGGGACTTAGTTCATGTATTAGTCCATTTTCACACATACCCAAGACTGGGCAATTTACAAAAGAAAGAGGTATAAAGGACTTACAGTTCCACATAGCTGGGGAGGCCTCACAATCATGGTGGAAGGTGAAAGGCATGTCTCACATGGCGGCAAGGGAAGAGAGCTTGTGCAGGGAAACTCCCATTTTTAAAACCATCAGATCTCGTGAGACTTATTCACTATCAAAAGAATAGCAAGGGAAAGAAGCGCCCCCATGATTCAATTACTTCCCACCAGGTTCCTCCCACAACACGTGGGAATGGTGGGAGTTACAATTCAAGATGAGATTTGGGTGGGGACACAGTCAAACTATCAGTTCAACCTTGTGTTGATGATGTGTATACTTTGTGGCTGGCATTATTATAGGCACTAGAGACACCACTATTGATGGCTGTCATGAAGCTTACACTTTAGTAAGGAAACAGACCATCAACCAATAGGTATGTTAGATAATCTCAAATTTAGGTTTTAGAGAGAGAAAAGGCAGAGTTAGGGGCTGGAGAGCAATATAGGTTGGTCAACTTGGAGGCTATTTTCTTAGTCTAGGCAATGTGATGGGGACTTGGATTAGGGTGGTATTTGTAGAAGCAGTGACAACTTACAGAACTGGGAAGATATTTTGCAAAAGATGACAGGATTTGCTGATGGAATCTATGAGAGGTGAGGGGGAGGTTAGGTTAAATTGGTGAAGGGGATCAGGACTTGCCACCCCAAAACATGCCATTTTGGCATAAAAATTATTTTGAGCTGAAGGCAATTGAGAATGAACAGGTGCAGGGAGTTCTCTGCCATCCCCCATCCACCTAAAAATAGGGCATACATTTCCCTTTGTAAAGGTGTCCCCCTCTTCTGTCCCAGGAAGAGGAGAGTGACTCTTATCCCCTGAGATGGAGAGGTGGCACCGAGATGAGTCTGCATAAACACAACTTACTAAAATAACCCTTTTCTTCCATTTGTTTCCCTCCATATATTTCCTCGTCATTTCCCTACAATTTGTTATCCCTTTAAGCCCAAAGCCCCTTTCCTTTATCAAAATGATATTCAGGCCTAGTGTCTGACCCCTTCTTTGAGTTTTACTTCTCTTCTCTCAACTCCCATACACGTAACTATTAATACAAATTGTGTCTTTTGTTTCTTTAATTCACGGGTCCCCATCACTAAACTTAAGAGGGTAGAGGAAAATTTTTTCCTTCCCTACAGCATATTAAAAGGAATATTCAATTTAACATTAAAACACATGCACACACAAACACAAAATCAACTACTTATATCCAGTTTATAAGACACAGAGTATAGTAGACACTTGGGACTCCACCCAGACCCTTTTTCAGCCTGGTGAAGCCACCCCCAGCTGCTGTGGGTATTTGTTCTTAAAGTCTCATGGGCTGCCTGCCTTCTCTAGAGAACTGCTGACTGCAGCTGTCCCACCAGGGTGGTTACCCAACCAAAAGCCCTCCAGGTGGCAAAAGAGGAGCTGTCTTTAATGGTTAATCATGTCATAGGACACCCTGATAGGATCCAATTTCTTTCCTGCATTACACACATTTCTGTCAACTATTATCTTGTAAGAAAGTAGAAATGTTGAGCCCTGTTGGGATGTCCTGATTTCAGTTTAGAGTGGAGTGAAATGGTGGAGTAAAAACTTTTATCTCCATTGCCACATCATTCTGAACCATTGTGAAAGGATATTCCAATCTCGAAGAGTCCTCAAAAGAGCAAAGTGAAGAGAGCATTTACAAGAAACATTGAATGCAAGAAGTACCTTTTTTCATTATAATATTTTTAAACATAAACAATTATTTTCAGCTGCTCTCAATACTCATGCCTACGATATTTTAACAGCCAGAAAGAAAAAACTTTCAAATAGCATAAGCAGTAAGAGTCAGTGATGTTTTTGTTTTGTTTTGGTTTTGTTGTTGTTGTTGTTTTTTAGTGTAACCAAAGGCTGGTTGCAGGACACACGCCTGTAATCCCGGAATTTGAGAGGCTGTCATAGGAGGATTGCTTGAAGCCATGAGTTTGAGACCAGCCTGGGTAATGTAAGATCTCATCTCTACAAATTTTTTTTTTTTTAAGATTAGCCAGGCATGGCGGCACGTGCCTGTAGTCCCAACGACTTGGATGGCTGAGGTGGGAGGATTGCTTGAGTCCAGGAGTTCGAGGCTGCAGTGAGCCATGATCACACCACTGCAGACCAGCCTGGGCAATGAAGCAAGACCCTGTCTATAAAAATAAATAATATAAACAGAATTTTTCTGGGAATAAATTTTTGACATATTCCTTACAAACTCACTGATAAAACATTAATATGATTTCTTGCAGATCAGCAAGACACTTAAATAATAAAATTTTTTTCCGACCATAGTCTCTCCTCATGCCAGTTTATCACATAAAATATTTTATTTTCCACTTCCTATTAAATGAATTAAAAATAAAATGGATGCTGTGCCCTATCTCATTTTAGTAATAGACCATATTGAACTATCAAATTCACTTCCTATTGCTGTAATAACAAATTATGACAAACTGAGTGCCTTAAAACAATGCAAATTGATCATCTTGCATTTCTGGGGGCCAGTCTGAAATGGGTTTCAGAAGGCCACAATGTCGGTGTCTGCAGAGCTGCCTTCCTTCTGGAGATTCTAGGGGAGAATCCATTTTCTTGCCTTTTCCAGTGCATAGGGGCTGCCTATGCTCCTTGACTCATGGCCTAATTCCTCCACCTTCAAAGCCTGCAACGTGAGGCTGCCCTTCTCATGCTGCTGTCTTTCTGGTTCTCTCTCTTCTTTCTCCCTCTTCCACTTATCAGCATCCTTGTCATTACACTGGGCCCACCTAGACAACCCAGCCTCATCTCAAGTTCAGTTGACTGGCAACTTTGATTCCTTCTAAACCCTAATTCCCCTATGCCATATAACTGAACATATTCACAGGTCCCAGATACTAAGATACAAACATAATTGGGTAGCTGGCATTTTGCCTATCACAACTATTAAGAAACAATTCTAATAAAATATAGTTTTAGGTTTATTATTTATCAAAGTTTGTAATATATTATTCCATATTAATATATTAATATATTATTTTGATCAATTATATTCTAATTTAACTTATAACTAAATATAAAATAAACTTCTTGTCACTAAAAGCCTGATATTCATAAGAAATAAAGCAAGATTTTTAATCAATAGACATAATTTTACTGCAAACAAATTTAATGGAGTGAGTACTAAAGACTTTCAAGCATAAAATTCCATTATATTTACTAGATAAAATTCTATGGGAGAAGTAGAATAGAAATTCAGGCCAAGGAGAAAGATGAAATATACATTTTCCCAATGTTTAGGAAAGGTTTTTTGTGTATACATTTGTAAAATATGACAGTGTATAACAAATCTCTATGGCATTTAGGTTCCATTGGATATATTTAAAAGTATAATTGACAGATTTGCTTTAAAATGTTGATACCATCAAATCTCACCAACTATTGCTGAGCAAAAGAAGTCAAATGATATGATTCATTTATATACTCAGGACAGTCCTCCCTGTGATCTTGAACTGACCCAGTTCTCCCCCACCTCTCACCCCTACCCCCATTCTCACTTGTAGTTCTCAAGAACAGCTGTAGAATGTGCTGGGAAGGGGGAGCTGGCGAGAACAGCCCAGACTCTATTCACGCCCCTACCCTAGAAACAAGATGTCCTTCAACACTTTAGCCCAGCAATTCACATTTCCCCGGGGCATAAAACCTTAGGTACAAAGCCCACGGCAGACTGCTTTTCAGGGTCCCTCAGCTGTAATAGAAATGGGTCATGCACAGTCAAGATTCCATCTGTCCTGGGCAGCTTTCCAGAGCTTGAGGGGAATGGCTTATGGTGGATCCTAGGCTTCTGTCGTCCCTTGCTGCCTATCTGTGAGTAATGAACCTGCTCTATGTAATTTGTTGTGTGTGGGGGGTGCTCTGTCTCACCAGACTCAGAGAAGTTGGTAACTAGGGCACTGTGAACTTATTTCACAAGATAAAATTCAAAAATAAGCAAACTAGTCAATAGTATTAAAAGTCAGGATGGGCCAGGCATGGTGGTTCACACTTGTAATCCCAGCACTCTGGGAGGCTAAGGCAGGTGGATCACCTAAGGCCAGGAGTTCAAGACCAGCCTGGTGAACAAGGCAAGACCCTGTCTCTACTAAAACTATAAAAATTAGCCTGGCATGGTGGTGTATGCCTGTCGTCCCAGCTACTTGGAAGGCTGAGGTACGAGAATCGCTTGAACTCATGAGGTAGAAGTTGCAGTATGCTGAGATTTCACCACTGCACTCCTGCCTGGGCAACAGAGCAAAACTGTGTATCAAAAAAAAAAGGGTCAGGATGCTGGTTATCCTTGGAATGGAGCAGGGAGTGACTGGAAAGGGGACAGGAGGCTTCTGGGAGTCTGGTAATGCTTTGTTCCTTAATCCGGGTGCTGGTTATACAGGTGTGCTCAATTTGTAGAAATTCATGAACCGTACACTTATGCTTTATTCACTTTTCTGTATGTGAGTTATAATATAATAACATCATTATTTAAGATGTCAATATAGCCTTTATGCATTATGGATATTTGTACAGTGTTATTTATCTTTCAGATATTTTTCTCGCTCTGACAGTTGTACTTTAACTGCTTTATAGAAAACTGGACAAAATTGACAAGAAGGCAATTCAAAGAGGGTGCCATACATTAAATAGCCAAACAAACATGAAACGACATGCAGTTTCACTGCTAACCAGGGAAATGCAAATGAATACAACATATAACTCTTTCACTCAAATTGGAAAACTTTCTAAAGGTTTATAACATACACTGTTGACAATGAGAATAGGGAAAGAGGCATGCATATGATTTTGGTCAGGGTATAAAATAGTACAGAATTGCTGAAAGGCAGGGTATTAGTCCATTTTCATGCTGATGACAAAGACATACCCGAGACTGGGTAATTTATAAGGAAAAAGCGGTTTAATGGAGTTCCACGTGGCTGGGGAGGCCTCACAATCATGGCTGAAGGCAAAAGGCACATCTCACATGGCAGCAGACAAGAGAAGAGAATGACAGCCCAGCAAAAGGGGTTTCCCCTTATAAAACCATGAGATCTCGTGAGACTTATTCACTACCATGAGAACAGTAGAGAGAAACCGCTCCCATGATTCAATTATCTCCCACCAGGTCCCTCCCACAACACAAGAGAATTATGGGAACTACAATTCAAGATGAGATTTGGGTGGAGACACAGCCAAACCATATCAGGCAGCTTGGGAGTCTTCTGACATTCTTGAGCCGCTGAATTTAGGTAACCAACCATCTATCTGCAAATCTCTAGAGAAGAAAATAAACCCTAATAATTTTTTTAATCTCAATATAGATACCCCCATCTCCATCCAAATTCATACCTTGTGAATTCAGGAACCAAATAGACTCAGAGTTTGGGTAAATCCCTCATTATCTGAACTCTCGCTACACAGCATCCAAAATTTAGAAATTGAAACATATTATATTTACTATTAATATTATTCAAACATTACATTCTTTTGAACCATTTAAACTTACAGTCAAATTTTTTTTTTTTTTTTTTTTTTTTTTTTTGAGACAAAGTTTCATTCTGCCACCCAGACCGGAGTGCAGAGGTGCAATCTAAGCTCACTGCAGCCTCCACCTCCTGGGTTAAAGCTGTTCTCCTGCATCCACCTCTTGAGTAGCTGGGACTACAGGCACCTACCACCACACCTGGCTAATTTTTTGTGTTTTTAATAGAGATGGGGTTTCACCATGTTCACCAGGCTGGTCTCAAACTCCTGACCTCAGGTGATCCGCCTACCTTGGCCTCGCAAAGTGCTGCGATTATAGGCATGAGCCACTGCGCCCAGCCTTACAGTGAATATTTTTAAATGCCAACTTAAAAATGTACAATGGGGAGGTGGTGTAAATTTTTGAAAAAATCTTTTAAAGCAAAAATTTTTGAAGAAAGCAGTCTTAACATGCCTCTTTTGAAATATATTCTTCAAGCAGACCAAAAATAAGCAAACAAAAATCCATAGGAGTTTATGTACACAATTAACAAGACTAAACAACTAACGTTCTCTGTTTCCGAAAGCAGAGAATATGCATTTTTTTCAAATACCCACTTCATATCTTGAAAAAATAGCCCTATTACAGGCCACACAAAGCTCAAAATAGTTCAAAAAATTGATATCATACTTTCCCAATCACTCCCCACGAAATAATGTTTTAGCCCCAACATATTTTTGCCTGGAAATGTTTAAACACGCATATACAAAGCCTTGAATTAAAGAGGACATCAACAGAGAGGGAAAAAAAGAAACTAACATTTCTTACACTTCTCATGTGCCTGTGGGGTTCCCCTGGGTCTCCCCACGTTGACACCCAGCTGCCACACTTGCCATGCCCCCTCCACTGAGAGCACCTCCCTGTGGCCAGGGCTCTCCCCACCTCCCCCAGCCAGTGTAACTAGCAGGCAAAGGCACCCAAGAGGCAGGGCTGCAGCACATTGCTTGGGCCCTCCGCACGCTCCCAGATAACCTTCTTAAGGGGCTCTGCTGGTGGAAATTCCTGTCCTTCTATGACGAATTAGTGCTGTCTTACTGTTACACACTCGATGTCTGTAACCCCTCCTTTCTTTTGGTTATGAACTCCTTTTCAGTTGCCTCCAGAAAGATCTTAGTTCATTTTTTTCTTGGACTTCATATTTTTCCTCAGCCTAAATTTTCTGATGAAAAAATCTCTTTTTTGTTTTATTATAAGGCTTTGGCTTTTGGCTCTTGTTTAACTGGCTTGATGGTATATAGCTCCTCAAATCATCTTTGGAAATAGATATGGTATAAATATAAAATACGTATACAAACAAATAAAACTTAAAGGGTGAAATTTTCAGGATAGGCTGGAGATCGTCAAAGGTGATATTTTTTGGCAGCTAAGCTCTTGATGAATTGTAGAGTGACCATCTCCCCGACCACTCTGTACAAGAAATTTCCTCCATTCAGAAACAATATAGATTGAACACTGAGAAAACCTTGAATACGGTTATCTCCTGTCCTGAAGATGGTTCAAAACTGCGAAGGAAGAAATGCCTCTTCTGGAAAACTGAGAGTTTAATATTCTACAGACAACCCTGTTGGGGACCCCACAGCAATTTCCCATAGTAATTAACACATTAGCTCTTGGGAGGTCACAACCGTCATTCTGTGCAGAAATGGCTGAAAAAAAGACACAAGAATTGCTTGGGGAACACAGTCATTTATTCAACCTCTGAGGTAGAAGAACCTGCAATTCCAGTTGTATTATAAACAGTCACTCAGAAAGTAGAGATAGCTGTATTTGCAATTTGGCACATTGCATCCCCAGTCAGTCTTAACATGCTTTAGTCGGTTTTCCATCCAGCGGCCACTACAAAAACAAGCCAAACCTTTCGATCTTAAATATTTCAAAGTGACATATTCACAAGAAATAAATGGAAGCTGGTTTTAGGCTTTCAGGTAAAAAACAATATAAACCTTAATGCTCTGTTCTTGGGAAAATTTATTTTTCTGATGGTTTCCCAGCACGGTTTTTGCAAGCAATGTAGAAGAGACATCTCCCATTTTCCAAAATGCTGTATCAAAGAAAGTACATGTTGGCCAAATGAACCCTTCTTCTCCACCTGATGTTTGTTTCACAATGTGATTTCCTGGAAGAGTGTTAGCTAATTTTAAGAGATTTACACCTGGAACAAATAAGCCTAAGAATGAAGAAAGACCAAAAGTGGAGCTGATTGCTTTGCCATCAAGGACAAATGCTGTCTTAGTCTGTGTTGTTATAAAGTAATATCTGAGGCTAAGTAACTTATAAAGAGGTTGGCTCATGGCTCTGCAGGCTGTACAGGAAGCATGGCACCAGCGTCTGCTTCTGGCAAGGGCCTCAGGCTGCTTCCACTTATAATGGAAGGTGAAGGGGAGGCCACATGTGCAGAGATCACAGGGTGAGAGAGGAAGCAAGAGACAGCAGAGGGAGGTGTCAGGCTCATTTTAACAACTGATTCTCATGGGCCTAAAAGGGAACGCTCACTCACCCTTAAAGGAAGGCATTCATTGATTCATAAGGGATCCACCTCCATAACCAGACACATCTCACAAGGCGCCACCTCCAACATTGGGGATCAAACTTCAACATGAGGTTTGATCCAAACATCCAAACTATAGCAAATGCTATTTCCATAAAATGCTACCATTATGATCCTGCCACCCACCAGGATCAGAGCAGTGAGCTAGAGGAAGTTCTAAGCCAGCAAAGAGTTCCACCATCTTGAGTTACTGTCCTCTCCTGCTCTTTTCTGGTGTCTCCCCTCTGGCACTGAGCCTACTGATATCCCTACCCCCCAACTCATGTCACCCTCACCTTCTCCCCCACCATGAAGAACAACCTGGAATTAGGTATGACCTCAGGCCCTGGCCCCAGTCTCCCCACCCCCAGCCTCCAGTCCTATATTCCTCTCCTCTTGCTGCTAGAACAAACAACAACAATCTCAGTGGCTTAAAATAACAGAAAGATATTAGTTCTCAGCTCTGTAGGTCAGAATTCTGAGTGGGCTCAGCTATTTCTCTGCTCTGGGTCTTGCAAGGCCAAAATTAAGGTGTTGGCCTGCGTGGGCTCTTCTCTGGAGACTCTGGGAGAACCTGCTTCTAAGCTTATTGAGGTTATTGGCAGAATTCAGTGTCTCCCAGCTGTAGGACTGAGGTGCCCATTTTCAGGAGCCTCTGTCAGCTGCCTAAGGTCACCTGCATTCCTGGGCACATTACCCCCTCTCTCTTTAAACCAGCACTGGCACGTGGTATCAGCCTCATACTTGAGTATCCTATTGCCCTCTCCTAGGATTCTCTGCTTGAAGGGCTCATGTGACCACATTGGTATCCTCCAACCCCCCATGACCCAGGACAATCTCGCTATCTTCATGCCAACCGACTATTAATAGTAATGTCAATCGCATCTGTAAAATCCCTTTTGCCATGTAATGAAACATATCCACAGGCTCCAGGAATTAGAATGCGGACATCTTTGGGGGGCAATTCTGTCTACTCCGCCTCCCTCCCAGGATTCCCTTGTTGCCAAGCAGATCTGTCATCTCTGGTGCCCGGGCTGGGGCAAGCCCTCTGCACCCAGGTACACCTTATGCTGGAACTAAACCACGGAATCGGCCTCCAGCCTTCGTTCTTTACTGTGAAGCATCGTCCTGCCAGGGGCCCAGGTCTCCTTCCCACCTGAGCACCCATATCTCAGAAGCTGGTTTTTGGCCAGAAGGGAGGCAGTTGGCTTCCTCTCCAGGAGCCTGCCACAGGCTGGTGTTACACTGTAATTGCACAGCGCTCTAGGAACTGACTGCCATCCATCAATAGCCTCCTTCCAAGAGTACTGGCCTCTGCCATGCCCTGCTCCCAGAATCCAGTACCAACAATGGCCAGAATCATCCCCCCTCCTCCATTCTCCCCCGACTGCTGCCACCAAAGAGACTCTCTTTGCCAAAGCCAGCGGCAGGAGAGCAGGAACCATAGGAGGCTATGAAGCTGCAGGCTGCCTCTCTAAGCCACAAATCAAGACCAGTTAGTTTTTCTGTTAGAAATCCTGTAAATATTTCTGATCAAATCACATTTTTGTAATTTGTAGATGTTGGTTATGTGTTCTCCCAAATATTGCTTGTTTAAAAACATTTCTCCCTGAAAAGAAATATGTTCTAGCTCTCTTTTTTCTAAAGCCAGAAATATAAACAGCACCAAGAATTTATATACGAAAGATTTAATATTTCCCAACCTCCTCATCATTTCTACTCAGCTTTCAACTCCTACTCAATGCATTTTCCTAAGGGAGTCTAAGTTCTTACTAATTCACAAACATAGAATACTGACATAAAGAATCGCTGCAAAATCTGTAGTAAGGAAAAGAGAGAGGAAGGGCAAAGAAATCTGCCCACAGAGGTAAAACAACATGCTCCTTAACGCCATCTAGTGGGCGGCCAGATAATTCATCTATCTCCCCTACTTGGTCCTCCAGCCTCCCCACACCATGAGTGTTTCCGTACATACAGCCCACCCTGAAATTATGCATACACACGTGAGATCATTTGTATTAATTTATTCTATGACCCTTTTTTGTTAACTTCATAAGCATCAAGTTCATACATGAATCATAGTTCACAAACTCAGGAAACAGCACATCTCTTTATTTATATAAATTAATTTGATTTCTGATCCCAGTGCTAATAATACCAGGCTGGTAGAAAATCTAACCTCAATGACTTTCAGAGTTTCCGGATGTCTCCCTGAAGCTCTCGCACGGTTATGGAGGTCTGTGTGCACTGCTGCAGGTCTGTGACATGCCCCCTGGACTCGCATCAGTTTGCTAATTGCTGAGACATCCTCTTCCCCCTGCATGGCCCCAGCTGGGCCCCATTGCTGCCATGAGACTCCATCTCCCTAAATGAGCTGGACGGCCTTTGGATTCTTGGATTCTCCCCTGGGTCCGTCAGCATCTCCATGTGCTTCCAGGAAGCCATGACCAAGACTCCCTCTCCTCTAAGACCCTCAGACTTCCTGCTCTTGATTCACGTACCTCTCCCTCCTGCCCCTCTGCGGTATCAGATCTCCAAGCAGGACACCTCATCATTGAAGTGCCTCTCAGGGACCTACAGCCTTATCTCCTCAGTGGGTTTAGAATCAAGTCAGGCAGCCTCAAGCCTTCCTGGGGGCAAAGAATCTCGGGTCTATCTGCTTGAAGGAGGTGGATAAAGGGAGAAAATTGGGCCGAAAGCCCATAAATATCTCAACAGCCTATTTAGCCAATAGCAATGAAAATACATAGCCTTTCTCATGTATTTATGGACAATTATGCTCATGTCCAGCAGAGAAATCCTGAAGTATACGTGAGCCCTGCCAGAGTCAGTGATGCAAGTCTTTCTTAGAACCCTGAGCTGGCGGGAGGCTAACCTTAGCCACCAGCAGCCTTAGCATCGGCGGCCTCAGAGGACTAATTTCTCCCTTTGGAGGTGGGACAACATGTCTCCCTTCTGAAAAACAGTCCACAAGTTATTTTAGCACTAGTGTATCAGAATTTAAAAGGAGGCTCTTTAGGAATGCACCATGGTGTTTTTCAGCAACTTGCTGCAAGGTTGCCTTCCCAGCCTCCTGGGACAGAAGGAATTACTCTTCCCTTTGTTCCCACACAGTATGAAATTTGTAGGTGTTTTTAGCACTTCTTTTATTCTGCCTTCTCTATGTAGAAATAAATGAACACAACCCACACAAGAAAGGCAAAGGCTACTTATTCAGAGCTTGCTCCATCAAGGGAGTTGGCCACCATCACTTTTGTTTGGCAGGGACTCAAAGGCAGGCAGGGGAGTGGGAGAACTTTACAGAGCACACAAGGGATGGCTTCAGGTGTGCCCTGATTGGAGGCTGTTGGCCTGGGGAAGCCCACGGTGGCCAACTAGGAGCATTGAAGCCTATCTGATTGGTTAGGGCCATAGTTGGCTTTCTGTGGTTGGTCTTAAATTGGAAGCAGGCACAAAAATTAGGGAAGGTGTCAGTTATTAATCAAGTCCTGTTCATTTGGGGCCGACTACTAGAAGGGTTATTGTTTGGCTTCTTAGACCAGTTGCTAGAGATAGTAGCCTGACTTCCTGTAAGTCTGGCTTTTAAAGGCAGCAGATGGCTTCCTGGGCTGGTTACTGTATATAATGGGTTGATTTTCTGAGGTAGTTGCTGCAGATTTGGGGTCAGAGTTGTATTTTTATATACGGTCTGGCCACTGTCTATGTGTATATTCAGTCTCTCATCTACTACAGTTGGCTATTTCTACTGAAGGCTGTAAGATCCTTGAGGACAAGAGCCAGATCTTTGTATTTGTATTGCCAATGTACAGGGTCTAAGACAAACATATTTTGAAAATTGAGCTGAATCAATTTCACATACACGTTTGTGGAGGTAAACTGAATACGTTTCATTTTCCCTAGTACAGTCACTAGGCTTGTTTTTCCCTTTAGCACAAAATACTAACAGATAGCACTGTACGGTCTTCCATTTTAAGCAAAGCTTGCCGCCACTGCTAACAATACTGCTAACTCCACTGTATTAGTCCACTCTCACATTACTATAAAGATATACCTGAGACTGGGTAATTTAGAAAGAAAGAGATTTCATTGACTCACAGTTCCACATGGCTGGGGAGGCCTCAGGAAGCTTACGATCGTGACAGAAGGCGAAGGGGAAGCAAGGCACGTTTTACATGGCAGCAGGAGGGAGAGGGAGAGAGAGAGAGAGAGAGAGAGAGAGAGAGAGAGAAAGGGGAAACTGACAGTTTTAAACCATGAGATCTCGTGAGAACTCACTACCACAAGAACAGTATAGGGGAAACTGGCCCCATGACCCAATCACCTCCCACCAGGTCCTTCTCTGGACATGTGGGGATTACATTTCAAGATGAGATTTGGGTAGGGACACAGAGCCAAACCATATCATCCACGTATGAATAATTTGTCCTTAATTTTTTTATTTTCCTGCAACTTCCCTTGCCTGCCTTCTGTCTAAATTAAGGCAACAGCCCATGAGCTGTTG
Organism: Homo sapiens; assembly: GCF_000001405.40. Lineage (NCBI taxonomy): Eukaryota > Metazoa > Chordata > Mammalia > Primates > Hominidae > Homo > Homo sapiens. The sequence goes on along the minus strand of NC_000013.11, from coordinate 100,719,498 downwards.
AATACCACCTGATAGGGTTTGTCACTCTGTATTTTTTATTGTTGTTATGAAACTGAGCTGTGTCTACCTTTCCCAAGTTGGCTTAAAAACAAGATGCATTTGTATCGAACCAATATTTTCCTGGTATATTTTGGCTAAAGACATACCACAGACTGAAGAGATTTGAAGAGGGCCTTCTCTCCCAGGTAAGAGAATTAAGAATATATTATCATTGGTATCCCTTCAGCTTTGGTCTGAACACCCAAATAAGTAGTCCTCTCCTCTCTAATCGAGGTAAAATTCTCATATATAACATTAACCATTTGGAAATATACAATTCAGTGGCATTTACTGCATACACAATGTTATACAATGGTCACCTCTATCTAATTCCAATGCATTTTCCATCACCCCAAAAGGAAATGACATACCTATTAAGCAGTTAATCTCCATTCCCTCGCCCCATTAGCCCCTGACAAAACTAATCTGCTGTCTCTATGTATTTACCTATTCTGGATTTTTTATGTAAATGGATTATACAGTATGTGACCTTTTGTATTTGGCTAATTTCACTTCACATAATAGTGTCAAAGTTCATCCATGTGGTAGCACGTATCAGTATTTTGTTTCATTTAGGTTATCTGTTGATGTGTCAGAGGCATTTGAGCCACAGCACCCCCATCTTGAACAGAAGCTGGGTAAAATAAGGCTGAAACCTACTGGGCTGCATTCCCAGATGATTAAGGCATTCTAAGTCTCCAGGTGAGATAGGAGGTCAGCACAAGATACAGGTCATAAAAACCTTGCTGATAAAACAGTTTTCAGTAAAGAAGTCGGTTAAAACCCACCAAAACCAAGATGGCCATGAGAGTGACCTCTGGTCGTCCTCACTACTACACTCCCACCAGCACCATGACAGTTTACAAATGCCACGGCAGCGACAGGAAGTTACCCTATATGGTCTAAAAAGGGGAGGCATGAATAATCCACCCCTTGTTTAGCATATCATCAAGAAACAACCATAAAAATGGGCAACCAGCAGCCCTCGGGGCTGTTCTGTCTATGGAGTAGCCATTCTTTCGTTCTTCTTTCTTAATAAACTTGCTTTCACTTTACTCTATGGACTTGCCCTGAATTCTTTCTTGCACAAGATCCAAGAACCTTCTCTAGTGGTCTGGATCAGGACTCTTTCCTGTAATAGAGGGACATTTTGTCGGTTTCCACCCTTTGTCTGTTGTGAATACTGCTATTATGTACGTGGGTATAAATGCTTTTGTGTAGACACATGTTTTCAGTTCTCTTGGGTATATACCCAGAAGTGGAATGGCAGGGTCACGTAGTAATTTTGCATTCAACTTTTTGAGGAATCTTCTCTTGTTTTAAAGCAGCAGATGCAAGGAGTGCCGAATCCAGTTGAAACATGCAGGGAAGCTAGGGAGAACTGGAATGGCTCTGCAGGCGCTCCAGGGGTGTTCGCCTCCTCCCTGAAGCCTGCTGAGCCCTGTGTACCATACCAGACTGCACCATAATAATCCGTTTCCTACGTCTGTAATGCCAACTAGCCTACAAGTCCCTCTGCAGCAGGGGACACATTTTATAGGTGCCTCTGTGTGTCCCCAGTGCTTAGCAGTTAGCACTGTGCCCCGCACATAGTAGGCATTCAAAAATGTGGGTGGGGTCTCAATCAATTTGTAATGATTAAACTAATTAAGGCAGCATTCCCTTAGCAGTTTGGTCCTTGTTTAATAAGAACATACTTTTCCTTGGGATACCCACTGAGAGCTGCTGAAAGGGTACAGCACCATCATCTAACACAAAGAACATATAAATTTGGAAAGCAATATAGCCCGAGATGCGAGATGCGCTAATGATGATAGCAATCTCCACTCTGGGATGGTGCATTGAACTTGTGTTTAAATTAAAAGCAAGCGCCTTGGAGCATTTCTCCATTCTTAGTACAATGGCTCATTATCTAAAGCAAAATACAATCTTAGAAAACACTGTCAAATAAAGCTAAGTATTGTGTCTGTAAGAAAAATGATCTAAGTGATTCGCAGGTTATATTGTGTCTTCATCATTCAGAATTTCTAGGACTGAGAGTTCACCCATTCTGCTTCTATAGAATCATCAGTACATCTTAGGATCATGAAGGACAGAGTTAATTTTTAAAATGTACAATAAACTCAGCCCTACTGTTAAATGCTACCGTTACACAGCTCAATCCTCACAGCTCACTGCTTTGTTGGCATTAGGTGTTATCTAAATGCAAGGCCATGGCATTCAAAAAGCTGTAAAAGAAGACTTAACACACCCAGCTCTGTGACACTGGGCGTCATCGCAATGAGATCTTTTTCGTTCCCCTGTAAATTCTCCCTTGATGTTGAAGAGCTGAGACTAAAAATGATCAAACACCAATTAAGCCATAGTGATCTAAGAATTATGCCAGATGATGACTTGGAAAGGAGGGTCTGCTCCTGGAAGATAAATCAAGAAGAATGCGAGGGAAAGAAATATTAATGCAGAGTGAAAGGGTATGATTTCAGAGTGGCAGACAGGGATGAGAGACGGAATTTCCCCTCTCCCTTTCTAGACCAGCCCTTCTCTCTGTTTCAGATGGCACCCCCTCTCTCCCCACTCCAGGGCATCAGTGTGGGTGCCTTCTCTCGTGCCCCCTGGCCAATACAGCCTCCGAAGTCCCCCTCCTGTGCGCCCCATTCCTCACCCTCCAGCTGCCACACCCTAAAAACTGATTTTAAGCTTTTGAGAACTCAGGATTATTAAAATAGCCTTCCAGCCACCTTATTGCCTCCAAGTTTCCCCCATGCTAATGTATAGATTAACCCCCCTCCTGTAGGCTGATTCGCAGTTCAGGAGCTGCTGCTGACATCCCCTTCCTACAGAACAGAGTGCGACCCAGCCTTGCCTGGCACTCGAAGCTGACTGCTCTTTCTGGACCACAGTTCAAATGAGCTATTTCTGCTCCCCAGACACTTTTCTGCTGTCTCAGGCGGGGTTCCGCAGAGGCCCTGAGATGACGATTCATGTGCAGGTGACTTACTGAGGAAGCTGGACAGATGACAGGGAAAAGCCTAGAAGGGGGTGACTTCAGACACAGACCTTGGAGGGAACAGAGGGGAGCTCTGAAGTTTGTCTTTATCCAGGGCGAGGGCACTGGGCCTTCAGACTCCCTACACCCCCCAGCCACTGCCTGACACTGGAGAAGGGCCAGGTGAGGGTGGGAGGGAAGATGGGCTGTAAACCCAGGCACTCCTGGGACTCCGTAAGAGGAGGCAACGCTAGCTGAGTCCCAGGTACAGAGCTGTGGGAAGCAAAACACAGAAGTTTGTGTAGGGGGTTGAGTGGGTGGGAGTAGAACAAGAGGAATGGAAAAGGGGCCTAAGGACTTTGGGTGGAGTCACATGTCGGTCACACTTGCTTCCTACCTGGTGTTTTATGGGTGATCATAGAGGAGGCCATACCCTCATCTCCACTTGCCCAGATCTAGACCATCTTTCATAGCCCAGCATCCACAAGCCTTCCCTAACCACCAGACACACACACGTGCACACACATATATACACACACAGAATTAGTCCCAGCCAACACTGCCCAGCTACCAAATGGACAAGGTCCTGACGAACAGAGTATTCCCAGGCCTGGTCCTGGGAGATGGGGGCATGCGAGTAAGCAGGGAGAATGGGCACCCCAGCAGGGCACTGAGCCCAGCGACCCTGGGTCACCAAGGGTGGGTAGCACCTGGGAGTCCAGGCTGTTAGGAGAACAGGGCCAGGCCTCTTCACGGGTGGTGGGATTCCAGCTCCTGTACCAAGTTGGGAGCAATCCCTACCAGTCTTCCCGGAGGGCGGTATAGCTGTGGGAGGCAGAAATAAAATCAGAAACAAGCCAAAAACAGAAGTAAAATTATATGAACTGGAAACAACAGTGGAGACAGAAGGACAAGAGAAAGAAAGCTGTAACTTGGGAGGTGACCAGGCCCAACCAAGGTACCACAGCCCGGGTCAGCCTGACTGAGCATGGGGCCAGATATTGACCTCCACCCACAGGCAGGAGCACGAAGTGGCTGAAACTCAAAGGGGCCCTCTCAGGGATCAAAGAGGCTGCTTTTAAAGTTCTTGAGATGAAATGCCAAAAAAGAGACTAGTGCCTATTTGCTCATTTTCAATACTATGTCCCTCTATCTACAGTAGAGACTGGCAAACAAAATATTCAAATTCCCTGCCTCCTTTGCAGCTGGAGGTAGTCACATGCCACAAGCCTGGCCACTAAAAAATAGGTAAAAGTCCTCAGAAAGGGCTCCTCTCTGCTCTTTCCTGGTCTCCTTTCTTTTCTGGCTGGGATGCAGCTATTGGTGGCTGGTGATGTGGCAGTCATCTTAGGACCATAAGGATGAAAGCTACATGTCCAAGGTAGACAACGTAGAAAGAGACTAGTCTCCTGATGTAGTCTTTGTAAGTTAACAATAACTGCAGTAACAAGCAAACTTTGAACTCTCACACAGCAATCATTTATGATGTATGTAAATTTCAACTAGCAGGGGATGGAAGGAACTGCTCTGCTCCATGTCATGATTCAGGGACCCAGGCTGATGGAGGTGCTACCATCTTCAACACATGCTTTCTCAGATCACCCTGGGTGTGAACATCCAACCAGCAGAGATGAAAAGAGGGAATGAACCAATTCTGCAGTAAAGTTTTATGAACCAGAAGCAAAAGCTGCATATATCACTTCCAACTGCTTTCCTTTGGCCAGAATTCAGTCATCCGGCCACACTAACTGCAAAGAAGTCTAGGAAACATAGTCCAGCCCAGGAGGAAGGGAAAATAATGTGGCATCTGTCAGAACACTCTCCTGTGGCCACACAAACCCCAGACTGCCTCCCTCTTGCCTTCTGGTGGCAGAAGCTTGGAAGGAAGATATATATCTTCCCTAAGATACTGTTTGTTGGGGGTCCTTGCTATTCTCAGCCAAGTATAAACCCAGGATAACAGACATCGTGGTACAGTTCAAATATTTACATGTATAAAATTAATCCTTTTAACATTCCTACAACGAATGCAAGACTGTTAATCACAAGATAATTATAGCATGTACTGAAAATATTAATTTATAATGCTACAGAGGTGTGGTTAGTAATAAGATGCAAGATTCAATTTATATGACATCATTTTTTCTCTATCCTGTCAATGATTTCTGTCACTGTGTGTTTAACTTCAACATGAGAAGTGAAGTCTAATGTTTGAAGTTTTTCATGGATGTGAGGACTGGGCCAAAATGCTCCCCCTGCTCAAATTGGGAGAGGGGGAATAAAGGAAAAGAGGAAAGGAATTGATCTACCTCTGCTTCTGCCAATGAATTAGAATTTGTGTGACTTTGAATTTGTGTGACTAGAACTTGGCAGAATCTGCTTCTGCCAAAGAATAGAATTTGTGTGACTCATGTTTATATTTCCAACACATAAAACTTAAAAATGGATAATGGATAGATGGATAAGACTGTCAGAGTGACTGCTACAATGTCAGATATTAGCAGCTACAATTTTCTACACAAAAGACATAATAACTTTGGAGACATGTAAAACTGAAGATTTCACTTTTGGTAATTTAAGCATTTTTGAAATAAGGTATAATGTGGCTTTGTGAAATATGATTCAATATTCATTTCATAAATATTAGGACTAGAAGGGATCTTAGTCCAGGCCCCTGTTTAAGAGGAAGAAAGGAGATGAGACGGTGAGTTTACTTGCCCAAATTATAAGTGACTGAGCCAGCATTGAAACCCAGACTGGTCCTGACACCCACCATATATCATGTTTGATAAAAAGAAATGCAACAGCAGTTATGGTCCAGCATCTTTTGGCTACATACCCAAAATAACTGAAAATAAAGACTCAAACATGGGTATACATGCCTGTATACCCATGTACATGGCAGCCTTATTCACAGTAGCCAAAAGGCAGAAACCATCCAAATGTCCCTCAACTGATGAATGGAGAAGCAAACTGTGGTATATACCTACAGTGGAATACTATTCCACCTTCAAAAGGAAGGCAGATCTGATACCTGCTACAACACATATGAACCTGAAAACATGTCAAGTGAAATAAGCAAGGCCCAAAAGGACGAATGTCAGATTCCATTTATTTGAGATAGCCAGAAGGCAAACACACAGAGACAGACAGCAGAATAGAGGGTACCAGGAGCTGAGAGGAGGGGGAATGGGAGTTAGTAGCAGGAACAGTTTAACAAGAACAGAGTTTCCATTTAGGATGATGAAAAAATTCTGGAAATGGATAGTGCAGATGGCTGTACAACATCACGATTATACCTAATACCACTGAATTGTTCGCTCAAAATATGGTTTAAATGGCCAATTTTATACTATATATATTTTGCCACACACAAAAAAGGAACTATAACAAGAACTTTAAAAAAATACTTCTGGCTGGCCGAGCGCAGTGGCTCATGCCTGTAATCTCAGCACTTTGGGAGGCCGAGGCGGGCGGATCACGAGGTCAGGAGATCGAGACCATCCTAGCTAACACAGTGAAACCATGCCTCTACTAAAAAAATACAGAAAATTAGCCGGGCATGGTGGTGGACGCCTGTAGTCCCAGCTACTCGGGAGGCTGAGGCAGGAGAATGGCGTGAACCCAGGAGGCGGAGCTTGCAGTGAGCCGAGATTGCGCCACTGCACTCCAGCCTGGGCGACAGAGCAAGACTCTGTCTCAAAAAAAACAACAAAAAAAAACTACTTCTGGCAGGGCCCAGCTGCTCAAGCCTGTAATCCCAGCACTTTGGGAGGCTGAGGCACATGGATCACCTGAGGTCAGGAGTTCAAGATCAGCCTGGCCAACATGGTGAAATCCTGTCACTACTGAAAATGCAAAAATTAGCTGGGTGTGGTGGCACGCCCCTATAATCCCAGCTACTCAGGAGGCTGAGGTAGGAGGATTGCGTGAACCCAGGAGGCAGAGGCTGCAGTGAGCCGAGATCGCACCACTGTACTCCAGCCTGGGCGATGGAGCGAGACCCTGTCTCAAAAATAAATAAATAAATAAATAAACAAATAATAAAATATTTCTAATATGTATTTGGGAGAGAGTGTTCTGCCTAAGAATTTGATCTCACCCAAGTATAAGAGAGTCTCAAATACAAACTTTCAACCTGTTCTTTGTTCTGAAGGTGGAATGGTCCCTTAGCAGAACACCTTAGAGGGCACCTCAGGTCACTAAAACAGGGCCTATCTCCTGGCAGGTGTTCAGGAAATCAGCGTTGAATGATTTGGGGTTTTTTTGTTTGTTTTGAGATGGAGTCTCGCTCTGTCGCCCAGGCTGGAGTGCAGTGGTGCGATCTCGGCTCACTGCAACCTCTGCCTCCTGGGTTCAAGCAATTCTCTTGCCTCAGCCTCTCGAGTAGCTGGGACTACAGGCACGCACCACCACGCCTGGCTAACTTTTTGTATTTTTAGTAGAGACGGGGTTTCACCATGTTAGCCAGGCTGGTCTCGATCTCCTGACCTTGTGATCAGCCCGCCTCAGCCTCCCAAAGTGCTGGGATTACAGGCATAAGCCACTGCACCCAGCCCAAATGATTTGTTTTTAACTCAAAAAGAAGTCCCAGAGTCCAGTTAGAGATGAGGATGGAGAATTAAATTGCTTTTTATAATTCAGTAACTTTTTTTTAGTCTTGCATTGGTAGTTGGAGAAAAAAAGTTTGGGGGTGGATGTTAGAATGGAGGAAGGAAGTATGGGAGGTGATTTGAGAGAGAGGAGGAGGAAGAGGGAGAGAGAGAGAGAGAACGAGAAAGCACACATAACAGGAATCATGTGGAAAGCTAAATTTAGGAAGAACGTGGGCTGGCAGGTGAGGAATTCTTGTGCTCAGATTGGCCACAGAGTTTCCAGATGGAGATGTTTAGAATATGGAGCTGGGATGAGCACGGGATTATAAACTCCAAGGAAATTCCCAGAAGCATGTAGGAAAGATGCTCAATGCCCTATTCTATGCACAATGGGACACGTGCCATGTTGCTTTTGTGTTAGAGGAAAAGGTGGCCCCAGGAGCCTGTAGGACCTGGAAACATCCAGAATACCAAAGGGTGCCAAGTGAAGTGGCTCACACCTGTGATACCAGCTACTTGGGAGGCTGAGGCAGGAGGATCACTTGAGCCCAGGAGGTTGAAGTTGCTGTGAGCCATGATCGCACCACTGCACTCCAGCCTGGGCAACAGAGCAAGACCCTGACTCTCTCTATATATACACACATGCATATACACATATGGATATCTATACTAATATATAGTATACAAAGATATATACAGTCATGCATCAAATAACATTTTGGTCAACAACAAACCACATATACAACAGTGATCTAATAAGATAATGTTAGAGCTGAAAAATTTCTATCCCCTAGTGAAATCAGAGCTGTCCTAATGTCATAGCACAACATATTACTCACATGTTCGTGGTGATGCTGGTATAAACAAACCCTCTGTGCTGACAGTCACATAAAAGTATAGCACATACAATTATTCATGGTACATAATACTTGATAATAAATGACTATATTACTAGTTAATGCGTTTACTATACTACACTTTTTATCTTTAGAGTACGCTCCTTCTACTTATTTTTAAAAAGGTAACTGTAAAAGAGCCTCAGGCAGGTTCCTCAGGAGGTATCCCAAAAAGAGACATCGTTACCATCGGAGATGACAGCTCCATGCAAATTATTGCCCCTGAAGACCCTGCCATGGGACAAGACAGTGATATTGATGATCCTGACCTGTGTAGGCCTAGGCAAATATGTATGTGTGTATCTTAGTTTTTAACAAAAATGTTTAAAAGGTAAAAAAAAATTAAAAAATAGAAAAAATGTATAAGAATATAAAGAAAGTTATTATACAACTGTGTAATGTGTTTGTGCTTTAAGCTAAGTGTTGTTACAAAAGAGTCAAAATGTTTTAAAAATGTAAAGTTCATAAAGTAAAAGCATTACAGTAAGGTGGGGTTAATGTATTATTGAACAAGAAATATATTTCCTAAGTGTAGCCTAGGTGTCGAGTGTTTATAAAGTCTAAGTAGTGACAGTAATGTCCTAGGCCTTCGCATTCACGCTCCACTGACTCACTGACTCACTGACTAACCCAGAACAACTGCCCATCCTGCAAGCTCCATTCATGGCAAGTGCCCTGTGCAGATGGACCATGTTTAATCTTTTATATGGTATTTTTGTTGTACTTTTTCTATGTTTCGATACGTAAATACTTACCATTGTTATAATTGCCTCCAGGATTCAATACAGTCACATGCTGTAGAGGTTTGTGGCCTAGGAGCATAGGCTATACCATATGTAGGTATATATAGGCTATACCATTGAACCTAGGTGTGTGATAGGCTATACCATCTAGGTTTGTGTAAGTGTATGATGTTTGCACGTGAAGAAATTGCCTAATGATGCATTTCTCAACATATCCCCATCAGTACGCAACACATGATGATATACTATATATATATATAAGATTGTATATGCACATGGTCCCCAACTTATGATGGTTTGACTTAGGATTTTTTGACTTTACAATGGTGCAAAAGTGAAATGCGTTCAGTAGAAACTGTAGTTTGAGTACTCATACAACCATTCTGTTTTTCAATAAATTACATGAGATAGTAAGTACTTTATTATAAAATAGGCTTTGTGTTACATGATTTTTGCCCACCTATAGGCTAACGTAAGTGTTGAGCACATTTAAGGTAGGCTAGGCTAAGCTATAATGTTTGGTAGTTTAGGTGTATTAAATGCATTTTCGACTTACAATATCTTCAAATTATGGTGGTTTATTGGGATGCAACCCCACCAAAGTTGAGGAACATCTCTCTATATACAATCTTACTGGTTTTAGAAAGAATGTCTGAGGCACTTTTGCTCTTTGATTTTCCTCTGGAGAATTGCATGATGCATAGAATGCTCATGTTCAACACACACTCGTGGGATTCCCTGCATTTAGGTGACAATAATTTATAATCACCGCAGCTATTTGTTAATGCTTCAGTAATAGTCTGTCCTTACTGGTTGAAACATCAATAAAATAGAGTTATGCACAGTTCACCCACAGCAGCCTGCTCTTTCTCTGCAACTTTTATTCAAAAAGCATGTCAGCATATTTAAAAAGTAGTGACCAATCATTAGTTTTGTCAAGTCAATCATCTCCAACTGATAGTGACGCAACTCCAGTTTAGTGTTCTTTAGAATTACCTGGAGAAGTAATTATTGGGAACATACAGGCTCCTAGGCTACAACCCTAAGAGCTTCCCATTTATAGCATTTCAGGTAGCCCAAGAATCTGCATTTTAGCAAGTACTCTAGGAAATATGAAGCTATTTGGAAAACCTTATCTTAGAGATACTTTATTGTTAATACAACTTCCAGAGGTATTAGCTAGAAGTGCCCAATCAAGGCTCTGGATGGTGGGGGTGAAGAAAAGGAAGAAAAGAAAGTCATATGCTCCTTCCAAAACTAGTTCCTCTTGGCTAACCAGTTGTTATGGGCTGAATTGTGTCTTCCCCAACCCCCAAATTCCTATATTGAAGCCCTAACGCCCAGTACCTCAGAATGCGACTGTATTTGGAGACAGGGCCTTTAAAGAGGTAATTAATTTAAAATGAAACCATGAGGGTTAGCCCTAACACAATCTGACTGGTGTCCTTATAAGAAAAGGAAATTTGGACACAAAGAGAGATACCAGGGATGTGTGCACACAGAGGAAAGACCACGTGAGGACACATTGAGAAGGCAGCCATCTGCAAGCCAAGCAGAGAAGCCTCAGAAGAAACCAGGCCTGCTGACACCTTGAAAGAATACGTTTCTGTTGTTTACGCTCCCCTGTCTGTGGTATTTTGCTACAGCAGCCATAGAAAACTAATACACCAGCTGAAATGAGTCAGTTCTCACACTGCTATAAAGAACTACCTGAGACTGGGTAATTTATAATGAAAAGAGGTTTAATTGACTCACCGTTCCACAGGCCACACAGGAAGCATGGCTGGGAAGGCCTCAGGAAACGTACAATCATGGCAGAAAGCAAAGGGGAAGCAGCACTTCTTACCAGGGCAGGAGCAGGAGGAAGAGCGAAGGGGAAGGTGCCGCCCACTTTTAAACAACCAGGTCTTGCGAGAACTCACTCCCTATCACAGGAACAGCCAGGAGGAAGTCCGCCCCCATGATTCCATCCCCTCCCACCAGGCCACTCCTCCAACACTGGGGATTACAATCTGACAGAGATTTGGGTGGGGACACAGAACCAAACCATATCACCAGCTCTCTGTGCCTGCCTCTCACAGTTGGCTCACAGCCTGCAGAGCTGGTGTGCAATGTGTCATCATGATTTAACTCTCTTCATTTTCCCACCTAGGATGCCAGAAATCAGGGCCGCAAAGCCCACTAATGTTCCTTTGTGGGTGAGTCACAGGTTTGTGGGAGAGAGAAACTGGAAATCAGCTCATCAACCACTGAGCTAAAACAATTGTGCCAATGAGGGTCTGACCTAACCTCTCACTCTTGCGTAAATGATGGAAGAGAGAGACACCTGAGGTTTTGAGGCTCAGCTATCAGAAGCTGACTCAGCTCGATAAAGCCTCTTCATCAGCAGTTACATGCAGCAGGTCATACAACTGATTGATCTAACTGGAATCCCTCAAGTATTCCACAGGCACCAATGATATACTAGCCAATAACCCCACTGCGAGACAGAGTCCATGGATTCAAAGTCTTATTGCCAAAGTTAGGATCTGTAATCCCTTTCTACTTATTTTGAAATATGCTGCTGCACTTCAGCGAAATCTGATAACATTCTGGCAGGTATTATAAAATTAGTTGAATAATATTAGCTTAATTAGATTAATTGCTTGCTGTGATTATCTAGGGAATTTCATCCTTATCTTCATTCTCCTTTCTCAGCTCTTTCCTTCCCTCATGCTTCCCTATGGGTGGTATATTCAAGATTGCAGGACACTGAGTGAATGGGAGAGGGAACAATTGCTGAGATGAGTGTCACTAAAGACATTCACCTGCGCTCTCGCTCTCCTTCATACCCCTCTGGGCTACTGTGCCCCACCTCCAAGGGAGCCAGCATCACCACTGGGAGAGACATGGGGACTCATATGAAGCTGGAAATGAAGGAGAGGCTCGTCTGGGATGAAGGTGAATGAGACAGTAAGATACAGCTGTGTAAAAAGAAAAGGGAATGGTAAAGAATGGAGTAGAAGAGAAGAAAGTTTCATCAGAGGGTAAGAGAAGGAGGAAAGAAGAGTTTTGTGGACGGATTGAAGACATGTTGAAGTCTTAACCCCCAGAACCTGCGAATGCGCCCTCATTTGGAGATAGGGTCTTTGCAGATGGAATCAAGTTAAAATGAGGCTATACTGGATGAGGGCGGGCCCTTATCCAACACGACTGCTGTCCTTCTAAGAAGAGAAAAATTTGAACACAGACACACACAGAGGGAAGGTCACGTAAAGATAGAGGCAGAGGTTGGAGTGATGCTGCTACAAGCCGGGGAGTGCTGTGGGCCACCACAAGCTGGAAGAGGCAAAGAAGGACCCTTCCCTAGAGCTCGAAAGGACAACAGCCCTGCCAACACCTTGATTTCAAACTCTAGCCTCCAGGACTAGAGACAGTAAGTTTCTGTGGTTTTACGACTCCCAGCCTGTGGTACTTGGTTATGGAGTCTGAGCAAACTAACAAGGAGAAAGTGTGTGGAGAAGAGGGAAGCTTCCTGAAGGCTGTTTGCTTCTCATGCTGCCTGGAACATGGTGGCACTCAGTAAGGAAGTGTGGATTAATAGACTAGGTGACACGTACATAAGGCACTGACGACAGACGTGTGAGAGGAAATAAAGTGCAAACCGATGTCTATCACATGTCTTTTTCCCTCATTGGCTAGCTCAGTGCCTTACAGAAAACAGGTGCTTAACAAATGTGTTGATGAACTGATTAAATCATTTCCATAGTTATCTAACATTTATAAACGCGGGTGCACAGTTCTGCAGTGAGATCTTTTTTTAAGAGGTGGAACAGCAATTCGTCTTGAAAAAACTGAGCATCTCATCATGGACAGTTTTATCTCTTCATGGTTTGCAAAGGAATGAGGAGAAGGACAAGGAAGCAGAAAGAGAAGAAGAAAGAGAAGGGGAGAGGAAAGAAAAGAAGGAAGGGAGGTTGTTTTCGCTCCGGATGTAGGAGAAGTGGTGAGTGCAGCTCACGTGTGGTTCATGGGTAGAGAAAATGTCACTCATCGCAATTCTCTTAAAGAAGAGACTTTGTTTGGCAGGATGCCTTCCTAAGTTTCTGCCCACTGAGAACCTGGGTCAGCAGGCATAAAGTCCTCAGGGTGGGGAAAGACATTTTAAGTGAGGAAAGAGGAGAAATTTGGCTAGTTTGACTCTTGAAGAGAAGTGATCGTGTTGGCAGGAGCAGGGGTGGAGATGCGGAGAGGATGGGTGGGGACCTAGCAAAAGTGGGAGATGCAGGGACAGATGAAGGTTAAACTCAGTGGTGGAACAGCTACTTCAGTTATGTACTATTGTCTGTAAGACAATCCACCCTAAATCTGGAGTTACCTGGGTGTTTCTTTTGCCCCACAGGATGTGAGCTAGGTCTGAAGACATCTAGGAGCTCAACTGAAATCTCCTTAGCCAAATCCACAAATTCATTGGCTACATTTCCTATTCCCCATATTATCATAAGCAGCTGGAGTTGTGACATCTGGGTACTCAGCTAGACTAGAATGTCCAAGAAGGCTCACTCACAGGGTTGGCGGTGGATGCTGGCAGTTGGCTGGGAGCTCAAGTGGATATGTGTTGTCTTGAGTGCCTCAGTCTTGGTGGCTGGATTTCAAGAGGGAGCACCCCCAGGACAGCATTCTGAGAGAGAGGAAGCAGAAGCCACCAATCCTCAAATAAACTGATATCGATCAATTGTACTACATTCTATTGGCTAAGCAGTGTGAGGCCAGGCCAGACTCAAAAGAAGAGGAAATAAACTGTGTCTTCTAATGAGGATAATGACAAAGAATTTGTTTGCCATCTTTAACAGCAGGCAGCTGATGGAGCTTTTAAAAATGAGAATGTCTTCTGTGACTATTAAAATTGTTTGCTTTGTTTCAAAATAAGCCTCTCCAGCCTTCTTCAGGAATATACATTGTTTATAGAAGCTTTGCATAGAGGATTTTTTCAATCCAAATATTGACTTTCTCTTCTGGATTAATGTGGGATAAAATAAAAACATTAGATGCAGAAGAAGATGGCTGTAAGAACATGTATCCCTGATAATTCAGTGGAAGTCAATCTGTTCTCTAACATTGATAAATAAATATAAATAAAATGGTATTTTCTTAACTTACAGAAAGTCATTATAAATAATATAAGTAGAAGTATATAAAATAGGGGATCCTAGGGAGTGGAACTGGATATCAGGCTGCTACAGATGACATACGAATTAAAAAATTTTCAATGTTTTATTTGAAATATTTTTGAAAACAAAATTAAGCTTTTCTTGCCTATTAGAAAAATCATATATGGTGATAAAACCTGTTTGGGCAAAACATTGAGAAATGAGATTTTATGTACTATTGAAGGAAATATAAATGGGTATAACCTTTCTAGAAATGTTTTATAAAATGTTTGCATATTCTTAGCAATCCTACATCATCAATTTACCTTAAGATGATAATTTTAAAAACTGGAAAATATAAGCATAAAAATGTTCAGCACTGTTTATAATGATGAAAAATCAGAAGGAACCTAATGCCCCTTGATAGAGAGCTAATTAAGTAAATTATGTTACAGACAATGTGATAGTCTCCAAACATCATAAGTGATTTTTAGATTTAGATTTATCAAAATGAAAAGATGTCCATGACAGATTGAGTAATGATGCTGATTACAGAACATGTATAGTATACTTTTAGAGAAAACTGTGCACATATACTTAATGTGCCTGAATGCACCAACGTAGTCATCAGTGTGAAGTAGAATTTCTAGTGTTTTCTTTCTTTATTTTCTGCTTTATTTTTTCCAATAGGTAGCATTTTCAAACATAAAACTAAGTTTAAACATAGCTATGAAAACAATAACAGTATTTGCAACAACTTGAGGTTAAACCTAGGCTTTTTGTATATCAACTACTCAGAAAAGATGAAAATATCTCTGTATTTTATAAAATGAAGACCATAAAAATAATACAAAGTGTACTTTGGCAATTGTCAAAAACAAAACAAACCAAACAAAACAGAAATTGTGGCCTCTTCTCTTCTGAATGAGGTCATTCTACCCAATTTTCTTTATTATTATTATTATTATTATTATTACTATTATTATTATTATTTTTTAATTATACTTTAAGTTTTAGGGTACATGTGCACATTGTGCAGGTTAGTTACATATGTATACATGTGCCATGCTGGTGCGCTGCACCCACTAACTCGTCATCTAGCATTAGGTATATCTCCCAATGCTATCCCTCCCCACTCCCCCCTCCCCACCACAGTCCCCAGAGTGTGATATTCCCCTTCCTGTGTCCATGTGATCTCGTTGTTCAATTCCCACCTATGAGTGAGAATATGCGGTGTTTGGTTTTTTGTTCTTGCGATAGTTTACTGAGAATGATGGTTTCCAATTTCATCCATGTCCCTACAAAGGACATGAACTCATCATTTTTTATGGCTGCATAGTATTCCATGGTGTATATGTGCCACATTTTCTTAATCCAGTCTATCATTGTTGGACATTTAGGTTGGTTCCAAGTCTTTGCTATTGTGAATAATGCCGCAATAAACATACGTGTGCATGTGTCTTTATAGCAGCATGATTTATAGTCATTTGGGTATATACCCAGTAATGGGATGGCTGGGTCAAATGGTATTTCTAGTTCTAGATCCCTGAGGAATCGCCACACTGACTTCCACAATGGTTGAACTAGTTTACAGTCCCACCAACAGTGTAAAAGTGTTCCTATTTCTCCACATCCTCTCCAGCACCTGTTGTTTCCTGACTTTTTAATGATTGCCATTCTAACTGGTGTGAGATGATATCTCATGGTGGTTTTGATTTTCATTTCTCTGATGGCCAGTGATGATGAGCATTTTTTCATGTGTTTTTTGGCTGCATAAATGTCTTCTTTTGAGAAGTGTCTGTTCATGTCCCTTGCCCAATTTTTGATGGGGTTGTTTGTTTTTTTCTTGTAAATTTTTTTGAGTTCATTGTAGATTCTGGATATTAGCCCTTTGTCAGATGAGTAGGTTGTGAAAATTTTCTCCCATGTTGTAGGTTGCCTGTTCACTCTGATGGTAGTTTCTTTTGCTGTGCAGAAGCTCTTTAGTTTAATTAGATCCCATTTATCAATTTTGGCTTTGGTTGCCATTGCTTTTGGTGTTTTGGACATGAAGTCCTTGCCCATGCCTATGTCCTGAATGGTAATGCCTAGGTTTCCTTCTAGGGTTTTTATGGTTTTAGGTCTAACGTTTAAATCTTTAATCCATCTTGAATTGATTTTTGTATAAGGTGTAAGGAAGGGATCCAGTTTCAGCTTTCTACATATGGCTAGCCAGTTTTCCCAGCACCATTTATTAAATAGGGAATCCTTTCCCCATTGCTTGTTTTTCTCAGATTTGTCAAAGATCAGATAGTTGTAGGTATGCGGCGTTATTTCTGAGGGCTCTGTTCTGTTCCATTGATCTATATCTCTGTTTTGGTACCAGTACCATGCTGTTTTGGTTACTGTAGCCTTGTAGTATAGTTTGAAGTCAGGTAGTGTGATGCCTCCAGCTTTGTTCTTTTGGCTTAGGATTGACTTGGCGATGCGGGCTCTTTTTTGGTTCCATATGAACTTTAAAGTAGTTTTTTCCAATTCTGTGAAGAAAGTCATTGGTAGCTTGATGGGGATGGCATTGAATCTATAAATTACCTTGGGCAGTATGGCCATTTTCACGATATTGATTCTTCCTACCCATGAGCATGGAATGTTCTTCCATTTGTTTGTATCCTCTTTTATTTCCTTGAGCAGTGGTTTGTAGTTCTCCTTGAAGAGGTCCTTCACATCCCTCGTAAGTTGGATTCCTAGGTATTTTATTCTCTTTGAAGCAATTGTGAATGGGAGTTCACTCATGATTTGGCTCTCTGTTTGTCTGTTGTTGGTGTATAGGAATGCTTGTGATTTTTGTACATTGATTTTGTATCCTGAGACTTTGCTGAAGTTGCTTATCAGCTTAAGGAGATTTGGGGCTGAGATGATGGGGTTTTCTAGATAAACAATCATGTCGTCTGCAAACAGGGACAATTTGACTTCCTCTTTTCCTAATTGAATACCCTTTATTTCCTTCTCCTGCCTGATTGCCCTGGCCAGAACTTCCAACACTATGTTGAATAGGAGTGGTGAGAGAGGGCATCCCTGTCTTGTGCCAGTTTTCAAAGGGAATGCTTCCAGTTTTTGCCCATTCAGTATGATATTGGCTGTGGGTTTGTCATAGATAGCTCTTATTATTTTGAAATACGTCCCATCAATACCTAATTTATTGAGAGTTTTTAGCATGAAGGGTTGTTGAATTTTGTCAAAGGCTTTTTCTGCATCTATTGTGATAATCATGTGGTTTTTGTCTTTGGCTCTGTTTATATGCTGGATTATATTTATTGATTTGCGTATATTGAACCAGCCTTGCATCCCAGGGATGAAGCCCACTTGATCATGGTGGATAAGCTTTTTGATGTGCTGCTGGATTCGGTTTGCCAGTATTTTATTGAGGATTTTTGCATCAATGTTCATCAAGGATATTGGTCTAAAATTCTCTTTTTTGGCTGTGTCTCTGCCCAGCTTTGGTATCAGAATGATGCTGGCATCATAAAATGAGTTAGGGTGGATTCCCTCTTTTTCTATTGATTGGAATAGTTTCAGAAGGAATGGTACCAGTTCCTCCTTGTACCTCTGGTAGAATTCGGCTGTGAATCCATCTGGTCCTGGACTCTTTTTGGTTGGTAAACTATTGATTATTGCCACAATTTCAGCTCCTGTTATTGGTCTATTCAGAGATTCAACTTCTTCCTGGTTTAGTCTTGGGAGAGTGTATGTGTCGAGGAATTTATCCATTTCTTCTAGATTTTCTAGTTTATTTGCGTAGAGGTGTTTGTAGTATTCTCTGATGGTAGTTTGTATTTCTGTGGGATCGGTGGTGATATCCCCTTTATCATTTTTTATTGTGTCTATTTGATTCTTCTCTCTTTTTTTCTTTATTAGTCTTGCTAGCGGTCTATCAATTTTGTTGATCCTTTCAAAAAACCAGCTCCTGGATTCATTGATCTTTTGAAGGGTTTTTTGTGTCTCTATTTCCTTCAGTTCTGTTCTGATCTTAGTTATTTCTTGCCTTCTGCTAGCTTTTGAATGTGTTTGCTCTTGCTTCTCTAGTTCTTTTAATTGTGATGTTAGGGTGTCAATTTTGGATCTTTCCCGCTTTCTCTTGTGGGCATTTAGTGCTATAAATTTCCCTCTACACACTGCTTTGAATGCGTCCCAGAGATTCTGGTGTGTTGTGTCTTTGTTCTCGTTGGTTTCAAAGAACATCTTTATTTCTGCCTTCATTTCGTTATGTACCCAGTAGTCATTCAGGAGCAAGTTGTTCAGTTTCCATGTAGTTGAGCGGCTTTGAGTGAGATTCTTAATCCTGAGTTCTAGTTTGATTGCACTGTGGTCTGAGAGATAGTTTGTTATAATTTCTGTTCTTTTACATTGGCTGAGGAGAGCTTTACTTCCAACTATGTGGTCAATTTTGGAATAGGTGTGGTGTGGTGCTGAAAAAAATGTGTATTCTGTTGATTTGGGGTGGAGAGTTCTGTAGATGTCTATTAGGCCCACTTGGTGCAGAGCTGAGTTCAATTCCTGGGTATCCTTGTTGACTTTCTGTCTCGTTGATCTGTCTAAAGTTGACAGTGGGGTGTTAAAGTCTCCCATTATTAATGTGTGGGAGTCTAAGTCTCTTTGTAGGTCACTCAGGACTTGCTTTATGAATCTGGGTGCTCCTGTATTGGGTGCATATATATTTAGGATAGTTAGCTCCTCTTGTTGAATTGATCCCTTTACCATTATGTAATGGCCTTCTTTGTCTCTTTTGATCTTTATTGGTTTAAAGTCTGTTTTATCAGAGACTAGGATTGCAACCCCTGCCTTTTTTTGTTTTCCATTTGCTTGGGAGATCTTCATCCATCCTTTTATTTTGAGCCTATGTGTGTCTCTGCACGTGAGATGGGTTTCCTGAATACAGCACACTGATGGGTCTTGACTCTTCATCCAACTTGCCAGTCTGTGTCTTTTAATTGGAGAATTTAGTCCATTTACATTTAAAGTTAATATTGTTATGTGTGAATTTGATCCTGTCATTATGATGTTAGCTGGTGATTTTGCTCGTTAGTTGATGCAGTTTCTTCCTAGTCTCGATGGTCTTTACATTTTGGCATGATTTTGCAGCGGCTGGTACCGGTTGTTCCTTTCCATGTTTAGCGCTTCCTTCAGGAGCTCTTTTAGGGCAGGCCTGGTGGTGACAAAATCTCTCAGCATTTGCTTGTCTGTAAAGTATTTTATTTCTCCTTCACTTATGAAGCTTAGTTTGGCTGGATATGAAATTCTGGGTTGAAAATTCTTTTCTTTAAGAATGTTGAATATTGGCCCCCACTCTCTTCTGGCTTGTAGGGTTTCTGCCGAGAGATGCGCTGTTAGTCTGATGGGCTTCCCTTTGAGGGTAATCCGACCTTTCTCTCTGGCTGCCCTTAACATTTTGTCCTTCATTTCAACTTTGGTGAATCTGACAATTATGTGTCTTGGAGTTGCTCTTCTCGAGGAGTATCTTTGTGGCGTTCTCTGTATTTCCTGAATCTGAACGTTGGCCTGCCTTGCTAGATTGGGGAAGTTCTCCTGGATAATATCCTGCAGAGTGTTTTCCAACTTGGTTCCATTCTCCCCATCACTTTCAGGTACACCAATCAGACGTAGATTTGGTCTTTTCACATAGTCCCATATTTCTTGGAGGCTTTGCTCATTTCTTTTTATTATTTTTTCTCTAAACTTCCCTTCTCACTTCATTTCATTCATTTCATCCTCCATTGCTGATACCCTTTCTTCCAGTTGATCGCATCGGCTCCTGAGGCTTCTGCATTCTTCACGTAGTTCTCGAGCCTTGGTTTTCAGCTCCATCAGCTCCTTTAAGCACTTCTCTGTATTGGTTATTCTAGTTATACATTCTTCTAAATTTTTTTCAAAGTTTTCAACTTCTTTGCCTTTGGTTTGAATGTCCTCCCGTAGCTCAGAGTAATTTGATCGTCTGAAGCCTTCCTCTCTCAGCTCGTCAAAATCATTCTCCATCCAGCTTTGTTCCGTTGCTGGTGAGGAACTGTGTTCCTTTGGAGGAGGAGAGGCGCT
Organism: Homo sapiens; assembly: GCF_000001405.40. Lineage (NCBI taxonomy): Eukaryota > Metazoa > Chordata > Mammalia > Primates > Hominidae > Homo > Homo sapiens. The sequence goes on along the minus strand of NC_000013.11, from coordinate 100,699,044 downwards.
CTGCGTTTTAGAGTTTCCAGTTTTTCTGTTCTGTTTTTTCCCCATCTTTGTGGTTTTATCTACTTTTGGTCTTTGATGATGGTGATGTACAGATGGGTTTTTGGTGTGGATGTCCTTTCTGTTTGTTAGTTTTCCTTCTAACAGACAGGACCCTCAGCTGCAGGTCTGTTGGAATACCCTGCCGTGTGAGGTGTCAGTGTGCCCCTGCTGGGGGGTGCCTCCCAGTTAGGCTGCTCGGGGGTCAGGGGTCAGGGACCCACTTGAGGAGGCAGTCTGCCCATTCTCAGATCTCCAGCTGCGTTCTGGGAGAACCACTGCTCTCTTCAAAGCTGTCAGACAGGGACACTTAAGTCTGCAGAGGTTACTGCTGTCTTTTGGTTTGTCTGTGCCCTGCCCCCAGAGGTGGAGCCTACAGAGGCAGGCAGGCCTCCTTGAGCTGTGGTGGGCTCCACCCAGTTTGAGCTTCCCGGCTGCTTTGTTTACCTAAGCACGCCTGGGCAATGGCGGGCGCCCCTCCCCCAGCCTCGCTGCTGCCTTGCAGTTTGATCTTAGACTGCTGTGCTAGCAATCAGCGAGATTGCTAGCACAGTCAGTGGGCGTAGGACCCTCCGAGCCAGGTGTGGGATATAGTCTCGTGGTGCGCCGTTTTTTAAGCCGGTCTGAAAAGCGCAATATTTGGGTGGGAGTGACCCGATTTTCCAGGTGCGTCCGTCACCCCTTTCTTTGACTCGGAAAGGGAACTCCCTGACCCCTTGCGCTTCCCAGGTGAGGCAATGCCTCGCCCTGCTTCGGCTCACGCATGGTGCGCGCACACACTGGCCTGCGCCCACTGTCTGGCACTCCCTAGTAAGATGAACCCAGTACCTCAGATGGAAATGCAGAAATCACCCGTCTTCTGCGTCGCTCACGCTGGGAGCTGTAGACCGGAGCTGTTCCTATTCGGCCATCTTGGCTCCTCCCCCCGACTCTACCCAATTTTCTTAAATGGTTTTGCAGAAATAAGAACAGCACCATTCTAGGCAGAAGGCCAGAGTTGTCACATCAAGAAAAGAAAAAGGAAGAGTCACTTACCTCGGGGGTGACTTATAGTGAGAGAAAAACAGGCAAAGGAAAATGTTACTGAACATTATAACCGGTTGAGCCATTTTATCAGCCTGGGAAACAACCAAGGTCAGATCATTTTTCTAATTTCTTGTTTGAGCCCCTGCCTGTGCTATTTATCAAAAATTTCATTATATGCCTCTTGAAACCTTCATTATACCTGCCATCTCAGTGCCAAGAATTCCAAGTTCAATTGCTCAGCCCCAAAGGAGCAGGCAGAGGAAAAGCTCAGCTGTGCAGACAGAACCCAGCACCATTGCTCAGAGGCCACCATGCCCAGTAGATGCCCAGCGCTTTCTGGTCTCAGACACAGCAGTGCCCCTTAGCAGGACCTTGAGGCGATATCACATTTAGTGCAGCCATCTGCACAGCTGCTTTCCCTGCGTGATACTCTGCCAGAACAGCTGGATTTAGAAAGGCCACAAACAGCTATGGCTTGTGCTGAGCCTGGTTCACCAGCCCAGACACCTCCTCCACCCACATAGATAGATAAATGTGAGGTGGGACTTGATTTCTGGTCACAACGCTGCTGACCGAAACAGAATCTGGTCCACATGGGATGAAGTGAAGGAAAAAGCAACTAGCAGATGGTGAAAAAAGCGATCCCTAGCTGCCCTCATTGCTCATTAGTATAAGACACTCCCACCAGCACCATGACAGTTCACAAATGCCATGGCAACTACTCGGAAGTTACTGCCCCTTTCCATGATAACAACCCAGAAGTTACCACCCCTTAAAAGGTGCTAAATAACTCCCCAAATTTGCATTAACCCACTCCTTACTTTGCATGTAATTGAAAGTGGGTATAAGTGAGTATAAACACAGTTGCTCAGAGTCCATATGTTGCTGACTCTGTGATCACCGCCTACGAGTTAACCCTGCTCTGCAAGGAGCAGTGCCATTCAATAAAAGATTGCTGTTTAACACCGCCAGCTCACCCTTGAATTCTTTCCTGGGCGAAGCCCCAATTTTGGGGCTCACCTGTCCCTGCATCATCTGGTGATCATGAAGAGACAAAGATGGTGGCAATTGGCAATCAGTGGACAGGCAGTGAGACAGCAGAGATGGTGGTGATTGGCAGAGAGGCGAGATGAAAAGAGACAGTGAGAGATGATGGTGATTGGCAGAGAGGTGAGATGACAAGAGACAGTGAGAGATGATGAGATGGTAAGATGTCAACCAGAAAGATGGTGAGAGGTGGTGCTCAGCAGGGCAAGAAGACACCAAGAGGTGGCAGTCAGAGAAAGGTGGCTAGTGGCGATCAGCAAGCAGCAATCAGTGATTGGTAAGACAGCAAGAGACAGTGATTGGCAAGAGATGGCAAGACACGCTGATCAGCGCTACAGCAATCAAACCAGCAGAGCTACAGTACTAACCATAGACTCTTTTAAGGGCCGTTATCTTTCCTGACAAGTGGCAGCACTGGTCCCCTCGCATCAACTGATCCCACCCAACTGTGAAAACCTGGAGAGACCTTCACCTAGGTCCCATGTTGGAGACTGGTCAGCTCCATTTTGGCTCTGCTGAAAGGGTGTCCCCTCTACCACCTGCCTCAATATCAGGTGAGCCAGAAAATAAGGCTTCTGGCTAGATAGTCGATTCAAAGTCCCCTAGAGCAGGCCTGATCAACTAAATGCTTGTTGCAACTTCTCTCGGTCGTTTCTCCTGTCGTGCCATTATAATTTGCTTCACTGGCCATTTTCTTTGTTTCTGCTCTGAAATGTATGTTTCACTTGCAGTTTTTGCTGTCACTCCCTGTTAACCATACTTGAGCAATTGTTTAAGGCAGGACACTTGGCTGTAAGAGGTCCCCTGTTGTGTTGACCCTGGGATGACAGAGTCACATTGTTCTGTCACCCCAGTGAGGCCTTTGGTGTTCACTATTGGTCCCCTCTGGATGTTCCAGGGTTTTCGGCATTTGGTGTGGGGACCCTCGTTGGCTAATACCTGGGTACTCTGGGTTTTCAGCATTTGGTATTGTTGGCCACCCCCAGGATTCTCTAGGGTGTTTCGTGTTGGCATTTCCTCTAGGATTGTGAGTTGGAGACCCATCCAAGGGAATCTTGGTCTACCTTTCTTGTTTTCTGTCCTAAAGTTATCATTTTCCATAAAAGCATTTTCTTTTCTTATTGTCACTTTATTTACACTTTTCCTTCTATACTTTTATTAATAAATATACTTCTTTTGTCATATTTTGTTCACCGGCAAACACTTATAATCCACTTTGTATCCACTTTGTAATGTCTTGCTGCCTATACTTACATTTTCTCTGCAGGAACCGGGAATCTAAAAGGGAACCCTAATGAGCCCAGTTGCTTTCCCTCTCACTAGACTTAGAAAAATTTCTGTGTCTAGTAGAAATTCTTGTTAGACATGGGACAATGATGAGCATCTCAGAGGACCAGCCACTAGGGTGTCTTTTAGGCTATTAGAGCAAATTAAAATCCAGCTTAAAGCAAAAGAAACTCATTTTCTTTTGCAGCACCGTTTGAGTCCAATACAAATTAGAAAACCAAGATATTTGGCCTAAATATGGTTCTATACATTATAACGTTATTTTACAATTGGTCTGATTCTGTAAAAAAAGAAGGAATATGGGAGGAGGTCCCTTATTATGTACAGGCTTTTGTGGCCCTTTCCTGGCTCATGTTAGTTGCAGGCACCAGGACGCCATGCCTAAGGGATCCGCTCCTAGCGGCTCCCCCTAGAGGCCTACGCCCTCCTCAGAGCCTCCTCTGCCCGGCAATTCTGAGTCAGTCCCGCCTGTTCTCTAACACAGGATTCCACTCCAAGGTCATCAGGCACTCCTCTCCCTTACCCGACTAGCCCCAGCCTATGTCCCCTGCTGCCCAAGAGAGTAAGTCCAACCAGTACCCCAGGAGTGGGGCCTTATCTCAGCCCCTGAAATCAAAACTGTGTCCATTGTGGGAAGTAGCTAAAGGAAATGAGGAAACACTCAGAGTACATGTGCCATTTTCTATCTCGAATTTGGCTTTATACAAGGAGAAATTTGGCTAGTTTTCAGAAAATTCAAGGAGGATGATAGAGGAGTTTGTTCATTTGACCACATCCTTTAACTTGGCATGACTTGGAAATGTTATCATCCGCTTGCTGTGCCGTGGAGAAGAAGCAGAGGGAATGGTGTGTGGTTAAGCCAGTCAATTATGACAAGGTTAGATAAGTAACTCAGGGAAAAGATGAAAGTCCTGCTCTGTTTCAGGGTCGCTTGGTTGAGGCACTCAGGAAATAAACGAATACAGACCCAGACTCCCCAGCAGGGCAAGCTCTGGATATGCATTTTATTACTCAATCTGCCCCTGACATTAGGCGAAAACTACAAGATGCAGGAGTGGGACCTCGAACCCCTATGAGCCAACTCTTTTTTTTTTTTTTTTTTTGAGATGGAGTCTCACTCTGTCGCCAGGCTAGAGTGCAGTGGCATGATCTCGGCTCACTGCAACCTCCGCCTCCCGGGTTCAAGCATTCTTCTGCCTCAGCCTCCCAAGTAGCTGGGACTACAGGTGTGTGCTACCACGCCCAGCTAATTTTTGTATTTTTAGTAGAGATGGGGTTTCACCATGTTGGCCACAGTGGTCTTGATCGCCTGACCTCGTGATCTGTCCACCATCGACTTCCCAAAGTGCTGGGATTACAGGCGTGAGCGACTGCACCCGGCCATGAGTCAACTCTTAAATACGGCCTTTAAAGTTTACAACAGTAAAGACAGGGCAAAAGAAGTGAAAAAACCAACCAAAAATAATAAAAAACACAATTATTTGTGGCTGCTTTAAGCTCCCTGCCACCTCACGGTTACCTATGCCAAGAAAGTGTCCTGAGGTCAGTGTCTGGGATCCCCGGATGAGATCCCCTGACTGGCCTCCCAAACATTTTGCTTTTCTCCTCTTTTGGTTTTTGAGACAGACTTTCGCTCTTGTCTCCCAGGCTGGAGTACAGTGGCGCAATCTCAGCTCTTTGCAACCTTCACCTCCTGGGTTCAAGCAATTCTCCTGCCTCAGCCTCCCGAGTAGCTGGGATTACAGGTGCCCGCCACCATGCCCAGCTAATTTTTGTATTTTTAGTACAGATGGGGTTTCACCACGTTGGCCAGGCTGGTCTCAAACTCCTGACCTCAGGTGATTTGCCCGCCTCAGCCCCCCAAAGTGCTGGGATTACAGGCATGAGCCACCATACCCGGCCCCAAACATTTTTCTTTGGTGTCTCCACTGAGTGAGTTCTCCAGCAGCTCAGGGACTCTGAGGTCTCCCTTGAGCAATGCAGTTCACCCCTTCCATTCCTTACTTGATGCTACAGGATTCCCTTCCCTGCGTTATCCTGTCTTCCATGTCTACTGGGGCAAACAAAATTTGGCCAGCAGACAAGTCCCAATTTTATAAATAACTTAGATCCAGTCTTGTATAGGTCACCTCATTTGTGTGATGTGTGTTGTGTCCAGTGTGCTATCCAATTGGCTTATAAATAGAAGAGTGCTCATAAACTAAACAAATAAAACTAGTCTAAACTTATTAGTTTGAAAAATATATGTCTTCTAGAATTTAAGAATTTTACCTAGGTAAACCACTGAGGATTCATAGGCTTTCGAATGGTTAAAATGGCTCTGAGTAGAGAGTTCTTTGTGTGGCTTAAAATCTTAAAATTGTTGAATGGTTCTCCTCTATAAAATACCAATAGGCATTTCAGGATTTCTTGCTTCCTAGATTTATATAGAATATGCCAGGGAAGGTGTATTTTTTATGGTGAAAAAATTTTTGTTGGAAAAAATAATTTTTGTCTAATTCAGAAGTTACTAAAAGGAAGGATCAAAATAGGAGAAAACCAGTCAGTAGAAAAGAGAGATGTGAGGAAAGTTATAGGTGGAAGATATATTTTTTGCAGGGAGAGATGAGGAAAAACATGATTTAATATGAAGACAGATCTTGTGTGGTAGATTCTTGTTTTAAAATAAAGTGACTGGTTGTTTGGGAGGTAGGTGGTACGGGACAGGTTGGAGGGTCCAGCCATGTCATCGAATCGTCTTTGTGGGCGATAATAGGGATAATTGTGAAAGGGAATTTGCAACAGGAATTTTGTGTGTGATTAAGCTGGCTGTGATTAAAGGGAGATTGTTTGTGGTACACTTTCTAGAAAAATGGTCTATGTGTTGGACCTGGTTTCCTTAAAATGTTAATTTGCCAAATTATCAGAAATATTGCTTTTCAATTCTGTGATCGATTTCTTTTAATAGCTTTTCAAATTTGTGTCTTGAACATTCGGTTGTTATTGTGTCTTGCTGCTTTCAGCTTTTTCTCCCTGTTAGAAGGCCTGAAATAACTCTTTCCTTTAGCTTTTCCATCACCTCCTGTGACTTTTTCTCCTCTGTTTCTGACTATTGTTGTGACTTAGAGGTCTGGGGGAGCAGTGTTTTCCCCCAATATAGTTTGATTCTATGCTCTTGGTGTCTTAGTCTGTTCTCATGCTGCTAATAAAGACATACCCAAGACTGGGTAATTTATAAAGGAAAGAGGTTTAATGGACTCACAGTTCCACATGGCTGGAGAGCCTTCACAATCATGGTGGGAGGCAAAGGAGGAGCAAAGTCATGTCTTACACAGTGGCAGGCAAGAGAGCATGTGCAGGAGAACTTTCCTTTTCTGAAAACATCAGATCTCATGCCTGTAATCCCAGCACTTTGGGAGGCCAAGGCAGGTGGAGTACCAGGTCAGGAGATCGAGACCATCCTGGCTAATATGGTGAAACCCCAACTCTACTAAAAATACAAAAAATTAGCCGGGCGCATTGACATGCACCTGTAGTCCCAGCTACTCAGGAGGCTGAGGCAGGAGAATCACTTGAACCTGGAAGGCGGAGGTTGCAGTGACCTGAGATTGCGCCACTACACTCCAGCCTGGTGACAGAGCAAGACTCCATCTCAAAAAAAAAAAAAAAAAAAAATCAGATCTCATGAGACTTATTCACTATCATGAGAGCAGCATGGGAAAGACCCACCCCCATGATTCATTTATCTCTGCCTGGCCCTTCCCATGACATGAGGGGAATATGGGAGCTGCAGTTCAAGATGAAATTTGGGTGGGGACACAGCCAAACTATAGTACTAGGTTTTTCTTGATATATAACCTTATTTGTGGCTTTTTGTTTTTGACTCTTATATTGCTTAAAAAAATTTCAAGGGCTAATGAGTGCCCACTTTCATTCACATCTCACCTGAAATATTTAATTGGTTGTAAGTCTTTTGACTTTAAGTCCCTTAACCAAAGGGGGGAAAAAAACAAACCTAAAAAATGAATTCTGGCCATGATTGAAAATAGAGTATCAGACATGCCTCACTATGCCCTTTCTTAAATTTTAGGCCAGGTTCAAAAGGCCTTTCAAAATTACCAAATAAAGTATTGCCCTTCTCCCCCACCCACAAAAAAGAACAGCTTCTCTGTTCAACCAGAAGACTTAGTCTTATAAGGACACAAAAAAATTAATCCCTCAAGGATTGTACTAGTTTATTCTCACACTGCTATGAAGAAATGCCCATTGACTAACAGTTTCACATGGCTGGGGAGGCCTCAGGAACTTTCAGTCATGGTGGAATGTGCCTTTTCAGAGGGCAGCAGGAGAGAGAATGAGTGTCAAACAAAGGGTGAAGCCCCTTATAAAAACCACTTGAGCTTGTAAGAGCTCACTCAACAGCATGGGGGAAACTGTCATGATGGGGGAAACTGCCCCCGTGATTAAATTCTCTCTACCTGGTTCCACCCTTGACACATGGGGATTATTACAACCCAAGGTGAGAATTGGGTGGGGACACAGAGCCAAACCATATCCTTCTGCCCCTGGCCCCTCCCAGATCTCATGTCCTCATATTTCAAAATACAATCATGTCCTCCCAACAGTCCCCTGAAGTCTTAACTCATTCCAGCACTAACCCAAAAGTCCAAGTCAAAAGTCTCATGTGAGACAAGGCAAGTCCCTTCCTCCCATGAGTCTGTAAAATCAAAAGCAAGTTAGTTATCTCCTAGATACAGTGTAGGTATAGGCACTGGGTAAATAAACTCTTTTCAAATGGGAAAAATTGACCAAAATGAAGGGGCTACAGGCCCCAAGCAAGTCTGAAATCCAGCAGGGCAGTCAAATCTTAAAGCCCTGAAATAATCTCCTTTGACTCCATGTCTCACTTTGACCCAGGTCACACTGATGTAAGAGGTGGGCTCCCATTGCCTTGGGCAGCTCTGCCCCTGTGGCTTTACAGAGTGCAGCTGCCTTCCCAGCTGTTTTCACAGGCTGGCATTGAGTGTCTGTGTGTTTTCCAGGTGCATGGTGCAAGCTGTCAGCAGATATACCATTCTGAGGTCCAGAGGATGGTGGCCCTCTTCTCACAGCTTCACTAGGCAGTACCCCCAGTGGGGATTCTGTATGGGGGCTCCCACCCCACATTTCCCTTCTACACTGCCCTAGCAGTTCTCTATGAGGGCTCAACCCTGCAGCAAACTTCTGCTTGGACATTCAGGCATTTCCATACATCTTCTGAAATCTAGGTGAAGGTTCCCAAACCTCTATTCTTGACTTTTGTGTACCCACAGGCCCAACACCACATGTAAGCCATCAAGGCTTGGGGCTGGCACCCTTGAAGCAATGGCCTGAGCTGTACCTTGGCCCCTTTTAGCCATGGCTGGGACATAGGGCATCAAGACCTGAGACTGCACAAAGCAGGAAGGCCCTAGGCCTGGCCCATGAAACCATTTTTTCCTCCTAGGCCTCTGGGTCTGTGATGAGAGGGCTGCCAGGAAGGTCTCTGACATGCACTGAGGACATTTTTCCCACTGTCTTAGTGATTAACATTTGGCTTCTTGTTACATATGCAAATTTCTGCAGCTGGCTTGAACTTTTTCTCAGAAAATAAGGGATAGCATTAGGAGAAATACCTAATGTAGATGATGGGTTGATGGGTGCAGCAAAGCACTATGGCACATGTATACCTCTGTAACAAACATGCACATTCTACACATGTATCCCAGAACTTAAAGTGTAATTTTGTAAAGGAATATAAAAAAGAGTTTTTCTTTTCTATTACATTGTCAGCCTGCAAATTTTCCAAACTTTCATGCTCTGCTTTTCTTTTAAACATATGTTCCAATTCCAAACCATATCTTTGTGACTACATAAAACCAAACGCTCTTTAATAGCACCCAAGTCACCTCTTAAACACTTTGCTGCTTAGTATTTTCTTCCACCAGATACCCTAAATCATTCTCTCAAGTTCAAAGTTCCACAGAGCTCTAGCCCAAGGAGAAAATGCCGCCAGTCTCTTTGCTAAAACATAACAACTGTGACTTTATTCCAGTTCCCAAGAAGTTCCTCATCTCCATCTGAGATGACCTCAGCCTGAATTTCGTTGTCCATGTCAGTCACTATCAGCATTTTGGTCAAAGCCATTCAACAAATCTCTGGGAAGTTCCAAACTTTCCCACATCTTCCTGCCTTTTTCTGAGCCCTCCAAATTGTTCCAACCTCTGCCTGTTACCCAACTCCAAAGTCACTTCCCCATTTTCATGTATCTTTACAGCAGCACCCCACTTCTGGTACTAATATAAGGATCAAGCATAACCAAAATAAAAGGGCCTTTATCAGGTATTACTGAGTACCCCCATTGCTGTTAAACTTCAGAGAATCAGTAGCTGGGCACACCTGTCCAAGATTAAACCTGTTTCTTATGAGTCCCTGCAGGCATAAGAGGACTGCATGACCTATACTCATGAACCTGTAGAAGACTTAAAGCTGTTGTTTCACAAATGCACAAATAAATAACATGACAAGTAGGAGTATGTGCCATAATACACCACACTTAATATTCTCACCTAGTTTTTACCTTTCCTGAGACCTATGATAGCTATTTTATTATTACTAATTTTTGCCCCTTGCTTGTTTATTCTCTTAATTAAGCTTATGTCTTCTAGACTACAACAATTCCACCTGAAGATGATGCTTGCAGAATGCTTCCAACCTGTCCTGTTTTCTGATGCAGAGAATGAAAACATTCTGCCATTGGGTTCCTTAGATTAGGTATCCAGAAATTTTTACTCTTCCAATGCCGGGCAGGGCCTATGCCCAGAAACTCAGCAAGAAGCAGCTACAGAAGATGGACCTCCACCTTTCTGCACCCCCCTTAAGATTAAGAAGGGGTATCTAATCTCTGAGTAGGGAATGCAGTAGGATAACTGGCAAGACTTGCTTTCTGGTCACAACCTTGCTGACCAAAACAAGACCTGGTCCAGATGGGGTGAAATGAAGAAACTGGCAGGAACCAGCAGATGGCAAAGAAAGTGATCCCTACCTACCCTCATTGCTCATTAGCATAAGATACTCCCACCAGCTCCATGACAGCTTACAAATGCCATGACAATGACCCAGAAGTTATCATCTTTTTCCATGGCAAGAACCTGGAAGTTGCTCCCCCTTTCCTTAAAAATTCTAAATAACCCACCCCAATGTGCATTAATCTGCCCCTAAATTTGCATGTGCTTGAAAGTGGGCATAAGTGAGAATAAACACAGCTGCTAAGAATCCATATGTTGCTGACTCTGGGCAAACTGCCTGTGAGCTAGCCCTGCTCTGCAAGGAGCAGTACCCTTCAATAAAAGATTAGCTAACACCACCAGCTCACCCTTGAATTATTTTCTGGGCAAAGCCAAGAACTTTCCTGAGCTAAGCCCCAGTTTGGGGGCTCACCTGTCCTGCATCAGATGGATGGAAAGATGGATGGATGGATGGATGGATGGATGGATGGATGGAAGGATGAATGAAGAGATTCCAAATCAACCTTTCTCCCATTTGGGTTCTGAATGGCCTTTACCATCAGCAGACTTCATCTGGGTTGGGGCCATCTTAATTCATCAGAAAGATCTTGATAAGGTAATATCTCATCAGTGAAAGGTAGGAGATGAGTCTCAATCTTCTTCCTCTCCAATTTACCCCCCTCTTAATTTAGTAATCATCTCTGCCAACCAGGATTTTTGGAAGAAAGTCTAGCCAAAAAAGTTCCTATTAAATTAATATAGAATCTTCCCTGTGGTAGGGAAATGGAGCAGTGTAATGAATCCCTACTCACCTAACATTCGTAGTTTTAAGAAGGACCCCAGCTGGGTGCGGTGGCTCACGCCTGTAATCCCAGCACTTTGGGAGGCAAAGGCAGGCAGATCACGAGGTCAGGAGTCCAAGACCAGCCTGGCCAACATAGTGAAACCCCATCTCTACTAAAAATACACAAATTAGCCGGGCATGGTGGTGCATGCCTGTAATCCCAGCTACTCAGTAGGCAGAGGCAGAATTGCTAGAACCTGGGAGGCAGAGGTGGCAGTGGGCCGAGATCACACCATTGCACTCCAGCCTGGACAATAGAGAAAGACTCTGCCTCAGAAAAAAAAAAAAAAAAAAGAAAAGAAAGGACCCCACTTCCCCCAGAAAATTCTGCAGAGACTTGCTGCAGAAGCTAACCTTGATAAATGCTGGCAACTTCTCTGAAAAAACAAAACAAAACTAACAAACAAAAAAAACCTGAATTCTGCCCAACTGGACTTCCTATGAAAAAGCTTTTATTTAAACATAAAATGGGAGGAGGTGGAGAGCTGCCTATATAACTTAAAATTCCCTCCCCTGTTCTTAATGTATGCCAAAACTGACTCTCCTGAGTCTGCCTTAATAATTCCAGGGACATGTCCCACACCAAAACAGCTCATGAAAATGATTTTTCCCAAAATAGTAACTGAACAGCTAGACATCTGCCCTGGAAATTAAGTCTTTTGTATCATTACATTCAAACATTTTTATTTGATCCATTTCTTACATTTTTTATTAGAAACATATGTGATATCTTTCCTTTGTGTGGCATCATTAAATATAGAGCTAGCTCCAGCTGAATGGCTAATGACATGTGTGAGATGCCAGTGGAGAGACTGGGAAAGTAAGCAACTACCCGTGGTAAGAAAAGTACTTAAAACTTGGAAATAAGGCAAAAGAGTAGGTAGGATGTCCCTTTCTCTGTCTTACAGAGTATACTGAGTTGAATAATCACTCCCTCAAAAAAAAAAAAAATTCATGTTCCTCCCAGAACCTCAGAATGTGACCTTATTTGGAAGTATGGTTTTGCAGATGTAATTAGTTAAGACTAAGTCATACTGGAGTAGGTTGGGCCCTAAATCCAATATGACTGGTGTCCTGAAGAACACCATGTGATGACAGAGGTAGAGGGTGACATGTCTACAGGGCAAAGAATGCCAAGGATGGTGTGTTAGTCTGTTCTCGCATTGCTATAAAGAATTACCTGAGACTGGGTAATTTACAAAGAAAAGAGGTTTAATTGGCTCACAGTTCCACAGGCTGTATAGGAAACATGGCTGGGGAGGCCTCAGGAAACTTACAATCATGGCAGAAGGTGAAGGGGAAGCAGGCATATCCTACATGGATGGGGCAGGAGGAAGAGAGCGAAGGGAGAGGTGCTGCACACTATTATAGACAATCAGGTCTCATGAGAACTCACTCATTATTATGAGAACAGCAAGGGGGAAATCCACCCTCATGATCCAATCGCCTCCCACAAGGCCCCTCTTCCAACATTGGGGATTACAATTCGACATGAGATTTGGCCGGAGACACAGATCCAAACCATATCAGATGGCCAGCAACTACCAGAAGCTGGGAGAAGGGCATGGGACAGATTGTCCCTCAGAAACTCCAGAAGGATCCAACCCTGCCTGCACCTTGATTTCAGATTTCTAGCCTCTTGAGAGAATAAATTTCTGTTGTTTTAAGCTACTCAGTCAGTTATAATTTGTTGTAACAGCTCTAGGAAACTAATACCCTGGGCTATTGTTTAACAGGCTCACCCAAGTATTATTAAAATTTTTAGGGGACTGTGACTTTGTTTTTTCTACTTATTACAGTAGGTAAGGGTACAGTCTCTGTAAAGTTACATGTTAATTTGTAGACCTTGCCCAGTGGAGATGTAAATAATTTTTGTCTAGAGAAAAAGATAACCCTAAAGGTTATTATTTTAATATCCTGTAGAGCGTTAACCAGTTTTGCTTCAAACTCAGCAGACGTACCAGAATGTGTTTTCTGGTGGAGACAGTTCTGATCCTTCTAATTCTCATTTGAATTGGTTTTACCACCTGTTCCCTCATTAGAAAGTGAAATAAAGTTCGTGATGCTTCCTCATTCTACATACAGATTAGTCATGTTTTTAGCTTTTTTGAAATTATACTTTGACAACCCAGAATCTTCACAGACCAGACATCTTTCTGAGGCGGTCTGGTTCAATGTCCCTCTGAATGGAGGAATGCATTCTTTCCTTAGTGCATTCATCAGTAGGCTTGGTCAGTCTGTGCTTGAAGATTTTACTTGATGGGGAACTTGTGATTCATTTTTTTTTTATTTCAATGGGTTTTTGGGGAACAGGTGGTGTTTGGTTACATGAATAATTTCTTTAGCAGAGATTTTGAGATTTTGGTGCACCCATCACCTGAGCAGTGTACACTGTAGTGTACACCCAAAGTGCAGTCTTTTATCCCTCATGCCCCCCTCCCAGCCTTTCCCCGAATTCCACAAAGTCCATTGTACCTCTTATTTTATTTTATTTTATTTGAGACAGAGTTTCACTCTGTCACCCAGGCTGGAGTGCAGTGGTGCAATCTCGGCCCACGGCAACCTCCACCTCCCGGGCTCAAGTGATTCTCCAGCCTTAGCCTCCCAAGTAGCTGGGATTACAGGCACCCACCACCATGCCCGGCTAATTTTTTGTGTTTTTGGCAGAGATGGGGTTTCACCATGTTGGTTAGGCTGGTCTCAAACTCCTGACCTCAAGTGATCTGCCTGCCTTGGCCTCCCAAAGTGATGAGATTACTGCCACGAGCCACCATGCCCAGCCCATTGTATCATTCTTATGCCTTTGTATCCTCATAGCTTAGCTCCCACTTATGAGTGAGAACATATCATGTTTGGTTTTCCATTCCTGAGTTACTTCACTTAGAATAATGGTCTCCAATTCCATCCAGGTTCCTGCGAATGCCATTATTTCTTTTTCTTTTTTCTTTTTTTTCTTTTTGAGATGGAGTTTCGCTCTTTTTGCCCAGGCTGGGTTGCAATGGTGCGATCTTGGCTCACTGCAACCTCTGCCTCCCGGGTTCAAGCGATTCTCCTGCCTCCGCCTCCTGAGTATCTGGGATTACAGGCACACACAGCCATGCCCGACTAATTTTGTATTTTTAGTAGAGATGGGGTTTCACCATGTTGCTCAGGCTGATCTCAAACTCCCGACCTCAGGTGATCCGCTCGCCTGGGTCTCCCAAAGTGCTGGGATTACAGGCATGAGCCACCACGCCCAGCCGAATGCCATTATTTCGTTGCTTTTTATGGCTGAGTAGTATTCCATGGTATATATATACCACATTTTTCTTTATCTACTCCTTGATGGATGGGTATTAAGGCTGGTTCCATATTTTTGCAACTGCAAATTCTGCTGCTATAAACATGCGTGTGCAAGTATCTTTTTCAAATAATGACTTCTTTTGTCTGGACAGATACCCAGGAGTGGGATGGCTGGATCAAATGGTAGATCTACTTTTAGTTCTTTAAGGAATCTCCACACTGTTTTCCATAGTGGTTGAACTAGTTTACATTCCCGCCAACAGTGTAAAAGTGTTCCCTTTTCACCACATCCACACCAACATCTAATTTTTTTTATTATGGCCATTCTTGCAGGAGTAAGGTGGTTGCACTGTGGTTTTGATTTGCATTTCCCTAATCATTAGTGATATTGAGCATTTTTTCATATGTTTGTTGGCCATTCGTATATCTTCTTTTGAGAACTGTCGATTCATGTCCTTAGCCCACTTTTTGATGGGATTATTTGTTTTGTTCTTCCTGATTTGTTTGGGGAACTCATGGTTGTTTTTATGGTAAGCTATTCTATTGCTAGACATTTATACTTAGAAAATTATTTCTCAAACTAAGGCAAAATCTCCTTCCAACTTCTACCCACTAGTTTGAATTATGCTTTCGAGAGCAGCACAGAATCTGACAGCCCTTAGGATATTTGATATTATACTCTTCTTGATTTTTTCTCCTCCAGGCTAAGTATCCTTAGATACTTGTGAGCACTAGAGTGTTCCTTACATATTTTGTCATCCTATTGAATTTGGGAACTGAATTAAATTCAACAACCCCCCTTCTTTTTTTGAGTTTCTACTGTGTTCAGTGCTGTACTCAGTACTAGAAAAGGAATCAGATGAGAAAACACTACACTTATAAAGGAATCTTTGCAAGAGCAATTAACAGATTGGAAAGACTCAGTAGCTTTATGGGACCCACTGAGGACCCAAGGGAGGGTATGACTAATTCTACCTGAGGATTTAAGCAAGGCTGGTTTACAAAGAAAGTTCTTCTTGCACTAAGTCCTGAAGGTGGGTGGGAAGTATCCAGGTGTGGGGGACATCCCAGGCAAAGGTAGAAAGACATATGACCAAAAAAAAAAAAAAAAAAAAAAGAACAAGAGAAAATTCTCAAATAATCACAAGGCATTACAGCACCCTCCAAATTCCATGAGAGCTACAAAGATATAAATGTGATTAGTGGGGAAAATAATAATTATGGAAATAAAGCCTGTCTCTAAAAATGTAGGCAGGAGGGTGGTGGTCTGCACAAAGACCATAGAATTTGAGCTAAAGAGCAAGATCTGTCAATGTTCACTCAGCCCAATCCAAGGAAAAGGGAGCATATTGGGAAGATTTATCAATTTGGAGGAGAAAAGCAAAAATTTGAAGAAACAGTAATCAAATGGGAGGAAATTTTGTGTGCCGATTTTACAATGGGATCTGGTGTCAGTTTGCCTAGTGCACATCCCAGCTCTGACTCTTGCTCTCTACGTGACCTGGAGCAAGTTACTTAATATTACCAAGATTCAACTTCCCTAGGTGTGAAATGGGTCATGATAGGCTGGGCACGGTGGCTCATGCCTGTAATCCCAGCACTTTGGGAGGCCAAGGCAGGCAGATCACAAGGTCAGGAGATCAAGACCATCCTGGCTAACATGGTGAAACCCTGTCTCTACTAAAAATACAAAAAAATAGCCAGGCGTGGTGGCACGCACCTGTAGTCCCAGCTACTCTGGAGGCTGAGGCAGGAGAATGGCGTGAACCCAGGAGGCGGAGCTTGCAGTGAGCCGAGATCGCGCCACTGCACTCCAGACTGGGCAACAGAGGGAGACTCCATCTCAAAAAAATAAAAAGGGTCATTACAGCAAACTTCAAGGGATTATTAGGTTCCTATAACATAATCAGGTTCATACACATAATGAAAGTGTGTATCATATGCCTGGCACATGCTAAGTTATAAGTGCAGAATAAATTTTATTATTATTTTCTCATTTATTTAAAATAGCAATTTAAAGTGAGGAAGCTGCATTTAGAAGAGAACAAGACCCAGGGAGGGGCTCTTACAATCAAGCTCTTAGAATCTTTTACTTCATGTGCACATTTTCCCTCTACATGACCTTCTAGGCCTTGGGATCCTCCCTGCTCTCCTGGGCTATCAACCCCATGACCCACAAGTCATGGCAGAGACCAAAGTGTCCATTCTCATGCCTGGCTCATGTGGACAACTCGTTCTCTCTAATTCTGCTCAGACAGCTAAGATTGAAAGCAGACAGGGCAAGGGATGGTGGATGGAGGTTACATTCACCTTGTTCAAGGTTTGGTTCCTTGTCTGACACAGATAAATTTTCAAATCTTCTTTCCAACGACCTTCATCTTAATCAAGGTTCCTTCATCTAAAAGGAAGAAAAGCTACTCAAGATATCTTAAGAAAAAAAGATGGAATATACTGGAAGGAAACAAAAGCATCTCCCAGAATTATGGGGCAAGAAGATCTAGGAGGCCTCACAAATGAGAGACTTTGGACCTAAGGCACCTCTCTTGGCCTCCAGCGCTGCATGGTCTCTGGGCACCATGTCTCTCTAAACATCTAATTCATCCTTGTTTCTTCCAGCAAACCCCCCGCTGCTGGAGAAAAACAGGGTTGCTCCAGCCCTAGCCTTATCGCATCTCACTGTGTACAATCTCTGCTGATTAATCTCCTTTAACATGGCTTGGTTAATTCATTCTCTCATGAGAAACTTCAGAGATTTCCTACTGCTTATAGAAAAAAGCCCAAGTTTCTTATCATGACATTGCATACCTTCTTCAATCTGGAAAGTTCAACCCTTTCCAGCCTGATTCCTCCACATAGATTCCATGTCTAGGCGGTCTGGATTTCTATAAATATGGCCATAGCTTTCCAAAATCTGACGCCTATTCGTGGCTGGAATGCTGTTCCTCACCAATCCTCTCCTATTAAAATCATACACAAGTGAAACCAAACTGATTTTCTCTTTCTGGGCCTATACTTAAATTACATTGCCCAGCCCTCTTGCATCTAGACAGCATGACTGCTTTTCTTCAATAGAAAGAGAATGGAAGCAATGTGTGTAACTTCCAGGCCAAGGCAGTTAATAGCACATGTGTCTTTTCAATCTATTCACTCCTTTCTCCCCTCCTCCCAAGGAATAATGCCAAGCAACTGTGAAGCCAGTTAAAGATGAAAGCCTGGAGCCACAACATGGGTGGAGTCTGGGTCCCAGAATGACTGTATGGAGCAGACTGTGCATGGCTAGGACATGAGAAAGAAAACTTGATCAGGCTAAGTCACTGAGAGTTAGCATTGTTCATAATAGCAGTTGAACTACTCTGATGGCACATCATACCTCGAGACTTTGCTCAAATTTTATACCTTCTTATGTCACTCCTGTAGAAAATGACCACTCTGTCATCTGAGCATTTTTCTCTAGTGCTCCATTTACAGTATTTATCATTTAGCCTTATGTCATTAAGGTTGTTTATGTGTTGTCTCTTTCTCTCTAGGTTGTACATTTTTTAAGGACAAGTGTTGAGGTGTTCCTTGCCCAGCAACCACATTTTAGTCCCTGCTAGTATACGGTGAGGGTTGTTGCTGCTGTCACTGTACATGCTGTTTCTTGATGGAATTTCTATCTGGTGAACAGGGGTGGCAAGCAAGAAGGAAACTTGAGAGTCCCCTTACATTCTCCTAGGGCTGAGGGGATCTCATGAAAGGAGTCCTCCAAGTCCAGGGAAGCTGTGTACACCTGGGAGAGCTGTGCCCTGCCCAACTCCAGAGGGCTCTATTCATGAAAATTACAGTGCACCTGTGTGCACATTTCAGAGCCCAAAGACTTCCTAGACACCAAAACATTTCAACCACCTCCAAATCTACAACCAAACTAACTGAAATTAGTTATCCCCAAAGTCTCAAATGGCTCATCTCCCAACAACAACTTTTGACATCTGCTCTTCACAAGGGAGAAGGTATGGGGAGACAAGACAATATGTACTCTCTTATTTGTTCCAGTTCTTTCCAGTCCAACATAATCTTATTAGGCAGGTGGGGGTTCTTTAACTCTCTGACTACATCCCTTGGTTTTGTGCCCAATCTTGGCTTCATTGAGTAAAGTACTGACTGCTTAACCCCGGATCTCTGTGCTTCCTTCCTCATCTGTAGGATGAGGATAATGATATGCACTTGGCAGAAGTTATGTTTTGTTTTGGTTTTGGGTTTTTTGAGACAGAGTCTTGCTGTGTCACCTAGGCTGGGGTGCAGTGGTGTGATCTTGGCTAACTTCAACTTCTGCCTCCCAGGTTTGAGCGATTCTCCTGCCTCAGCCTCCCAAGTAGTTGGGATAACAGGTGCCCGCCACCACACCCAGCTAATTTTTTTTTTTTTTTTGTATTTTTAGTAGAGATGGGGTTTCACCATGTTGGCCAGGCTGGTCTTAAACTCCTGATCTCAAGTGATCTGCCCACCTCGGCCTCCCAAAGTGCTGGGATTACAGGCTTGAGCCACTGTGCCTGGCCAGAACTTTTATGAGAATTAAATAACACAAGCATAGTGCCTGGAGCACATTGAGTGGTCCACCACCATCATGCCTTCCATGTGTGACAGCAACCCCAGAGCTCCTGTCCAAGGGGCTGGGGGTTGCTGTCACATGCAGAAGGCATGATCGGAGCAAGGGGTTGTGGTCAGTGTAGGGGAACAGGAACAGGGAAATTTTCTCTGCGTCTTATCCTTCTCACGAAACCATAAGATTGTAAGAGGTGGAATCAGTGTCATGCTTACCTTTACCTTCTCCACAGAGCCTGCCCCTGTGCTTGGCACATAGTGTTATATCATTTTGGTCATGGCTGGCTTTGCAATTTACAGAACAAAAGAACATTGGATAAAGTCAGGAGACTCTGATTCTAACTCCAGTATTGCCAATAACATGTAACGCGACTTTAAGAGTTGTGCTTCTCTGGGAGATACCTTGTTAAATGCCTGCTGTGTGGTAGGCACAGTAGCTGCAGGGGTGCAGGAGTTAACTACACAGACATGGGTCTTGCCTTCATGGCACTTACAGTCTAGTGAGATAGTTGGAGATAGACTTTACACAAATGGCCACACTGTCAGTTAATTACAGTTTTAATAAAAGCTATGAGAGTATATACAGATGGACCTACATGTGTTTGGGGAGATAATTCAGGGAAGGGTTTTCAGAGGAGATGACACTTGAGTAGTGACCTGAAGAATTAATTAGGGCAGCAAAAGGTTGCTCCCCAACCTTTTTGGCACCAGGGACCAGTTTCGTGGAAGACAATTTTTCCATGGATGGAGTTGGGGCAATGGTTTCGGGATGAAACTTCCACCTCAGATCATCAGGCATTAGTTAGATTCTTTCTCATAAGGAGCTTGCAACCTAGATCCCTCGCATGCACAGTTCACAGTAGGGTTCCCACTGCTACGAAAATCTAATGCCGTTGCTGATCTGACAGGAGGTGGAGCTCAGATGGTACTGCTCGCTTGGCAGGCTCACTTCCTGCTGTGCTGCCCGGGTTCCTAACAAGCCATAGACAGGTACCCATCCGCGGCCCTGGAGAGTTGGAGACCTCTAAATTGGAGGTAGCCAGGTGTGATGGAGGAGGATAGGAGGGAGCGCTGCAGGTGCACCTGCACAGCCCAGGATGCAAATGAGCTCAGAACACACCAGAGGATGCAAGAAGGCCAACATGGCTGGGGCCTAGGGAATGCAGGAGAGAGAGGCATGAGATGACTCAGGAGCAGCAGGCAAGCAGCCTGATCATGCTGTGGCATTGCAGATCATGAAAGATTGAGGCCTTCAATCTAAGAGTACTGGGAAGCAGGAGCCCACCAAGAGGGGCCGTGTGGGGGCAAGCCACCCTGAAGGCAGGAAATAAGGTGTGCATTGTCTATAGAGAGTTGACAATAATAAAACTGACTAGGCCAGGCGTGGTGGCTCGCACCTGTAATCCCACCATTTTACGACGTCGAGGCGGGTGGATCACCTGAGGTCAGGAGTTCGAGACCAGCCTGGCCAACCTGGTGAAACCCCGTCTCTACTAAAAATACAAAAATTAGCTGGGCATGGTGGTGGGTGCCTGTAATCCCAGCTACTCGGGAGGCTGAGGCAGGAGAATCACTTGAACCTGGGAGGTGGAGGTTGCAGTGAGCTGAGATTGCACCATTGCACTCCAGCCTGGGCAACACAGCAAGTCTCCATCTCTTTGATAAACCTGACAAAAACAAGCAATGTGGAAAGGATTCCCTATTTAATAAATGGTGCTGGGAAAACTGGCTAGCCATATGTAGAAAGCTGAAACTGGATCCCTTCCTTACACCTTATACAAAAAGTAACTCAAGATGGATTAAAGACTTAAATGTTAGACCTAAAACCATAAAAACCCTGGAAGAAAACCTAGGCAATACCATTCAGGACATAGGCATGGGCAAGGACTTCATGTCTAAAACACCAAAAGCAATGGCAACAAAAGCCAAAATTGACAAATGGGATCTAATTAAACTAAAGAGTTTCTGCACAGCAAAAGAACCTATCATCAGAGTGAACAGGCAACCTACAGAATGGGAGAAAATGTTTGCAATCTACCCATCTGGCAAAGGGCTAATATCCAGAATCTTCGAAGAACTTAATTTACAAGAAAAAAACAACCCCATCCAAAAGTGGGCAAAGGATATGAACAGACACTTCTCAAAAGAAGACATTTATGCAGCCAACAGACACATGAAAAAATGCTCATCATCACTGGCCATCAGAGAAATGCAAATCAAAACCACAATAAGATACCATCTCATGCCAGTTAGAATGGCTATCATTAAAAATTAAGGAAACAACAGATGCTGGAGAGGATGTGGAGAAACAGGAACGCTTTTATACTGTTGGTGGGAGTGTAAACTAGTTCAACCATTGTGGAAGACAGTGTGGCTATTCCTTAAGCATCCAGAACTAGAAATACCATTTGACCCAGCGATCCCATTACTGGGTATATACCCAAAGGATTATAACTCACACTACTATAAAGGCACATGCACACGTATGTTTATTGCAGCACTATTTAAAATAGCAAAGACTTGGAACCAACCCAAATGTCCATCAGCGATAGACTGGATTAATAAACTGTGGCACATATACATCATGGAATACTATGCAGCCATAAAAAAGGATGAGTTCATGTCCTTTGCAGGGACATGGATGAAGCTGCAAACCATCATTCTGAGCAAAGCATCACAAGGACAGAAAACCAAACACCACATGTTCTCACTCATAGGTGGGACTTGAACAATGAGAACACATGGACACAGGGTGGGGAACCTCACGCACCCACACCGGGGCCTGTCAGGGGGTGGGGTGCTGGGGGAGGGATAGCATTAGGAGAAATACCTAATGTAAATGACAACTTGATGGGTGCAGCAAACCAACATGGCACATACATACCTATGTAACAAACCTGCACGTTCTGCACATGTACCCTAGAACTTAAAAGTATAAAAAAAAAAACTGACTAAAATCTCATCTGCTTTTTATTTCCACCTATATATACAACCATATGTGTGTTATAAATGTTTCTGATATAAAGGATGTGTAATAAACAATACACAAGTAAAAGGCAGACACTCTTTATTGTCAGTTCTATCTACTTGACTGATTCTCACAGAAAGCTTTGCTTCTTTTTTGCCAAAGGCTTGTATCTGAATCCATCCAATGCTTGTAACTCAACCATGATGTGACTAGTGAAATTACATACCGATCCACTTTTTGCCAACAAATTTATTGTCCTTAAATCTGATATGTGATCTGTTAAACTACTTCTTACCCTTGTATAAACTCATTAAACTGCAATCTTGTTTCAGCACTAAACACATTTTTAAGTTTAATCTACATTATTAACATCTTCCCCATCACTTTCTGAAGTCTAGAGACAATCAGCAAAACAAATCGATCCCTGATTCATGATTCATAATGTTGGCTAATTTCCATGGTGTAAATACTTCGACCATGGCCCATTACAGTCTACCAACGAGACATCACTGAGTGTGGGCCGGGAAAACGCACGTGCAGTAAGCACATTATGATACGTAATACTGGAAATGGTAGGAAGTGGACAGACTTCAGAGTTATTTAGGAAGTAGAATCTTGGCGATTTGTTAGATGCCGAGGTGAAGGCAGAGTTTGGGAAACACTGGATAGTGGTGTCTTCACTATCACAGGGAGACAGGGAGTTGAAAGCAAGCAGGGAAAGGACGCATTCAGTTTTGGATGGGTTCCATTTGAGGTGCTTGTTACCAGGAGTAGCTGAATAGGAAGCTAGATAAACGGATTTGGAGCTCAGAGGAGCAAAGATTAGAGTTGCAAATTTGGGATATATTGATTTAAATGTTGACAGCAGGTTAAATCATTCAGGGAAAAATTGTGGAGTAAGAGGAAAGGTCTGAGACCTTGAAAACTCTGTTATTTGGTGGTCACCCAGAGTAGACAAGCACGCCAAGACTGGGGACAGACAGGAAAGTGGAGCACCCCCGCCACAGGAAGACGTGTTTTAAGGAGAAAGAAGGAATTTTGCTCAGATCAGTTAACACGAGAAAGGAGAGTGTCCTTTGACTTTAGTGATGTGGATGCTACTTGCGACAATTAAAAAGGCAATTTCACCGAGTGTGAAAACGAACACGTGGAGTTGAGAGACCACAAAACTGGGGGCAGGCGCCTCTTTCACCAACTTCAGCGATGGAAAGTAGAAGAGGGTGGCAGCAAGGGTACGTGGAGTAGAGAATCTTGGAATGATGAAATGCCGAGGATACGGATTCCAGTCCAGAGGGAGCAACGGATCGGATTCTGCGATACTGGAAAAACAGAAGGTGGGGGGGGGGGCTCGGTGATGGAGGGAGCAGGTGTGCAGTTTTGCCGGTGGAAAGTGGAAGTTTCTCTTTTCTCCTGAAGCAGGCGGCAAAGACCTCTGAGAGTGGGAGTGTGGTGGGTGTGCCGGGCCCCTGGATGGGAGTGGAGGTTTGGAACCAAGTGGCCCGAGCCTGCGGTGAGTGGGCCCGCCCTGGGTGGCTCTGGCCGCAGCAGGGTCGATGGGGCGGCATGGTCTCGGCGGGAAGAACACGGCTTCAGTCAGTTCTGTTCTAAGAAGCAGAAGGTGGAGATACGCATGTTTTAAACAACTCCTCCCGGACAGGAAGAAGTGGAGTTCTGGCTGTTCTGCGAGGACGCCGCAGTCCCAGCGTGGAGACCACCGCGCAGGCGAAGCGCGAGACAGGCCAGAAATAGGGTCCCGCGCGCGGACCCCGGAGGAAAAGCGAGGGCTCACTCGGTTTCCCGCAGCCAGCCTCGCCCGACCCAGCTGGGGCCGCCCCTTCCCGCCCCGGCCCCGCCTCCGCCTCAGCTCCGCGCCCACAACCCGGCTTCCTCCTCTCCCGCCGGGTCCGTCTGTCCCTGCGCCTCCTTCGCCGCCGACTAGCGCCCCCTGGCCTGACGTCACCGGCGCGTCCGCCAATGAGCTGAGGAGGGACTTGGCTGTGGCCTGAAAGTGACGGGAGCAGCAGCCAATGGTCGGGCGGAGGGGGCGGGCCGAGACTGGTGCTGGGGGGCGCCCGCGCGCGTGGGGAGCTGCGGGAGGCGCGGCGCGGGGGGGGTCGGGTGCGCGGCGGGCGGCCCCTCCCCCTGCCAGGTCCGGGCGGGTGCCTGGAGCCGCCAGAGTTTCCGCACCCGGGAGGGAGATGCGGCCGGGGCTCAGGCTCCTTGCAGGTAACGCGCGGGGCGGCCCCTGCAGGGCCGAGCGCGCCGCGGGGCGAGCGGAGTTGGACGCGGAGCGGGCGCGGGTTCCCCGCTGCCGCCGTGTCCCGAGCCCCGCACGGCGGCCCGGGCCAGAGCGGCGCTGCTGGAGGAGTTGGTTCCGGGACCTGAGCTGCGGCCCGGGCCGGGGTCACGGGGGACGCGGGCCCCTGTGTGAGCCGCACATGGGACAAAGGGCGCGGCGTGGAGGCTGCGCGCCCCGCCCGCCGCGCTCGGGCCCCTGAGCTTCTCCGCCCGGGCAGAGGTCGCCGCCCCCAGCCCCTGCCTGCACAGCCGCGCCGGCGCTCCCTCGGCCCGGGCGCACCCGGCGCCTGCGGCGCGTCCCCGGAGCGGCCATCTGGCCGCGGGGCCCCGCGCCTGGCCGCCAGCTGGCCGCGGCGCAGGCGATGGCTGGACACAGCCGGGCCGCTTGGCCGCCTGCCCTGGGTTCCGCGGCGGCTCCCCCGCCGCGCCGCGAGCGCCTGCTACTCCACGCTCGGCTGCGGAGCGGAGCGGCGCGAGCGCGGGGCCACCGGCCCGGGCGCCCGGGGCCACCGAGCCGCCGCTTCCCGGCGTGGGCTCGGAGTTTGGGGAAGCCGAGCAGGTGGCGCAGCCACTGCCCACCTCCTGCGAACTCTGCGGGGCTTCTGGTCTTGTTGATGTTGTGGCTATGGGCTGCGTGTGTGTTTTTCTTTTTTTTAAACCACACACAAAAGAAGGGAGGAGTTAGAGGAACGATCTAGCCACTATGAGTCATCCCACACTTCGCTCTTTCCCCGGGAGAGCAAATAAATGCATGGGGAGAATGTCTTGAGAAACAGTTATAGTAGGGACTGACTAGGTCCCCTCCCTGTCCCTTTTCTCTGCAGTCCTGTCTGCGCCGGGCGCGCCCCAGATGGAGTGGGGTAAAATCACGGCCAGTGCACCTAGATAGGGGAAATGGCTACAAGCTAGCAAACTGGAAACTTTCTGGGACAGTGGAACTGTGAATATCAAACCACACACATTCTTGCTATAGGCAGCCATGGCCCTCGTGCGCTACTGAATTATAAAATGGGAAGGCCGTCACAGCAGGACGATACCTTAGCCTTCAGTAGCATGTATTCAGCACTGCACGGAGGAGGGCGGTGGTGGTGGCTCGCGCCCCTGCCTTGAGGGGCCCAGGGTCTGATCAGTCAGGAAACTGCCAGGCCCAGGGATGCAGGGTCACAAACGATTGTGTTCTCTAATCTGATTCCCAGAGGCGCTGTCACCTCTCAGCGTGCATAGGATGGCTGGCTATGTGATTGAATGTTACAGATGAGGTAGAAAGGCTGGGCAGAGGTCAGCAGGCCCCTGGATGCATGGAGGGGAATATTCTTCTGTAGGTGGCTGCTGCTAATTTTTCCAAGGGGAAACATTTAGGTTTGGTCTCGCCATTCTGTTTACCGCAGTCCAGGCTGCCGTGTCAGCTGTCATTGGGCCCTCATGGTTCACAGCTGGATGACATTTGTTTTTCTGGGGTCCCTGTGTGGGGTCTTTTTGGCCTTCTCACTGATGATTAATTTGTTTTAACCTCCTGAAAACAGAGGCTCGATATGAGAAGTTTGAGAAATTGTAGGATAAAGGGACGTCTGCTTTGTTCCAGATTCAGCCCCTGTTGAGGGGCCAGTTGATTCTGTCGCAGGAGTCAGGTAGCGAGCAGAACACTGACTTCATTCCTCCTGGGTTGTGCCCTCTGCTTGGCCTGTAGCAGAGGCCACAGTGGGTCTCTCTTTTTGTTGCTTCATAAGGTGAACTAACGATCCAGCTATGGCAGAGGAGCCAGGGAGCCCAGGCAGGACATCATGTGGAGAAGAGGGACCAGAAAGTTCAACCTAGGGCCCATCTGGAAGAAAACAGAGCATCCTTTCCTATTTCATGTCCTGACTGTAAAAAATGGTGGAGGCCGGGCACGGTGGTTCACACCTGTAATCCCCATGCTTTGGAAGGCTGAGGCAGGAGGATCGCTTGAAGCCAGGAGTTTGATTCCAGCCTGGGCAACATAGTGAGACCCTGTCTCTACAAAAAAATATTTAAAATAGCCAGGCATGGTGGCATATGCCTATAGTCCCAGCTACTTGGGAGGCTGAGGTGGAAGGGTCCCTTGAGCCCAGTAAGGTGAAGCTGTGGTGAGCTATGATCATACCACTATACTCCAGCCTGGGTGGCAGAGTGAAACCCTGTTCAAAAAAAGGGGGGAAGGGATGTAGAGAGGGTGGTCCCCCGTCTCTGCCACCTTGCTCAGACAGGGCTTCTTTTAACTGAGTGCCAGGCCTGGCTCAGGTCATTGAGGAACAGAAGTCGTTTAGTGTTGGAGGAAGGAGAGTTGGGAACAAGGTCACTGTGCATGGTTGTACAGTTTGTGCCAGACACCTGACCAAGGAAGCCATGTGCCCCGGGTCTGCCCAAAAGAAGGGCCCGCCTTTCTCAGTCGCACCAGGTCACCCGATGGGCTACTGCTGGCCCTAGTGCTCAGCCCATCTGCAGGAATAAACACTGGCAACATGGGTGCGCCCGAGACAGGCAGTCAGGGACTGGGAAGCAGCGGCTAATTTCTCCAAAATCTAACAATAATGAGAACTAGTTGTTTGCATACATTTTCTCCTTTAATCCTTACCACCACCTTCTGAAGAAAGTGGTGGTGGTACTGTGTTGTGCCAGTGAGGAAATTGATTCTTAGAAAGACTAAGCAGTTCAAGGTCGTGCAGCCGGCAAGTCCAGGTTTGTCCGTCACCAGAGCCTTTGGTCTCAACCACTGGACTAGACTGATCACTTTGCCTGGCTTTCTAACAAATTGTAGCTTTTTTTTTTTTTTTTTTGCGTTTGCTAGTGAAAGGCATTTTCCAAACTGTTCCACTATGTACGTTAACAGTAAATCCCTTCAAAGAAAAGAGCATTTGTGAGTATTTTCAGTGGCAGCAAAGAAGTGGGAGGCCTTGGAGAAAGGAGAAGGAGCCCCCTGAGATAGAGAAGCAGGGGAGTCACAGCAAGGAGGGGAGAGCCAGCCAGAACTGGGAAATGATGTAGGGGCAGGGGCGTTGGAGGTAGGCCAGGTTTCCTGCTGTCCCTGCAAGAGCAGAGGAGGAGATCATCTGAGATCCACTGAGTCAGCCATCCACTTGACTTCCCAAGAGTCTGGACCTGGCCTCCTACCAGGGCATCTCGTTGATGGTGTGGTCCACAGTCTGCCTTATATATCCTGGGGCTGTGGCTTGGAACATGATTATGCTTAGAACATATTGCTTAGAACACGTTTATGTTCTAAGCAATCTGAGGTACAGTCGCTAATTTAGGAGCACAAAGTATTTCCTGATTTAGTATTCTACTTAGAAGGCCATTTGAACCTTGACAAACGTTTGTGAAATAATTTTCAAATATTTGAGCCTGAAGCAGATAATATCCAGGCTCAGTGGCACACTCCTATAGTCCCAGCTACTTGGGAGACCGAGGCAGGAGGGTTACTTGTGCCCAAAAGTTGAAGCTAGTCTGGGCAACATAGCAAGACGCCATCTCCAAAAATATATTGCATGAGCCAATAAATTCACTATTGAAACAATAAAACAGATAACGTCAAAACCGGTTACATGACCTTTTGTCAGCTCATGACTCTATTGTGCATTTAAAATTGCTATAAATTATTTGTTTTCCTTCACATTTAATTTTCTAAAATTTCTCCCCATGTTAAATCATAGTATCTTCCTAACTATTCAGTATTTGGCTTTGTTGGGCTTTGTTGTTGTTTGAGACAGGGTCTCACTCTGTTGCCCATGCTGTAGAGCCGAGGTGTGATCTCAGCTCACTGCAGCCTGGAACTCCTGGGCTCAAGCAATACTCGCACCTCTCAGTCTCCTGAGTAGCTGGGACTGCAGGCATACGCCTCCACACTCAGCTAATTTTTGTATTTTTTTTTGTAGACACGGGGTTTCACCTTGTTGCCCAGGCTGGTCTCGAACCTCTGGGCTCAAGCCATCCACCGGCCTCGGCCTCCCAAAGTGCTGGGATTACAGGCGTGAGCCATTGCAACCAGCCTTGATTTGTTGTTTTTTAAGTAGCAGGAGTAATTTCTTTAGCTGAAATGTAAGCATAGAGGTTGGGGTCTGTGTGCTAACCTGTGTTGTGTTTGCAGTTGTAATTTAGATTCGAGAAGTGGTTTATCCTTTGACTGGAAAAGAAAAGTAGCTGCAGTATTCCCCCAGCACTTGCTGAGAGCATGCCGTATGCCAGGCTGTGAGGCTCGAGAGACAAGCAGTGGAAGAGTTGCGGCCTGTTTCATCTCTGGATTGTAAATCTGAGCCTCCTTCTGGCCCCTGGAAGGGGACAGCATCACCATGGAATGGTGTGTCCCGTTGCCTGTTGGATCTGTCTCCATCTTCACTCAGACAGAAGGCTATAGAAAGATGCCTGTGACTTCAGGTGGCCTATTTGGCTGGCTTCTTATTGATTCCATAATCTGGGGTATCCACTTAGAGATCCAGAAACAAATACATCCAAACTGCCTTCCCAATCAGGGGGCTGGAATTCTCTTTCATCTCAGCAGGAAAAGAACAGGGTCCAGGTCCCTTAGTAAAGACAGGAGCCTCGGTACCAATCAACCAGCTACTAAAAGGGATTTCCCACAGAAAATCATTCTGTGCCTCTGCTTTCAGCCTTCTGGAAGAAAGTATTAGTAATAGTAGCCGGCCTCCCCTGAGCCTTCATTACAGCCAGGCAGTGCTGGGAATCCTATTTAACCCTCATGACAACTCTAGAAGGTAGGCACTCTTACCATCCCCATTTTAGTGTTGAGGAAACAGGCCCAGAGAGGTCAAGTAAGTTGCCAGAGGTACCCCAGGTCAGAACCGAGCAGTCTTACCCAAACCTGATCCTGGTAAATCCAAAGAAAGCACCTGTCCAGGATGTGGTGGGAATGGGGACAGATAAAAAAGTGCGAGTTTGGGGGTAGGTTGAGATTTGTTTTGGCGAATTCCAAGGCGGGAAGCTGTTAGGCACCGCTGACCACTGGGCGTTAAGATGCTTTGCAGAGGGCCGCAGGGGGTGGGCTCAGAGAGGAAAGGGGTTGTGCACAGGACCGCACAACTAACACATGGCAAGGATGAGGCACAGGCATCCCCGGCGAGAAACATTATGCCCATTTGAAAGAAAAGTTCAAAATAGGATATATTTTTATCTTGACTCTTTCACCAGGATTGAAGGTCATATCCTCACACAGAATAGCCTCCCTTCCTTTCCTTTGTATGGCTCAGCCTTTTCTGGGACAAGATATTGTCCCCACCAGTCATTTCCTCTATCTGTCCTCTGTGTTGAGCCAGTAGCCTAGGAACCCAGCATTCGATCCTGTGCCCCGCCTTAGGATTTCTCTGTTCGACTCCCCTGTCTCTGTGTCAGAGTCTCAGCTCCCTGGCCTGTGTGCCTGAATGCTACAAATAGACCATAAGCTCTTTCAGAAGCAGGGTTGTGTTTTACACACGACCCTCTCCCCTGCCACACACACAGTGTGCTAAAACCCAACAATGACTATTTATTAATTTTTCTGGATTGGATGAGGTAGGATGGTAACTTTTTTTTTAAGCTTTGTAAACTGGTTCAAGGACGATTAAAAATGATTTGCCTTGTGGGGTTGATGAGGATACCATTACATTCGTATTTCTAAACGATATTCTGGCATCAGAAACCAAAGGGCATCTGATTTGATAGATCCTGTGGTCGGACCCAGGAATCTGCATGTGTCCCATGTGACTTTTCTGCCCACTAAAGTTTGGGAAGCACAGCTTCAAATTGTTACTGATCACATCCTATAAAATCATAGCATAAATGACTATCTAGCTCTTACTCACGGTGCCCACTGCAGAAACGGTCCTACCAGTGTTGATGAATATTTATACAGTGTTGTTTTTCCTGCAGATTCCTAACCAGCATAATGCTGGAGCCGGGAGCCACCAACCTGCAGTTTTCAGAATGGCCGTGTTGGACACTGATTTGGATCACATTCTTCCATCTTCTGTTCTTCCTCCATTCTGGGCTAAGTTAGTAGTGGGATCGGTTGCCATTGTGTGTTTTGCACGCAGCTATGATGGAGACTTTGTCTTTGATGACTCAGAAGCTATTGTTAACAATAAGGTTTGTATCTCAACTCTTTTCTGGTAAACTTAACTGCCCAACTGTGTCTCAGTAATCATCTAAGTATGTGTTGCATTGTTCTCTGTGGAATGTAGGTTAAGCATTGGCCTGGGCCCCGATGGTGCTCTCGATTTTTCTCTCTTTTCAACATCGCCTCCATGATTTAGTGCCTTTCTTATTGCTGGCACCAAGGTTCTGAACCCCTGCCTCAGCTCAGGCACTCCCCTCAAGAGCTCCAGTCCACATATGGATCAAAGAGGCCGTTATTCTAAGATTACAAGGCAAGGGCATTGCAGGGTGTTGCAGACTTAGTATTCCAGATTTTGCAAAACATTTCCACAGTTGTTCAAAAAAAAAAAAAACCCATCACGCATTTGCTGCAGTGATGGACGGGTGTGATCACCTGCCAGAAGGTGCATCTTCAGCAGCAGGCAGGGAGCTGGCTGCCGCTTTGTCCTTCTCCGAGACTGTCGGGACAGCCTGCTGACAGCTGCTGGGGCAGGAGGAATGTGCTGCCCATGGGCGCTGCAGTTCCTGCTTGTTTCGTGTTTGGAGATTCGGTGTTGCTGAACTTGCAGAATCCCAGTCAATTTTGCTTACCAGTGGTTGCTATGTATCAGTGCAGGAAAAATGGTAATCTTTTTCCACTCCCTACCCGGAGTTAGGGCAGAAGAAAGAGGTTTGTGGGAAAAGATGAAAAAGATTCAAGCAGGCTAAAAACCAGAGCAAGAAATGCAGAGGCAGGCAAGGCCCAGAGGAGAAAGAACTCGGAAATGGCACAAGTTAGAGCCTCTCAACAATCTGTTATTCAGAAGATATTTTATGTGTGTTCCTTAGCCAGTGAAGAAGACTTAGAGGAATATACACATTTAGCTCCCTACTAGATATAATTAGAGCAACTCTTTGTAACACTGTTGAATGCTCTTAAAAATGTGAAGTTATGGATTCTACCAAATAAGTATAAAGTCATTTTCATACTGAAAATGTTGAGAAGAACTCTCTATATGACAAGCATGTATTGTATGGGGGCAACATGACTGATTTGCATATATTTTATTTGTGATATAATATTGCAGTTGATCTCCATTTTGAGGGCACACACTAGATCATTTTTAATGTTTTAATGGGTTTTCGTTGTTGTTGTTGTTTTGAGACAGAGTCTCGTTCTGTTGCCCAGGCTGGAGCACAGTGTCACGATTTTGGCTCACTACAACCTCTGCCTCCGGGGTTCAAGCAATTCTACTGCCTCAGCCTCCCAAGTAGCTGGGACTACAGGCATCACATGCCTGGCTAATTTTTGTATTTTTTAGTAGGGATGGGGTTTCACCATGTTGGCCAGGCTGGTCTTGAACTCCTGACCTCAGATGATCTGCCTACTTTGGCCTCCCAAAGTTCTGGATTACAGGTGTGAGCCACCACACCCGGCCAATATTTATTTTTAATTCAAGTTCTTCATTTGTAATTTTCCTCAGATTCACTCAGCAGTTACTGTAGATGATTCTGTTTCAGTTCTTTTTTAAACCATGCTTAAAAGAACTAAGTAACTCTACAGACCTTTTATGTCAAACTGGTGGCTTTTTCATGAGACAGGGACAAGGTGTTACTCTGTTGCCCAGGCTGGAGTGCAGTGGTGCAGTCATAGTTCACTGCAGCCTCCGATGCCTGGGCTCAAGCCATCCTCCCATCTTAGCCTCCCGAGTAGCTAAGATTACAGTCATGCGCCACCACTCCCAGCTGACTTTTAAAATTTTTTTGTAGAGACAGAGTCTCACTGTGTTGCCTGGTTGATCTCACCTGGCCTGAAGCGATGCTCCCACCTTGGCCTCCCAAAGTGCTGGGATAGCAAGCGCAAGCCACCATGCCCAGCACGGATTGGTGGCTTAATGGCCACAGAACTGCTTTTCTCAGAAAGCTACAGTTTTATTATTTAAATTCCATTATTCATTTTGGTGAGAATATCTTGACTCTTCCACTTGTGTAAAGCAGAAGACATATAAAGTGTTAATTCAGAAACCATGTTGAAAAATGTTGGTCAGCCAGGAAGAAGAAAAACACGAGCCGTGTTGTATGTGGAGGCCCCGGTGTCTGGGTGTAATTCTCGTTCCTTCTGTGAGGTGAGGCAGATGAAGCCATTTCGTGGTTCTGCTGAGCATGGTCTTGGCAGTGTTTTTGGGAGCATCACACTGTGCCCCTTTTGTTAACTTGCTAGCCCTCCCTTTTTCTTTTCCTGGTTAATGAAAGGCACTCCTCCGTTCATTGGCACTGTGCCTACAGTAATGTGAAACAGGCTGTTACTGGATTTTAGTGATGTTAGAGACTGTTTTCCAGATGCTTCCTTGCAGTGTGGAGTTGCCTTTTTTGTTCCTTGAGATGATGATCTTCTTTGAGACAGTGGAGTTAGGGGGAATTTTAGACACAATACATCTTTTCCATAAATCATTATGAGGAAGAATTGACCTTTCTTTCTGTAGCACACCCTGCTGTGGAGGCTCCACTTAATCAAATATTTAGAACCTCGTTGGTGTTCATTTCCTGTTCAAAGGGAGGAAAAGATCCTCTGCCGAAGCCCTTCACAGCTGACCGGGTACTTCTGTAAGAGTGTAGAAGAAGGTAGGCTTCCAGGCTTGTCACTGAGTCAACGAAGGGAGCAGGTGCCTCACATGACCTTCACAGAATCTCTAACCTGCTCTTGGGGAGTGGTCAGTGTGCTCCTGGCTTCTGAAGCCGATGCCCATGGAAGCAAATGTCACCCTTAACAGTGGACATCAGTGACCAGCTTTGCATCTGTCACCTCTTTTCAAGCCTTTCCCTTTGAGTCAGCAAGCACTTAAGTCGCAGGTGCTAAGTCGCATGGTGGCTGTGGACCTTTGTTGCTCTTTGGGGCCACCCATCATTTGACCCATTTCTGTTTGGGGCATTCTTAGGTGCTCAGAAGATGATTTGATTAGGGAGCTGGTACAGACGGGCTGTCCCATCAGGTGCGCCCACCTGTTGGAATCAGGAACTGGT
Organism: Homo sapiens; assembly: GCF_000001405.40. NCBI lineage: Eukaryota > Metazoa > Chordata > Mammalia > Primates > Hominidae > Homo > Homo sapiens. The sequence goes on along the minus strand of NC_000013.11, from coordinate 100,665,569 downwards.
CACGCGAGGTGGGGGCCCAGAGGCAGCCAGGCAGTCTCTGCCAGGTGCCCGGCGCATGATTTGTGGTTTTGCTCCTGCCACGTGGCCCTGCCCTGGCTTTCCAGGCCACAGGAGGGTCTGTGAGCTGCAAACTCCCCTTTGAAGAATTCCCTTTTTGTTTAAATTAATCAGAGTTTGGTTACTGCGATGAAGAATCTTGATGGACAACCCGGGGAAGTGATCAGCATGTTGTAATTTCTAGTCCCTAAAACACTCCTGTTTAATTATGCTCTAAAGAGAAAGTTAATCTGTCATTTTTCTTACTTACTCCACCACAGTGCCTTGTTTGCCTCTCTTCTCATTAGACACAATTTAAGCCATCTACTTTCATCTTTTGAATGTAAAACAATGCATTTTTAAACATCTGTAGTATAGTACCAAATTATCTCAGCAGTAAGAGCGGTACAGTGTTTTTTTTAATATTTAGTGACTTTTGTCTGGAAAAATTAAGGTTTTTTTTCTGATTTCATAGTCTGCTTAGCTCATGATCAAAAATGGAAACTTAAAAAAATATGTTTATCCATACTTAACTGGGACATTTTGGTAAGTTACCTTATTTAATAGATGTGAGAGGTTAATAGTGATCTTATTTAGCTGTGTGGTCCACTTATTTGACACGTATTAAGCACCTTCTGTATACAGCCAGCAAACCCAGATGTGGCCCAGTCCTCATGGAGCCCAGTCTAGTGGCACAGAAAAATAGTCATGTGACTGTAAGTTGCCAGGGTGCCACACATTGCTTGACAGGGTGAGATGTCCAGAGGCCTATGGAAGAGGGATGGGATCAGCTCAGGAAGGGCAGAGCCAGGCAGCTGGGAGATGAATGGCGGAAGGAGTTGAGCCATGAAGAGTTGAGGGTGACTGTCCAGGGGTGACCCGCACGTGCAGAGCCCCTGGGTTGGGAGCTGGCAGAAGCACAGCACCAGAGCTATGGGCCTGCAGAGTTCGGGGGAAGCCAGGGTCTGCAACAGCCCCTTCAGCATATCAGCTATGTCCCAGGAGGGTGAAAGCTGATCGGTGTTTGAAGCCTGGTGGGGTGAGCCCATGTGTATTTCGAGATATCAACATAGAGAACATGTTGGGCACAGCATCCCCGCTAGGAGGCCTGACTGCATCCCAGGTGAGAGATGGAGGAGCTTGGCTTAGGGCTGATGGGAGACCCTTGTCCAGAACATCCCCTTTGTGACCCTGCAGGACCTCCAAGCAGAAACGCCCCTGGGGGACCTGTGGCATCATGACTTCTGGGGCAGTAGACTGAGCAGCAACACCAGCCACAAGTCCTACCGGCCTCTCACCGTCCTGACTTTCAGGTAAGCTGTGACATTGAAGGGCCTGGGAAGGTCCCTCCCAGCTTGTGTGTGACATTGGATACAGGTGTGTGTCACCAGGTTCTCAGCATTCAGGAGTCTAGTCAGTGGCTCCAGGTGGGGTCTGAGCTGCTCATATACATGGGTCTCTAGGTGCAGAGAAGGCCAGCGTGGCCCCTGTGAAGGATGACGTGCACATTGGTGGTGTTTCATATTTTTCTCAGTTCTTGGAGGTTTGACCCTTTGCTGGTTAACACCAATGGAATAATATGAGTGAAAGCATCATGGGGCCTCTGATGAAACTGATTTTTTTCACTACAGAAATAAATAAGGTATAAATCTTCCTACTGTTACCAAGTCAATATGCAAAAGCAATATGCTGCTTAAAAACAATCCCCCCTCCGTTAATCAGGGAGCCACTTGCACTTAATAGATGCATTTACCTCACAAAGGTTCTCGTCCATACCTGCTCCTCGGGTGCATTTAAACACTTGTGAGTAGACGTCCCACAGGAGCATGGGAGTGATGAATTGGAACCACCAGCAGCTGAGAAGCAGTCAGAATAGGAATCCCTGCCAGCGGAGGGTGTTTCGTTGGGGGAAGGCTGGTGGGCATACTGATGAGGAGCCCTTTTTTGGAGGATAAGCAAGTTATAAGACTGTCTTAAATCCAGGTCCCTAGGGGGTAACCATGAGTAGTGTGTGGAATATTATATCTTCTTGGATTGCAGCCTTGCCCCTTCTGCACTTAAAACATCGTCTAGCTTTCCTTTCGATTTTCCTCTGCAAGTTGCTTCAGCGCCACTCCCCTTGGACACATATGTTTCATCCGTTTTTCCCTGTAGTTAATTACATTCCCACCTTTTCCACAACCTTCTTAGCTCGACAGGCATTATTTATCTTGATGCTGTTTTTATCAAGCTGGCACAAAGTCTTCCGCTTCTCCTTTTAATATTTCCACACACAAGCCTTCTCCTCCAGACCTTTGCCATTTCTTGCCGCATGCCGCTGCGCGTGTACCCTGAACACCCTGTGTTTCTGCAGGATTAACTACTACCTCTCGGGAGGCTTCCACCCCGTGGGCTTTCACGTGGTCAACATCCTCCTGCACAGTGGCATCTCTGTCCTCATGGTGGACGTCTTCTCGGTTCTGTTTGGCGGCCTGCAGTACACCAGTAAAGGCCGGAGGCTGCACCTCGCCCCCAGGGCGTCCCTGCTGGCCGCGCTGCTGTTTGCTGTCCATCCTGTGCACACCGAGTGTGTAAGTGTCGTCTGCCCGAGGCATCTGTATGCACGTGAGAAGCGATATGACACCCCCATGTCGCCTGGTTTCCTAAAACAGGCTCCCTTTATGTACCCATCTTGGTTCCAGAGCTGGAGAAAGTCTACTCCACAACATACTCTAGAAATAGAAAGGACACTACATAAATACTCTGCCAGACATTTGAAACAATTCTGTCTGGGGCAGAGACATCTCTTGTGAAAAAAAAATGCAGAGCACCATGTCGGTGGGGACTGCGTGATAAGGTGTGGTGTGATCTCTGGTGACACTTTCTGTTTAGCTTCTAGCATAACACCAGCTGTGAAGGCACGGATGTTAAATATTGTTGGACTTCGGGGTCTAAAGTTCAGAGGCTAAGAACTGTTCTTCAGTGGAGGGTCTGATGCAGTGTTTCTGTGTTCGCTGACAGCTTTGTGATTTATAAAATCCTTTCTTAGACTTAACATGCTTGTTATGAAAACGCTGTGACATCAGCGGGGCTAGTACAACAGTTCCACTTTAGGGATGAGGGAATGGCCTGGCAGGATAAAAATTTATCCAGGGTGAGGAGCAAGTGGATGTCGGGCAGGACTTAAATTCTGGGCTTCCCAGGCCTCCACTGAGGAGATGCTGATGTACTTGGTATTGAACTGGAAAGCGGTGCCTGCACTCTGCTGGGGAGCTGCTGGTGAAGTCTCTCCACCCTCCTCCACCTCACCCTGATCACCTGGGGGAGAGGATCACACAGGGTGAGGTGGAGGAGGGTGGAGAGACTTCACCAGCAGCTCCCCAGCAGGGTACGGGCACCGCTTTCCAGTTCAACACCAAATACATCAGCATATCCTCAGTGGAGGCCTGGAGGCTGCATCTCCATCCCATCGCGCTGCCTCTGTGTGTTTGGAATAGGCTGTGCTGGGATTTCACTAGGCATTTGTGAAGTTGTCAGGAACCGCCCCCTGCACCACCATGTGGACCCTTTGAAAATGCAAAAGGCAGCATGTTTGCTGAGGGACAAGATTTGACTGGAGTCATTCATTCTGTGAGCACGAAGTGCCTAAAATAATCACATACACTTTATTACTTCCCTCACAGTAGACTTCTCGTTTCTTAGGGATTGAAATATCTACATTTAACCAATTGCATGTTGCTTCTTGAAGTTTCAAGATGCTGAGCAGACGTCCTGTTTTTAGCATCTGACTTTAGTAAATTGTCTATTCTTCAGTATCAAGAGTGTTGTGGAGTTGTTATCACACCCTCCTCCTGATATCTTTTTAAATCTTTGTTTTTTACCTCAGCAAATTCAGAGAACATTAAGGGCTGAATAGGCTGGGGACTGCTGTGTAAAAATTTAGTTATAAGCTCTTTATATATAACTGTGACCGAATTAGACTTTGTTTCGATCTGAGTTCTCTCTGGGACCCAGATATAGTGCAGCCATTGATCCTGAATAAGGGACTGGAAGAGAGGGATTCACTGGAGAAGTACTGATTCTGTCTTCCTTCTCGTCTAATTTAGCGTGATCTTAAAAGCAAAATGAAATACTTGAATTATTAGCCAAGGAAAGTTTTCTAAAATTCTCATTTTAAATATTCAGAAGTTGATTTATAAAAAGGTTTCAAGTGCCAACAGGTATAACTGAATGTGCTTACACACACGTACACACTCACACGCACACATTCTCTCTCACACACACGCACATTCCAGGTAAATGCAACCTGGGAACATGGTAATCTTGAAAGTCCACATTCCAGATGGTTAAAAGGAAACTGAGGCAGACTAGCTCTAGGAGAAAAGGGAGCATTTGAAAAACCTCTTTCTCTCTTCCCCTCCCCACCATGACATCCATTCAAACTCAGATTTGAAGAAATACTTGTGGATAATTAAGAGTTAGCATTGTAAGACAGATATTTTGTACATTTACCTTTCAGCGTTTCTGCAGATAGTATTCAGTTTCCTTCTGTCTGCATTCCCCTGTTATCTCCTACCCTGCAGTTAAAAATTCCAGCTTTAGGCCAGGCGCAGTGGCTCACACCCGTAATCACAGCACTTCGGGAGGCCGAAGCAGGTGGATCACTTGAGGTCAGGAGTTCCAAACCAGCCTGGCCAACATGGCGAAAAACCGTCTCTACTAAAAATACAAAAATGAGCCGGGCATGGTGGTATGCCCCTGTAGTCCCAGCTACTCAGGAGGGTGAGGCAGGAGAATCACTCGAACCCAGGAGGCAGAGGCTGCAGTGAACCAAGACCATGCCACTGCACTCCAGCCTGGGTGACAGAGCAAGACTCTGTCAAAAAAAAAAAAAAAATCCAGCTTTAAAAACATACAAAGAGTGGAACACCCAAGGAAATGGGTGGCAGGCGAGCTCCTCCCAGGTGTTGACCAACACCGAGGAGCCAGCCCCACTTTCTGGCTGGCTGGGCCAGCGGCCTGAATGCTGGCCTTGGGCACAGCAGCCCCAGCCACATAGATCCCTGTGAGATGAGGACAATGGGGATTTGGTTAGTAAACTGCCTCAGTTTACCCCATTTGTCTCAGTGTACATTTATTAGGAGACAGTAATAGCAGTATAGGCTCCTGCAGTTTTAGTGACATGAATTTCTTTTTTTTTCTTTTCTTTTTTTTTTTTTTTTTTGATACACAGTCTCACTCTGTCACCTGGGCTGGAGTGCGGTGGCACAATCTTGGCTCACTGCAACCCCCACCTCCCAGGTTCAAGTGATTCTCCTACCTCTGCCTCCCAAGTAGCTAGGACTACAGGCGTGCACCACCACATCCGGTTAATTTTTGTATTTTTAGTAGAGATGGGGTTTCACCATGATGGACAGGCTGGTGTCGAACTCTTGGCCCCAAGTGATCCACCTGCCTCAGCCTCCCAAAGTGCTGGGATTACAGGTGTGAGCCACTGCACCTGGCCTAACATGAATTTCTTTATATTAACATTTATATTAATATGTTTTAGGTCTTTACCACTCTCCAGCATTTCACACTGAAAATGATTTTTCCCACTGCAAATAAGCACCTGAATTTTCCAGTCTTCTAGGGTGATCAGCCATCTAGTGTGCCTGAGATTGAGAGGGTTCTGGGACTGGGGATTTTCCATTTTAAAGCAACGACAGCCGGGCAAATGGGGATGACTTGGGCACCTCACAGTCTTGCCCCCTCCTGGCCTCTGCTTGGTAATGCTGTAATTGCAGTCGGTGTTTTGTGCTCCTCAACTCATGGAATGTCTCTGTTTTTCTAATGAACCACCGCACATTGCTTCAAGTGGTTTGTAGACACCCAAACCCTCTGACAGGCCAGTCCCTACTGCAAGGAGGAGAGCCTGGGAGGGCCACACAGCCCCTGGTCTGCTGGTGGCTCTTCAGCTCTGTGTGGCCATTAGCAGGAGGACCCCAGCGCTTCCCTGAGGACAGAAGTGGCTTGTGTGGGCTTTCCTTTTTGTTTTCCTCAAAGTGTTGGGGAAGATTTCACTTTGTCTGAATTCCAACATCAAGGAGAGAAGCTCAGGCCCCCTTAAGAGTTCTGCCTGTAGCCAGGTGTGGTGGCGCATGCCTGGAGTCCCAGCTACTTGGGAAGCTGAGGCAGGAGGACTGCCCAAGCCCAGGAGTTTGAGGCTGCAGTGAGCTATGATCACGCCAGTGCACTCCAGCCTGGAAAACAGAGTGAGACCCTGTCTCTAGAAGTAAAAAATTAAACAAAATGTTTAAAAAGAGTTCTGTCTGTCTAATGAACCCAGACGTTAACCCAGAAGGAATCGGGAGGGGAAACCTTCCCCATCCCCCTAATTCCTTTTCATGGCCCCCATGCAAATTGTACCTACTGGGGAAACAATGGTGCCGCCTGCTTTAAGGATTCAGAGGGATTGCAGTGATTTCTCCAGAAAACTCTGAGTGTTTCACAGTATTTGTGAGAAAAAAAATAGCCTTTGTAGAAAAGTTTGCCTAAAAATACATATTATGCAAATATCAGAAAAGGAAAAGAAAATGTTTTCTTGCTTATGTACATTCTCAAACAGTGATTGGATACAGTCCCTCTCCTTGGGTAGTTTTTTAACATTCTTTTAGTGAAATCTCTCTTAATTACTATGCCAAAAAAATTCATTGTAAATACTAAATGCTCTTTTGCTTTAAAACACTTCCCATACTTTAAAAATTTTGTTTTTCTTTATGTCAAGGAACATAATGTACATTGCTCAAAGTCGTGGGATGGTCTTCAGCAATTAGCAGAAAGAAACATTTCTGTAAAAATAAGCTTTTGATGTTTAAATTTCATTTTTGGTGATTCTTCAAATCTACACTAGCCACCCAGATAGCAAGTGGTTTAGGCAGCCTGGCCCTCCTGGCCTCTAGGCCTAGTATTTTTCCAAACCACTTCCTTCCCCCTCATTCACCTCACTTCCCCTTGGTCTCTGACACCTGCTCCCCCTGTTTCCTGTGACCCTGTTCTCTGTGGTCCCCTTCGGACAGGCTTGTCTGGATTGGCTTTTATTGCTTTCTCTTCTCTAAAGGGTTGGGATTCCAGTCCATCCTGAGGTGCTGTAGATAGTCACAGCTCTGAGATGCTCCTGTCTCCTCTCATGTCCTCCTGGCGTGAGGACCACAAAGCCAGGATGCACCAGCTGCCTCCTCACTCACCCGGGGCTGCAGAGATGATACCTGAGCTTCTGCGTCCTCTGTCCTTTGCCTTTCTGCTACTCCTGTTCATAGACATACCCCATAGGACCCACCAGGGAACTCATAGTCAGCTGCACCCACCCTGTACCAGGCTCTGTTCTGTGTGGCTGCATCTCTGACTATTTTACTGTGTCCCTGATGGAGTGAGTTTCCAGCCCTGAGTATTCCAGAGCGCTCATTGCATATTCATTTCATTCATAAAGCAATTGGATTGTTCCCCTCCAGCATACTGGCATACTTGTTCCAGATCTGTTAAGCCTTTGTTTTGTCCCTGGCTTCCTTCTCGGTAGTGTTTGTGTGTGTGTGGTGTTCACTGGGTGGATTTATCAGCTTATTCAATTTTCCCAGCCATCACCTGACACCACGGGCTGCCACGTACCAACCATCAGGAGGTCACAGTTACAGTGACGAATGGTCCTCGGCATTTCGTGTATAACCGATGTAGGGGAATCTGCTCCTAAAAGACATCCTGTTTCAGCTATTGACTGCACATGAACTTGAGAATCATATGTAAATATAGTAATTTCGTAGTCAGTGTATATTTTCTTATCTTGATTTATAGAAGAGTCCTTTATTCTGCAGCTCATATATCACATCCCCATCCTTTGGGAAGGGATTAACCTACCAGCCTTTAAAGCGATACCTGGACAATCACAGCAGAAGCTTTGGTTCATGTCACATTCAGGTGCCAGTTAGTAACGAATCCCACCTAAACTAGTCCAGTACCCCTGGGGGGAATTCTGTGTCTTTCATCACGTACAACATTGGGAGAACAATTACTGGAATAATCAGCCTGAAGAAAGAAACACATAGTTGATATTGCTTCATTCTTACTGAGGAAAGGAAGGGCAGAGTCACCATGTGGAAAATGTGGGAAAGAAATGGCAGAAATTGTATTCTGTTCTCATCCTAGTTGTTAATCACTCTTGAAGCATTCAGCTTTCCAGGTTAACCCACTTAATCAGTTTGGTCTGAAGGGAAGAAAAAAGAGCAGAGGCAGCTTTGAAGGATTACTCCTGTGTCTTTTTCTATCGGCAGGACGGCTTTTCACACTTCTCTCACACCTTTATGTCCTTCATGTTTCCAATCACATTTTATTTTTTAAATATCATGACCTTTGAGCTGATAACATTTTCCAATTGAAAATCCACTTTGTGACCTCAGAAGACTAAGTCTTTGGAGCTCTTGGGTATCGTGTGTTAAAGAACACAGTTTTTATGGCACGTGCATATCGCCGTCTGTGTCCAGCAGAATAGCTAGCAGCAGGTTCAAACCAATCCAGTGTTCTCTTGAAGCAGTTAAGTCAAGTCCTACACCCAAAAGGGAGGAGAGAACTGATTGTAAGATAACACCAAGCACTATTGCACAGCTACATCATGTATTTATTTTAATAGGTGGCAGAGTCTAGGAAGTTTCTTGTTTTATATGTCTAAAGAATTTGGTTTTGGCTAGGCACGGTGGCTCACACCTGTAATCCCACCACTTTGAGAAGCAGAGGTGGGTGGATCACTTGAGCCCAGGAGTTCAAGACCAGCCTGGGCAACATGGTGAAACCCCGTCTCTACAAAAAATACAAACATTAACCAGCTGTGGTGGTGTGCGCCTCTGCTCCCAGCTATTCAGGAGGCTGAGATGGGAGAATTGCTTGAGCCCAGGGGGGTTGAGGCTACAGTGAGCCAAGATCACACTGCTGCACTCCAGCCTGGGTGGCAGAGTGAGACCCTGTCGCAAAAAAAAAAAAAAAAAAGTTATGTCTCCTAAGTTTAGGATTTCCTTAAATGTGTTTTATGTAATTCTTTGTTTTCTTCCCCCTTTTTTAAGGTTGCTGGTGTTGTCGGCCGTGCAGACCTCCTGTGTGCCCTGTTCTTCTTGTTATCTTTCCTTGGCTACTGTAAAGCATTTAGAGAAAGTAAGCATTCTGTTTGCCTTCTTAATTTTCCACCTTCTTCATGTTTTTGTCCTGTTGAGCAGTGTCTTAACATACGGGAAAGAATCCATCTATGTGAGTGTGTCACTCTGAGGGGATCTGGGCCAGAGGATGCATAAACTCTCTTTAGATATGTATGTCTATTTGTGCCATTGCTTTTTCCGTAATGCAAAGCTCTGACACTGGTGTTCACACTGTGGCCTATCCTATTAGGTATTGAGACCAAGAACAGAAGCAGCAGCAGGATTGAGTTTTGCCATTTTATTTCCTGCAAAATTATAGGATTGCGAATGATTCCAGGACAGGCTGTCCTGTTTTGATGTTCTAGGTATTTATTGCCCAGCTATCCTTTCATAGCTTCCAAAGGTGGCTTGGAAAGAGCCAGGGAGATTTTTCATACACTGTCCCTCCTTCATCCCATCCTGTCCAGACTGAACCCAGGCTCAGGCCCTGTCTTGGAGCACCTGCAACTGCCCTAAGGCACAGCAGAAAGGTGACCCAGTGGCCCTAGCCTGTGCCAGTGCCCACTCAGGGCATGGTTACACCCAACCACTCCCACCCCCTTTTATTATTATTACCTTATCAAGCCTGGATAAAACCACCACTTCTTCCCATCGCTCATCGGTTTTCTGATACATTAGAGAGTTTGGGGACAGCTGAGCAGAACACCTTCAAGTATTGAGAACAGTGGTGGTAACTTTTCTTCCTGTAACTTAGCAATAATGCACTGCAGTCTCTTCCTGGGGTAAGGGTCTCCCCACCTATGATGATTACAAATCTCCCAAGAGACACAGCCGCCAGAGACCTGGCGAGGTTGAATTGGCCGGCCCCATAATGAATCGTGTGACTCTTCATGAGACAGTGAATCAGTAACAGGACTGGGAGGGAGGGGTCCCTTCACTACCTCACTGTTAACGTTCACTACAGATAATGGTTCTTCCTTTTCAAAAGTTGGCAATTAAATCTGAATTTACAGATACAGATAACAGTTTATCAGAAATCATATTTTTCCTGAAGAAAATTTAAAATTAGGAGTTGTGGGCCTGGTGCGGTGGCTTACGCCTGTAATCCCAGCACTTTGGGAGGCTGAGGTGAGCAGATCACTTGAGGTCAGGAGTTCGAGACCAGCATAGCCAACATAGTGAAACCCTCATCTCTACTAAAAGTACAAAAATTAGCCAGGTGTGGTGGCGTGTGCCTGTAGTCCCAGCTACTCGGGAGGCTGAGGCAGGAGAATCGTTTGAACCCGGGAGGCGGAGGCTGCAGTGAGCCGAGATTGCGCCACTGCACTCCAGCCTGGGTGACAGAGTGACACTCCGTCTCACAAAAAAAAAAAAAAAAAAAAATAGGCGTTGTGGCTTTTCTCAAAGACAACTCTAAAGTTTCTGAAAGTGCCATTTTATTGATGTTAACATAATTTTAACTTATCCTCCCTTAAAGTCACTACTCCTTGTTCTGAATGGATTTCAAAGACATCAGAGTGATTTTTGAGGAAAGTACTAAACCTTGATAGATTTAACATGTGGGGGACATCATTTAGGAGATATGATAGAACCTGTCACTACTTCTAAAGATTGCTCTTGTGAAATAATGAAAAAGCTATTATGATACTAAACACTCTTCCATCGAGTGAACAGATACATGTATTGGCCTCCTTTAATGGTGTATTCTCACAGAAAAGTGAAAAGGCTAGACATTTTATATTCTTTTTCTGGAACCTTTTACTCTTCTTTTTTCTGTTTTAATTCACAAATTTGTATATTAATATATATTACATATATATTTTTGATGCATTTGTAAATTATAAAATTATTTCCAAATATCCATACAAAAGATACTTTTTAAATAAAGCTTTTGGCAAGAAACCAACACCAAAGTTAAAGGTACTTAAATGTGTGATGGCTGTTCCATTATTAACACTTTGACTCATGAGAAATAGGCAAAGTATATTTCAATACTGACATAAATATATTAACTGTAAGTACCAACATGACCTTTCTTTTTTGTCCGGTAACATTCTTTTAGCATTTGTAATGTTTATTTTAAAATTGGAAAGAAATTATGAGGCCTTTAATGTTAAATTTGTAGATGTTTTTGAGAATGTTAACCTGGGCATTTTTGCATTTGCAAACCGATAGCAGTGGTAGATGTGGCTTCCATAGAAAGCTTTTTAAGATGACTAGATTTTGACTTGGTTGAAGTTACTTGGGGCAGTTAAAAGACAGATAGGTGGACTGGGAAGCCTTTGAAGAATGCTTTCTGTTGACCTCTTGTCTACAAGCTGCCCCGTCTTCGTGGGATCTGTTCTCTTGTTAACATGAACCCTCTTGAGGAAAAGGAAAGCGTTCATTTAAATGGAGCCGATGGAGTCACCACCAGAGTGGTCTCTGGGCCTTTGCAGGCACCAACAGCCTCTTTGGTCTTTGGAAAATACAAAACTACAGTAGTTTGCATCTTCTGCTCATCCAGGCTTTGGTGTCTTGACCCTGAAACTGATTGTTGGGCGTGCATTTTGTGTCCTTCCTGTCCCCTCATGGTGTCCACCTGCCCTGGCAGGCTTTGAGTTATGGATCATCACAGTTTTTCTCGGCAGTGTAAAGCGGAGGGTTTAAAACACCCATCCTCGAGCTGCAGTTCCCATCATTTGGAATTGGCTTTCACTGCTATTTTCCATTCCCACTCATCGCTTCCAGATTTCCGACAGAATGATTGAATTCTGCCTCAATTCCATCACAGGCCTGGAGGCGCAGAGCCACGTGGATTCTTGAGAGAGGGCCTTAGACACACTGTGACCAGCTTACTTGGGGGAGTCCCCTGTGTCCCACATGTGAACAGGTCTCTGACCCCTCCCCAACAAGGTGCTGTACCCTGAGACCCACCCTCTGTCACTTCAGGACCTCAGGACTGGATGCCTATCCCCGTCCACCTCGTTCCCTGGCCCGGCGACATCAGAACAGCCCCTCACGCTGCCAGCCCATCTCTCCCCTCCTCCTCACAACTCCCAAAATTCCCTTTGTCTGAGCAACCCCAGAACCGGGGCTAGTGAAGTCTGCTGGAGCCTCTCCTAGTCTCTTAGCAGAGGCACTGTTCTTAGCGACTTTTCTGTTTCTGATTTTCCATACTCCTTTTTAAACATGCGAAGAATAGAATGTGCTTCTTTGTTGATAGATTACAACTCTTTGGAATAATCCTTGAACATCATCATGTTAATGATCAGTTCAGTTCGTAGGGTACTTAAGAGTCTTTTTTAGGAGGAGAAAACTTGCTGCAAATTAATAATACCTTTACAGAGAAGAAGCAGTAAGAGCCCCATATGCAAAAATAATTCCGGTTAAGGTGTTCATGAAAAGCCATGGGTTTCTGATTCTGTTCTAAAATAGTATAAAGGCTTATTGATTTTAGTCATTCATTCCATCACCAATAGTTAATCAAACTTTAAGGGCGTTTCTTGTACCAGGTCAGGTTTCCGGTGCTGGGGATACAAAGACTAGAACAACAAAGTTCATGCCCCTGAGGGGCTTACCGTAACTCCAGTATATTTTGATTAAAATAAAGCTTCCATGATTCAGAATGCCTACAGAGCAGAATATTCTGGTTCTCCTTCCTTTCCTGTTGACTTTTTCCTTCCTGTACCCCTCATAGCAGGCACTCAGTAAGGATCCTTTCTTTTCATGCTGTGTTTATGCAGAGTGGGAGGCCATGGCCTTTGTTCTACTTACTTCCTTCATCTTCTATTAAATTTCCTTCAGTACAACAAAACAGAGCTCTTGATCCTAATGAAAATTCAGGTGTATATATATATATTTTCATTTGGATCAAGAGCTTTGTTCATTTGGTGTTTGAGATATCTTAAACAGTCGCATGTTTATTTATTTATTTATTTCGAGACCAAGTCTTGCTCTGTTGCCCAGGCTGGAGTGCAGTGGTACAATCTCAGCTCACTGCAACCTCTGCCTCCCAGGTTCAAGTGATTCTCCTGCCTCAGCCTCCCAAGTAGCTGGGACTACAGTCACCCACCACCACGCCCAGCTAGTTTTTGTGTTTTTAGTAGAGACGGGGTTTCGCCACATTGGCCAGGCTGGTCTTGAACTCCTGACCTCAAGTGATCTGCCCACCTCGGCCTCCCAAAGTGCTGGGATTACAGGCTGAGCCACCGTGCCCAGCACTGGTTTTTTTGTTTGTTTGTTGTTGTTGTTTGAGACGGAGTTTTGCTCTTGTCACCCAGGCTGGAATGCAGTGGCACGATCTTGGCTCACTGCAACCTCCACCTCCCAGGTTCAAGTGATTCTCCTGTCTCAGCCTCCAGCCATGTTTTTATTTTACCCTATGTAGTCAGTACAAATTGTACAAAAAGCTGAGTGGTAAACACATGTATTTATTGTCACTGCAGTGATGATTTCTTGTTCCAAGTGCCCATGTCTATAAATGTTCAGCAGAGAATAAAAACTAACTCTTCGGTGGTAGACAAGTCATTTTTTATTGAGATACAAATAGTAATGCTATTTAATGTTTAAATTTCAGGTTTAACGTAACCCTGGTCTTTGTACTTTTGGGATCTGAACATAAATTCAAAGAAAGGCCTAATATCAGAGGAACAAGTTTAATATTATAAGGGAACAAAAAATTAAGTACTCTGAAATTAATGATTCAACTAGTTAATAAATTCTTTCAGAGAATACTTTTTTTGGTAACATCATTAACTTTTTTTATGGATGGGACGTCTTTATTATAAAGCTCTGGACGATTTTTAACTGCTTGAGTTTATTCTGTCCTAACCTCTGGAATCCTAGTATTTTCAGAAAATGAAAAATGTACTCACATAACATTTCTGGGGCTCTGCCTTTTTTTTTTTTTTTTTTTTTTTTTGGTGCATAAATAGAACATCTAGCAAGATCTTTGCAACAGAATTTTTTAAAAGTAGATGTCCTCATAAAGGAAGCATACATTTTCTTTAAAAAAACAAACAAACAAAAAACACTAGTGAGATGAAATCAATGGCACACTGGGTATTACTTCTGAATGCCCAAAACAAAAAGTGTTATTCTTACAATGAGGCATCTTGTATTTACATCTCTCTTAAAGCCTGGTATTTCAGATTGGAAACAGATCATCTCTGCACATTAAACTTGCTAGAATAGCCAAAACAATTTCGTTTCTAAACTGATACCTTAAAATACTTGTCTCATGGGAGTTAAGACCAAAAGAAGAAATTTATTCTCATTTATAGTGGGGAGAAGAGAGTCTTTTCCAGAGGGGGATGGATTTTCTATATACCTAGAACAACCATTTTAAGTTCTAAATTCTTACTCATAATATCAAAGGCAGGATCTCAAATCTCCATTGTTCTTAAGCTATATAGCTCCCCTTAAGCTGTGTAGTTCTATAGCTGTATAGTTCACCTTAAGCTGTATAGTTCAGGCACTAAAATGGGATAAATCTTGCTCTTGGGATATCATTGCCTCATATTTTCATTCTGATTAAAGACACCTGTTTTTCTTTGACTTAGAATCACACTGCTTATAAAATAGGGCAGTTGGCTAACTCATGTCCGATAGGACGCTTGGTTTTCAATTTGGGGCCATTGCTGACTGCATTCTGACGGTGGGAGTCATGCAGATTCTCTTTTCCCTGTTTCTTTGGTTGCTTCATTGCTTGATTTTCCCCCAAATGGACCCGTGTTTTAGACCAGCAAGCCTGACTTCTTTCATTCTGTGCATAGAAGCACGGCTTGGTCGTTCCAGCTTTTGGAACGCGAATCTGATGCTCATTGTGTTGCTCTGGCAGAGAGAGAGTCGCGGCCACCTGTCGGGGTGGCGTGGTTCCCACACACAACATGACGTGCCAGTTTTGAGCGGTGGAGATGCCAGGCATAGAGTGGTGAAGAGGGGTAACTTGTACAACGTGATGCTTTTTCTGAAAGGAGATCTTCCCACTGGAAAGGAGTGCCAAATCCGAGGCACGTGCTTCATTAAATGGATCACATCTGCTGGCACTTGTGGGTGTTAGCACTGACAAGTGTCTTTCTGTCATTGCATTTTTTTCCCTGTGCCCCCTTCACTCCATTAGCCTTTGCCTCCATTTACCTAAGTGAGTGAATTCTCTTAGATGCTAGAGACAATATACTGAAACGAGAAGAACATTGCCTAGGCATGTCTCTGGTCAATTCTGGATCGTAAACTATTGATGTTTGCTAATGCTGCATAATTATCCTAGAGCAAGTTGTCTTCTTAAAAGATGAGAGAGGCAGCATGGTGTCCAAATGGTTTTTGTTTTTTTTTTTCCCATCCTCTCCTGGGTCATTGGTATTTAAAATGTAACAGTCTTGATGGAGAGGAGATGGAGAATGCTGGGGAAGAGTGATGTCCTCAGATGCTTACATAGAGCCATGCACAAGTTAGAATTTTAAATCTGGGGAAGATTTTTCTGAATAAAAATATTTATAAGTGCAGCTGTGTTGGAGGTGACATCTGCCACTCAGAATTTATTTGTACTGTTTTTAACAGTTACTTCTAAATTTAAAATGAAAATATTGATCTTCTCCATAGTTTTTAAATATTAAGTAATTTTTATTTATTTATTTATTTATTTATTTATTTATTTTGAAGAAGAATATCTTAATGATGGCGATTCTTCCAGTGTGAAGGGGTTCAAAGATTAAATTAAAAGTGAAAAAGACCTGAATTCTGGCAGTATTTGTCCACACTGAGCAAATGATTAACTTTTGGGTATTAAATTACATCTCATAATTGCAAGAAAAATGTAATATAGTAAGACTCTGATAGACATAGAAATAAATGAAACTATTTATTGATTCAACAGATGTTTATCGAGTGCCCACTATATGCAAAGTGGCCTACTATTACCTGTCTCAATTGTCTTATTAAAATGCTCACACTTGGAAATAAAATAATGGTTTGCATTTGTTACTGTATAAGAACATAGCCACAAAAGCACAGAGTCTAAATTCCTCTAGATTATATGTTGATAATTATTAGCATTAGTCACCTTCACAAACTAAGGCTTAAAATAAATCTTAATTTGGGGAATTATGTGGGCAGAAGTTTGATGGAGCAGGTCATATTTCCAGAAGTCCACTAGTCTGGGCCATCTAAACACTCAGAGCTAGTTTTTCACTTGAATTTTTGTAAGGCCTTTTTTGTTCACCTCCAGAACTGGAAGCATTTTGTCAACGCTGTATGGGCTGGCCTTGGTTTATCATTCATGCACATATATACTGCATATATATAAAGAGGACTCCTTTCATTTATATGAAATGGTTTTAAAATATTAAATTAAGCTTTCCAGTTTAGATTCTGGGAAACTCAAAGTGTGTGTGCATGCTTAGTCTTATGACTGGATAAAATATTGAGTGGCAGCTGGGCACAGTGGCTCACACCTGTAATCCCAGCAGTTGGGGAGGTCAAGGCGGGAGGATCACTTGAGCACAAGAGTTTGAGACCAGCTTGGGCAATATAGTGAGACCCCCTTTCTCGACAAAAATAAAAATTTTTAAAAATTAGCCAGGCCTGGTGGCATGTGCCTGTGGTCCCAGCTATTCGGGAGGCTGAGGCCGGAGGATTGCTTGAGCCTGGGAGGTCAAGGCTCCAGTAAGTCATGATCATGCTACTGTACTCCAGCCTGGGCAAAAGAATGAGACCTTGTCTCAAAACAAAAATATACCAAAAATTGTTGAGTGACTAATCCGGTAGGGATTGGAGAAAGAGTTGGCTTTAAATAGGCAAACTCATTTCCTATTTTCTGAGTTTTCAAGGACAGAGCTGGATACAAACATAGCAATGTGCACATTATGTCATCTGTGAGCTGGGTCTTTGATCACATGGTCTAGACACTGCCATGCAATCGAAATACCACAGGAGCCATATGTGGCATTGAAAACTTTGAAGTAGCCGCGTTATAAAAAGAAACAGATGAGATGGATTTTAATAATATATTTTATTTGCCTTGATATATCAAAATTATAATTCCAACATATAATCAATATAAAAATATGAAAATGTTCACATTTTTTTTTTCATACTAAGCTTCCAAAATCGGTTTTGTATTCCACACTAACAACACATCCCACCTGGGACTAGATACATTTCAAGCACTCATTAGCTGTAATGATTACTTTCTTGGAGAGTGGTGGGTCTAGAATGTAGTGCTCACTAGGTTTATCTCTGACCATTGAGCCCTTGCCTTTGATCTGAAATTGCCACAGTTTTGAGAAGTAATACTTAATATTTAATAATTGCTGAGACTGAAGACACTTCTTCAGCAAAGAAACATTACCTTCATCTTTCATATCTTTTCATGCTGGGTGTGTTTGAAGCAAAATCGGAAGTCTAAGGAAAAAGAGTAGGACTCTTCTGTCAGAATTGCAATAGAGGATGGGAGAGGTGGAGTTTAGAGTTTGAGAGTGTGGTGAAATTATGAGGTGAAATTAGGGAGAAGGTTGTCAGTAAACCTGAAGGCTGTGTTTTCTAGTTGTTATTTTTCTGTTTTCAATTAAGTCTCTGGTTTAACCTTGTAAGGAGAAAGCCATTTTAAATTCCAGATAAGAGGACTATCTAGAATTCTTATCTAGAGGAATTCTAGAGGAGCCCATCACTTTCGTGTCTGTGTCATAATTTAGCTTTGTGTTAATAGAGTGCTTTCAAGAGCTGTCTTTTGGGCATTTTTAATGAAGGAACTAGGAATATTTTTCTTTTCAAAGTCCATGGGGGAAAATTAATCCATGTTACAGTCAAGTAAAAATACAAGATAATTCCGTTTTTCTAGGCAGAAATGTAAAATCAAGGAACTTGCTTTTGAAATTAAGAACAGAGACTGTTACATTGGGGAATGTATTATGTTTAGTTGAGAAGTACCAACACAAATTCTGAGAGTGAAAGAAGCCTACAAAAAACAAATTCAGGTAACAGTTTGGTGGGATGGGATGGGGTGGGGTGGAGGGTGTCCATTTGGTTTCTAGTGAGCTATGGAGCTGAGCGCCTGGTCAACTTGAAAACAATGGATGGAGCCCGGCCATGGCACCATCTCCTCGTGCTGGGTCTAGAGTGGCCGGCAGGGGCCAGGGGTCTCTTGCTCTGTTTATCTCTGGATGAGATCCCATGGTAATTAATCAGGTCGTTTATAATTAAAGGTTTTGTTTACAAATAAACTGCTAATAGGAGAAAATCCTAAAGGTAGTTTGACCCAGACTCAGGAACATGTGTCACGGGAAGAGAGGCTGTACCGAGACTGAGTGGACAAAGCCACCCATCTCTCATGACGTGGCGGAAGGCCCGGACTTCTCCGAGGCTCTGGCATGGACTTGTAAGCTGGACGCTGTGCTCTCTCGCTAAAGCTTGTGTCCCTTTCCCCAAACCATAGCCTAAAAGAATTCATCAATCTGTTAGTTTAGGGTTATTTCGGCCATAATTTTTTTTAGAGCTTTAGTGCCTGCCAATACTTATCTGCTGATGAGTGCTAGCAAATGCCCACATGAAACAATAAATACGTTAAGTGCTCAAATTGGAATTATGTGTAATTTAACAGGGTTTTGTTGTTGTTGTGGCTCCTTATTGTGATCTTTTGACATTAGATACATAGAAAGTAATTAATTTCTGCAAGTAAAATGATCCTTAGTTTGCTTGATGGATCTAAGCATACTGTTGTGTAATGGTATTCAGTAGAGGAAGCCTGACTTCCGGGCTCCATGCCTCCTGAACAACTTGGAGGATCGCTGCCCAAGGGCACAGCTAAGACCTGAAGTTTAGGGAGACAGGCTTGGGCTCAGCATTTAGAATAATCTAACAACCCAGAGTTTAATGAAACGGGCTGTGGTTTGAAAATTAATCCCCACCAGTGAAGTTACTCAAGTCGAGGCCAGGTGGCCCCCTGCTGGAAGCATCTTGGAAGGGATTCCAGCATTTCCATCCTTGCAGGAGAGATGATGCACAGCCTCTAAGAAGCAGTGTTGACACCTGCGGTTCCATGATTTGTCGGGAGCACAAAGCTTATTGCACCCCTTTTGATAGAGAGTAGATAGTCACTTCACTCACTGAACATATACTGCCCTTCCAGCGTCAGTCGGGCCTGCTGATTTAGTCAGAACAATTTTTAGTTGCTCCTATGAGCCAGGCATGGTGCCAGCCGTCCAGCCGTGAACAGGCTTACTCTCAAGAGGGTGCACCCTGCCTTTAGGGAGCATCAGAGCCACCTGGAAAGCTTGTTAAAGGCCGATTACTGGTTCCCATCCTCAATTTCTGATTCATCAGATCTCAGTGGGGCCTGAGTCTAATAAGATCCAGGTGCAGGTTCATGGACCACACACCCGTGAGTGGCACTGGTTTAGGGCAATGGTTCTCAAGTGGGAGTGATTTCCTACC
Source organism: Homo sapiens (assembly GCF_000001405.40). NCBI lineage: Eukaryota > Metazoa > Chordata > Mammalia > Primates > Hominidae > Homo > Homo sapiens. The sequence goes on along the minus strand of NC_000013.11, from coordinate 100,645,989 downwards.
CTCCCCACGCCCCTACTGACATCCGGCAATATCTGTGACATTTTTGATTGTCACCACTGAGGGGAGCGGTAGGGGGTGGTGCTACTGGCCTCTGATGAGTAGAAGCTGAGGGTACTGCTAAACATTCTGTGATTCACAGGGCAACCCCCCTCCAAAAAAAGTAAGTAGCCCACATGTGATGAGTGCCGAGGTGGACAGACCCTCGACTCGGGAATGACAGAAAATCAAGTGCTTGTGATAAACTCTGTGAGGAATATTGTGATAGACTGTGATCAGGGCAGTTTAGAGCACTACAGCTGGGCCTAACCTAATCTACGGGGGCAGTCAGTGAACAAGGCTCACCTCACAGCGGCAGTCAGGGACTTGGAGCGGTGCACGGGGCTCACCTGCTCACAGGGGCAGTCAGGGACATGGAGAGGTGCACGGGGCTCACCTGCTCACAGGGGCAGTCAGGGACATGGAGAGGTGAACCGGGCTTACCTGCTCACAGAGGGCTCACCTGCTCACAGGGGCAGTCAGGTGTGCATACAGCAGGGGTGTTTGCTCTCTTAACTGTGGAAGGAAACAAGTGAATTGCAGAGAGACCTGCCTGAGAGGGTGGGGTTTGGCTTTTCACAGCATAAGTGACATTTAACAGCTTTATTGATTGGGTAGGATTCTGCCAGGACTGTTCTGCCCCAAGGGAACTCAGTAAGCACACCCAGGTGAGAACCTGCAAGTGGGCAGTGGTGGTGGGCCTGGAGTGAGTGTATGCTGGGAGGGGCTGGAGAGGGTTCGCGGTGGCCACTTCAGCAAGGCCTTTAAAGCCACGGTCAGAAGAGGAACCATTATCCTGAAGGCAAAAGAGATAATTAGAAGGCATAAAACAAGAATGTTCAGGCCGGGTGCAGTGGCTCACGCCTGTAATCCCAGCACTTTGGGAGGCCGAGGCGGGTGGATCACAAGGTCAGGAGTTCAGGACCAGACTGGCCAACATGGTGAACCCCGTCTCTACTAAAAATACAAAAATTAGCTGGGCGTGGTAGCGTGCATCTGTAGTCCCAGCTACTCAGGAGGCTGAGGCAGGAGAGTTTCTTGAACCCGGGAGGCGGAGGTTGCAGTGAGCCGAGATCGCACCATTGCACTCTAGCCTGGGTGACAGAGCGATACTCCATCTCAAAAAAAAAAAGTATGTTCGTTGTGTTTTATGAGACAATGGGATCTCAGTTAATGAGGCTTTCCTGTCGATCAGCTGGCCTTGTGAAAAGCTTTAAAGTGCCTCAGCTATAATAGCCAAGTCAAGTCAACTTTTTGTATAATAGCTATTCCATTTGTTTGTATTTTAAATCTAGAAATTTGATACGCAGAGATTCTCCCCCCAAAAAGCTGAAAGGGCCAGACTTTCTGCTGCTGCTGGAGACTGTGTGGGAGTGAGGAGGCTGTCCTAGCAGCCCAGCTGTATAGCTGCAAGCTGCTAGTGTTGGGCACATCAGGAGTTAGTCCTGCTCATGGTTCATTGAGAGCCAGGGGCCCAGCTGGGGACAGGCCTTCTCATCTTGACAGGGTCTCAACCCCATTGTAGAGCATTTGAGGTGAAGAGCGCCTCCCGGCCGGGCGCAATAACTCACGCCTGTAATCCCAGCACTTTGGGAGGCCAAGGTAGGCGGATCATGAGGTCAGGAGATGGAGACCATCCTGGCTAACACGGTGAAACCCCGTCTCTACTAAAAATACAAAAAATTAGCTGGGCATGGTGGCGGGCGCCTGTAGTCCCAGCTACTCGGGAGCCTGAGGCAGGAGAATGGTGAACCCAGGAGGCGGAACTTGCAGTGACCCGAGATCGTGCCACTGCACTCCAGCCTGGGCGACAGAGTGAGACTCTGTCTCAAAAAGAAAAAAAAAAAAAAAAAAAGAGCGCCTCCCACCCCCAGGCCAGAACGCACTGGCTGTTTTCAGGACAGGAAGGCCTTCCATCCTGGGGTGTTGCTGATTCTATCTCAAGTATTCACAAGTATTTTTCTATCCCTCCTTGCAGGGTCTGCAGGACACACACAAACACTTGTTAATTTCCCCAGCAGGCAGTTTAATGAGAGTCACGGTGTATTTGTTACACTATCCAGTTGTCTGGCACATTTTGTGGCACAGTGGCTGATCAGCCACCCACTTGACTACTGCATCAAAGCCCCATTGGAAATTCCATCCCCCTCTAAGCTGACCAGGTTTGGCTGACCCAAGTACCACAAACATTAATTAAATGATTTCTGTAGTCCCAGCATTATACCAAGTGATTTTTAACATGCTTAGTTTTTAACATAGTCTTTTAATATACACACATGGTTAAAATAATGTAAAGAGTACTGAAGGTTATGTAATGAAAAGTAAGATTAAAAGTAAGACTTTCTCCCTCCTCTACCCCAATTCTTCATTTTAGAACTTCTCAGAAACTAGTCAATTTCTTATGTGTTGTCATAGAGATATATTTTGCATTTGCAAGCATTCTTTATGAGTTTTTCTCACAAATGGCCAGGTGTTCCTATGTAATTTTTTCCTTTCGAATATATCCTGAGGTCGGTAACGTTGCCCCCACGTTATAGGTGAGTTCCTTGAGACCGTGAAAGTCACTTGCTCAGTGTCACGCAGTGAGTGGCAGAGCTGGCATTCAGATGCTTACATAGAGCCATAGGCATTCAGACCGGGAGTTCCAGGTGTAAGTGGAATTGAACCGAGTAATGCCAGGCGAGCTAACAATTGGATTCTCCAAGAAGGTTCGCTTTTGTCCCACTTGATACCGATCTCTTTTTTATATGTTGGCTTATTCATTTAGATGAAGAGTGGGGACTTCACAACGGAGAGGAGTATCCATGCAGCTTCCCTCTCCTCCCTAGTAGTTTAGTTCTGGCCCCCAAATTGCACGCACCACCGACGAGATAGTGTACAGCCAGACCCTGCTCGCAGAAGGCCACTTAGGGACCAGTGGTGGTTACTGGAGCTGCCACCCACCTGAGCTTCTTACAGTGTTCACACGTCTGGGGATGTTTTGGCTTCTTGTTGGTGCTCGAGCCCCCATGCAGATTGGCAGCCCAGCCTGGTCCATGTCTTTACCTGCCCCAGGTGCTAGGTAGGTGCCAGCTCTGTCAGTAGCTGTGTATCCTTTGGTAGGGGTTGGAGCTGTTCCACACAGGGAGCAGAGCAGACCCATCCTAAGCCACCTGGTGTCCACAGGGCCCAAACTCCTATTCCAGGAGTAGTGGAGATTCTCAGAGGCATTCCCAGCAGCTCCATCATGGCAGCAGCAGTGACCATTGGGGTCATCTTGAAACCAGATGGACTGTTTGCAGTCTCAGTGAGAGTTCTCAAAAAGACTCGTCAGAATGGTCTAGCAGGTGACTGGTAGGTTGGGAAGAAGGTACCTGCTGCGTGGGGACTCTGGCATGAGACGTCTTTGTGGCCAGGGCTTCATGACAGTGCCTCCCAAAGGCCCTGGGCACGTTCTCAGGAGAGCCTTGAGTGGGGACATAGGTACCATTTAGAAGGTGTTGTCTAATGCACTCTTGCCCACAGAGAAGTGCTGTCTGAAGCCCAAACCCTGTTTTTAAGTTATGGTTGTTTAAGGTATTTGCTTAGAATTTTAGTTCCTGATGCTAAAAAACTGAGCTGCATTCCATGACTTTTGCACTGATCATTTCTCTTAATTGGCAGGTAACAAGGAGGGAGCGCATTCTTCCACCTTCTGGGTGCTGCTGAGTATCTTTCTGGGAGCAGTGGCCATGCTGTGCAAAGAGCAAGGGATCACTGTGCTGGTGAGAGCCGCAACATGGCTGGGGCCTGCTTTTTCTGTGTGTCCTTTTCCCTCCTATAAAGACATCTGGGGCTGGCCCTGCCTCTGTGGCGTTCTCCACGCCTACATCCCATTGCTGGCCTGAGGTGATAGACCTTTCTGGACAAATGGCTTTCGCTGTCACAATTCTGGCATTGCAGATGGAGAATTGACTGACTTTCTTGACAGTCATGTGCAACTGGGGAGAAATGGTGAATGAGGAGTTCTTAGGGAGCCATGATGAGTGCTCTTGAGAGGCCCTGTAGAAAAAGATAAAAGAATGGTTTGAGTTTTCTGGGATGCTTGTACATATTTCAGCAGTCCTAGATCACCTAGGACTGACCTCATCAATGGTTTTGATCCTGGATCTAGAAAGGCTGGTGGATAGTTTAGAAATGAAGGAACAGGGCCGGGCGCCATGGCTCACGCCTGTAATCCCAGCACTTTGGGAGGCCAAGGCGGGCAGATCACCTGAGGTCGGGAGTTCGAAACCAGCCTGACCAACATGGAGAAACCCCTTCTCTACTAAAAATACAAAATTAGCCAGGCGCGATGGTGCATGCCTATAATCCCAGCTACTCAGGAGGTTGAGGCAGGTGAATCGCTTGAACCCAGGAGGCGGAGGTGGCGGTAAGCCGAGATTGCACCATTGCACTCTAGCCTAGACAACAACAGCAAAACTACATCTCAAAAAAAGAAAAAAAAAAAGAAAGAAGGAAAAGATGAAGGAACAGGAGTTCTGCAGCCACTCAAAGCCTCACGTGCACACACATTCTGTCTCTCTTCTCGTCATTCCTCCACCCCCAGCGGTTACCTATGGTTATAGTTAATCACCACCCAAGTGCAACTTCAAGCAACGCTGGAACCAAAGTGTTCCATGGTCACAAATGTTTGACCTGAAATTACAAGATTAATAACTAGTCTAGTATTTAAAGGAGAATCTGTAATGGTGCTAATGTTTCTAGTGGGACTTTGTTCTCAGAGAACTCTTTTTATGCCAGATGTGCCAGGTAATCACGTGTTTTAACTTCGAGCCTTGAAGTCTCTCTGTGTGTAATATGTGTATACACTGTATTCTCTTGGGGTACATTGTTTTCCTGGAAAAAAACTGTACCTCGGCTTCCACCGGCAGTGTCAGGGGGGTGGGGGAGGGCTCTCTGAAGCGGAAAGACATCTACCTTTTCAGTCTGATCTGAGTAGATGCTAGGATTAAAGACCCAGGAAAGGAGAGGTGTTGAAATCCATTTTTCTTTTTCTCCATTCTAACCAGTTTCCTGCTTTCCATTGCTTTCCATTATTAGAAGAAAATATAGAAATTAAGGTTGTGAACAGAGGTAGAGAAATGGAAAGATATGGAATTTTTTTTCCCTTTTTTTTTTTTTTGAGACAGAGCCTCACTCTGTCACCCTGGCTGGAGGGAGGGCAGTGGCGTGATTACAGCTCCCTGCAGCCTCAACGATCCTCCCACCTCAGCCTCCCAAGTAGCTGGTATAGTGTAGGTGTGTGCCACCACCCCAGCTAATTTTCTAAAATTTTTTGTGGAGATGGGGTCTCCCTGTGTTGGCCAGGCTGGTCTCAAACTCCTAGCCTTGGGGTTACAGGCATGAGCCGTCACGCCTGGCCAAGTTGTGGGATTAGAATGATCATATAGAAATAGCTTGGAAAGGAAAGAACAATTAAAGCTGTCTGGGGCTTGATACAAGTCAAGGCAAAAATTAGTGTTTTATTAGGTTGTATCTATTAAGATTAAGCTAGCAAAGAGATGGTATAGGGAGAATTACCATAGAAAGATACTTGAATTTCATGAGTTAATTTTTTTTTAATTTGCTCTAAAACAGTGTTTTTCAACCTTGGCACTATTAATGTTTTACAGCAGACAGTTCTTTCTTGTGGGGGCTGTTCTGGGTTTGTGGGATGTTTAGTGGCGTCCCTGGTCTCCACCTACTAGATGCCAGTGGGACCTCTCAATTGTGACAACCTAAAATGTCTCCAGACAGTGCCAAACACCCCCCTGGAGGGCAAAATCGTCCCTGAGAACTGCTGGTTTTAGAACCTTTCCCTAATACGAAGTGTGGTTTGAGGACCAGGAGCATCAGCAATATCTGGGAGAGGGTTAGGAATTCAGGATCCCAGGCCCCACCCCCTCCCCAGGCCTGCTGAGTCGGAATTTCCATCTACAAGGTCCTCGGGAGGCTCCTCTGTGCAGTACTTTATTTTTTATTTTATTTTATTTTATTTTATTTTTATTTTTATTCGAGACGGTTTCTCTCTTGTCGCTCTGGCTGGAGTGCAGTGGTGCAATCTCAGCTTACTACGACCTCCACCTCCCAGGTTCAAGCAATTCTCCTGCCTCAGCCTCCCGAGTAGCTGGGATTACAGGCACATGCCACCACGTCCAGCTAATTTTTGTATTTTTAGTAGAGACAGGGTTTTACCATGTTGGCCAGGCTGGTCTCGAACTCCTGACCTCAGGTGATCCACCCACCTCAGCCTCCCAAAGTGCTGGGATTACAGGCGTGAGCCACCACGCCAGGCCTCCTCTGTGCCGTTTTTCAGGAGCAGGAGAGAGTTCGGTTGAATTTACATGAATAAAGATACAGTGAAAGGTAGCTATTCTCAAAAATTGGATTAAAATGGGGCCATTTTGATGATGCATTTAAGAAGGAAGGGGGCAGTCTTGTGTTTGGCTCAGGCCTCTTCACCACATGAACCTGCCACCCCTTGGTAACTGTCCTGCAGCTCACAGGAAAACTGTGAGAAGACAATGGCTGCTACGCAGGGAGCATCTGCCTTCTAGAAAGTGGTTTTCAACCAGGCAGAAACGGTCTTCTGTGACCCACTAAGATCATGTCTCACATGGGTGAATAAAATCAGAATTCTTTGAACTGATTAACCCAGCACTGGCCCATGTATTAGATAATTAGTGGCTCCCAGCATTTCTGGGAGAGGGTTAAGTAGGGATGTCATCCTTGCTCTGAAAACCACAAATTACCACTGACTTCTGATGATGTGTGATCTCCTTTGCCGCAAAGAAGATCATATTAAAGAGACCCAAGTCATTTAGGGGCAGCTTTAACAATATCCACTGAGTATGTGCAGACTGCTTTATCCAGATTGGGCAGGGAGTTCTGTCGATGACACTGCCTGCAGCAGTGACATTTATAGAAAGTCCATGGCAGGAGAGAGAATAGAATCCAGGGCCCATCTCTCCTTTCGCCTGTAACTACAGGTTTAATTTTACCGGCTAGAAAGTAACTATCGTGGTGCTATTGGAAACTGTTAACATAGGTGGACTGCTAATTGAAGTTATTTGTTGTTCCCCTCATGGGTCATGGACAGAGCTGTAAATTGATAGAGGTGGCCGTCCTCCACACCACGGCCCTGCCTGGCAAAGGCCTGCTCTCATCAATGTGTGGTTTCCAAAGTCACCCTGTCCATCTCCATTCCAGCCAGCTGGAAGGGGAAACCAAGTGGGAATGTGTGCCCAAGTTTTACAACCAAACATCCAAAATGGTACGTGTCGCTTCTCCCACATTCCATAAGGCTAGAACTCAGCCCCGCAACCTAGTTTAACTGCAGGGGAGGCTGGGAGATGTCATCTAGTTGTAACCCAGCGAGAAAACTACTGGACAACTAGATTTCTGCACAAGAGATCTCCAGAGCTCCATTAGAGATTATCATGTGTGTTCATCCCATTTCTAAAGATGCCAAAGTGCACTGGCACTTAAGGTTCACTTACATGGCTGGGTTTTTGAGGTTGATGGCTGCCTTTATCTTCCAGTATGATTACTGCCCAGGAAAACACTCTGTTGCATGAACTAAAGGACTGTTTTATAGTGACCAAAAAAAGTGGGGAGGGGGTATCTCTCGAGGGCTTTTCCTAGGAATCCCAAATTTCTAGCTATCCTGAATCTTGTAGAACTCCTACACGCAGACTGTGAAATCATTACTATCAGGGGCTTACTAAATAATAAATATGATCTATTACCTTGAGCTAATTTCATAGAAACGTACGGCTGTTATGTGTTTTTTTAAAGAGCTGCAGAGGTCTTCCGTGATTCTCTAGTCTATGTGTTCCTTGTCTAGATTGAGTAATGAAATTGTGAAGTGTAATTGCTGCCTAACACAGCCAAGCTCTCCCGTGGCTGATTGTCTTGCTTTGCTTTCTTAGGGTTTAAATGCGGTATTTGACATCTTGGTGATAGGCAAATTCAATGTTCTGGAAATTGTCCAGAAGGTACTACATAAGGACAAGTCATTAGAGGTGAGTCTGTACTTTTATCTCCAGCCCAGACATGGAAAATGTCAAGTACCAGCTGATTTAAAATGCCATTCTCAAATATTCCTTGTGATTTTGAATTCTACAATAACCAGCCTTTTAAAGCACAGTGTTGAAGCAGTTCAGGCAGAATTGCTGCACATCTGTACCTGGCTCAGCCACACTTTTATGTGAAAATCAGCCACCTCTGGGGCTTTGCGATGTCCTTGCAGAATCTCGGCATGCTCAGGAACGGGGGCCTCCTCTTCAGAATGACCCTGCTCACCTCTGGAGGGGCTGGGATGCTCTACGTGCGCTGGAGGATCATGGGCACGGGCCCGCCGGCCTTCACCGAGGTGGACAACCCGGCCTCCTTTGCTGACAGCATGCTGGTGAGGGTGAGTTCTGAGCCTGCCGCCCCCTGGACTCTTTTCTTCCCCCACCAGATTCCCAGATCCCTCACCCCTCCTCCTCGTCTCACTCCTCTGCACGCCAACAAAATCCCCAATACACGCGCCACCTCCATGTTTGCTTGCGATCACTAAAGATGTTCTGGGATGAAAGCAGGTCTTCCTGAGGGGGTTGAAAGGGCATGCAGAAGCTCCTTGCATTTCCGTTCTAACAAGGAGTAAAGAGGGTGGTTCCTTCTCACATCAGGGTCCTTGCCAGTCCCGTGAAAGGGCTCCCTAACCCTGTGGCTGGGTTAAGGCTAAATATAACCTTCTTGGTGGTATCTTTAGAAGACTAGTGGTGTCAAGACTATTCTTTTAGATTTGCCTTTTTTCTAAAGGCAAGGGTATCAAGCCACAGATTCTTAGCTGTGCATTTCATAGAGACCAAAATCAAGAGAACAGCCATCGAAGCCTGTTATGTTATTGGGTGTATAGGTGACCCTGGGTCCTCAGATTTAGAGGTCACAGGCTTCAGGCAGCAAATAGATCATAGCTTTGCCAGAAATATAACGAATGTATTGCATAGTCTGATGGCTTTGCCATATTTTTATATACCAAAATCTGAATACATTTAATACATTTTTACAGACTATAGTCACATACCCAATACACGTTGGCAACATTTTATTTGATACAACTGCTTTCATTGAGCAGAAGCATATGAGTGCCTCCAAAGTGAAGTTAGTGCGTATATATGTGTTTTTTAAGTTCAGTATCAAATAGATGTTTGTTCTCCTTTTGACTGGCAGGCCGTAAACTACAATTACTACTATTCATTGAATGCCTGGCTGCTGCTGTGTCCCTGGTGGCTGTGTTTTGATTGGTCAATGGGCTGCATCCCCCTCATTAAGTCCATCAGCGACTGGAGGGTAATTGCACTTGCAGCACTCTGGTTCTGCCTAATTGGCCTGATATGCCAAGCCCTGTGCTCTGAAGACGGCCACAAGAGAAGGTAAGAGGCAGCACTGAATCTTAAGTTCCACGCTGGTTGAGTCAGAAGCGTTTTGTGAAATCCTGCGCTGATCATTTTTATGATTTTGTGGAAGTCACGTCTAAGGACATTTGTTTCAAATGCATATTTATGGCTAGGATGAGTTCCATCCATTTGGAATCCATGGCTGGCTTCCGCGGGTGGGGAGCGAGGCTGGAAGAGGAGCTACGGATGACTGCTTCATCCCTCCCTTCCCCTTTCCCTAGGAAGTAGCATTTTGCGATCCTTTTCACCATAGGTGGTAAAGAGTAATTTACGGTCAGAACAGAGAGTGTAATTGATGTGTGTTGTGCCCATTATTGCACAATTCTTCCTCAAAACACCCTGGTGAACGCTGCCATGATTCCCTCTGTTGTAGCTGGGTACAAAATAAGCCATTGCCCCAAAGAGACTGTTCTTTCTTGATGGAAAAAAAAGTTATTGAGAAAATAATTGGGGAAAACAAATGTGTTTCATGAAAAAGAAAACTGTTTAAGGTGATTTCCTTTAAGCCTAAGTGTTTATGGAATTAGATTAGTAATGTCTCAAAATAAATTAAGTTTTAAGTTTACCTGTGTGTTGAATTGGTTAGTAATTCTAAGGAGCCACAAACTTTAGTCCCAGTTCCCTTATCCACAGAAAATGGGATTTTTATAGAAATACTGTAGCCACAGGGCCCAAGAAGGAGCCACCAAAATTGACCTAGAGTCTTAATTCATCCTCTTGCATCATAGGGGACATTGGGAATGATCAGGTGGTTCCAGAAGTGTTTCAATGCTCAGCTTCGTATCTCCCTGACTGAAATTTATGGTGGTGATGTAGCAACCAAAAAATGGTATTTGTTTATTTCAAATTTCATAAACTTTAAACTTACTTAAGTGTTATTATTCTCATTACATTTTGGAGGAATTTTTTTTTCCCCGTGAAAACTGATTGGGACAGTTTTTGAATTAATTGAGACCAACAATATCCACTGAACTGTTCAGTACCTAAATGGTTTGAGGCATAGTGAGGAGTAGGTGAATTAATAAGGCCTCAGAAATGCGATCATGCTAATTTTCTCCATACGAATTGTATGGCTTTTGAGTTTTACCCTTAGACTCGCTGTGAAGTGCCAGAGGAATATTTTTGTGCCTTATCCACATGCTACCAAGCTAAACTGTCTCTACTGATGATATCCTTTGGCTGACAACAATATCTTTTCTCAGTTGATGCCATGGAAAAGAAAAGGTCTTTAGCATTAATTTAATGTGGAGTAGGATGTTTTTCTTGAGAAGTCTGGAAATAGCCATTTATTTAAATACTTTTCATCATCCAGGATCCTTACTCTGGGCCTGGGATTTCTCGTTATCCCATTTCTCCCCGCGAGTAACCTGTTCTTCCGAGTGGGCTTCGTGGTCGCAGAGCGTGTCCTCTACCTCCCCAGCGTTGGGTACTGTGTGCTGCTGACTTTTGGATTCGGAGCCCTGAGCAAACATACCAAGAAAAAGGTATCAACTGAGAGTGGTGCCAGCTGATGAACAGAATGACCGGATGCATCTCACTGGTGACAATTACCATGTCTTTCTGTTCTTAAGAAACTCATTGCCGCTGTCGTGCTGGGAATCTTATTCATCAACACGCTGAGATGTGTGCTGCGCAGCGGCGAGTGGCGGAGTGAGGAACAGCTTTTCAGAAGTGCTCTGTCTGTGTGTCCCCTCAATGCTAAGGTACCTAGCTGCCAGATTTCTTTTAAAGGGACCTTACTAGGGTATCTGTTAAGTTCTTGGGCTGAATAAGAACATTTCCTGTCGCGCAGTATTTAGTGTAAGACCATGACCGAATACTTGGGTTTTTCTTTGTTATGTATGGTTTTTTTTAATGATTTTGATAAGATTCATTAAAATTCCACTCAGCCAAAATTGAAAAGAAGTCATTTAAAAGCAGACAGTATCAATGAAACAGATGACTCTAATGAGGTCTTAATCATCTTCCAGATGATCTACTCACCCTTTGAAGTAGCTTCAGGGGAGGTGACATTGCGTATTCAGACTGAGGGTGGGCACGGCACAGATTCTGATGTCTAGAGCACACTTTTCAAAACCCACTCTCTAGTGATAGCATTAACTAGCCTCCTCCAAGCTGGAATTTAAAGGGGTAGTAATGCCTACAAATTGGCAATAATGTAGTTCAGGAAGTTTATGCTATGTGCTGCACAATAGTACACATTTATGTCACCTTTGGGTGCCCTGCTAGTGATTTTTTGGGGGTCAGATTAGGTAAACATAAATGTACATACAGTCATGTGCCATGTAACAGTGTTTCAGTCAGCAAACCGCATATTGCATATATATGACCATGGTCCCATAAAATTATACCTTTTTTTTTTTTTTTTGAGACTGGGTCTTTCTCTTGTCACCCAGGCTGGAGTGCAGTGGTGCGATCTCGGCTCACTGCAGCCTCCACCTCCCGGGTTCAAGGGATTCTCCGGCCTCAGCCTCCTGAGTAGCTAGATTACAGGCGCTTGCTACCACACCCAGCTAATTTTTGTATTTTTAGTAGAGACAGAGTTTCACCATGTTGGCCAAGCTGATCTTGAACTCCTGACCTCAAGTGATCCGTCTGCTTCAGCCTCCCAGATGCTGGGATTACAGGCGTGAGCCACTGCACCCGACCAATATTTTTACTGCCTCTTTTCTATGTTTAGATACACAAATCCTTACCATTGTGTTACCATTGCCTCCAGCATTCAGTACAGTCACACGCTACACAGGTTTCTGGCCTAGGAGCAGCGGGCTAGACCACACATAGCCTAGGTGTATAGTAGGCTTTACCATCTAGGGTTGTGTAAGTACACTCTTATGATGTTCAAACAATGACAAAATCAGCTAACAATGCATTTCTCAGAATGTATCCTTGTTGTCATCAAGTAATGCATGACTGTACTCTAAAATTGGCAGTGTTTTTGTTTGAAGCAATCTGGTAGGAATTTTTTCACTTGTATTCTTGATGAATCCAAGCTCTTCACTTGACTAGCTGTGCCTCTTTGGGCAAAACTACACTTTTTAAAACTTGCAGTGCCCTTTTCTATCAGAAGTGGATAATACCTATCTGCTGGATTTGTTGTTAGGGCTGAATGAACTAAAATGCCCTCACACGGTGGCCAGCAGTAGGTGCTCAGAAAGTGTTAGCTTTTTTTTTTTTTTTTTTTTTTTTTTTTTTCCCTGAGATGGAGTCTTGCTCTGTTGCCCAGGCTGGAGTGCAGTGGCCTGATCTCGGCTCACTGCAACCTCCGCCTCCCAGGTTCAAGCGATTCTCCTGCCTCAGCCTCCCGAGTAGCTAGGACAGGCATGCGCCACTATGCCCGGCTAATTTTTGTATTTTTAGTAGAGACGGGGTTTCACTATGTTAGCCAGGCTGGTCTCGAACTCCTGACCTCGTGATTCGCCCATCCTCAGCCTCCCAAAGTGCTGGGATTACAGGCATGAGCCTCCGCGCCCAGCCAAGTGTTAGCTTTTGTAGGTTCATTTCAGTTTGGGTTTTGCATTATGTTGGGAAGAGAACGCTATTTGCTCAAAATGGGGGCCAAGGGGTTAGGTTAGAAGAATTTTCTTTTAGTATAGATTATTATCATGAAATAATGATCATTCTCTCTTAGGTCCTCAGCATAAGAGCTGCCTAGATTGCTTAAATGTAATCCTCCTGGGTGGAGACGGGGAGCTCTCTGGATCTGTTTCATGTCTATGTTCCATATTTAAGGGAAAGCAGTGATTTCAGACAAAATTATATAAACAAAACTAATGAATAGTTGACATCTTATTATGAAACTTAAGTAAAGAATAATATATAAGAGATGCTGGCTACTTATCTTTTTCTTGGATTAAAACCTGTCATTCATATTTTAGTTAAGAGACTTAGATAAAATAGTGAATTACTTTCAGCTTTTATCTTTAGTTTGATTTGTTGACTTATCAATTTATTTTATGCTACCAAAAATAAATTGCCTGTGATTTAATTTCTTAAACGTTAATAGATCTGCTTTATTTTTCCTTTACTGTTTGAATCGCAGTAATTGCCCCTTCTATGTGTGGAGTTCCTCACCACAAGGAGTTCAGATTTCTTTACAGAGGCTCTATAATTCATCTCTATTATCCTCTCACTCAGCTTTTTAGAGAGACAGCGTATTATTTTCTCTGTTTTCCCAGATGGGAGAAACTGAAGCATAGCAAGATTAAACTGACATTATCTAGGTTAGTAATGTAGGTGGCTACAGAGAGACCTGGTATGGTGATGTGCCCAGGTGCCTCTAGTAAATAAGGGGGATGGAACATAGGTGATGTCTGAACCCAAAAATCTGCCCGGGAAGTGATTTCATATGTTACAGGCTAGAAAACACAGGGCGTGTGCTTGTGGGAATGCACGTAAGTATTAGGAGAAAGACAGAGAGAGAGAGAGAGAGAGAGAGAGAGAGAGAGAGAGAGTGTGTGTGTGTGTGTGTGTGTGTGTGTGTGTGTGTGTGGTTTCCTCTTAATTTAAGGAATACATATAAGACCTCATCTTCAAAATGGACCCAGTGGTAATAGTCCTTTCTCAAGAACATTTTTCAATGATTCTATTCAATATAAGCAAGATTGAGATTTTTGGGAGTTTCTTTTTAAATTGAAGTGTCATAAAATTATCTTTACTTCCTTTTTTTTGAAAAAATGTAAGTTAATTTTAGGAAAGTAATCTCACTTAGGAAGACACTGGTTTCCTTCAGTCCCATTATTTCAGGGGACACATTTTCTATACTGGTTTCATTTGATATCTATTGAATATAAAGTAAGAAATTGGCAACTGGCTCTAATTTAGGGCCAGATGTGTGAGCTAAGACTCATCTTTTTTGAGAGATTGCAATGTCAGTGTAGGTAGTGCTGGTCCCTGGTCTGCATGTCAAGGCACAGTGCCTTGCATATGGTAGACAATCAATATTAGTTATTGAATTCAGCCAAAGGGAAGTTGAATTCACTGAGACTACTGTGGATGAGATACCAAGTATACTTATAATCATTTTTAGTTTTTAAGGCTTAAAAGTATGTCACACCATCAACTCTGTGATACAATTCTATAATAAATTCTTTTAACAATGAAACAGATCATATGCCACAATGAGGTATTTTCTTAAGGAGTAAGTGACCCAGGATGCTATAGGATTTTTATGTTTTCAAAACATTTTAAGTTTAACATTAGATGTTGCCAGAATATTTATAACAAATTAGTTTAGCCCTGGTATTAAAGGTGCCTTTCATAACTGATACTCTCACTTTCTTGCATTTACATGTTACTGGGTTGTAATGTTTGTTTTATCTTCGACTTCTGTGCTAGTTCATTGCCTCAGCATGTGCATCACAAATGCTAGGGGGAAAGTTGAAGAATAAACAAGCTTTTCAATCATTTATATTTCAGGGAAACAAAAGTCAGTCATTCTCTAAACACTATTTTAAGTGACCTGGTTGTGAGATTTTTGTTCTGTTTTGTTTTGTTTTGCAATCTAGGCAGCTATTTTTTATTCAAAGAATTCCCTCCACCTAACCCATAGGATAAAGCTGGCCTCTAGGGAAACCTGTTTACCAATTCTTAATGATGGCCTGCCTTCTAAGGCTGTATCAGATTTTTAACTAGTTCCTGTTCCAGAGTCCCACGTCCTTCTCCTTTGATCTTCTGGTCTCTGGCATTCTGAGTGTCTAACAGAACACTGTCTATACTGCAGAGGGCGGTTGAACTCTTTGTCTGGGCTTTTTATTGAGAAAACAGAATTTGCCTGGAACAAAGGAAAACAGCAGGAGCTTGGGGCGGAAGAGGCGGGCGTCGTGTTGATGTCTGAGTAGAAGCTGTATTTGTATTCTGAGGACTACAAGGACATCACTGACAGATTGGATTCTCCGGCCCTAGGTTGTTTTGTGCATACGAGAGGAGGTGAAGTCACATGTCCAAGCTGGGTTGGGGGAAGCTCAAATTCTAATCATTTAGAGCACTTTTCTCAACACACACTTCAGCGATAGCATTAACTGAGCCTCCTCCAAGCTACAATTTGAGGACAAAAATACCTATGAATGGACAATAATTTGATGCAGAAAGCTTAAATTCTACTGTGTGGTGCATGGTAGTACACACATTTTTATCACCTGCAATTTCTCTGCTTGTGAGTCCTTTCATCAGAGTGGGTAAACATAAATCTATATGCTTTTAAATTGGCAGTTAAGAAAACCTGTTAATATGCACTGCTGCATATTCTTCCAGAAATCTAAGTATGTTTGACGAAGTGCTGTAACTGTAGGTTAAGATGGATAAGGCAGGATGTGGTTGTGTTTTCAGGGGTCATTTGGAAGCAGTGTTCAGACATAATGTTATTTGAATGTGTTTAAACCACTTCTGTATTTCAAGATTTTATTAGTTTTCTCAGGCTGCTATAAACACACACACACACATACACACACACACACACACACACACACACACACACACACATACACACAGATTGGGTGGCTTAGACCACAGTTAATTTTCTCACTGTTGTAAATGCTGGAATTGTCACATCAGGGTGTCAGCAGGGTTGGTTTCTTGTGAGGCCTCTCTCCTTAGCTTGCAGACGGCACCTTCCCCCTGTGTCCTCACGTGGTGTGTCTTCTGTGCACACATATCTCTGGTGTCTGTGTCCATATTTCCTCTTTCTGTAAGGACGCCATTCATACTGGACTGGGGTCATATGGATGGGGGCCCAACCATATGACCTCATTTGACCTTACTTACCTCTTTAAAGACCCTATCTCCAAATACATTTTCATTCTGGGGTGCTGAGGGTTTAATGTAAACTTTGGGGGACAATAACATATAAAAAGAAATGTGATTTTACTTAGGAAAAAGGCCAGTGGTATGAATGAGTGGATCTAGAAAGTGCCTCGAGCAGTCACCCTCATCTTCCCCCAGCACTGTAATCAATGTGTATTATCTAGTGGGAAGAAACACAGGCTTCAGAGCCTGGTTCTAATCCAACTTCACAGCCCTAGATGAGACGCTGAATGGCCCCGAAGCAGTTTATCAACTCAGAAGAGAGGGTCACAGCAGCCACGGCCTCGAGCCACCGTGAGGAAAGACCGCGATCACACAGCACGCAACACCGCTCCCAGCTGGTGGGTGCCACTCAAGGTGTGCCAGCTACACACCATCTTACCATTCACCGTGACTGTTGTTAGCAGCACCCACACTTCATGCTTCTGATTGAGTGAGTTTCTGTAGCATCGTCTCCTCTGGGCTTGCTACTCACTTTGTATTGTAAAGTCCCGAAAGGAGCTTTTGATCATCAACAAATACTTTTCTTTTTCTTTCACTTTTTCTTTTTCTTTTTGTGAGACAGAGTCTTGCTCTGTCGCCCTGGCTGAAGTGCAGTGGCATGCTCTTGCCTCACTGCAGCCTCCAACTCCTGGGTTCAAGCGATTCTCCTGTCTCACCCTCCCAAGTAGCTGAGATTACAGGCGTGCACTACCACACCCAGCTAATTTTTGTATTTTTAGTAGAGATGGGGTTTCACCATGTTGGACACGCTGGTCTCGAACTCCTGACCTCAGGTGATCTACCCATTTTGGCCTCCTGCAGTACTAGGATTACAGGCATGAGGCACTGCGCCCGGCCAACAAATTCTTTTTATTGTAGTCTTCGTGAGCTTGTGTAGTCTGGCTGCCTTAGGCTTAGTTCAAGTCCCCACTTTTTTCTTTGTCATTTATTCTAAGCCCATGTTTAGTTGAGAAACTACCAGACGTTGGCTTCCCTGATGCCCTCGTTCCAAGGTGACCTGAGAATTCCTAGTAGATTGGCAGCTGGGAGCCCCATTCTATCCAGCCTACTTCACCCCCTCTTCAGTCATTGAAAATCCTTTCCTCATTCTCTCTTTTTTTTAAATGGAGGTAAAATTCCTATAACATAAAACTATCCATGTTAGTACCTCAAAAAATTAAAAACAGAATTCTGTGATCCAACAATTCAATTTCCAGGCAAATATCCAAAAGGACCGAAAGCAGAGACTCAGAGAGATTTGTACACCCATGTTCACAGCAGCGTTATTCACAATAGCTAAAAAGTAGAAGCTACCCAGGTGTCCATCCAGGGACAAATGGACAAACAGAATGTGGTGTACTCATGCAAGGGAATATTATTCAGCCACAAAAGGAAGGAAATTCTGACACATGTGACACAAATGGACAAATCCTGTACAATTCCACTTACATGAGGCACGTGGGAGTCAAATGCATAGAGACGGAAAATGAATGGAGGTTGCCAGGGTCTGGTGGAGGTGAGAATGGGTACAGAGTTTCAGATTTGCAAAATGAAAGAACTCTGGAGATGGATGGTGACCATGGACTTCCACGTCAGCCTATCCTGTACCCCTAAACAAGGCTGGTCACCCATCACATCTCTTGAAAGTCATCACACCCATTCTGTCCTGAATGTTGGGAACCTACCACTTGTTCTTGACACTCTTCCCTCTCTCCTATCAGTTGGTCACCAATTTGTATGCTTTT